>NC_000008.11:126964222-127589222 GCF_000001405.40 Homo sapiens | reverse complement strand
GGATAGTCTATAACCGCTGTACTCGGCATTGGTGATGCAGATGGTTGGCAGATGCAGCATCATGGTCCTCTCTCCCTCAGGAATTGTGATATACATAAAGGCTATCATCATTGAGGACCTACTGTGAGTCTGGCTCTGTACTGTACATTTGATATTTGTAGCTCAGATTCTTACAACCTGGCAAGGTGGAACTTACTATCCTTTCTTTCCAGAACAAGTGACTGGGTTGAAAGATTGTTGCCTTGCATGGCCACATCATTAAGCAAAGGCACTGCCAAAGTAAAGATCCAGGTCCATCTGCCTCTAAAACCCTTGGACTCAACATGCCCCAAACTGAGCGCCCTCCCATCCCCTTAACTGCCACTGCTTTATTTCGGGAGTCACCACCATTTAGGAGAATTTTACCATAGCTTTTTATTTGTTGTTCACTCTTCTTTTTTTTTTTTTTTTTGAGATGGAGTCTCACACTGTCACCCAGGCTAGAGTGCAGTGGCCCCATCTCCACTCACTGCAACATCAGCCTCCCTGGTTCAAGTGATTCTCCTGCCTCAGCCCCCTGAGTAGCTGGGATTACAGGTGCCTGCCAACATGCCCAGCTAATTTTTTGTATTTTTAGTAGAGATGGGGTTTCACTATGTTGGTCAGGCTGGTCTTGAACTCCTGATCTCGTGATCTGCCCTCTTCGGTCTCCCAAAGTGCTGGGATTACAGGTGTGAGCCACTGTGCCTAGCCTGTTCTTCACTCTTCTATTGAACCTTTTCCTCAGAATGTGTCCTCCAGACTATAGCTGCAGTAATTAACCTAAGTGCAATTTTGATCACTTCTAAATTCCTTCAGTGGCTCTCTCTTTATGATAAAAGGGATATGACATTCTATCATATAAGCCAAAACCCCTTAGCCTACTCTACTAGGCTGTCATCAACTGACCCTTTTTGCTTCTCTAGGCCCTTTTTGGCTCACTCATTCTCCCCTCCAGCCAAAGCAACCTCCTTGAACTTCCTTGAAGATGCTCTACTCTTATTTTGCATATTCTATTCTCCAAGTTTCAATGCCCTTCCTCCCTTTTGTTCTGGGTTAATTTACACTTGTTCTTTAAAACTCACTTTACCCCCTCCTCTCAAAAGCATTCCCAGACATTCCTAAATCTTATTAAAAGACCTTCCTCTATTTTCCTCCTCTGAGTACCTTAACACCCTGGTTACAGATGCCTCTAACACTGTGCAGCACCCTTTCATTTCTTTTGTTTCTCGCACTTGATGCTGAGGCCTTTCAGGACAATGATTACATATGCTTCCAGTTCAGAGCAGGAGCTGAACCCCTGCCTGTTAAATAAGTGAATGAGTTTTGGGGGATGAACTGCATCAAGGTTGGAATGTGATAGAGGAAGGGAGGGTATCAGGAAGAGTAAGTAGGTGGAAGCGTTGGCCAGAGGGTAGGCATTGCCGTGAGGAGTTGGTATAATGTTTCTTCTACGTTTACTTCTTGCCGCCACTCCTAAAGGCATGGAGGATACCCCACCTCTGCTTCCAGACAGTGATAATCCTACTGGGACTGTCTGGGCCAAAGCCTTGCCTTGAGTCTCATCTTCGGAGTCCAGTTTTCTTTTGGCAAGACCAGGACAGGAAACACTTGCACATTGAAGTTCCCCTGCTATGGAATGTGTGTTGGGACATGACTGAGAGCCAGATGGAAAATGTCTCCGAAGTCCTAAGCCAGGCTGGAAAGATAGGTGGATGATAGTGAAGTCCATCCCTCTGTTTCAAAAATTGTTGGCAGTAAAAGTAATCCAGGATCATGCATCTGAAGTGTTGGAAAAGTTAGCAAGACTCGGGGGCTGAAAGGAGAGTAGCTGAGATGACGAGAAAGTGAGCTATCTCTTCTCCATTATCTCTGCCCTCCCATCTTCAAACTGAGGAAAGCATTTCTGTTCTAGTGGGAACATGATGCCTTTACTGAAAGGAATGCCTAATGATGGAATTTTCAGATGGTTAAACAATAAGGGAGACCTTCCGAGGGGTCATTTGGGCCCCTGAAGTCACACTGAAGGGATAGTATTAGCTTTTCCTGCTTATAAGTCCAGCCCTATGTCAGTGTGTGACACAATGACCAGGAATATTTGACAGAGTTACAGCTGGTGAAACATTTCCCCAGGTATCCTCAGATTTGATCCATACAACAACCTAGTGATGAGATTATCTCCTCCCCACTATCCCATTCTAAAGAAGAGGAAACTGAGGTTCACAGAGGTCAGGTGACCTGCCTGAGATCTTACAATCATTCATTCATTCTTTCATCCATCCTTTCATTGTTTATTAAGTACCAACATTGCTCCAGGCAAGATATTCCTACTGAGGATAGATACCATGTAAGACAGACAGCTCCCTGTCCTTAGGGAGCTTACATTCTACTTGGGGAAACAAAATAAACATATGAGTTACAAGTTGATAACAAGGAGACAAATAAGTAGACAAATAGCATGAGCCGTAAAGAAAATGAAGCCTTGGAAACTGGATAAAAAGTGCCCGACAATGTGGTGGTGGCGGGACGTATGTGCTATTTTGGAAAGGGTGATTGGGGAAAGCAGGTGGAGGAGACAAAGATAAAATTTTAAGGAAGACCTATTCTATGCTTCTTTTATTACCCCCTTCCTGCAGGGAGCTGCTGTAGGGACTTCCTTCTTCTCCCACACCTTTTTTACTTTTTTCTTCTAAGGAGCTCACAAGTACCTTTCTTAGAAATTGATATTTCCAGATGCATATTTCTCACGGCCTGTAAAGACAACCCTTGGACTCTTCCCAGGGACAGCTCGGAGATGGGGAAAATGCAAGTGCAAGCCCCACCCTGGCAGTGTGTCGGCAGCTGTCCTGGAAAATAAAAACACAGGCCGTTTACAGATTCAGGAAGCTGAAGTGTTTTATGGGCACAGTCATTAAATGTAAACACAGCCTTGTTTCTTGACAACATCTCCAGGAAGCCATTCACTGGGACAATAGAAGGCAGAGAGGAAACTTAACAGTCTTCAAATATTTGAAGGACTGTCATATGCAGGAGGACCAGGCTTGTTGGGGGCAGCTACAGGGAATTAAAGCAGAGCCAGTGGCAGGAGGCAAGAGGGAGGCAGGTGACAGCTTGGCACTGGGAAAAATTCTCTAATAATCTCAACTGGCCCACAGTGGAATAGAGTGGCCTTGAACGGGGGTGAGATGCCTCCCTCCATCACTAGGGGCATGCAGCAGATGTAGAAGGTTCACCTTCCTTAGTACAATGAATGATTTGCTGACAGATTCATTAATTTAACTAGTGCTCATGAAACATTTACTATGTACTAGACATAGATGCAGTAGTGAAAAAGACATGAAAGATCTCTGCTTGTTTTCTTTCTTTCTTTTTTTTTTTTTTTTTTTTTGAGACGGAGTCTCACTCTGTTGCCCAGGCTGGAGTGCAGTGGTGCAATTTTGGCTCACTGCAACCTCTGCCTCCCAGATTCAAGCAATTCTCTGCCTCAGCCTCCAGAGTAGCTGGGCTTACAGGCAGCCACCACCACGCCTGGCTAATTTTTGGATTTTTAGTAGAGTCAGGGTTTCACCATCTTGGCCAGGCTGGTCTTGAACTCCTGACCTCGTGATCCTCCTGCCTCGGACTCACAAGATGCCGGGATTACAGGTGTGAGCCACTGCACCCGGCCAAGATCTCTGCCTTCATGAAATTTCCATCCTAGTAGTGGAGACAGACAATAAATAAGTGAACAGACAGATACAAAGGTAATTGTAGCTAGTGATGGGTGCCATTGTCCCAATAAAAGGGAATGTAAAAGAATGACTGTATTGTGTGTGTGTGTGTGTGTGTGTTTTATGTGCGTGTGTGTGTAATAGATTGTGCTTTACTGGGTGGCTAGAGAAGGTATTTCTGAGACAATAACCTCTGAGGTGTGACCTGAGTGATCAGAAGGACCAGAAAGGACAAAGGCCTGGAGGTTGGAAGTAGCTTGGTGCACTCAGGAGCAGAGAGAAGCTCAGTGTGGCTGGTGTAGTGAGCAGAGGGACAGAGCACTAGGCAATGAGAGCAGGTAGGGACCAGATCCTACGGGTCCTTGTTGGTCCTGGTAAGGTGGCTGGGTATTATGTGAAGGGCATTGGAACCTACTATCCAATTGCATTGGAGAAGCTGTAGCAAGGAGATGATTTTTGGTTGGGAGGTTGGACTGGTTTCAACTCTGGCATCAGAATCACCTAGGGATCCACATTTGGGATCCAGTGGTCTAAGTGAACTCTAAAATTGCTTTCATGGTGAGGATTTGAGGTAGTGATATGAGCTTCCATATGAGATGATACATTTTGCTCAGGATATCTGAGAATGCATGGCCCACTGGAATTTTGCTAACGTATTATCTACAACCCAGTTCATTAGGGTGGGTGGGCTCTAAATAAGCTTAATTTACTTCAACAATTATTCAGTGGATTATCTTCTATGTGGCAGGCACTAAGTATGCACAAGGGGTAAAGTACCGTGCCTGGAAAACAACAGATACGCCATAAATATTGACTGAATGAATAAATGGATGAAAGTACCAGACATTCTGCTGGGAACCAGGGACAAAGAGATGAGGAAAAGATGTGTGAGAGACATTATAGATGACTCTGTCTTTATTAGCTCATGTGATATGGTTTGGCTGTGTCCCCAACCAAATGTCATCTTGAATTGTAGTTCCCATAATCCTCAAGTGTCATAGGAGGGATTCAGTGGGAGGTAATTGAATCTTGGGGACAGTTACCCCCATGCTGCTGTTCTCATGATAGTGAGTGAATTCTCACGAGATCTGATGGTTTTATAAGGGGCTTTTCCCCCTTTGCTTGGCATTTCTCTCTCCTGACATCACGTAAAGAAGAATGTGTTTGCTTCCCCTTCTGCCACCATTGTAAGTTTCCTGAGGCCTCCCCAGTTCTGTGAAACCGTGTCAATTAAATCTCTTTCTTTTATAAATTGCCCAGTCTTGGGCAGTTCTTTATAACAACGTGAGAATGGAATAATACATCGGGGAGGAGAATTGCAATAGCAGTGTTTGCAAACTGCTAATGGAAGGGTAAAAAGATGGAAAATGTAAGGGAAAGGCATATGTGTTTGAGTTTGGAAGAAGAATACCACAGGGTGTTCCTGCAAAAGGCAAAATGCAGAGACAATGCTGGGAGCATTTGTAAAATCTGAATTCTTCACTTCCAGTCTGTTGGGTTCTGGCTTCCGGTGTCACAGGGGAGTCTGCTTTTGATTTTATAGGGACAACAGAGAAAACATTGGCTGGTCAGGAACAGGAACTTTAAGGCTGCTCAGGAAGATCAAGCAGCTTGGACACATGGCCTTCTGGTTTTCTCCTTTGATCAGGGAAAACAGGGAGGATTCTGCCAAAAAGCTCACCAGAACTTTCACGTCTACCAGCTTTTGTAGCCTGCCAAATCTCTGTGTGCTGCAGTTTGTGTTAACCTAGTCAAATTACCATCAAGTAGCCCGAAGCCACAGCCAAATCGGCCTCACCGTTTTTCCTCACCCTAATTTAATCATCTGGGAGTGGATTTCTGGAATTGCCTCTAATCTAGCGAACACATATCTAAGACTCTAAACTAAACAATTAACCCTTTCCTGGGACCAACAAACCTTTGGTAGAAGGTACACTTTTGGTGTCTGCAATTTGATTTAAACTTTTTGTAACTTCTGGGAGGAGGGGAAGGAGAAGGAATTTGAGTCTTCCTTATTATGGTGCAGAGACTGCTAGATGTTAATATTCATGACTTCTGCACACCAGTTCTGTGAGATAAGTATTATTAACTCCATTCTAAGCACAGGAACACAGAGCTTCAGAAGGATTAAGGAACGTGGTCAGGGCCACACAGCTTAATAAGTGGCAAGATTTGATTCCAAGCCTATCACCAAGACCCAGGCTTTCCCCCATAAAACTCTTTCTGCTCCAGAACTGTTTAGTAAGCAATAGCTACATTTTATACATCTTGAAAATTTCCAGTGCTTAGAAATGGAGCAATGCCATTCTTGGGTGCTTATGCCCCAGGGTAGGCATTCTTTATCTTGGCTGCCCATTGGAAACAGAGTTGAGATGAGGATTAAAGAGGGATGAATTCATTTCCTAGAGTTGCCACCACAATATATAAAAATATATATAATAATTATTTAGAGCCTACCCACCCCATATTTTGATATAAAATATCTATCTATCTATCTATCTATCTATCTATCTATCTAAATCCCTGGGTCCCAATCCCCAGAAATTCTGATTTAACTGGATTTGGAAATGTAGCCTGGGCCTTTGATTGTTTTTTTTTTTTTTTTTTGGTCTCGCTCTGCCATCCAGGCTGGAGTTCAGTGGCTCAATAATAGCTCACTGCAGGCTTGAACTCCTGGGCTCAAGCTATACTTCTGCCTCTGCCTCCCAAAAGCTGGGACAAGAGATGCACAGCACCACACATGGCTAGTTTTTACTTCTTTTGTAGAGGTGGGATCTCACTATGTTGCCAAGGCTGGTCTTCAGTGATCCTCCAGCCTTGGCTTCTCAAAGTGCTAGGATTACAGGCATAAGCCACCATGCCTGGCTTTTTTTTTTTTTTTTTTTTTTTTTTTTTTTTTTTTGAGATGGAGTTTTGCTCTGTTGCCCAGTCTGGAGTGCGTTGGTATGATCCTGGCTCACTGCAACCTCCACCTCCTGGGTTCAAGCGATTCTCCTGCCTCAGCCTCCAGAGTAGCTGGGACTACAGGCACGTGCCACCATGCCTGGCTAATTTTTGTATTTTTAGTAGAGATGGGGATTCACCATGTTGGCCAGGATGGTCTAGGTCTCTTGACCTCATGATCTGCCCATCTCAGCCTCCCACAGTGCCAGGATTACAGGCGTGAGCCACTGCGCCCAGCCCTGTCTTTGCTTTTTATCAGCTCCCTAGTTGAGGATGAATGTGTGTTGTTCCCTCGGCTTCAACCAAGAGGGAGCAAGACCCAAATAAAAGGAATGAGTTGGAGAGAGCCACTGGGCTGCGGAGGGTCAGCTCTGTAGGGGCACCTGAAGAGTCCAGTGCATATAGTCCAACAGATCAAACAGGATTAAGATCCCAGAATCTCAGAATAGTGGGTGGGCGCAGAAATGGGGGGCTTCAGGTGGTTGGTAGTGTTGAGGGAGAAGAGCTGCATAATCCCAGTGAGAATTGAATTTGGACCGGGGTCGAGGGAATGGGAGAGACGAGAAAAGGCTCCAGCATCCTAAAAAAGGATGGAAGGCTGTGGCCTGGGAGGAGCCCCAGTGAGATGAAGATTTCAGTTAGACTCTGTCCTAGAGACATACAGGGATATGGCCACAGAATAATAAAGAAGACAATGATGACGATGATCATAAGAACATATCTGACATTCACTAAGTGCCAGAAAAGCACTTACCAGGATTATCTCTTCAACAGTGGGTTGAATTGAATGGTAGCTCCCCGCCCCCATCAAGAGATATGTTTATGTACTAATTCCTGAAAGAGTAAATGTGACCTAATTTAGAAATAGGATCTTTGCAGATGTAATTAAGGTAAAAATCTTTAGATAAGATTATCCTAGATTATCTGGCTAGGCCTTACATCCAATGATAAATGTGCTTATTAAGAGACAGGTAGACCAGCCTGGGTGAAAGAGACGGGTAGAAGGAGATTTGAGATAGAGAGAGAAGAGGAGAGGCCTTGTGCAGTTAGAGCAAAGATTGCAGCCATAAGCCAAAGAATGCCTGGAGTCACTAGAAGCTGGAAGAGGCCAGGAAGGATTCTCTCCTAGAGCTTCTAAAGAAAGCATGACCGTGCTATTACTTTGATTTCAGGTGTTTAGCCTCCAGAACTATGAGAGAATACATTTCTGTTGCTGTAAGCCACCTACTTGCTGGAAATTTGTGGTGGCAACTCTAGGAAACTAATTCATCCCTCTTTAATCCTCACCTCAACTCTGAGGCTGGCATTATTACTACTTCTATTTCATTGAGGAAGAAACTGAGACTCAGAGCTTTACAATGTTTTGCACAGAGGTTGCAGATTGTGGGTACAAGGTGTTAACTTATCTTCAGAGCTTAGGAACACTCCTACCATCTATAAGCTCCATAAAGGCAAGAACTGTCTACTGAATTTCTGCTAGAACCTGAGGACTACAGAGGAGCTCAGGGGTCCTGCCTTGCCCCCATGGTTTTTAAACTTCAGTGAAGTTTCAGGACACAGAATCAATGCACAAAATTTCAAGCCAACATAAAAGCCAGGACCAGCCTAGGACCAGGAAAAGCATGATGTGCTTTCATTCATTCAGTGCCAAAAAAGATTCATTTTTTAAAAATTGAGATTAAATTTACATGACATAAAATCAACCATTTTAAAACGAATAATTCATGGCATTTAGTACACCCACAATGTTGTGCAACTACCACTTCTATCTAGAACATTTTCATTACCCCAAAGGAGATCCTGTCCCCATTAAGCAGTGCCTTCTAGTCTCCTTCTCCCATTCCCTGTGGTGTTCTCCCCAGTCTGGATTTGCCATCTGGACATTTTATAAAAATGAAAAAATACAATATGTAATCCTCTGTGATTGGTTTCTTCAGCTTAACATCATGTTCCTGGGATCCCTCCATGTTGTGACATATATCAGGACTTCATTCCTTTTTCTTGCTGAATATTCTACCATGTGTGTACACCACAATTTTTCATCTGTTGATGGACAGTTGGGTCACCTTTTGACTGCTGTGAATAATGCTGCTATGAACACTATCATACAAGGTTTTGTGTGCACAAATGTTTTTATTTACCTTGGGTATATACTTAGGGATGAACTTACTGGATCACATGATAACTTCTAATGAGGAACTGCCAAACTTTTTCACAGTGGCTGAATATTTTTCAACCACATGAATTGAGTCCTTGCAACATCCCAGGCATTATGTTTTAAGTTTTGATTGAATGAAATCCTTGAAACCAGTCTATGAGGGACGTACTATGTTCCCCATTTTACAGATGAAGAAACTGAACTTAAAAGAAATGGAATAACTTTTCCCAAGATTATGCTTGTGAGGAGCAAGAATGCAAACCTAAGTTTGTCAAGCCCAAAGTTTGTGCTCTGGGTCACAATGTCCTATTGCCCCTTGCTGTTCTCACTGGTGTCAAAACACATTGAGGAAAAGGAGAGTGTGAAAGGTTGCCTTTGTATATTCCATAGTGCCCAGCACAGGGTTGTATATTGAGTACGTTTTCAGTAAATACTTGCTGAAGAGGGCTAAGAATCTATTTGATGAGTATAACAGTATCCACACTACTTTTTTTTTTTTTTTTTTTTTGAGACTGAGTCTTACTCTGTCACCCAGGCTGGAGTGCAATGGCACAATCTTGGCTCACTTTAACCTCCACCTCCCAGGTTCAAGTGATTCTCCTGCTTCAGCCTCCCGAGTAGCTGGGATTACAGGCATGTGCCACCACGCCCAGCTAATTTTTGTATTTTTAGTAGAGACATGGTTTCACCATATTGTCCAGGCTGGTCTCGAACTCCTGACCTTGTGATCTGCCTGTCTCGGCCTCCCAAAGTTCTGGGATTACAGGTGTGAGCCACCGCGCCCGGCCTCCACGCTACTTTTTACCTCTTTAATACTTTAATACATTTGTGACAATCTTAACATAAAACAGGATTTAGCTAAACTCTCACATATGGCTACAAATATGCTCTGCTGGAAAGACTTTATAATGTTAGCCAGTAATGTTTAGGCAATTTAGCAGCATTGTGGGACTCCCTATCATACATACAACCCTGTTGGAAATTTGGGTTGAGGACTCACCTTCAAAGTACTTTAAAATGTTGAAGCGGCTGGGCGCGGTGGCTCACGCCTGTAATCCCAGCACTTTGGGAGGCCGAGGCAGGCGGATCACGAGGTCAGGAGATGGAGACCATCCTGGTTAACACGGTGAAACCCCGTCTCTACTAAAAATACAAAAAAATTAGCCGGGCTTGGTGGCGGGCGCCTGTAGTTCCAGCTGCTCGGGAGGCTGAGGCAGGAGAATGGTGTGAATCCGGGAGACGGAGCTTGCAGTGAGCCGAGATCATGCCACTGCACTCCAGACTGGGCGACAGAGCGAGACTCCATCTCAAAAAAAAAAAAAAAAAAAAAAAAAAAAAAAAAAAAAATGTTGAAGCTGCAGGTGTGGTTGAGATTCCCAAGAGACAGAGCAGAGAGAAAATGAAGGCCGTTAGTTTTTGGCAGAAAAACTGGGAGACATGCATGTTTGGAAATTCCTGGTGAAACAGGAACTTGCTGAGAAGACACGATCTGAGAGGTGGGAGGAGAATCAAGCTCGCGCTCCATCCCCGAATACAAAGAAAGGGAGATGGCCTCCAGTGACAAATGCTGCTGAGAGTCAGAAGAAAAACATAGAGCACAGCTTCACTTAAGTGGGCCTGATGAGTTCATACATGGATCAGAAAGGCTCACCTTGTTCCTAAAATGCAAATCTGTCGTATCATTTCCCTGCCTGAAAATCTTCAGTGGTCCACAGCTGCCTTCAGGATAAAGCCCATGAGGCTTGCTCAGCCTGTTTCTGCTGCCTTCTCCAGCTGCATTGCTCCTAACTCTTCCCAGGTGTATGGCATTCCCAGTTGTTTGTTTCTTTTGTTTGTTTATTTGTTTTTTGAGACAGAGTCTTGCCCTGTTGCTCAGGCTGGAGTGCAGTGGTGTAATTGTTGCTCACTGTAGCCTAAAACTCCTGGGCTCAAGTAATCCTCTGGCCTCAGCTTCCTGAGTAGCTGGGACTACAGACATGCACCATCACACCTGGCTGTTTGTGGTCTTCTTAATGCTTTCTTCTCAGCCATGCCTCTGTGCCTTTGTCTGTTTTCTCAGCTGGTAATGTCTTCTTCATCCTGTTCACTCAATGAGGTCCCAGCCAGCTCCAGCCTTTACTTCTGGATAAAGTCCTCACCGACCCCTGTTCTTGCCCCCAAAGTAGTTCTGACCTCTTACTCCACCATCTCTAGTTGGACCACAAGCAAACCTTCTTTAAAACCTTCATCTCTGTATGCAGCAATTGCTTATTTACAGGCTGTGTCTGTTGGTAGACTGTGAGCTTCAAGAAGGTACAGCCCATGTCTCATTGCCTTTTGTCTCCTCTGCTCCCAGGTTTGCAATCACTCCTTGATGAATGAATGAGTGAAAGAACGAGTGAATGAATGAGTAGGTGAATGTCCAGCTGAGACATTCCAAGGGGTAGAACTGGCAATGCAGAACACCTGTGTAGGACAAGAAATCACCAGCTGGCACCTGCCTGTTTCTGGTCTGAAATGGAAGCACCCCCAGCCCTCTTGATCCCTCAGACAAACACCTGTTATAACTTTACCTGTCTCTACAAATCATTTTTGTAAGTGAGACAGCTCAGGATAAGCATGGCTTAGTGAAAAGACAGGGGCTGGAGGCATACAAACTGGGGTTCCCTTATTCCTTAGACCTGATCTATGAACTAGGAATGGTATCTTCTGCCTTTTCATCTTCAGCCAACATTGAGTGTACGATACTATGCTATGCTAAGTTCTGGGGCTGCCAAGAAAAAAAAAAGGAGAAGCCAATCATCCTATTCAGGAGTTCCCATTTCTTGGGAAGAGTTTCCAGGGTTTTTGTAGCAAATGAATGTAAAAAATGAAAATCATAACAACAACCCCTTACTAAGCGCTGGCAGTGGATGGAGCAGTGCTCAGTGATAAGTACCTTCTGTAATCATCATATTGAATGCTCACAGGAAACCTGCAAGGAAGGCATCATTAATTATCTCATTTTGCAGATGAGAAAACAGGCTCAGACAGGTTGTGTACCTTGAATGAAGGTTAAGGGCACAAGTCTGGCAGGTACTCCAGAGCCACGGGCTTACCTACAGCCCCAGTGGACTGACCCTCACATACACAGTGGGGACAGCAGAGCTGTGTCTATTGTGTTTTGGGCTTAGCCATGTCAGTTTTCAGCTACCTGGCTGGGGTTAAGGGGACTTATAAGGCCCAACCCCTAGGTTCTAAGCAACATGTTTGTCCTTAAAGCCTTAAACCTTTTCTCCTGTGTGAGGTTTTTTTGTTGTTGTTGTTGTTATTTATTTATTATTATTATTTTTGGGTCTCCTCTCTTGGATTTTCCTTGTCCTGCAGGAGCGTAGCCGAGATCCATTGCCAAATATGGTTCTGCAGCCCCTCCTGCTCCAGTGTCTCTGTATTTGGAAAGGGAAGCATCTCTCTGCTCCTTTGTGGGGAAAGGGAAATGATTGCTCCTGGCAGTAATCCAAAAACTGGAAAAACAAGCAGTTGAGGAGTGGGGAAGACAAAATAGGTTCACAGAGAGAAGGCTGGACTATTAGACTTGCTGGTTGGGAGCTGCAAATATTTAGGTAAAAAAGACTCAGAGTGTGTATCTTATTTGTATCCAGGCACATCTCTGCTCCTGCTGAAAAGACCGGGAAGCCAAGGAGCTCGAAAGAGACATGCAGGAGCCTGGAGGGCTGCTAAAAATAAAGCTGGCCGTCAGGGAACTGGAACTCACTTTGTACATTGCACATAAATACTTCCTCAAACTTCTGCTAGCTAGTGGAGCATGCAAGAGGAAGACTGGGAAAGGAGAAGGGGACTTGGTTGTGAACAGGAACTGGTGGGAGAATGGAGATGGGAGTGTGGATGAAAAGTGTATGACCCTTAGCAAGTAGCTCAGCCTCTAGTTTGGGACTGATGTAGAGGAGAAAGGTGAGGTTTAAGGAGGCTGGGAGGTGGAAGCTTTTGGTTCCAACTAAGTTCTCCTGAGGTTGACACTCTGGGAGACCACCAGGGGAAGGATGGAGCTGGAGGGGATGCAAGAAAAAGGAGGGGGCTGTATTAGTCCATTCTCATGATGCTATGAAGAAATATATGAGACTGGGTAATTTATAAAGGAAAGAGGTTAATTGATTCACAGTTCTGCTGGTCTGGGAGGCCTCAGATAACTTACAATCATGGTGGAAGGGGAAACAAACATGTCCTTATTCACATGCCAGCAGCAAGAAGAAGTGCTGAGAAAAAGTGGGGAAAGCCGCTTATAAAATCATCAGATCTCATGAGAACTCTCTCAGTATCATGAGAATGGCACAAGGGTAACAATCCCCTTGATTAAATTACCTCCCACCGGATCCCTCTTAAAACACATGGGAATTATGGGAACTACAATTCAAGATAAGATTTGGGTGCACACACTGCCAAATCATATCAGGGGCTAACATTAATCCAGCACTCCCTATGGCAAGGTATTATGCTGCCCAGTTCTGGAATCAAAACCTTATCTCAAGCTTGAGGGAGGGATGGTGTCACTATCCCTCTCCCACCCCTGACAACTGTAGATGCCACGGATCAAGAGGTTTCATGACCTGTCCTGGATTATATAGCCAAGTGGAAGGTGGGCTTCAACTCTAGAGGTCACTGATTCAACAGGCACGGTCAACACTTGTGTGAATACTACAGAGACCTCGGAGCACAAGAAATGCCTTTGGACATAGCATAAATGCATGTCCCTTTTGCTGGAAGTGCTCTTCTCTCTTTTGCCTGCTTGAGAGCACCTGCTCATTCCTGAGAAGTCAACTCAAGCATCACTTCTGGCTTGAAACATTTTATTCTGTTCCTGGGTAGATGCAGGTGTGAGTGGCTATGAGCACATTTCAGACATGGTCCCTACTGTATTTCTGTAATCATTAATTTCCATCTGTCTTGTGCCCACAAGGCCACGAGGCCCTCCAGAGAAGGCAGAACAGATATTTCTCCATCTCTATTACCTGCCACAGGGCAATAATTACTAATTGTGGCTAATGGTCATTGAACACGTACCACATGTTAAGCAACTCAAATGCAGCATCTCATTTAATCGTTACATAACCCCATGAAGTACACAGTATTGCTTACGTTCCTTACAATGATACATAGAAACCCAGAAATCATGGAGGCTTAAGAAAATGAACTTAATTTATTGCTCTCATAAATCAGGAATTCCTGATTGGGAAGTGGGATGTCTATAGTGGGTGCTACTGGAGCCCTACCCAGCGCCCAGGCCTCCGCTGGTACAAGGGGCTCACTGCTACCCCGCTTTTCAGAAAATTGCTTTCTGCAGAATGGCTGGGGGAGGAGAGATGGGTCTGCCTCACCCAGGAGGTCACACCTCCCACCTCGTGGGGTGGCAGTGGTGGCCTTTAGCCAATTACTGCCTGATACAGGTACTAAGGCCACCCTCCCCACTTGCTTCCAAGTGGGCCCAGCTCTGGTGGAATCCAAGCTCCAGGGCTCCTGTGGAATCTTGCCGCAGCTTAGTACCCTGCTGAAACCACATACTCGGTTAGTTCCTTTTCCTGTCCTCTCCTGCTTTTTACACTTCCTTTTCCCTGAGATCCCTCCTTCAGTGAATCACATATACTTTAATCCCTGTCTCAGCCTCCACTTGGAGGAAACCTAGTCCAAGACAGTAGCTCTGTCTCCACATACTTAATCAGGGATTCCGGCTGACAGATGCTCTGTATTCAACACACAGCTTCTGAAGTCACCCTGGGGCTCAGCATTCTGCCAGCAGACAGAGAAAGGAAGAAAGAGAGCAGACAGCAGTAAAGGAGGTTGTATGAGTCAGGTCTGGACGTGGTATCCATTGCTTCTGTGCACATTCTTTTGGCCAATACTTAGTCCCAGCCACACCAAATTGCAAGGGAATCTGTGCAATAAGCATAGGCTAGCTCTGGGCTAGGAGAAGAGAAAAATGCGTTTTGTGACCAGCTGAGCCAGTCTCTGTAATGACAGACACTGTGATGACACCCCATTTTAAAGGTGAGAAAACTGAGGTTTAGAGGCTTTAAGTAATTTGCCCAAGGTTGCAAAGTCAAGACAAAGGCAATTTAATACCAGAACCTGTGTGCTTGACCACTCTGTATGTTACTACCTGTAGACAAGGGTCGTTGAATACGGTCAATGACTGACGATGCTGAGGTTCTTGTTTGCTGTAGGTCCCTTGACCTCATGGCTGTACGGGCAAGGCTTTGCATTAGCAGTGTGTTGGAATCCACTCTGTCTTGACTGAGACATCCCTCATTTAAATTATAAAGTAAATTAGAATAAAACACCTCTGCTCTACGTCTTTCCAGGGACCATCTGAACAGAATATTTCCAGATTTCTAAGATTAAAGCACAAGACAACTGTAAAGATGATAGCGGGAAGAAAGAGGCAAAATAAAATAACATTAAAATGGCACCAGTTACTTTTCCTCCAAGGGTTTAGAATTCCTACTGGGACCTTCACAAGGCTGGAACTTTCAGCCCTATATCTCACTATCCACTCATGGCAGCCTCCTGGTGGCTCACTCCACCCTAGCCAATGTAAACTTCTCTCTGAGTGAGAGAGAGGAAGGGTTTCCAGGATGGACTGGGCCCGAGATTGCCTGCATTCACATTCTAGCTGGATCACTTCATGGCTCTGTGATTTTGAACTACTAGCTTACCTTTTCTGTGTCCTAGTTTTGGTCTGTAAAATTGTAACAATAATACCAGCAACATAAGTTTGTAGTGAGAATCAAATGAATGTCTGCTAGGACAGTGCCTCTGCATACTAGCATAATGTCTGTGTTTGCAGTTCTTATCGTTATTCTTTAGCAAGCTCCTTCCTGGCCCAGGGTTTAACTGTAGGCAGAGCCCTCTACAGTTCTAACTGTGTCATCTTCCACCAGGATTGACATTCATTGTCACATCCCTGGGGGAGCCCTCCTTCACACTCAGCCTAGGTTTGGCCTCCTGTACCCTTATTCTGCAAGGCTGGGATTAGGGTGAGGCAAAAGAGGGACTCACTTTTGGGTGCAAAATTTTAAGTGGGTGCCCATAAAACCCCCTTCATATCAAGATAAATAGTATTTTAATGCAATTATTTAACGTATCAAAATTAACGCAAAAAATTCAAGGTGAACAAAATCGCAAATTTTAAATAAAGACTCATGCTGTTCTGAGCCAAGCTGGTGCCTGAAGGAAAGGAAAAATGTATACTCCAGGCTTTTTGGAAGCAAGCACTCAATAATGTTTTTGGTGTCTACTTCTTTGCTTATCTTGCTTTCACTGGAGAAAATTGTCATGTTGGATAAATTCATGTGACCAAGTGGCAATCTTACGTGATTTTTTAATTAGCTTAAGCTATAATAAAAGGATAATACATTCTGCTTGGTAATAAATAAAATATTTAAACATAAAATAATGTGAGTTTTAATATCCTACTTTTACATTGTTCAGTGATTTTCAACTACTTTAATGTTCTGGGAAAAAATAACCATTAAAATATGCAAAATCATGTCTATAGGGGTGCATATTTTCCTTATGCCTTTGGCTCCATTGTGACATGGCATGATGCTTTGGCCTTTGTTTACATTTTGGATAGTTTCTTGAGCACGAAGATTTTTGTATTAATTTTGATTTGTCTTTTCCCTGTATGTTTTTGCTCCACCTTAAATTTTGCACTTGGGGCCAGTGCCTTATTTGCTTCCCCCACCCAATCCTGGCCTCGTTCTTTGGTAGCATTTATCAGAACCACGGTTAAATAGTTCGTTGTACCCTTTGATCAGTATTTCTCTTTCCCCATCTGTCCCCTGATCCCAGCTGCTGGTAACCACCATTCTATGCTCTACTCTACTTTGTTTTTGATTCCACTTTTAAATGAGATCATGTGGTCTTTTGTCTTTCTTTGCCTGCTTTATTTCACTTAGCATACTGTCCTCCAGGTTCATTCGTGTTTCTGCCAATGACAGAATTTCCTGGGTTTTTTTTTGTTTTGTTTTGTTTTTTGTGTTTTTTTTTTTTTTGAGATGGAGTTTCACTCCTGTTGCTGAGGCTGGAGTGCAATGGCACGATCTCGGCTCACTGCAACCTCTGCTTCCTGGGATCAAGCTAAATTCTCCTGCCTCAGCCTCCAGAGTAGCTGGGATTACAGGTGCACCACCAGGCCCAGCTAATTTTTTGTATTTTTAGTAGAGTTGGGGTTTCACCATGTTGGCCAGGCTGGTCTCAAACTCTTGACCTCAGGTGATTCCACCCGACTCGGCCTCCCAAAGTGCTGAGATTACAGGTGTGAGCCACCATGCCTGGCCCAGAATTTCCTTCTTTTTAAAGGCTGAAAAATATTCCATTGTGTATAGACACCACATTTTCTAAATCCATTTATCGAATAATGAATACCTAGGTTGCTTCCATATCTTGATTATGGTGAATAATTCTGCAGTAAACATGGGAGTGATCTATTGCACAGAACGGTGACTCTACTAAATAGTAGTCCATTATATATTTCAAAATTACTAGAAGAGTATATTTTAAATATTTTTACCACAAAAATAATATGTATGTGAGGTGATAGAATTGTTAGATTTAATTACTCCACAATGTAAATATATATACTATATAGAATTATTATTTGTTAATTAAAAGTAGAACTTAAAAATTTTTTAAAAAAGAACTAAAAAATGTCTATTAAGAAAAAAGTTAATAGTGCCACTAGTGTTTGATTCTGCCACGAATCAGCTCCCTGAGGGCAGAGGCAAGGCCTGTTTTGCTCCCCATTGTCTTCCTTGTGCTATCACAGCGCATGACCCCTAGCAGGGGCACAAAAACATGGGCTGAATAAATAAATGAGGAGATTTCTAAAAGAGGCTGCTCTAGCATGAGTTTGTGGTTTCAGTTAATTCTTCCAAGTGTTTAAGAAGGTAAGCGTCTATTAAAAATCTTCTATGGGCCAAGCACCGGTTGTGCAGCTCCAGGGATGGTGAAGGCCATGCCTTGACCATCCATGGGCTTGACTGGTGGTGAAGATTGATGAACACCCAGTTGAGTGTTGACAAGAGAGGTGCTGAGAGAGAAGGGCAGTGGGGTGAGGTAGGAGGCTGCGAGAGCACAGAGGAAGAGGAGGAGGGCTACCCTGGAGGTTCAGAGAAAGACTGCTTTTGAGAGGATGTCTGTGCCACATTATGAAGAAAGAGGAGGAGATGGGTGGGTGGACAAGTGGGGAAATGGAGTTTTGGACAGAGGGTACAGCACACACAAAGGCCTCGGGCCAGGAACTAGCATGCTACGTATACATGGGAACTTCTAGAAGTTTGGCCTTTTGGGCATAGATCTTTGGCATAGATCAAAGCTCTAGAACTCTGCTTGGGCAGGCTTGGAGAAATGGGCTGAGGAGATTCCCACAGTGTCAGGACTTTCATTGCCTTTCTGGGATGTGTGACCAGTAGTTGATTTCTGAGACACTTAGACTCATGGCTCATAGACTCCCAGATAACTGGGAGTAGCAGGAGGTCATCTATTATGTGGAATATGAAAGACTGGAGCTGAAACTCAGCAGAAGCCTGAGTCTAGAGCTAAAAGTGGTTATAGCGCTAAAACGCTCTCCCAAAACTCAACTGCAACCAGTTCAGCATGTCTCTCCCCATCCCCTTGATATGTATCCAGGGTTGTCACCTGACACTAGAGTGTCACTCACACCACGTAGGGGTTTAGTATCAACAATTTCCCTCTTGAAGTAATCTCAGCCAGTCCCTGACATAAGGCAGAGCACGGTTGCCGGGCCTGAGCCACATTTGTCTGTTACAACTCTCTGGTCCAAAGTCACAGTTGAAGCAGTGGACACCACCCCTTTGCCAAACAATTGTGGGTCCCCAGCAATGTGCTGGGAGAGCTTATCACAAAGGCCTTGTGGGGCTTCCTGTCATAACTTTGCACAAGGTGTGGGGTTATCTTTCAGGAAACTTTGGAGTTGAGAGTTGAGTTGTGAACCCTTCCCTGCGGCCCATTTCATCCTGAGATGAGTGTGATCAGGGAGATGAAAAGGGCCCTGCCCGGGTTGTTAAGGTTTACATTATCAGCTCCTTCAGTCTATATAAAAAAGACATTTGTGGTGGCATTTGACCCCGCAGAGGAATCTGAGCCATCTGATTGCAGGTATGGAATCTCGCAATCTGCCTTTATCTGCATCTGCGATGCATCAACTCCCCAAGGTGGCAGCTTCCCTTCAATAACCTGGTTTCAGCCCTAAGAGTTCAACAGAAGACATCTTGCTAGGGAGGAAAGACATCTGGCTATACCAGCGAGGCTGAAAAACCCAGCAGCTCTGGGAGAAAGAAGTCCTTTTCATATTTACCAAACTCAACCCTCCTCCAAGTGTGGAGACAGCTGGCTTTTGTTTTTTTTCTAGCTGTATGACCTCAGGTGATCACTTGGTCACTCTAAGCCTCAGTTTCCTCACAAATAAAATGGAAATGATTTTGCCTATCTTTTAGGATCAGTGATAATGCACCCAGAAAGCCCAATGCACAACAGATGCTTGATGAGGGTTTGGTGACTTATGCATGTGGTTCTCTCCTCCGTGCTCAGTGTCTCCTCTGATCAAAATTGGAAAAGGAAGTACTACTAGGACAGAGGCATTTAGTAAGTGGGGCTCAGATACTAACTGCAAATATTGAGCTTTGACCCCAGTGTTGGGTCTTTCTTAGGACATTTTCTTTCCTTTTCAAACAGATCAACTGTTACAAGAGTACTTTAGTTCACATTAATTATCCCATTGTAAAAATGCAAATTTATTTTGTCTTCTGCAACTTTGGGGAACTAAGGGTAGGTGTGCTGAGCCTTAGTTTGGCCTCTGACCCATGTTTGTCCCCAGAATTACCCAAGGCCTCCTGTGGAACTGGAATCCGCCAGCCAGAGCACCTCTCCCACTGACCCCATTCCTTGAAGCTGGCACCCAACTCTCATCTCTTGGGGTTAATGATGTGGTAGTTTCTCCACCCAGCTCTGGCTATGACTGCCTGGATGATTCCAGACAAAGTCTTCTATCTCTCATGCCTTCGGACCCCCGGACTCCCCTTCTGTAAAATGAGGAGCTGCCATGCAGTATTTTTCAATATCTCTCAGCTTCTGTTGAGGTATCTTCTATATGTACACCCTGCATGAGCCAGCTGTTGTCCACTGATTAACACTGGCTTGTACCTCAGGCTTGAGCTGACATCGATCATCCAAATTTCTCCTTGACCCACTCACCCAAGAACCCACTTCTTTGCCTCCTTCAAGAGGGTGGCTTGTCAGAGTGATGGCGTTTTGTTGGCAGGCAGACCTAAGCTCAAATCTTAGTTTTGCCTCTTACAAACTATGTGACTTTGGGATGATTCATTTATTTCATCCTTCTGGACCTCAGTTTCTTTATTTGTAAAATGGGAAAGCAGCCACGGAGAACACAAAAGCAAGTGAGTTTGGCCATGTTTCCATAAGACTTTACTGATGGAGATTGAAATTTGATTCTCATATACTTTTTACGTATCACAAATAGTATTCTTTTAATTTTTGCAACCATTAAAAAAATGTAAAAGTCATTCTTAGCCTCTGGGCAGGCTGCACTAAAACAAAGGGAGGCCAGATGTGGCCTGAGGACTGCAGTTTGCTGAAACTGCTCTAGTCATTTCTCTCTTCCTGGTCAGGGGCTGCAGAAGCTGAGTCCGTTCTTCCAGAACCTTTTGTCTTCAGAACTTATCACTCAAGTCTGGGAGGAAGGCAAGAGGCCCTCCCTTTTCTTTGTGCTGTTGAGGCAGCTCCGGCCTCCCTCTGAGAACTGCACAGGGAGAGAGGCCTTTTCTGGCTGCTTTTCTCCCAGTCTCAGCTCACACCCAGGTTTTTGGCATTGTGTTAGATAATTTTGCTAGTAGATGACTGGTCCGTACAACTCTCATTATGGGGGCCTCTGTGCATGAAGATGTGAATGTCTAAAGTGAGGGGAACTTCAGGCCAATTATTAAGCCTGGGAAAGTTCACGCATCTGAAAAATTATGCATAGGCTATGTATATGCACATCACCTACTCCACTCCTATTATACACACCCCAAGAACATGGTAAAAACATGCAAGAAAAAAAAAAAAAGAGCCAGACTGGCCAGGTGTGGTGACTCATGCCTGTAGTCCCAGCACTTTGGGAAGCCAAAGTGGGTGGATCGCTTGAGCTCAAGAGATGGAGACCAGCCTGGGCAACAGGGCGAAACCCTGTCTTTACAAAAAATACAAAAAAGTTAGCCAGGTGTGGTGGCGCACCCCTGTAGTCCCAGCTACTTGAAGGGTTGAGGTGGGAGGGTCGCTTGAGCCGAGGAGATGGGGGCCGCAGTGAGCCGTGATTAACTGCACCACTGGACCCCAGCCTGGGTGACAGAGGGAGACCATGTCTCAAAAAAAGAAAAAATAAACCAACAAAAAACCCAACCACAACAAAAAACCAGCCAGACCTTTCTTTTCATTATGAAAATGCTACTTCTTAAAACGTCTGCATCATTGACAGTATCTCCTTTATGTCCTGGAATGCGAGAAGGTAGCACACTGTATATGCCTTTTCAGGGTGGGAGGGGGAGAAAGAATGGAGACACAGGCCCAGACGAGAGACCTTTATCATTTCCTCTAGGAATTTTTCTTGGCTCTCTAGGGCTGGGGATTGACAGGGATAATGAATTCATGGCTCAGCTGGCAAATCCAATTAAGCTTATTAACAGGGTGGCCTTGCCTTGGGCCTGCTCTGTGGTGGGACCTTGGCAGAGAAGGAAGTGCCTTCTGTGCCTGGGGCATCTGATCCCCTCTTAGGCAGCCGTGGAAGCTGCAGTTAGGGCATTTCAAGGGACAGCAGGACTGCACACTTATATAGAGTCTGTGGTGCATAATCTAGAACTAGGATGACCAACCATCCCAGTTTTCCCAGGACCAAGAGGTTTTTCTGGAAAAAAATAACAAAGTCTAGGAAAAACTGGGACAAGTTGGTAACTTTAAATCTTGCCTCAGGAAAAAATGAGGCCCATTGTGTCCTTGAAGGGATGTAAGTAATCTCCTATGTAGATCCTCTAGAACAGGCATCAGCAAACTTTTTGTAAAGGACAAGATAGTCAATACTTCAGGCTTTTTCGGGCCACATGGTTGCTGAGTCACAACTACTCAGCTTAGCTGTGGTGATGTGAAAGTAACCATAGACAGTATGTAAATGAATGAGTGTGGCTGCGGCTTCATGAAGTGTTATTTATAAAAACAGGCCAGATTTGGCTGTGGGCTGTACAATGCCAATGCTTGCTCAAGGAGGTATCCAGTTTTTCTACCTCTCTGTATGCCACACATACATACACAAACAGGCACACCCGCTGTAACATTGTTTGGGAAGCAAGACAGCCCAGTGGTTATAGAGGGCTTGAACTTTGGAGTTAGAAAGATCTCAACTTGAATCTTGGCTTTCCCACCTGCTAGTTGGGTGACCTTGAGGATCGCATCTCTGAGCCTCCGAGCTTCAGTTTCCTCATCTAGAAACTAGGAATAATACAAATGGGATCGCCGGGCACGGTGGCTCACGCCTGTAATCCTAGCACTTTGGGAGGCTGAGGTGGGTGGATTGCCTGAGCGCAGGAGTTCAAGACCAGCCTGGGCAACACGGTGAAACCCCGTCTCTATTAAAAATACAAAAAGTTAGCCGGGAGTGGTTGCATGCACCTGTAATCCCAGCTACTTGGGAGACTGAGACAGGAGAATCGCTTGAACCCAGGAGGTGGAGGTTGCAGTGAGCCGAGATAGAGCCATTGCACTCCAGCCTGGGTGACAGAGTGAGACTCTTCTCAAAAAAAAAAATAAATAAATAAATAAATACAAATGGGATCTGCCTGCCAAGATAGAAGGAAAGGGGATTTGGACTTCATCTCTTGACTGGGGAGGTGTCAGAGAACATGCAGTTGTCTCTAATTCACCACAAGAGCGGGCCGGGAGGGGTGACAAGGTTATTCAGCAATCGATGCCTCTGTATCTAGCTCCCAGCTAGTTGCTGAAGCCAAAACACTCAGTAAGATGACAAATAGGTGTTTTCCTTGTGGAATTCATGGTCACATAGAAAATTTAGATAGCTAAACAGCCAGTTATAGTAAACAGGGTTGAAGTCCAGATAGTGAGAAGGCAAGAGTGAAGGAGGCTTCTGATTCTTTAAGAGAAAAAAGATTCGATGAGGGAAATACATCCCTTTTGCTGCCTTAGAGAGCAAAGAAGAGCAGCTGCTCAGGAGCCGCTAGGGTTGGTCACATGTGCAGGTGGCTTCTCTTTGTGTGAAACTGGGTGAGGCTGTTTGCTGCAGGGGTGTGGGCTCAGGATGTGTATGGATATGTTTGTGTGCCTCCCGGTAGATAACTTGTGGGCTGATGACAGAGAAAGGGCAGCTCTGATGTAACAAGAGACATGCTCACATCTGTGACTTGAAGAAGCCGAGACTTTAGGGCCAGAAGGGTCTTAGAGATGCCTCATCCAATTCCTTGTCCTCTTCTCATTTTACAGGTGACTAAATGGAGGACTTGTCCAAAGCATCTCAGCTAATTGGCCCTCTGATTCCTCATCAAAATAACATATTTCACAAGCGAGGCCAATTAGATTCTGGGTGAACTCAGTGATTGAGTTCAGATACTGTTCACTAGCTGGCCTCACCTGATTTGGGGTTGACAGAAGAAGGCAGGGTGAATGTTGAGAAGACAAGAGTGTATGCTCATCAGAGAGGACTGGGCACAGTGCCAGGCACAGTTCTCAGAAATGGCTGGTTGAATTTGAACCTGCATTTATTATGCTTCATCTAAATTGCATTCAAAGCTAACATTAGAAAATTTCAACCTAAATTAAAATTCTTACATTTTCATTTAAATGAATAAAACCCCCAACTTAAAACTGCGTAAACTAAGAGGGTGATCTCAGGGGAGATGCTGTTGTGTTTCAAAGATAACCTCAACGTGTTTAAAGTATGAGCTGAAAATCTTGGATGAGTTTCAGAAGATAGAAAGAACCTAAAAGCCTAAAAGCCCAGAATCAAGCTATGTTTTGTTGAGAGAAGCACACTGGCATTCTTGACCTGGACTCTTGGTCATGGTAGTATGAAGCTCAACCACAAGGCATGTTGCTCAATGATGTCCTGGCCTCCTCATGTGGCCATCTCTGATATAGCTATGTTATAGGATACCTTAGGGAATGTCAGTTCCTCTGCCTGGCTGAAGAGGCATGATGTCTGAGTCAGTCCCATAGTGTGAGAATCTCTTCTCCAAGATAAGATGACGTCAAGTATGGAACCCTTGGTACATGCCTGGCAGATGTTTGGTTTGTATTTCCATCCGGGAGATGCCACCCCTGGGCTTGTCCTGAAAACAACTAAGTCCAAGGGGTTATTAGACTGCTTACAGAAGGCTTCATCTAGAAAGTAAAAACAAAACTTTTAATGTATGAGCCATGCATAATCATTGCTAAAACATAAAAACAAAACAGAGAAAATCTAAAAGGAAATAAAAATTACACTATTCAAATATGACTACTTCTAAAATTTTCATGTGTATTCTCCCAGAATTTTTTCTATATGTGATATGAATGTATTTTTTAGGCAAAATTGAGAGCACACTGTAAAGCTCTATGACACTGAACAAGTGACATGAATTTCCTGAGGTTTAGGACTCTTTTCAACACAATAGGAGTGATGATACCATAAGGATTATTGCTTCCTCTCAAAATGCTGCTGCCGTGCCGTAGGAGGCCCAAGGCACATGCACAGGCCATGCATGAGTGCTCAAAGAATCGACCCTGCTGAGCCCAGCCTTAAAATCATCCCAGCCCGGGCATCGGCCACATGAGTGAAAGACCCTGGGTGATTCCAGCCCCCTGACATTTGAGTCACCCATAACTATTTGAGTCTTTCTAAATTAGACCCCAGACACTGTGGAGCAGAGAAAAGCCATCCCCACTGTGCTCTGTCCAATTTCTGACCCACAGAAGCAGCGTGCATAAGATGGTGATTGTTTTACTTTACATTTTGCATATGGTGTGGTTTGTTTTGCAGCAACAGTGTCTATAACTGGACTGTTAACTTTGAGGAGCACTTTAGAGCAAACCCTTACCTGTGTGTGGCATCCCTTTCCATTTCCTCAAGGAACTTGTTCTTCGGGTTGTTTTCTCTCTATCCTGACTCTTCTGTCCCTCCTACTCCTTCCATTCAGCCTAAAAGTGGAGTCAAGCCTTCTGCAAGGGGAAAATCCCTTCCCCTGTCTCCATCATTTTGAACTACAATCTTTCCCTCACCAATTCCTCATCAATTCCATTCTTGAAAGGGCATTTTATACTTCCTACCTTGACTGTGTTCAGGCTAGTTTATGCTATAAATATTCTCATGTCAAACTCATCATAAGACTCTGCCTAAAGGCCATTTTATGCCACTTGATCATGCTCAGTGATCTGAAAGTCCTCTCTCCCTCAGTTTCCAGGTTACCTGCATCTCTCCTGTGACTCTCCTTTCCTTACTGAGTGGTCTTTGGCAATATCCTTCTATTCACAATCTCTAAACTACTCCCGGATGGTCTCCTCTGTTGCTGTTGCTTCATTGACATCTCTGAACAATTCTCAAATCAACACCTCCAAAGAGGAGCTCCTGAGCCTCCAGTCAATGTTTAACCTGTTCAAAAGACATCCCCAGTCATCTCTTCAGTGCTTCAAACTTATGACTCACAAGACTAAACTTAATGAGCACTTCTCTTTAAAATCTACTTCCTTTTTTTTTTTTTTTTTAAATTCACGACAATGTCAGGTGTTCAGTCAGGCCTTAGCTTCTGGAATCAAACAGATCTGAGTCGACTCATGATTCAGCCACTTAGTAGATATGTGTCCCTGCAGAGATCTCTTGTCTGAGCCTCAGCTTTTCCTCTGTAAAATGAGGATAACTGTGTTCTTACTTCATAAAAATATGAGAATGTAGTAGTTGTTAGAAAGTGTAACTGTTACCATTTTTAGTAATTTCAAAATGTTACATTCTCTGAGCATGATATAATACATGCTCATACAGAACATTTGGAAAACTCCGTGAGGCAAGAGGATTGCTTGAGGCCAGGAGTTCGAGACCAACCTCGACAATAACTCCCCCTAAGATTAACTATAAATACCATTTGACCCAGCCATCCCATTACTGGGTATATACCCAAAGGATTATAAACCATGCTGCTATAAAGACACATGCACATGTATGTTTATTGCGGCACTATTCACAATAGCAAAGACTTGGAACCAACCCAAATGTCCATCAATGATAGACTGGATTAAGAAAATGTGGCACATATACACCATGGAAGACTATGCAGCATTAAAAAGGATGAGTTCATGTCCTTTGTAGGGACATGGATGAATCTGGAAACCATCATTCTCAGCAAACTGTCACAAGGACAAAAAACCAAACACCTCATGTTCTCACTCACAGGTGGGAATTGAACAATGAGAACACTTGGACACAGGAAGGGGAACATCACACACCGGGACCTGTTGTGGGGTGGGGTGGAGGGGGGAGGGATAGCATTAGGAGATATACCTAATGTAAATGACGAGTTAATGGGTGCAGCACACCAACATGGCACATGTATACAGTTGTAACAAACCTGCACATTGTGCACATGTACTGTAGAACTTAAAGTATAAAAAAAAAGTTAAAAAGAAAATTCTGGCAAGCGTTTTGTAATCCAAGGATAAACACTGCTAACATGCTAATGTGCTTCCATTTCTTTTGTCTTTTTTTAAAAAATTATGTTTTTAGAGACGGGTTCTCACTCTGTTGCCCAGACTGGAGTACAGTGGTGTCATCATAGCTCACTGTAGCCTCGAACTCCTGGGCTCAAGCTATCCTCCCACGTCAGCCTCCCAAGTAGGTGGGACTACAGGTGCACCCCACCACACCCAGCTAATTTTTAAATTTTTGTAGCAATAGAGTCTCATTATGTTGCTCAGGCTGGTCTCAAACTCCTCAACTCAGTCTCCCAATGTTTTCAGATTACAGGTGTGAGCCACTGCACCTAGCCTCTCGTGCCTGTGTGTGTGTGCGTGTGTGTGTGTGTGTGTGTGTGGTGTGTATCCATGAGCATGTGTTAGGAAATAGGGCTACTCTGGATGGCTCTACCATTTTCTTGGCTTCGCAGGGTAGAAGGCTTCATGTCATCCCTTACCTTCTCTCTCATATTCTCATCCAAGTCACTAAATCTTCCAATTGTATTCCCAGATGCAATATTCCTTCTTCCACACTGCCACTCTCATAATTTACCTATTTTCCCATCTTCAGGCTCTTTTTTCACTTTTTATTCTAAATTTCGCATAGGTGGTTTCCCCAAACCAAAAATCTGAATGTGCCTCTCCCTTGCTGAAAACACCTCTCTGACTACTCTCAGTTTCTGGTATGAAGTCCTCTCCTTCCATTCCAGCATTCTCTCTCATCTCTCCTGTATTCACTCCAGCCATATTCCCTGGAAGAGTCAGGCCTGGTCATGCCTGTGCCCTTGAATATGCCGTTTCCTCTGGTCTCAGATATTTGCCTGCTTTGTTGCCCTGGAAAACTCCTACCTATCCACCACATCTGAGCTCAAATGCTAGCTCCTGCATGAAGCCTCCCCATTGCCCTCTACCCCATAACACAAGAAGCTCTTGTGTCTCTTCCTCTGTGTACCCCTTAGCACCTTGCTACTACTCTGGCTATACATTCTGTAATGTATCAGGTTACTTGTTCTCTGTGAATTCCTTATGAGAATTGCATCTTCAGTAGCTGGAAAAGGGCTTGGCCCATGAAAGTTACTCAGTAACCATTTCTTGAATAAATGAACTGATGGGTGGTGTGATGTGGAGTATCAGAAAGATCAAAGGATTCTATGGAAGAAGACTTAAATTGGCATTTTGTTTCTTCCATATTTTCACCTGCATGGCTCTGGGCAAATATCTCTAAGCCTTGCGGGGTTTTGTTGTAGTTTGTTGTCTCCTTAGCAAGGTTGATGAGATGCTCCAATGAGACGGTGGAAAGGAAAATGCTGTGAAAAATAAAAATAAAACACTATGCAAGGATTCTTTATATGGTTATTATTAATTGAAAAATAAGTAGCGGGTGAGGCTCAACATGGTCTTGCCTGGTGACCATGCTGTGTGCGCAGGGACTTGGTTGAGAATGGGAAGTCCCATGTCTAATCACAAGCCCTCCTTCCAGTTCCCTTCTGGGTCAGATGAGGATTTTTGTTCCCATTCCCGCCTCCCTATGCTTGTTGTGAGTCTCAGGTGAGATAATTCATGTTAAACATCCATGTGGATAAAGTGACTGGAAAAGGTACTGAAACTATCCAAATGCACAATGCTTATTCTGGTGAACTTGGCACCCTCCTGAGAGGTCCGTGCTCCTAGCCTTTGCCTGGGATCTCCAGTTTCAATCCTGCTTTGACTCTCATTTGACTGATGCCATGTCTCCTGGTCCTAAATGAGGCTGCAGGCTAGTTCCTTCTTTTGATTCCACCCCAGTGCTATGGTGAATTCATATCAAGACTTGACTCTCTCAGAAGCTCACTATTAAATTAACATCTACCCTGTATCCAGAAGGGAAGGACCCTACTTTTCTACTCTCTGTTGTTCTCACTGATGCTGTATCAGGGAAGCTTTCCATAACCTTCCAGACAAGGTTAGCCTCCTGAAGTTCAGTAATCTTGTGTTCCTGCTTTTTAACGTTGTAGTTTTATTACAGTTATTATGGTATCGCTATTTGTAATTGTTATCAGTGTCACTCTGGACCATATCTGGTTCACTCCTCTTTCTCCTTTGCTTATCACAGTGCCTAGCACATAGAGGATGTCAATAAATATTTGTTAAGCAAATAAATTAAAGAATATTCTGAACTTATTTAGTTTCTTCTACATGCATTGCACATTTCTACTTCAGTACCTTTGCTCCTGCTGTTTGCGCAGCCAGGAATGTGCCCACTTCAATTTCTCCCTGCATACACACACACAAACACACACACACACGCACACATGCGCACACACCTATTAAATGAGATAATGCATGCAACATGCTTACCAAGCACAGTAAGAACACTTAGTAGTAATTAACACCCGCTGCTGCATGTCTGTCATACTGAGCCTCTAATCTACCTCTCCTTAATCGCCTACCACTTTGCCTAGCGCACATAGCATGTGCTCACTCAATACTCAGTTGCATAAATGCACCATCTCTGGAGTTTGTCTTCATCATGGAGATGGAAAGGCATTTATGGAGTCAAGTGATGGGTGTTTTTACCCCACTTCCCAGATACAACGCTGGTGGTTGACAGTGGAGAAGAAACTTACCCATTGTGTTTGGTCCTGAGGTTGCATCATGGGTGAGAGTGAGGAGGTGATGGATACAAAAAGAGCAAGATAGGACACAGTTCTTGTGCTTAAGGACCTTGAACTTTGACTCTGCAATAAGCAATGAACTGTAGTGAGCATCCACATCAACCCTAGAGTCAGACAGACGTGGCTTACACCTTGGTGCTGCCATTCATCATCCTTGGGACCTCAGGGACTTACCTAACCACTTTAAGCTTCAATTTCCACATACCTAAAATGGCATCCAAGTGGCCCAATGTCACAGGGTGGGTGTGACTATCAAGGGCTATCAAGATTGCCTGTGAATTGTTGGTCATCCTCCTTGATTTCTTCCATGGAGAGGTGTGTTGCATTCCTCTCTCTTTCACCACATGGAAGTAGAGGAAAGATTTCTTCAGTAATCTTCCAAACTTTCCTCTTCTCTCCAGCATAGTTGGTTGGTGCCTGTGCTCTTCCCTGAGATTTTGTGCGAGTCAGTGAGTACAGCAGGGAAATCACTGCACAGGAGCCTAATTGAGATGGAGATATTGGCAGCAGGCTCAGCATACAGGTGCCTTGAGAGCCCTGCCAGATGGCTTCTGCAGTTTCATGATCCTCCCTGGGGTAATATAAGCCTCCAACAACTGGTGTCTCTGGGAGCTGTTCTGTTGCTACCTTACCAGCCACCTGTCGCTCAGAACCCACAAATAGTCTACATCATGGTACCAGCATAAGGATGGGGAAGTGCCAGTTTTGGTGTTTGATGAGCAAAGTTATTACTTTAGAAAGGCTGGAGCCAGGGGACCGAAGGAATGGGAAAGGAGAGAACCCCATCATGATTAAATATTCATTGAACAATCTCGCTGGTGGTGTCAAAAAATGATGGTGATGCCACATAAAATAATATGGATGCTGAGACTCCAGGTGGTACCAAGGGAACCTTGCTTCCCTCCCACTCCTGGTTCCCACACCTTTCATCAGATGAATATATTTCCCCTTACACTAAAATATTCTTGCTGTCTGAAGCAGCTTTTCCAAAGGCCAACTCCTGACTTTTCAAATTATATCTAAAAGACAGCCAAATGCTCTTTGTGTTCCAATAAGCTGAGTTCACAATATGGATGGGTTGGCCGAGGTAAAAGGTAGTGCTGATGCTTCCTGTGAACAGAGGGCCTGGGCTAGGAGAAAGGTTCTGGGCTGGGCCAGGCTGTACAGTGTGACTCCACGCTGCCGCCACCCGTGCAGTCCAAATCTTCCCTTTGCTAAGGTTGCTGGTGGTCCCCTGCCTGAGATTGTGTTCCTTTGTCCTTTTTCAAGTTCAGAGCATTTGACTTTGTGACTCAAGAATTTTGAAATTCTCTCCTCTGGGGCTTTCGGGAAGCACTTTTATGCAATTCTTCTCCTAGCTCTTTGCAATTTCTCATTTTTCCTCCACTGGCCCTACTTTTAGATGCTTTCTTTAAGTTCTTTTTTTCATCTTGATTCCCTTTTAGCTTTAAGCATTCTTTCTGAAAGACCACATTCATCTCCTGGATTGTAATCAACAATTGTTGTAGGTGGAGCAATGCTCTCCCCCTTTAGAAGGTGTCTATGTCTTAATTCCCAGAATCTATGAATATGTTACTTCACATGGCAAAAATTGAATTAATTACACGGATGTAATTAATTCAATGATTTTCAGATGGGAAGATGATCATGGCTTAACTGGTTGGGCTCAATGTAAACACAACATCCTTATAAGAGGAAGACAAGAGACTTAGAGTCAGATAGAAAGTGACATACATAACAATGGCAACAGAGGGACAAGAGAAGTCATGAGATATATTAGGGTTCCCTAGAGGGACAGAAATAATAGAATATAAATATATATATATGGGAGTTTATTAAGTATTAACTCACACAATCACAAAGTTCCACAATAGGCTGTCTGCAAGCTTGAGGAGCAAGGAGAGCCAGTCCATGTCTCAAAAATGAAGAACTTGGAGTCCGATGTTTGAGGGCAGGAAGCATCCAGCATGGGAGAAAGATGTAGGCTGAGAGGCTAGGCCAGTCTCACCTTTTCACATTTTTCTGCTTGCTTTATATTCACCAGCAGCTGATTAGATTGTGCCCACTAGGTTAAGGGTGGGTCTGCCTTCCCCAGCCCACTGACTCAAATGTTAGTCTCCTTTGGCAACACCCTCACAGGCACACCCAGGATCAGTACTTTGCATCCTTGAACCCAATCAAGTTGACACTCAGTATTAACCATCACAGGAGATGCTACACTGTTGGTTTTGAAGACAGAGAAAGGTGCTACAATCTAAGGAATGCAGGTGGCCTCTAGGAACTGGAAAGGCAAGGAAATAAAATAGATTATTTCTTAGAGTCTCTAGAAGGAATAAAGCCCTGCTGACATCTCATCTTGACTTTAGCCCAGTGAAACCCATTTGGACTTCTGACTTCTAAAACTGTGGTATAATAAATTTATGTCGCTGTAAGCAACTAAATTTATGATGATTTGTTACAGCAGTAATAGAAAACAAGTACAATAATCTACCTAAGAAAAATCTACGTAGCATTTGGTGGTCATGGAAAACGAATTAAATCCTGGTTCTGTCTCTTACTAACTGTGGGACCAAAGACAGGTTATTTGATCTCTATAGTACTAGTTTTTTCCAACTATAAAATGAGGAAAAGAGAACCTATTACATCTCAGATAAAATTGGGCTACTCTGGTTTCCTCCCACCACATGTTACAGTTGAAAGACCCAGCCACCTGCATGACCAGTCATCTCAGAAATACTATAGGGAATTTCATTCTTAACACGCAGCACATTTTTTCAAAATGTCTTTACTAATTTCTTTCTTTGTTTCTGTCATTTTTCTTTCTTTCTCCCCTCTCTCTCTCTGTCTCTCTCTCTGTCTCTCTCTCTGTCTCTCTCTCTCTCTCTCTCTCTGTGTGTGTGTGTGTTTGTGTTTAATAGGATGTTAAAAATGAGACCATTTCTGTCTCTCTGACTTCAGCAAGAAAAATCAATAAAGAAAGAACCTCTGTCTTCCAAGGGAAGTGCTACCCCATCTTGACGGGCCTTGCAATGGGAAGGCTGAAAATCAGAATATTGGGTCATCACCTACCTTTAGAGAGTCAAACTAGAGCCCACAGGCTGAATCCTGCCTGCTATCTGTTTTCATAAATAAAGTTATATTGGAACACAGCCACACCCATTTGCTTAAGCATAGCCCATTGCTCTTTTCTTTTTTAAAAACAATGCAGAGTTGAGAATTGCTACTGAGACTGTTTTGCCTGCAAAGCTTAAATAATTTACTATCAGGCCTTTTACAGAAAAGCTTTGCTGACTACTGCTTTAGGATTTAAAATAGCTGATCTAACAAGACGATGTGTGGGGCCGGGTTGTGGAGTTCTGTAGAAATTTCCTTCCCACCCCCTGCATGGTGAGAGTGGCTTCAAGGACCACTTAAAGAGTTTGATATTCACCCCCTAGGGTTTAGGGAACCCAGTGGACAGTTATTTGACTTTTCCTGAGAAATCTGAATAGCAACTCTGTGGCTTCTTCATTGGGGCTGCATAGAAGAGAGAAAGGACTGACATTTGCGGTGAATATTTCCATCAATTGTGGTACTAAAATTTGCTGGGGTCTCTCTCATGAGCAGAAATGAGATGAAGCTCATGTGGTCTTCCCAGAGGTTAAATGGGACACCAAAAAGAAAGTGTCTCTATGAAGTGGACCACCAAATGCCAAGGTTGAGGGTTGATGTTAGAGGCAATCCCAGGAGAAAAAACAGTGACTATGAGAAAATAAGTTAAAGTTCCTGGTGGGGAATCTCTGAGAAAAGTTTCAAAGCACCTCTTGGAAGAAACAGTCAGCCTTTACTACCTCCAGTTCTGGAGAGCACCAAAGCTGGATAGTGACAGTACCAATTGACCAGGTGTCCACATTCTCCTCTAATTCCTCTTTCCATAAGCCTAACTCTGGAATAGTCAGGATCCAAGTCTGGCTCTTTAGGGGGAGATAAAGCAGAAAGGCAAGTTGGGCCACAAAATAGAGCAAATATCCACAGCATCTTACAGGATCCGAGGTCTGCATCTTCCCTGAGCCTGGGAGAGGTGAGAAGTTCCAACTCTGAATGAAGCCCAAAGAAGAATCATTGTCTTGACTTAGGCACAATAATTTTTTTTTTTCATTTCATTGTGCATTGAATGAATATGTTCATTTTCTTTTATTTATTTTATTTTTTTGATATATTTCATGTTCTAGGGTACATGTGTACAACGCGCAGGTTTGTTACTTATGTATGCATGCGCCATGTTGGTGTGCTGCACCCATTAACTCGTCATTTACATTAGGCATATCTCTTAATGTTATCTCCCCCTCACCCACCCCATGACAGGCCCCAGTGTGTGATGTTCCCGTTCCTGTGTCCAAGTGTTCTCATTGTTGAATTCCCACCTGTGAGTGAGAACATTAGGTGTTTGGTTTTTTGTCCTTGCGATAGTTTGCTGAGAATGATGGTTTCCAGCTTCATCCATGTCCCTACAAAGGACACGAACTCATCCTTTTTTATGGCTGCATAGTATTCCATGGTTTATATGTGACTTAGGCACAGTAATTGAAGGGAAAATGGCAGTGGTGGTCTTTTTGGTGGACAAAACTAATTGGAAATTTTATTACCAAGTAGTGAGTGTAAAAAGCATGGAAACTGTCTGAAAGTTCATCCAAGAGACAAAGGAAGAAATAGTACAGAGGTAGTTTGGGGGGCAGTGGTCAGAAAGAGAAAACTTGCTTTCTGTTCTCACCTTAGTGAGTTCAGCCTCACTGCTTGACACAGCAGCTACCCCATTCCTCCTTGTCTCTCACCTAAAACTCCCCCAAACTATCTCCCTCCATTCCAATCTGAACTGAGTTTTTGCCTCTTACTCCCTTTTCTGATGTGTTATCCTCACTGTTCTCTCTTTAGAATGTAAGCTGCATGAAAGCAAGGGTTTCTGTTTCCATCACAGCTCTGCCTTCAGCACCTAGAACAGCACCTCTCACAAACAAGGTGTCCAGTTACAATAGTGCTTTATATCAGTAGCTTCACTTTCCAGGATTTCCTTACTTACGGAGTTTAAGAACATTGAATGGAAAATTCCAGAAATAAACAATTCATAAGTTTTAAATTGGGTGCTTTTCTGAGCAGCGTGATGAAATCTCGCACTGTCCCACTTTGTCCTGATCAGGACATGAATTCTCCTCTTGTCTGGCATCTCCATGCTGTAGATGCTCCCTGCCTGTCAGTCACTTAGCAGCTGTCTAGAATATCAGATCGACTGTTGTGATACTGCAGTGCTTCTCTTCAAATAACCCTTATTTTACTTAATAAAGCCCCAAAGCAGAAGAGCAGTGATGCTGACATATTGTTACAATTGTTCTACTTTATTATTAGTTATTGTTGTGAATTTCTTACTGTGCCTAATTTATACATCAAACTTTATCATAGGTGTGTATGTATAGACATAAACACAGTATATATAGGGTTTGGTGCTATCTGCTCTTTCAGTAGTCCACTGAAGGTCTTGGAACACAGCCCCTGTGGGTAAGGGTGGACCATTGTAATGGTTGTCTAATAAGTAAGAGCATGGGGCAAATAATTCTTGTCTTTCAGATTACCTCTCAGTTCTCAAAAGTATCCATTGCCTCAGTTTATATAAAATTCATATCCAAGATTTTTTCTCTTAGACAGTAGTGGAAGGGAGAAGCCAGAAGTGGGAAAGGATGGGAGAGGAGAAAGACAGGAAAAGAGAGAAGGCAATGGCAGGGAGGAGGTAGAGGTGGGATGAAGGCTTGGATGGGGAGAAGATGCAAGGTATAGAAGGCAGGAGGTGGGAGAAGGCTATGGTGAGGAGAAGGCAGACAGGAGAAGGCTGTCTTTCTCTGTTTCAAAGGGCTTTTGATAAGATGAAATTGAATAATGTATATGAAATGCTGAGAACATTCTGTAGGATGTAGTGTATGCTCAAAATATTTCTTACATGTAGCTAATACTTTAATAGTTCTTCCTTGTTCAACTATCTGCTGGACAATTCCCTGATGGCAACTCAAAGCCAAAATCTCTCAAATGTTACGCATTTTTTTCCCCATCTTACCTGCTCCCACACCTCCTGTGCTCCCTCTGGAAATTAGTAAAATAGCAAAACTCTCTTGCCTCTGAGGTGAGATACTTTGCAGCATCTGTGACTTTTTCCCTCCTGGTATCCAGTTGGCCACCAAATCCTCCTTCTGGATGCCTCTGGGACATGTTTATTCCTGGCCACTCCCACTGCCACAGGCTGAACCCAAGCTCTTGCGTTAACCTCATGTGTTTGTGCAGTCCCTCCTTGTCATGCATGACTATATTAGTTTGTTCTTGCGTTGCTATAAAGAAATACCTGCGACTGGGTAATTTATAACAAAAAGAGGTTTAATTAGCTCATGGTTCTACAGGTTGTGCAAGAAGCATAATACTGGCATCTTCTTAGCTTCTGGGGAGACCTCAGGAAATTCACAATCATGGAGAAAGGTGACAGGGGAGAAGGCACATCACATGGCCAGAGCAGTAGCAAGAGAGAGAGGCAGGGAGGTGCCACACTTTTAAATAACTGGATCTCATAATAACTCACTCACTATCATGAGAACAGCACCAAAAAAGATGGTGCTAAACTATTCATGAAAAGTCCAGCCCCGTGATCCAATTACCTCCCACATTGGAGATTACAATATATCCTTACCTCCAACATTGGAGATTACAATTCAGCATAAGATGTTGACAGGGACACAGATCCAACTATATCAATGAATCTCTTCTCCAACTCTTGGTTCACATGGCTGGAAGCTTAGCCTTGCCAGAATACATATTCTATCATAACAGTTCTATGCTCATGAACCTTCTGCCAATGCCAGTTGCCTACAGGAGAAAATGCAGCCTGCATAGCAGGGGACTGAGCACCCTCAGGGTGCATCTCTTCAGCCTGTCTCTCCTGCATTCTTTTCCTCTGCCCTCCTCATTGTCCTTTGGGGAATTCCATGCTCTTTCTCAAGCTCCGTGTGCCAGAATGCTCCTCCTTTCCTTTCCTGTCCTTGCAGAATCCCTACCTTCTTTCCAGCCTGGCTCCAGGAAACCATCCCTAATAAACAATATTCCCTTCTGTGTTCTCGTGCTCTTGGCTTCCACCTATCTTTTCGTATTTAGGTGGAACCTTCAATTTTATTTATTTGTATTCATAGCTGTCTGTCCTCCAAATGAACTGGACATTAAATGCATACTTTATATTGTTTTGTTTTGTTTGCTCCACCAAGCAGTGCTTAAGACAAAACAGAGCCTCAGGCAATAATTCTTTGAATAAACAGTGCAAATCTTGATTTCATCTCTAGGTAGCTGGGTGACCCCAGACTTGAGATCTAACCTCTGGGATGACATGGGTAATGTTGGATTCAAGTTTTTTGTTTTTTGTTTTGTCTCTGCAACTTAAAAAAAAAGTTAGAGATAATTCACATACCATAGAAATAACCCATTTCAATGTACACGTCAGGGTGTTTAGTATATTCAAAAAGTTATGAAACCATCACCACTATATAAGTCCAGAAAAATGTAATCACCTCCAAAAGAAACTCTATAACCTTTAGCAGTCACTCTCCACTTCATACTTCATTGTTACCAGCCTCTTTCACTTAACCTCATGTTTTTAAGCTTCATACAATGCAGCATGTGTAATACCTCATTCCTTTTCATGGATGAATAATATTCCATTTTATGGATTTGCCACATGTATTTATTCATTCATCAGTTGATGGACATTTGGATTGTTTCCCTTTTATGGCTTTATAAAATGCTACTATGAACATTAATGTACAATGTTGTATGAACATAGTTTCCACTTCTCTTGTACAAATACCTATGAGTAGAATTGATGGGTCATATGGCATGGATTCAGTGTTAGCTGAGAAAATGTACACTTCTCATAGAGCACGTTATGGTTTCATCCAAAAGTTACTTACTGAGGACCTACTCTGTTCCAGACACTGTTCTAGGTGCTGGAGATTTAGCAGTAAACAAACTAATAAAAATTCCTGCCCATGGGGAGCTTATATATTAGTTTGGGGGAGGCAGGCAACATACAAAATAAATGAGTAAAATATATATCATACTAGATGGAGATAAGTGGGCTATAGGGAAAAATAAAGCAGATAAAGAAGAGATTGCAATGAAATTACAAACATGGTTTTCAGGGAAAACCCCGCTGAGAACATGACATTTAGGAAAAGATTGAAGGAAGTAAGGAAGAGCCTTCAAGGCATTTGGAATAACAAATTTAAAAGCATGAGGAAGGGCAGTTGGTGGGCTCACAGAACAGTAAGAGGCCAGTGTGGGGAGGAGGGAGTGAGGGGAGACAAGAAGAAGCAGAGGACACAAGAGGGCAGGAAGCGTGGGGCCATGTAGGGCACTGTAAAGGCTTCAGGTTTTAGACTGAGTTAGAAAGGGGCCAAGGAAAAGATTCAATCACAGGAGTGACATGATTTGACTCATATTTTTATGGATTCCTCTGGCTGGTGTACTGAGGGTAATAAAGAGACAATGACCCAGACTCCAGTTGGGAGGCTAATACAACCATCAAGGCAACAGATAACAGTGGCATTGATACAGTGGTAGAAAAGGGGATGATGAGAAGTGTTGGATTCTGGAAAGAGCATTCATTCATTTAAAAATATTTATAAGCACCTACTATTTGCCAGGGATTCTTATAGACACAGAGATTCAACAGGGAACATACACTTTCTAAAATGAGTGCAATCATGTTGGTCAATATGATTGACCTCTTGCTCATAAATTGAGCCCCAAGGGGATTTAAACCATCATCAATTGTTTTCTAATTACTAAATTCATTCAACTTGATTTATCAAATGCCTACTGTGTGCAAGGCCCTTTGGTACCTGTTAATCTAGAGCTGTATAAGACACAGTTTTGTCCTCAAGAACACAGACAAAGTTACTGACCTGAAGAACTAAAAAAAAGTGGTCATTGTTTTAAGTCAGTAATTTTTGGGAGGTTTGTTTTACAATGTAATAAACTGATACCTAGGTCCTTAGTACATATTTACTGAAAAGATGAAGGAAAGAAGGCTACATTTTGAAATTATTTCTGGGCCCATCCATCCTGAACTCAACAGTTGTGTTCTCTTTTTGTTTTCCTTACTAAGGGGAAGACAGGATACTGATAAGCAAAGTGAGTGGGTTGGGGAATTTCTGGGTGCCCTCCACTCTCTGCAGGGTAGTGCGTCATCAGGATGCCAAGGCATGAGGGCCGTGAGAAGATTTCCCAGCTGCCTCCATCTGGTCTTCTGGAAGTGCACCTATGCGAGGTGGTCATCTTCAGTGCCTGGGACGCACTCTGCACCACCCATGTGCACCCAGAGCCTGAAGATCTGACAGTGTCAGGCCTGAGGTTTTTGAATTATGGTTCAGTGTTAGCTTGGTAAATCCATTTACATCCTCTCAACAGCGTGGGCTCACTTTGCATCACTTTACATCCATAACTAGGCAATAAAATTGGCCTCAGAATCCTAGTTCAGGTTTCACCAAGTAGGGTAATACCAGAAGAAGCTAAAATGAGACAATGACAAGGAAGTGAGACATCCCTTCTCTTCTATGCGCTCATTAGGAGGCTTGGGTGGAGTTGGGGGAAATTTCCTCTTCTCTCTCCCCTAGGTGGGGTAGATCAAGAAAGAGAAGCTAGAATGTTGGCTTTTTTTATTTTTATTTTTAATTTTTTTTAGAATGTTGGCTTTTTAATACTTTAACTATATAGCCTGGTGACCCTTGGCTTTCAAAGGGAGAAAAATTTTGTCAAGGGTTTCTCCTTCCTCCTTGGCTATCTGCCCTGGGCCCAAGGATACAATGCCTCAGATGCTTTCATTCAACATGTATCTACTGACATCCATTAGATATATGTTGGTCCTTTCAGAGCTTCATTTATTGAATGAAGATGATAGGGTAGCTGACATGGATCAATTGTTCACTATTTGCTGGACACTGTACCAATCTCTCAGCCTACATCATCTGTGGAAGTCCACACAACAACCCTTTCGGGTGGATACGCTCATGAGTATTGCTTTCTAGATGAGGAAACTGAGGCTCAAAGACGTCATTTCCTCAGGGTCACAGAGATATAAGATGTTGGAGCTGGGATCCAGACCTCAAAGTTTGGCTGCAAAGCCTATGCTCTCAACCACAATTGCTTCTTCTGTTTATTGGTGGTTCCCAGTGAGGGGAAGAATGAACTCAAATGGAAGGTGTAGGCCTAATCCTCAAACCTCATACCAAGAGTAAGCACTTTTAGCTTCATTTTACAAATGGTGAAACTGAACATTTTATGACTAGACTGTGATGGATGGTGGTGGTGGTGTTTCATTTAAGAAATTCTTAATTGACCATTGAACATTAATCACATAGATGAGGCATGAACAAACATATTTGGAGGTAAGTATCATGACAACATGATTTCTTTTTGTTTATTTTTCTGTTTATCTTTATTTCAAGTGCAAAAAAGCAATTAAGATGTAATTTAAAATTACTTTATAAGAAAATAGCTTGTTAAATGCTGAGATTGCATGTTAAGTAGTTGCAAGTTAGGGTCAAAATGTCATCGATCTGAAAATTGTTGTCCAGCTTTGCAATTACTCTGAGCTTTGTGTCTGAGCTCTTTCTGACAAATCAGGAAACAAGAAATAGCTCCGGATATACTGGTTCCTGACACTCCATTCCAGTCTGATATTTGTGATGGATTTAATTGACATCAGAATTCTTAAAGGACACACTGAGCATTTTGTACAATTTGTACTGCCACACCATCCTGCAGAGTAGAATTTTATCAGCTCAAAATAACTTGGCATTTTAAATCATTTCAGGACCTCTTTTGGGCAGTTACTTCCATCTCCAAATAACACACAAAATTAAAGCTTTTAAATTATTACTTAGTAAGAACTTACTGACATATCATTTCAAAGTATGGTGTAAAGGGAAGAAAATAATGAAAAGGGTTATAGAGATGGGGGAAGGTTGTGATTTAACCTTCCTAGAAAATATGGGGGCTCATCTTATACAAAGTTTACATTCTTAATAACTCCTTTTGTTTTTTCTAATCTCTTTATGCCTTAGTTTGCCTTTCTCATATTCTACCAACTTGTTCTACTTCTTTCCCCACTAAATGTAGACACAAGAAAATCTCACTATTTCCATGCATTGTTGGGGAGACAGTGTCTTTTTAAGTAGCATTACTCTTGTTTTACCCTATCTTTGTTGAAGATACTAGAACTGAGCTACCTGTTGTGATAGCCCATTAAAAATGATAATAATAACAGCTACTCCTTACATTGTTGAAAACACATTATATATATGAACTTGAATTAAACTTTGTAACAACTCTCTAAGGCAGATATTATTATTGTGCTTATTGTGTTGATGAGGAAGCTGAGGTACAGAGAGCCTCATTTATTCAAAGTCATGTGGCTAGTATCCCGCAAAGCTGGGATCTGAATTCTGGCAATCACTACCCCACCTTTGGTTAAATGGGATTATTGCACTAGCAAGTCCACCAATGAGCCAGCCAGTATTCAGTTACTCTACCAGAGCCTCTGTCACTAGTGGCTTTTTTTATTCGGGGGTGGGGGGAGGTGGTGGGATCTAGTATATATTGTCAAGCACACAGTTTAGAATATTTCCACATTAGAATCCTTCCCTGTTCTCTTTTTGAGAGCCTGGTGCCAACACTCCTAGCTCCAAGAATAGCTCTTGGAAAGTTCTTGCAGCAATTGCAAAAATATTCCTTCCCTCCCTCTTTCACTGGCTGGTTTCCAAGTCTTACGTTATGAGTTTGGGAGTCCAAATAGTGTGAACCTGCAGGCTAAGACACAATCTGGAGTTCCAAAAGAGGGATACTTTTCGGCAGCTGGATGCAAAAGAGAGCAAAGTCATGTCACCTGTATCCTGCTGAATTTTCCTCCTACAGAGAGGATACAAGTACTTACACAACATCTTTCTCCAAATGTTCAGACAAATTGCTTGTACAATAGTTAACAATGTAATTCAAAGCAGAAGCTGAAATCCTCATGCAGATGTGCTCCATAAAGAGATATCCCTGAGCTTTCAAGTATGTGGACATGATCTCTCCTTTCATTATTGCCTTCTTATTAACTATGTTTAGGCAGTTATATAACCTTTTAGGAGCCTCAGTTTCCCCATCTGTAAAATAGGATAAGATTAGCTTTTCTGCAGGATGATTTAAGGTTTATGTCAGGTATTATATATAAAGAATGAAATTGAGAGCCTGGTATATAGTAAGCAGCCAATAAATGCTCCTGTATGTCCATTTGATGATGTCTGTGTCTATTTATCTTTTCCATGCTCTGGCCAATAGCTTTTCTCTACTTTGAATACTTGCCTATATGGACATTGGCTCATCGGAAATAGAGTCTAGATAAATGCATGTGAGATTCATTGGTTTCTACAGGCATTCCTTGTGTGCCTAGAACTGAGGTAACTTCTGGGAGGTGGTACTGAGGGAATTTAAAAAGGGAGATGAGGTTGTCCTTGCACACAAAGAGTTTATTCTCAGATCTGGGAACACACAAGGAAATTAATGAGAAAAAAGATTTTTAAAGCTCAGTAGCCAATGGATATTGTGAAAACGATGTAATTGTGTAAATAAGTAATTGCTGTGCTTCCCCCACTTGGAATCCCCCCCACCTCCTGATCATAGACACTTGTGTCTAATTCATCATGTGTTACAGTTTTACATGTTTCCTGTGTTGGGTCCATACCCATCTTGCTGCATGGACTAGTGTTCTCCAACAGAAATGTCACGTAGGCCACATATACAAGTTTAGATTTTCTAGTAGCCTTATTTAAAAAAAAGTATAAAGACACAGATGAAATTAATTTTAATAACATTTTTAACCCAATATGTTCATATTATTAGTTCAATTAGTAATCAACGTAAAAATGATTACTGTGATGTTCACATGCTTTTTTGTCATTTGAAGACCAAGTCTTCAAAATATGGAATGTATTTGACACTTACATCACATCTCAATTTGGCCTGGACACATTTCCGTGCTCAGTAACCATGTGTGGCTAGTGGCTCCCATGTTGGGCAGGGAAGAGCTAGACAGCAGCTCCCTTGAGGGAGAGGATATTTTATTCTCCTTTGTGTCTCCACTCTATGCATCTTTGTACCTGGAATCTGCCTTATGCAAACTTGGTGTTCAATACTTTTGTTGTATGGGTTTGAGTTCCATTTTCACACTTCTGCACTTGCCATCTTACCTGACTACTTTTCTCGCCACTGCTTCATTGAGTGACACTGTCTTCATTTCTCAAAAGTTGCCTATATGCCCCCTTCTATCACCCTGAACCCCTAACTAGCACTGGTCCATTGCTGGAGTCAGTGAGAAACTTGTTAACAATGCACCAAGTAATGGTTCAGTTTAACCCTGCTGTATCTTCAGGATCTTGTGGCAGGCTGTCTTCAGTCCTGGAAATCCCACTTAAAGAGTAGAGGCTGAGAGATTGGAACCAGTTAAAAGGAGAGGAGCAGAGAGTGATAAAAGGTTGCCAGGGTGGGATTTATGTAAAGAGGATGAGAAAGAAGAGCATGCGAGTCTGCAGAGGAGGATGAGCCAGGTGAGGTGCTCAGACTCTGGCAGGCACATGAAAGGATGTGCCAAGGAGGACAGGGACCAATTCTCATTATCCAGTAAGCAGGGGTTGGATCACTGGCAGGACCATTGAGATTGCAAAGGAGACAAAATTCAACTGTAGGGAGAAAAAAAGAGGCATGTGGCATCAAATAGACCTCTGTCTGAAGCTACTCTATCCACAGTCTGTGACCCTGAGTAAATTACTTAATCTTCCTGGACTTGAGCTTTGGTGTCTCTATCTCTACAATGGAAATAAAATTTCAACCTTAAAGGTTATCTTGACTATGCAATGATACTCAAGTGTCTGCTGTGCGTGAGATGCCAACAAGAAAACTAAAGGAATTGAATTCATTTTAGAGAGAAATATTTCTTATTTTCAATTCTTCCAATTCCACCCCTCCTCCAACTCTTTGGCTGGCTTTGGAATTCTCATGAAATTAGATGTCAGTGTTTCCAAATGTCTGAGGAGAATACTATTAATGGTATGAAATTGTGAGAAGGTTGCTCTTTTTTGAATTCTCTTTCTATTTGCCTGGAGAGATTCTCAGTTTGGTATCACTCTTTAACACCTCTCCAACATTTGTTTCAGTCTTTCTCAAGGACAATAGAAAAGGGCTCAGGAACAAAGCTTTGGGTGGGCAACATTATCTGTCTGGAATTTAATAGCATAGTAAAGTTTACATAGTAATTTCTATTTAGGATAATTCATACTTAAATTCCATTTATTGCAATGCAACAGTTTTCTTGTACAGCAAAGTAATTTAAGATGAAAGTGACTCAATTAAATAGAGTTAGTTGATAATAGTATGTATGGTACAGTCCTGGTAAACTTGTAAAGATGCTCCAGAAATGGCTGAGGTTTGGGCAACCCCAATCCAGGCCAACATTGTACTTTTATGTCAGGAATTAGAGTGCCAACGGGGAAGTTTCTTGTTTGCCCATGGACAGCACAACTTGAATTCACATTGGAGCAAGATCTGCTCTGGGTTTTGGCGACGTGGGTGATAACTCCTGCCCTACCACCGCCATATCCCTTGGGCAAGTCACTTGCCTCTGAGAGCTTTTCTTTCTGCTAAATTATATTGATTCGTGGAGTCTTTTACTACTCCAAAACTTACTTGGGGATATCCCCAATCCTTTTGCCCTTTCATCTCAAAAATTCTAATGGAGGACTTCATTCTCTGGGGGTGGAAATGAGGACTGAGAAGGACAGGGGAAAAGGTTGCTACCTGTTCAGCCTCATCATCGTTCTTATCTGAGTGACTGGTTCAACGTCCCCATAGAATGGATTAAAGTGACAGCTCATTGGAACCAATATAGCACTGACTCCTTCAGAGGATGGTATGGGACTAACTCCTTGGACAGCAAACTTTCTCAGGATGGCTCTATATGCAATGTCTGCTTTTATTTTACTGATGGTTTTAGCTTTATTAATGACTTCCAGAATACAGGAACAATATTGCTATAGTTTTTCCTGCAAATGGATGTTTGATTGTGAATATTATTTGGTTAATTTTCAAACTCTTTTTAGTATTTAGTTATGGCTAATTAGAAAAGTTAATAATATATTCTTAGTCTGGGATATGTAGTTATCCTAGATATATAGAAGGTAATTTACCAATATAAAGTAACGCCTTATATTACCGTGGTCATATAGAGCAGGAGTCAGCAAACTTTTTCTCTAAAGGGCAAGATGGTAAATATTTTAGGCTTGCAGACCATGTGGTCTCTGTCACATTACTCAACTTTAGTATGGTAGCATAAAAGCAGCCATAGACTACATATAAACAAATGAGCATGGCAGTGTTCCAATGAAACTTTATTTACAAAATTAACCAGCAGAATGAATTTGGCACTCAGGCTATAGTTTGCCAAACCTTGCACTAGAATGTGTTCATTTTTATAACCTTTCCTCTATGCCACATGCACACACATACTCACATTCTCATTGACTTTGTTTAGGAAGCAAGATTGCCTAGTCTTTAAGGAGGGCTTGGACTGCGATAAGACCTTTCTGTGTACTCAACCTGATGTCCTGTGAATCATAAAATGAATTAAAATTTTGTGCCTTTTAGAACTCATAAGAATTAAATAAGATACAAATGTAATGTACCTGACATACGGTAACTACTCAGTAGGTATTATATTCCAAGCTCTAATCCCCATCCCACCCCCTTCCCCACCAACGTAATATCAAACCAGAATTGTAGAATTTATGTCTCCCTCACAAATTCCTTGTAGAACAGCTCTTTCCACCCTACGTGAGCCTGGGTCCTGCAGACACAATTTTCTCAGGTGCCGTGTGTGGCTATTCTCGGCTTTCTGACTTGCTCCTCTGAGTCTAGGGTGTGGAGAAAATCAAGCAGCCTCTTCCAGGAATTCAGTGGAAAAGAATTTCTAGGCAGATTGCCTAAAAGCTACACTGTATTCTTAGAAAGTGGCTGTTGTATCTGTTAAGAGTTGACTATGTGATACCATTGGCAGGAGTTGTTCTTTGAGGACTGAGCCTGGGTCTTAGTGCTCCAAGGGCTGTGAATAACAACAGCACCACCATTTCCATGACCAAAGACCCATACCGCCACCCAAAAAGTCCTGGGATGGGGTGCTTCTGCCACTTCCTACAATCTGGGGACACATTAGTTCTGCCCAATCTAAAGCTAAAAACAGTGGAAGAGAAACAGCAAAGAAGACAGGACTTCAGCAGGTGACGTGGGCTTCTTTTCTTCAGCTCTGCCTCAGAAGGGCCCTGTGTTAGACCAGCTGAATTCCATTCCCTCCCTGCCATGTTGGTACAAGACCTCCAGAAAGCTCACTCCCTTGGAGTCATGGAAAGGTAGAGCTGAAATGGCCTTTGAAAATGCTCTAGTCTAACTCCCTCATTTTCTAGCACTGGAGGTGGGGCAGGGGCAGGGGGTTATGTCACTTCATAAAAATCACACAGATGTGATATTAAAGCCAGATCTCCTGGATTTTTCAGTTCAGGGCTATAGTCACAGTGAGATATTTGAATTTGAGAATCTTCCTGTGATTTAGAAGGAATGCTTCTCCTTTCTTATTTTATAACCCAAATTACCAACGAGCCCCCTATACCTGTATATGTCTATAATTAATATACATTTTATAGAGGCGTATGTGTCTATGTGCATATATAATATATATCTACCTCTGGGTGTGTATGTAGAGGTATATAAATACATAATTTATATATTTACATATATAATTTATATATATATAATTTATATATATATAATTTACTTTATTCATAAATTTATTTTTCATCTACTTTGTAAACATTGAGTGACTTCTATGTTTCAAGTACTATAATTATGACCCTGGTAGTATGTGTGCATATACATGCACATGCATTCATGTGTGTGGTGGGGAGTATGCCACAATAGTAAGCAATTCACAGTACTGGCTCTCAAGGAATTTATAGTCTCATGGTTTCTGTAGGTAAGAACTTTAAAAGGGATTAGCTGGGCTGATCTTGTTTGTGGCCTCTCACTGGATTGTGGTCAGATGTTGGTTGAAGCTTCATTCTTCTGAAGACTTAATCAGGGCTGGAGGACACCTTCCAAGTTGGCTCATTCACAGAGCTAGAAAGCTGGTGCCAGCTGTTTGTTGGGGTCCTTAGCTCCTCTCTACAAGGACACATGAATATCCTCAGGGCATGGTGTCTGGTTTCCCTAGAGTGGGCAATTTATGAACCCCAGGTGGAAGACACAATACCTTTTATGACCTAACCTTGGGAGTCACATATCTTCATTTTTGCCATATTTTATTGATCACATAGCACTGGCCATACATTCACATGGGAAGTGTCTCCAAAAGATCATGAATACCAGTAGGTGGGAATCATTGGGGAACATATTGTGAACTGGCCACCACATATTCTAGTGGGAAATGTATGGATAATTATAATTATGTGTGGTAAATACCATGAAAGCGGAAGTATACAGTGTAAGAGAGCAAATCATGGGTATAAATAACCTTATCTGAGATTGGGGAAGGTGGCAGTAGTGATGTCATTAAAGTAGTGGTGTCATTAAAGACTTTTTGGAGAAAGTAGTATTCATGCTGAGACATGATAGTTGAGTAGAAATTGGACAGTTTGGTAGTGGATGGTGTGGGAAGAGTATTCCAAGCAAAGGAAAGAACATTCTTTGGGTTGCAGCTAGAATGACATTTCTTCCAAAACTCTAATCCCAGGAGATGCAGGACAAAAAAGAGCCCTGTGCTTAAGTAAGTTAGGAAAATGCCCATGCCTATGTGCTGAATGGTATTGCCTAGGTTTTCTTGTCTAAAACACCAAAAGCAATGGCAACAAAAGCCAAAATTGACAAATCAGATCTAATTAAACTAAAGAGCTTCTGCACAGCAAAAGAAACTACCATCAGAGTGAACAGGCAACCCACAGAATGGGAGAAAACTTTTGCAATTGACTCATCTGACAAAGGGCTAATATCCAGAATCTACAATGAACTCAAACAAATTTACAAGAAAAAAACAAACAACCCCATTAAAAAGTGGGCAAAGGATATGAACAGACACTTCTCAAAAGAAGACATTTATGCAGCCAAAAGACACATGAAAAAATGCTCATCATTACTGGCCATCAGAGAAATGCAAATCAAAACCACAATGAGATACCATCTCAGACCAGTTAGAATGGCGATCATTAAAAAGTCAGGAAACAACAGGTGCTGGAGAGGATGTGGAGAAATAGGAACACTTCTACACTGTTGGTGGGATTGTAAATTAGTTCAACCATTGTGGAAGTCAGTGTGGCAATTCCTCAGGGATCTAGAACTAGAAATACCATTTGACCCAGCCATCCCATTACTGGGTATATACCCAAAGGATTATAAATCATGCTACTATAAAGACGCATGCACACATATGTTTATTGCAGCACTATTCACAATTGCAAAGACTTGGAACCAACCCAAATGTCCAACAATGATAGACTGGATTAAGAAAATGTGGCACATACACACCGTGGAATACTATGCAGCCATAAAAAATGATGAGTTCATGTCCTTTGTAGGGACATGGATGAATCTGGAAACATCATTCTCAGCAAACTATCGCGAGGACAGAAGACCAAACACCACATGTTCTCACTCACAGGTGGGAATTGAACAATGAGAACACTTGGACACAGGAAGGGGAACATCACACACCGGGGCCTGTTGTGGGGTGGGGGGAGTGGGGAGGGATAGCATTAGGGGATATACGTAATGTAAATGACGAGTTAATGGGTGCAGCACACCAACATGGCACATGTATACATATGTAACAAACCTGCACGTTGTGCACATGTACCCTAAAACGTAAAGTATAATAAAAAAAAAAGATTTGTATTCCCCATTCTATTAATAAAATTGTGATTTTAAAAGGAAAAAAAAAGTTGGGAAAATGTGGTATACTGCACCTCTTATGAGAGATTAACAGTTCTCACTGATATCAATATCAAAAAGCTTGAGAAATTTTGCACTAAAGATAGCTTTTAACAAGTTAACCCTAAACTTACTTGGACATGGACAAATTTAATGTTCTGTGGAGCACATCATGGGAAAATTGCATTAGACAAATGTCAGCACTATCAGTTATTGCGAGATCCTTTTTAGTCTTTCTCGGTAACTTGGAGGGATAAGGGAAGAAGCTATGCTTGTTTTCTAAAGTTTTCTTACTTGAAGAGAAGGGAGCAGAGAATTCATTTATTTATCCAGTGTGGTAGTGAACATTCTTTTAACTGCAAGAGAGAAAATCTGATTTAAATAGGCTGAAATCAAAAATGGAGGATGAGGCCGGGCACGGTGGCTCACGCCTGTAATCCCAGCACCTTGGGAGGCTGAGGCAGGCGGATCACGAGGTCAGAAGATTGAGACCATCCTGGCTAACACGGTGAAAGCCCATCTCTACTAAAAAAAAAAAAAATTAGCCGGGCGTGGTGGCGGGTGCCTGTAGTCCCAGGTACTCGGGAGGCTGAGGCAGGAGAATGGTGTGAACCCGGGAGGCAGAGCTTGCAGTGAGCCTAGATCGCATCACTGCACTCCAGCCTGGGCGACAGAGCAAGACTCCGTCTCAAAACAAAACAAAACAAAAATGGAGGATGATTAGCCCACATAATAAAAAGGTCAGGGGTAGATCTTCAGTCTCAACTGGATCCAGGTATTCAAACCATATCAGCAGGATTCTGAGTTGATCTTGTTTTTAGCCAGTCTCTCCCCAGCTGGTGGCTAAGAAGACCACCAGCACCTCTAATTTGCCATATGCTAGCTTAATAGCCATGGGCAAGAATGACGGCTGATTGTTCCAGCAAAAGGCCAATGATGGACATTGATTGTCCTGGCCTGTGTCCTAGGCAAGGAGAATACAGTTTCACATATTAGCCTGATCTTGGGCAGGTGCCACTTTTTGCTTCCAAGAGTTTGAGGCAGCTCCACCCAGACAACATGGATTTAGAGAGAGGATGGAGGAGTGGTTCACCAAATGGTAGAGAAGGCTCTTTGGAAGAAGAGATCCAGGTAAATACAAACAAAGGTACCTACTACCACTCTCATTAATTACTTGATTACTTATTAAGTATCAGTTCTTGGCTATACACAGGGAAAGCACCGACTGATGTTAAACCTTCTTTCAAAGGACATGGAGTCATGAATGCCAAAGAGTGACCCAGGCTTCATCACTATCTGATGACTTTACCTCTACACCCAGTCTTCCAATTCAAGAGTTCCAATTCATGCCTCAGAAGCTGCAAATGACATCTGACTCTCATACAGACAAAATGACAAGGGTCTTCCTGCAGGTACTAAGGGTCTGATAAGATTATAGTGAAATATTCTAACAAAGTATGAAGGCTGTACCAAGGTTAGAGAGAAGGAGGGAATTCCTTTTTTCCTGACCAGTGGTTATCAACCCTCTCTAGATACCAGAACCATCTAGGGAAACTAAATAAACATTGGTGCCCTTCCATCACAGATTTTGTTAATTAGTCTGGGTTGGAGGCACTGGGAATGGGTCTTTTTAGAAGTGTTCTAGGTTACTGAGATGTGCAGCCAGATGGAGATCCACTGCTCTAAAGACCATCGGCTGCTTGTGGGCAGGAGCTGTGGTTTGTTCACCATTGAATCCTCAGTCTCCAGCACAATGCTTGTCAAACAGTAAGTGCTCAAAAATTATTTTTGAACAAATAATGAGGAACATACATAAGCACAATTCAATGCCAAACTTTGGTTTCTCCCTCTCCTGCATACACCCTTTGCATCCTGACACTCAAGGGACAGGTCTTCTCTGACGGGGATGATGTATCTTCCAAGTGCAGTGTGCAGAAATCTTGTGAATTCTCACAGCACTGTGGTGAGGAAGGTTTTTTTTTTTTCCCCTTTTCCCCACTTAACTAACAGGGCACTCAATCAGAGAGCACACAAATGATTTGCCTTAGGGCCTCCGAGAGGAATAATGGTAGGTTTGTGGGGTCTCTGATGCAATTATAAGTAAGCTGATGGAAAGAGATTAAGGCTGCAATTTGGAAATGTAAAAGGTTAATACAGGCTAGATGTTTTTGTCCCAAATTTGATTTCTGGGACAGCTGACCAATGCTAGATTCACATTACCTCCAGTTTAGAAATGTCCTTTGTGTCAAGACTGCCTGGAGCTGCTGTCAGATTTTCTCAGCTGCTCTCACCCACCCCAGCTGTTCCTCTGGAGTATCCAGTGAGATGTAGATGATTCTAGTTCTTTCTGGATCTAGAGAGGCCACTGTTTGACAGTCCTGGTTTCAGAAACTGGTGGGTTTAGAATTAAGCTCCTTGTTGCACTATTTCTGAGGGGCTGGCTGTGGGGTCCAGGCCAAATAGCCACAACAAAAGGTACTGGCCCCCAAATTGGGGAAGGGGGTACTTCTGTTAGCTCCTTTCTGCTGGACTTCATAGGTCCTTGGGAATTGACCATTTACCTCTTCCCAAGGAACTGGTTCTCATGGCTTCTGGAGCTAGACTCCCTGGTTTGTGCTCTAGCTCCATTCCTACTAGTTATTTGACTTTTGATAGCTACTTAACCTGAGTCTTCATTTTCTCATCTGTTAAATGGGGATAAAGATCCTTCTTGAGTATAATGGCTAGGTTGGAACTTGATTGCATTTACCCTGTTTCTCAGGGATGTGGTCTCCAACCAGGTGCCATCTCCTGCTGCTGCAACTGTGGCCATAAGCTTCATTTCAGCAAATTTTCTCCCATTTGCACCCACTCCCCCTTTACTCCTACTGCTTTATCAACAGCAGTGCTTTGAAGAATTGCTTGTTAGTGTTTGTCTTCATGGTCACACTATAAGCTCCCTGAGGGCTTGGCCCATGCCCGTCTTCTCAGCTCTGTGTTTCCTATGCCAAGCTCAGTGCCTGACATATGAAAGATCTCACTCAATTCATATTTATTAAATTGTCCTAATTCTTTGATGGGTGTTGTGGTCAATCCTGACTACTCACATTGCCATCTATGCATTGGGTACAAATAATACTGTCAGAAGGAGGAAAAAACAACAGTAGTTAAAATTAGAACAATTCAAACTCATATGTAATTGTTACTGAAGTTCACGCAATCACTGAAATTGTATCTCATGGATCCCTCTTGGGATGGGTACCTACAGAAAGTGGTAATGACTCTGTGAATTTGTTCTTACTCACCTGAGGGCCCTCAACATCCAAAGATTTAACAATCTAAATAGCAAAGCTTAATCAAGACTTGAAGACTTTACTCTCTGATCCAGATTCATGGGGCCTCAGTTCAGATCTCTGGGTTTTTTAGGGCAACTGTCTAGAATGGGAACTCTATGCTGATGTTGAAGATGACTCTCTCACAGAGTTAGGAAAGACTAATAAAAATGCTGTGTTTAAGGAACAGAGCATAATTTCTGGCACTCAATGAATACTCCACTTCTTCACATTGATGAACATGCCTTTCACTTAGTGTCATTCCTCATGTTGTATTTATTTGCTTATTCATTCACTTGGGCTCTGTTATCCAAATTCTACCACTATCTGTGTAAGTTTGGACAAGTTACTTGATTTCTTTGCCCAATTTCCATATCTGTGACATAGAAATGGTAATGATATCCCTTTTGAGAGTTGTGGAGAGAATTCAATAAGATAACACACATGACTGAAACATCATAAGTACTTTATAAGAGTTATTAATTAGTAATTGTCATTTTATTTGTTAGGTACTAAGTATAGAGTGTTAAATGTCTCAGAGCACAAGTGTGGACTAAGACTTGAGAACAGAATTAAGTGGTTATATGAGTGAGAGTTGACACACTTTGAGCATTTCCAGTATTCTCAAAAGTTTTAATTGGAGCCTAAAAGAATGCTAGTCCTTAGATAATTTCACATTCAAGTTGATAAAAAAGTGGGGTTGATCTTTGTGGGATGTGGCAAGAGAGATGAAGGCATGGATGTGTAGGCTGAACCTGGATCATAAAGTTAGGGTTGATGAGAGACAGGGGTCAGAACCATGGAGAGCTTTAAGAAGGGGTGGGGAGGGGCTCCACACACTGGGTGAAAAGAGTCCTGTGGGATTAGAGGCTGTTGCCCCACTCTTTTCTTCACATTGACATCTGTATTTCCAATAGTGAGTCCTCAATGGAAACAATCTTTTCCTTGAAGGAAATATCTGCTTCTCCTTTGTTCTGGAGATGCTGTAGAACATTGTTCTTCCATCACATAAAACCTTTTATTGGAAGTTTCTCATGAAAATTTTTATTTAGAGGTATGTTCAAGGAAAACACCTATCTCCTTTTGCCCTATGGATAATAAAAGATATACCTTCTGTCTGTATTTTCTATTAATTTCTGGCCCACAGGGAGCTCAGAACACAAATCTCATCTCAACTGCAGCTAATGGTAAAAACTTTATGATTGTTGTTTGCAGTCTCTTTCTCTCCCAAATCTATTAATTCTTTTATCTATCTTTTGTAATCTCCACCTATACTAATTTATATTTTTCTCTAGTCCAGGTTTTAGAATTTATATTTAACAATTTTATTTTGTATTTTTTTTTTCTGTTAGCATCTTCAGATCTGTCATGGGAAAAGTTGGGCTCTAAAAAATTAGCTAACTGAATAAGCAAACATGTTCCTTCTTACAGGAGGACTTGATGAGTAAAAGAAGCGAGGCAAGGACGAATGGAGAGTATGGCTAGATAAACAACCTCAGCAGGCACGTTATCACATGGACCAGAACTGTATGTGTGATTATTTACAACTCTCCAAATTACTCTTATTTCTGACTACAGAGTTCTATTTCACGTAACTTGCACCTGTGACTTTTACCAGACTTAACAATTTGCTTAATTATTCTGATAAAACTTTTGGATTCTTCCTTTGTCTTTTCATTTAATTCCTGTTACTGACTCATTTCCAGCTCCTGGTCCTCATCTTTGTAGTCTATATTGAATACATGTTCATTCATCCATCTTCATTTAACTTCCATGATTGATTCCTGGGTAGTTTCCACTTCTGACCCTCATCTGTACCTGCTAATACCATTCTGTCCAAGGTTCTAAGGTTGAGCTTCACTCTTGGCCATAATTCTCCAGGCTACATGTTCAAATCCATACCACCATGGCAGCTTGAAACCTGCTTTAAAGAGGAAACTAGGAAAGGATGGTTATTTAGCTCAAGGGGATGTGCCTGGTCCTTGGGAGTCCTTAAGATCCACTCCAATTCTGAGGTTCTATATTAGAATAGCAAACAACAGGTAACATGCATTGCCTCAGTGCATCACCCACAGCAAGCACTCAGTGAACATTCATTCTAAAAATAATAAAAGAACTTACAGTTTTAGAATATTTACATTTTTTAAAAAAAATCGATCCACATATGTAGTATTTGCAGTTCCATGTCATGGATGAGAAAGACTGAGTCTCAGATACCTTAACTGATTTACTCAAAGTCAACAGTAGTAGGAAGTGAAGATTCCTTTGCACATGAGCACAGATATTCTGTTTCCAAAGTTGATTCTCCTCACATTGATTACATGGACACATTTGAAGAGAAGTAAGAAAAGAGATATTTTGGAAGGCAGGAGGGTGAACCACTTCATGTATTCCCTAAAATGTAAGAGAATCTTTAAAATATCGTATAGTTTCTCAAGAATGGGTACTGCATGAATACACCACTTGAAAGGGGGAAAATCTGCGTAGTCTGAGGATGAGAAGCCTTGCTTACAGAAAAACATTCTTGCTCTTCTTTAATTATGCCATTTCCAAAAAAAAGATAAGTATATATTATTACGCTTTTACCAATCCTGACAATTAAGATTTTAATCTGGATGACTACTAGAGCTTGTAATGAGATTGTATCCCCTATTAAAAGAATGATCCAGTAGTGTAATAAAAAACATTTCAGTTCTACTTAGTATGCTACCGGTCTTAGAGGTAAGTGCTAACGGCATTAACATGCATTCTAAGTGAGGAAGAGCCACAACAGAATGTTTATGGTGCTTGTAAGGTCTAAAGTACTTAGAATTAAAACCTCGTGGGGTTTATTTTGTATATTTTTCTCCAATCCAGTTGTTCCAGATTTGGAAATTTCAATTGTCTTTTTTTCTTTGTTAGTATATTTCTGAAAGAAAGTACTATAATTTAAAAAAAAACAAGAGCAGAACCAGTAATGTGCCAGCTTTTGATACATTGAAGGCTATTGGTAAATTCTCTAAGTAACATTATAATGAAAGACATCTTTATTATTACCTTGTATGTTTATTTTAACACCTTACAGTAAGTGAGATATCTTTTTTGATTTCTTCTGAATCTAAAGATTTTCAGTTGTTTTCAAAATACATTTGTCTAAAAGCTTTGCTGATAGTGACCTATTGTCTGGGAGTCGCTTCTCATTCTATGCCTGAATTTTCTTCCTGTACAAGTAGCCACAAGAGGAATTCTTTGGGGGTTGGGGAGCAGATAACAATAGACCTATCTCAAACTGACTGGCTAAAAAAAAATAATAGATCAAAAGATCACAGGTGATAATGAAATCTTGGAGTGTAACTACTCTGAGGGACAGCTATATCTAAAGGCTCTCTTGATCATGTCCTTGAGTCTTTCTCTCTCTCTCACTCTTACTTTCTACCCTCTTAGCTACACCACACAGAGAGAGAGCAAGCCTTCCTTAATTGTTTCTGCAAAAATTCTGATGAGGAGCCTCTTTCCATAATTTAGATCACATGCTCATCTTGGGGCCATTCTCTGAGACTTTTTCCTGTGCAGGCTGAAGCCACAGGACCACCCTTGGTGCAGGAGAGAAGAGCCTTGATTCCATCTGAATCAAGTAATTGACAGAAGGAGGCTTTGGTTCCCTGAAGAACAATCAGGATGGGGTAACAATCAGGACATTACTAGAAGAAGCAAGCTGAGAGGAGAGCAGTGAAAATCTCTAGATGTCCTTCATGGTAGCTGTCCATTATCTCCCTAGGCGCTGTCTTGATGAGCTTCTACCTCCTGCGGAATGTTAATTTTTGGATAACAATGAGTCTCAGAAAATTATTTCTGCCATTCAGGCAAAATCCTTCTGAACTTCTACTCTTTGCTCCAGTTTAAAGCTTTGGGACCATATAGAACACACCTAGTACTTTTTTTCACAGGATAATGTCCTTGATACATGGGAACAACAGCCTTGCCTCCCTGTAGTCTTTTTTTTGTTTGTTTGTTTAATGCCAAACTTCCCTTGTTCCTCAATCCTTTCTCTTATTTGAAGCTAGAGTCATCTTGGATGTCTTTTCCTCTACATTCCCCATCATACTTATCCAGTCACCGAGTTCTCATGATTCTACCTTCTAAACTAGCTCTCAGAACATCTTTTCTTCTCGATTTTCATCACCACTACTTTAGTTTGTGAGGTTATCATTTTTCACGGGAATTACTGCAAGGGTTCCCAGTGGCTTTCTTTTACTTTTAGTTTCACTGTCTTATTTCCATTATTTATTCTGCCATTAGAGTTATTTTTTCTAAAACATACCTCTGAAAAGGCACAAAACAGCACTATCAACTCAGAAGCTGCTTCTTTATACTTGGTGCTTGCATAACTCTTAGCTATGCAACAGTCCCACTATTCAGTATAGCCCTGTGTTTATTGCCATGATATTCTATTGCACACTGGCTCCCTCTACTAGAATGTAAGTTTCTAGAGGGAAGCGTCAATGTGGCATCCAACTCCGTCTCTACAGCTCCTGGAACATAGGAGTCAACATGTTCAGTAACGTTTCTTGAATCACTGTGGAATAGAGTGGACCTGGTCTGTTGGCCTCTCCTCATTCTGGCTGCTCTCCTTTGCACCATTGCTCTTGAAATGAGGTTCCCAGAACTAGGTCTAGTATACTTGGTGTGTTGTGATGCATGCAGCATAAGGTATAAGGATTCTTCCACCTTTCTGGTTTCTTTGCTTTAATGAAAGCAACATGCAGTCAAATTGATGTTTATGTCAGATTCATTATGCAGTCACCTTAACTGAGATAATTCTATGTTAAACCTAAGGGTTCCTTCCCCCCTCATGTACTGTAACTTTCAGACTTTTTTTTGCATAATTGATCTGTAGTTGTTTTAGAGTAGTTTCTAGAGTGCAACAGCCTATTTATTTTATTTTATTTTATTTTTAGGGAAAAGAACTGAGACTGAGAAAGAAAGTATATGTTAATTTTGGAAGTATATTATTTTCCATAGACCGGTCTTTAGTAATTTTATTTAAGTCTACACTGTGGTTTTCAACTCTGTGTGTTTGGGAGGGGGCAGAGCACTGTTACCCACCTAGGGGACATTTGGAAATGTCTGGAGACTGTTTTGGTTGTCACAGTCTATGTTTACGAGTGGGTGCTACTGGCATTTAGTGGGCAGAGACCGGGAATGCTGCTAAATATCCTACAGTGCACAAGACAGCCTGCACAACAAACAATTATCTGGTCCAAACTGTCAATGCTGCCAAGGCTAAGAATCCGATTTAAGAGCTAAAACCCACACCATTACCCCAACACATTGACCAGGAGAAATAAAACAAATACTTAAAATGACACGCTTGTCAGTGGTGGAACAGAGCTCTCAGTCTTTCAGTTTCTAATTGTTGTTGTTTTTCTAATAATGTTGTATCATGGGAATTATTCTCAGTTCATGTTTCGGGAGGTTAAAAAGAACACATATCTTTTGATTTTGTTTTTTCATCCTTCTTTCTGTTTTTTGTTGTTGTTGTTGTTTATTTGTTTGTTTTGTTTGTTTGTTTTGTCTCACTCTGTCATCCCGTCTGGAGTGCAGTGGTGTGATCATAGCTCACTGCAGGCTCAAACTCCCAGGCTCAAGCAATCCTCCCACTTTAGCCTCCTGAGTAGTTGGGACCACAGGTGCCTACCACCATGCCTGGCTAATGTATATAATATATATTCGTGGAGACAGAGTCTCGCTGTGTTGCCCAGGCTGGTCTCAAGTTTCTGGACTCAAGCAATCTTTCTGCCTTGGCCTCCCAAAATGTTAGGATTACATTAGGCATGAGCCACTGCACCTAGCCTCATCCTTCTCTCTTTCACCAAGAGCACATAAATACGGAGTGCTTTATCTTTTCTAAACTTGTCACTACACACTCTGGATTATTGGCTTCTCAATAAATATTAACCTTCAATTATTGTGTTGAACAAGTTGTATTATTGTGTTGAACAAGTTGTATTATTGTGTTGAACAAGCATTGACCAAGGACCCAATTAATATGTGCCATATGCTGCCCATAGATATTGAGTGAATCAACAAAGAGAACCATATATCTATTCTATTCCCAAGTCATGCACAAAATGTTATATTATCATTTTGCCAACTATGTCTTGTAATGTTCATCAAACATTCTAGTTCCCTGCATAGAAATAAGGGATTGAGATCTAATATTTTGAAAAATTTGGGGAAGATGATGATATCTAAGGCTTTATATTTTTCCTCAAGGAGTTCACACTTCAGTGGTAGAGACGTGCAAACAGACTAATTTCAACACAGCAAGAATTTCTGTGGAAGCAGTATGCACCAACTCTTACGATAATTCAGCAAAAGGGCATCTAACCCAGCCTGGGGGGTCAGGAAGGATTCTTTTATGAAGTAATATTTGAACTGAGTCTTGGCAAGGTGAAAAATGGGCAAGAAGAAGATTTGGAGAGAGAAAAGTGTATAATCAAAGACATGGAGGAATGAGATGCTTGTCTTGGCTCCTTACACTAGAACAGAAGCTTGGTTCAGAGAAAAGCCATTCCCTGTCTCATCTCTGCCCTGGGGAATTTAATCCTGCTGTAGATGCAGGTACTAAGAGAGCCTACTCCCGTTCTTCTCTAATGGGTCAAGGTTCTCAGGAAAACCTTATTCTATTTTTTTGTCTATCTGATTCAGACAGAAGTTATTAAACATTTCTGGCTTTTTTTTTTTAATCAGCCAGACACTCTGCTAGCTATTTCATATCCATGCTCTCCGTGTACTCTCCTAACAAAGCTTTGAGCTATATCTTGGATTAGAGACAGCTAGGCGTTTTCTGATTTCCACTTCCCACTTCTTTTTTTTTTCTTTTTCTTTGAGACAGAGTCTCGCTCTGTCACCGAGGCTGGAGTGCAGTGGCGCAATCTCTGCTCATTGCAAGCTCTGCCTCCCGGGTTCATGCCATTCTCCTGCCTCAGCCTCCCGAGTAGCTGGGACTACAGGCACCTGCCACCAGGCCTGGCTAATTTTTTTGTAATTTTTTTAGTAGAGACGGGGTTTCACTGTGTTAGCCCGGATGGTCTCTATCTCCTGACCTCGTGATCCACCCTCCTCGGCCTCCCAAAATGCTGGATTACAGGCATGAGCCACCGTGCCAGGCATCCACTCACCACTTCTTATTAGTGATAAAATCCCTTCTGCTGGACACATGGCAGTCCAGAATAACACTACATTTTCCCACCTCCCTTGCAGCTAGATGTGGCCATATGACTAGCTTCTCCAGTGGGATGTAAGATGAAGTGTTGTGTGGAAACTTCCAGATACTTTCCTTAACAGAGATCTGGTGTAGATGCTTTGCCCCTGTTTCTTTATACATTTGTTCCTGCTGGTTTGAACTTGGGCATGAGGGCTAGGATTTGAGAAGTCTTTTTAGACTATAGCATGGAGGAAAAACAACATAGAAGGAACCTAGGCTCTGAAATTTCCGTGGAGCAGAGCTGCTGTGAGTTCTTGACTGTCTACCTTTGGATCTTTTGCAAGTTAGAAAAATAAACTCCTGTCTTGCTTAGTCCTCTGTTACTTTTGGGCTTCTTTTACTTGCAGCTGAACTGATCATATCCATTTTATAGATGAGAAAAATGAAGCTCAGAAAAATTAGATTATCTTTCACTAGTTTCCACAGTAGTAAATGTTTAGAGCATAGGTATTCTGATTTTAAGACAAAGGCTTTTGTCACTCTTCCAGGCTGTTTCACTTGGCATGATTTTTTTTCTCTCTCTTGCTTTAATTAAATTATGATTGCCTGTGGCTGGCCCTCAACATAGTTTGACCCAGAAGTCCTTTAACGTTGATCTGATTTAACTCTAATTTTCAGGAAATGGCTCTTGGGGATCTTTACTTCAGAAATTATGGAGCTGAAAGATTGGTAGGGCAATAGGTAAAGAATGCTCATTAGACACCATGACAGTAAATTTTGCTATCTTCATTTTGTAGTACAATCCATTGTTTATCCAATCATCTTTTAATTAATTAGCAATTAAGCTTGCTAAGGATATGAAGATGCCCATTAATAAAGCTTGGTAAATTGCTCTCATGGTCTGAGGAAAAATGAGTTTTAGTCATCGATTATTTTAAAGTCAAAATAAGTTACCTTTCTTATAAGTTATTTATTTTTGCCAGGAGTCCTCAATGTGGCAAATACTCTGAACAAAGAACATGTTGTCATCCCAGCTATGTCTTTGTGAGCTTGAGTAACATGCTAATCCTAACTGCTAGTTAAGATGACACCCCAAATAACTGGATAGTAAAATGAGATATGATTATTTCATCTTGTCTTAGGACAAAATCATATATGCACAGAATAACAAGGACCTAACAGTTTGTTATCTCCAATATCATCATTTTGGAAAATGCAAAATGAAACAAGCAAAACATAAGAAGAAAGAAAACCAAAATGAGTGCCAAATAACTGGCTATTTGACAACCCAAATTGACCTATATTTTGGTTAAACTGCATAGACATAACTCCGTTTTCCACTTTATAGAAACAAGCTTTAAAATGCATCTGTCACAGGCTAATAAAAGCAATACACTATAACGAATGAGATTAAAGGCTGTTCCTTAAGATGTCGGCAGGTGTCCTTATGCAAATTATGTTGATCATAGTACAGATGTTTCATCTCTTCAACTATCTTTGCTCAGCAATATGGACCCTAATATCACCAATTAGTTTTTGCCAGTTTTGATCCAATTCTGGATCATAACTAGATAAGCTGGAGTCTTTGCTATCCTCTTCTTTATCTTCCTGTCCCACAAAACAAGCTTTTCTCAGGAGCTTGGCTTGTGTGGTTTTCTCCAAATGTAAAAGCTTCCAGCCTCTCCTGATCCCAATCTTCCTCTTGTTCTAAGGGTCACTAGTCTCATCTCTGCACAAATATTTGCCCTTTTTGTCAAAACCTTTTGAGAATCCAGAAGGTACTGGATTAATATTTACTGATGAAACAAATGGAAAGTAGGTGTCTGTGTTATTCTAAGCTCATGTTCACTTTCTTGGCTCTAGATATGGCCAAAATGTGTCTATTTTATTGGGCAGAGATTCTGTGTTGGTTTATATTGCCATTGAAACAAACTGAGTAGAAAGTGTGATAAATACCAGCTGATGATATATTAAACAATGGGCCGGGCATGGTGGCTCACGCCTGTAATCCCAGCACTTTGGGAGGCTGAGGCGGGTGGATCATGAGGTCAGGAGTTCAAGACCATCCTGGCCAATATGGTGAAACCCCATCTCTACTAAAAATACAAAAATTAGCCGGGCTTGGTGGCACGCACCTGTGGTCCCAGCTACTCGGGAGGCTGAGGCAGAAGAATCGCTTGAACCAGGGAGGCAGAGGTTGCAGTGAGCTGAGATCGCACCATTGCACTCTAGCCTGGGCCACAGAGTGAGACTCCATCTCAAAAAAAAAAAAATATATATATATATATACACACACACACACACACACACACACACACACACATAATATATGCAGAAATATATATACATATATACACATATATACATATATATGCACAAATACATATACACATATATATGTATACACACATATATATACACACACATATATATAACAATGGAAAGAAATACTGTGCAAAATGTAGTGGTTAGGGTCTTATTACTATTCGGGATTACTGCTGCTCTCTACGTGACTGCTTAACACCAAGTCATAGCTGAGATTTTCCAGGTTTATCTTCAAATCCTTGGGATTCCTAAAAAGAGAAGGTACTCACCTTCTCTTAGAATGGCAAAATCCAAAGCACCAACAACAGCAAATGCTGATGGAGATGTGGAGCAATACAAACTCTCATGCATTGCTGGTGGGGATGCAAAACGGTACAGCCACTTTAAAAGACAATTTGGCAGTTTCTTACAAAACTAAACTGATTCTTACCATACAATCTAGCCATTGCCCTCCTTGATATTTACCCAATGAGTTGAAAATTTATGTCTACGCAAAAACTTGCACATGTATGTGTATAGCGGCTTTATTAAAAGTGCCAAATCTTGAAAATAACCAAGATGTTTTTCAACTGGTGAACAGATAAGTCAACTGTGGTATATCCAGACAGTGGACTATTATTCCACTCTAAAAAGCGATGAGCTATCATGCCATGCAAACACGCAGAAGAATCTTAAATGCATATTACTAGGTGAAAGAAACCAGTCTGAAAAGGCTACATGATGTATAATTTCAACTATATTACATTCTGGGATAGGCAAAATATAGAGACAGTAAAAAGATCAGTGGTTTCCAGGAATTAGGGTAGAGGGATGGATAAATAGATAGGGCACAGAGAGTTTTTGAGGTAATAAAATGACTCTATTTGATACTATAATGGTGGATATGTGCCATTATACATTTGTTCAAACCCATATAATGTGCAATGCCAAGAATGAACCCTGATGGAAACTATGAAAATGACGTGTCAACATAGACCCAATTGTACAAAATGCACCACTCTAGTGGGAAATGTTGGTAATGAGGGAGGCTGTGAATGTGTGGGGGTAGGGGATATACAGGAGCTCTTTGTACTTTCTGCTCAATTTTCCTGTGAAGATAAATTTTCCCTAAAAAATAAGGTTTATTTTTAAAAAGAGAAAGAATGGACATTTTTGCACCTACAATGTGCCAGGCATTCTGGTAGACATTTTGATTAAACGATCACATCTATCCATTCAAAAGCTGTGGGCTGGGCGTGGTGGCTTAAGCCTGTAATCCCAGCACTTTGGGAACTTCAGGCAGATGGATTACTTGAGCTCAGGAGTTTGAGATCAGCCTGGGCAATATGGCAAAACCCCATTTCTACTCAAAATACAAAGTTAGTGGGGCGTGGTAGCGCACACCTGTGGTTCCAACTACCTGGGAGACTGACGTAGGAGGATCACTTGAGTCTGGGATGTGGTGGTTGCAGTGAGCCGAGATTTCACCCCTGCACTCCAACCTGGGGAGTGACAGAGTGAGACCCCACCTCAAAACAACAACTACAACAACAACAACGAGCAGCAGATTAGAGAACTCAGGCTCAGAAAGCTTAAGCAACTTTTCCAAGATCATAGATGAAATAAGCAACAGGAAAGAGATAAGAATTCACACCTGTCAGGTTCTGAAGTCCTGTTTGTCTTTATTCAACCATGGCACCCCTCAAACCTACAAAGTTTGGAAAAACATCCCCCAGCCCTCCACTCTTCTCCCTGGCAGATCCACTGTATGAGCAAGCTGGGCCCATTGTCCATATGACTCATGGACAGAAGCCGGAAACTCTACCTGAGAAGTCCTATAAAAAACAGTCTGGCTTTCTGCCTTTCTCATTACTGCACCTGGGATAATTATACCAGCCCTTTGTCTGTGGAAACTGACATCAAAGGTCCTGATGAAGAGTATCTCTGGTGGGAACTATGATTATCCCTATTTTATGGCTGGAGAAACTGAGGAATGGCTTGCCCAAGGTCAGCTGGTGAGTCAGGGAACTGACTCTGCATCTGTTGGACTCCCATGCTACGTGTAAGCTCTTGCACCATAATTCTGCTCTTAGTCCCAAATACCTGCCATGTTCATTAGACTATTACCATTCCCTGGGTAAAACATTAAGGGATTAAATCCAGCAAACCATAGCATCTGTATTATTCTGAGGTCTGCAGGAAAGACACCTCTATTTCTGGGAACTAGGTTGGCAGTCTCAGTGTTTTGACTGAGCTTCTGGAGTAGGGATCTTGGGAATGAAATTGCACCAGCTCAAGAAACCCTCAGCCCCATAATCAGTGGCCACATTCATCCCCCAGCGAAGTTCACTCTGCTGGTCATTGAGGAGCCTCAATTCATTTTGCCTTTGGATCACACTTGGGTTTTAAAGTACAGTGGCACATGATGATTCTGTAATTGAGGAGAGTTTGGGATGTAGAGAAGCCACAGGGGATAATGCAGTTTTCTGACCTAGGACAGTGGGGCCGTATTACCCCCTTGCCTGAATGAGTGAAGTACTGCCAGAATGATTTCAGGACACTGGAGAAAGAGCCTCCTCGAGATGGAAGCTCAGACCTTGGGTTGAGGGACACAGCCAGCTCTAAACCAAAAACCCTGACTTTTCTGTCTTCCTGCTTCCAATCTGTGGCCACCTGGCAGTGAGGGAGATGTGGAGAGACCACTGATGTAGCCCACACTTGTCAGTCTCTTCAGCTGAGAACAGGTGGAGAAGGGGCAAGAATGGAGGTGGATGAGCACACAGATGGTACCCAGTACATTACCTAATTTCCTGTGGTCCCACCTATAAGCCCTCCCCAATGTCTACACTCTAAGGAATGATGACAAGAATTCATAGTGGAGTGAATTAGACAGATTTAGACTATGCATGTATCCTTAGACAAATTACTTGATAGTTACTATCTCAGAACCTGTTTCCTCCTCTGCAAAATGGGGATAGAAATAAATATCTCATAGGATAGGTGTGAAGTCCCTATGAGAAAATAAACGTGAAGTGTCCAAGGTGGTGGCTGGCACATAATAGGTGTTCACAGTTCATTTATTACTTTGCATTTGGCTTACTTACCCACCCCACCCGCTTTTTGCATTACAAGCCCTGCTTCAGTGAATGTTTCTGTGCATGGATTTCCCTCTTGTATTGTAGATTTTATTGTATTGTGTATTGGGTTTTATTCTTAAGACAGTTGTAGAATTGGACTCACTAGAAATATAGACTGGCATCTGCATCATTGTACCCTCCCTCCATTATCCTCTCCCATTTTGTAAGATAAGGATACAGCCTCATCAGAATTAAACATTTTGGTCAGCCTAAGTACAAATCTGACCTTGGTTTGGAAAAGGGTAGATTACAAAAATCTTAGTTTTTGCTCCTTGGATGTTGGTTGGTTTTCCATAGGAAAAAGGACCGCAACCTGGAATTTTGTTTGGTGGCTCCAGATTTAAGTATATGTGATTGCCCATTTAAATTGGCCTGAGCTTTTATGCTACCTGTTCATTTTTTTCATATAATAAGCCATTTGATGCTTCTACAGACCCATGGGTCTGTAGGTAGGCATTTTACATGATTATACTTGGAAAGAGCTAAGGTCAATGGTTTGCCCAAAGTAGCACCGTTGCTGAATTATAGTACTTAGTGTAGCACCCATTTCTTCTATTTCCCATGCACTGTGCTATGGCCATCATGTAAAACTGTCAGAAATTATTAGCCTATGCTTAATAAATATAGGATTAAATGAGTTTACCCAGTACTAAAAATTCTGGCATAGACCTAACTTCAGGGTGCACATAAATCATCCTGTAAACTGGCAATTCTTCCCTCTGAGGACGTGTTGTGTATGGAAAGTACATTTCATTAGGCTCTCTAAAGCCCCATTTATTTAACAGCTTTCTTCCAATTTAACATCTTGCATCTAACGGCCCTGGTGGCATGATGATAGACATCATGGAAATGCAAAGCGATGGGAAGAGGCGGATAAATACACTGGTTTATATGGGGTGAATTAGACATTAGAATTGCCCTTTCCCTATCTGCTTGTAAGTTCATTTCCTCATCTGATTCACCTCTTCAGCGTTATTTCATTTTAAGACCACCTTTTAAGGGGCAGGATGTTTGGATGGCTTGGTGCAGAATGGATTTTGGTAACAGGCTTATTTCTCCAAAATAGCATTTTCCTTTTAGAACACTGTGCTTTGAGGAATCATTATCAACATATACATTGAAATTCCCAGAGCCTAGGGCAAAGGTGATTAGAGCTTATGTAGAACTCAGTAATGAAGACATTAAGGTATTAATTCTCAAATAATTGACTCCAGTGTGCATAATTATCTATTCTACTCTCTCCCTCTCCTTGTTCCTCATCAGCCACCCCTCCCCGACTTTCCTCTACCCTTTGCCCCCCACCTTTTTTTTTTTTTTCCTGAGACAGAGTTTTGCTCTTGTTGCCCAGGCTGTAGTGAAATGGCGCAATCTCGACTCACTGCAACCTCCGCCTCCCGGGTTCAAACGATTCTCCTGCCTCAGCCTCCCGAGTAGCTGGGATTACAGGTGCCTGCCACCACGCCCGGCTAATTTTTTGTATTTTTAGTAGAGATGGGGTTTCACTATGTTGGCCAGGCTGGTCTTGAACTCCTGACCTCAGGAGATCCACCCGCCTCGGCCTCCCAAAGTGCTGAGATTACAGGCGTGAGCCACCGTGCCTGGCCCCCATTTTTTTTTTTTAATATTCATTTATTTGAGAGGGAGTCTCTGTCGCCCAGGCTGGAGTGCAGTGGTGCGATCTAGGCTCACTGCAAGCTCCGCCTCCCGGGTTCACGCCATTCTCCTGCCTCAGCCTCCCGAGTAGCTGGGACTACAGGCGCCCGCCACCACGCCTGGCTAATTTTTTTTCTTAATTTTTATTTTTAGTGGAGTCGGGGTTTCACCGTGTTAGCCAGGATGGTCTCGATCTCCTGACCTCGTGATCCGCCCGCCTCAGCCTCCCAAAGTGCTGGGATTACAGGTGTGAGCCACCGTGCCCAGCGTGGCCCCCATTTTTCTTTGACCAAATTGTAAGCAAATGTAAAACTCTCTATGTTTATTTTATTATTTCTTTATAAGTTTGTCACCTATGTACAATTTCTTAAATGATATAAGGCTTAGTTCTGTCTGTTTGGGCTTTATGTGAACAGAATCATACCACATATGTTTTTCTGTGACTTGCTTCTTTCTCCTGCCATTGTGTTTTGAAATTGATCCATATTAATGTGCATAGCTGTATTCATTCCTTTTGACGAGTGAAGCAGTGGTCACCAGAAGTTGTTATCTGTTCTTGTGCTTGTCTGTAGGGTTTACCTGCAGGACATGGAGGACATTGTTTGTAGGGGTGTTGGGGTAGAAAAGTCTGTGGCAGCTCCAGACCTTGCCTGTTTGCCTCAAGAACTCAGATATTATAATTTTGTGGTATATCCACTGTACATGTTCACGTTTATTGCTCAGTGCCAAAACATTCCACAAATGGCTGTGCCAATGTACTTTCGCACCAGCCATGTGTTATAGTTTTCTTTGATCCACAATTTAACTGACACTTGGTGTTGTGCACCTTTAAAATTTTTGCCAGTCTGTCATGCATGAAATGGTAATTGTCTGTTTGTGGGTTCAATATATATTTCCCTGGTTACCAAAGAGGCTAAGCATTACATGTTTTTGGACCATTTGTGTGTCCTTTTCTCTGTGCAATGCTTGTTTATAACTTTTTCCCAATCTATTTGGCTGTCTTTTAAAAACATCTGGTTTGTAGGAAATATTTATAGATGCTAGATACAAAGCCTTTATTGATTATGTTTAAAAAAGTCTTCACTCAGCTTGAGGCTTTTTGCTTCTTTATTGTGTCTTTTGATGAAGAAAATTCTTAACTTCAATGTAGTGAAATTTGTCTATTTTTTCTTTTAAGGTTTGTGTTTTTTTAAAAACATACTTCTACACCCCAAAACCACAAATATATTCTCTTATGTTCTTTTAATAGCTTTATAGTTTGCTCCTTAACCTTCAAATCATTCCACTTGAAATAGATCTTTGGCTGGGATCAAATATCGATGTAATACTTATAAATAATCATTATTCCGGTGCAATTTATTAAAAAGTTATTTTTCCTGTGATCTGCAATGACCATTTTGTAAATAACAGTTTCCATTTTGGGTATATGTTTGTTCATAGGCACTCTATTTTTTTCCATTTGTCATTTTGTTAATTTCTGCACCAGCACCACGCTGGCTTAATCCCTAAATCTCTGTAACAGTTATTGATATCCTACTGGGGATGTCCCATAACTTTGATTTACATCCTCAGGAGCATCTTGGCCATTCTTGAACTTTTTTTCAAATTTTAGAATCAGTTAAGGTATATGAAAACATGCTGTTAGGATTTTTGGTAAAATATCATTAAATTTATAGATCTATTTGGGGAAAATTCACATCTTTAAGATACTGTCTTACTTACAATATTATATAGCTTACCATTTATTTAGATTTCCTTTAATGTCTTTCCATTAAGTTTTACAATATTATCCATAAATGGCTTACACTTTTTCTTATTGTGTGCATTATATTTAATAATACCACTATAAATATATCTCTTTAGAATTATATTTTCTATCTGATTTTTACTGGGAAAAATTGATTTATATTTTCTGTCTTTCTAACTCTTTTTGTTTATAAATTCTGACCCAAACTTTAAAATTTCCTCAATAAAAAAAATTTAATTTTAGTATATCACATGTAAACACCAATTACATTTTTTGAGGATGTATAAGTTTTTTTGATAAGCCAAGATTTCCATTTTAAAGTCATAAGAATCAATTGAGTCTGATTCTTAAAGATTCATTAAAAATTCTTTCTCGGAAAACTGCAAGAGGTATCTTGTGAAATATTAGGATACCTCATTAAAATATTTGTACAAGTATTGCTTTTTTAAATTAAACTTTTCTTTTGAAATAATTGTAGATTTACTTGGGGTTGAGAAATAATACAGAGAGATCCCATGTATTCTCTACTAACTTTCTGCTAATCCTAACATCTCTCAAAATGATAGTACATTATTACAGCCAGGATATTGATACTGATAACAATCAAGATAAGAACATTTTCACCACGGAAGTTTCCCTTATGTTGCTATTTTATAGCCACACTCCCTTCTCCTGACCCCCACCCTTTCCATAACCCCTAGCAACCACTGATTTTTTTCTCCATTTCTATAATTTTATCATTTCAAGAATGTTATGTAAAGAGAATTATGCCGTGTGTAGCCTTTTAGGAGTCACTGTTTTTGCTCAGCATAATTCTCTGGAAGTTCATCCAAGTTGTTGTGTATGTCGATATTTTATTCCTTTCTATTGCTGAGTAGTATTCCATGGTGTGGATGTACCACAGTTGATTTAACCATTTACCTATTGGTTATTGTGAATAAAGCTGCTATGAACATTTATGTACAAATTCCTGTAGAACATAAATTTGTATTTCTTTGTGATAATGACTTTAGTGTTGTATTTTTTATTTTAGCTATTCTGATGGATGTGTAGTGATATGCCAATGTGGTTTTAATTTGGATTTCTTTGACAGCTAATTATATTGAATATTTTTATGTGTTTATTTGCCATATACAGTACATACACACACACAAACACACACACAAACACACACCCTCTTTGGTGAAACATCTTTTCATGTACTTTGTCCATTTTCTAATTGTATTATTTGCATTTAATATTGAGTTTTGAGAGTTCTTTATATATTCTAGATATTGGTTGTTGCTTGGATAGGTGGATTGCAAATATTTCCTACAACTGTAGCTTATCTTTTTAACCCCTTAACAGGGTCTTTCAGAGAGCAAAATTCTTAATTTTAATAAGATCCATTTTTATGAGTGTTTCCTTTCCCTGCCCCTCTCTCTCTCCTGCTGCCTTGTGAAGAAGGTGTTTGCTTCTCCCTGCTTTCTACCATGATTGTAAGTTTCCTGAGGCTTCACCAGCCATGCAGAACTGTGAGTCAATTAATCTTCTTTTATTTATAAATTATCCGGTCTCAGGTAGTATCTTTACAGCAGTGTGAAAACGGACTAATACAATGCCTCTGCCAATACCACAGTCTGGACTACTCTGGCCATATAGTAAGCCTTGGAATACCACTTCACTATTTTTTTTCCAATATTGTTTTAGCTATATTTACAAAAAAATCTTGCAGAGATTTTTATAAGAATTGCATTAAAGCTGTGTATCAATCTGGAGAGAACTGACTATGTTGAGTATTTCAATCCATGGACATGCTATGTTATTCCATTTATTTAGATCATTTTTAATCAGTATTTTATAGTTTTCACCTACAAGTACTGTGGGGGTTTTGTTAGATTTATGCCTAAGCATTTTATATTTTTAATAAATATAAATTATATTGTATTGTTAATTTTAATGTCCATATGTTTACTGTCGATACATTCAAATACAATTGATTTTCCTTTGTTTGTCTTATAGCTTACGACCTTACTGAACTAACTTATTAGTTTCAGAAATCTTTTTATATATTTATCTTGATTATCTGTGCTGATAATCATGTCATTTGCAAATAAAGACAGTTTAATTTCTTCCTTTCAACACATATGCCTTTTTATTTATTTTTTTCCTCTTAATTGCACTGGCTAGAACTTCTAGTACCCTTACATTGAATGAAGCTTCCCATTGTGTTCTCTGTTTTTTTTTTTTCCTCTCAGATTTTCATGTATCTGTTTTCTTTTTCTGTTTTTCTTGTGGGTTAGTTAAACATGGTTTATAATTTCATGTTGACTTACCTATAATATTTTTGATGGTATCTTTTTGTATAGCTTTTAAAAATAGTTGCTACTATATATGTTAAATTGTATATACATAGCTTATCATAGTCTACTGGTATTGAAATTTTACTAGTTCAAGTGAAGTGTAAAAACATTCCTTCCTTTTTATCTTCATTTATAATGTATTGTCTCAAGTATTTTCTGTACATACATTCAGAACCACGTAAGACAATATTAAAAATGTTGCTTCGACTATCAAATGTAAATTAGAAAACTCAAGGGAAGCAAAATATATTTACCTGTAATTTTCCTCTTTCTGTTGTTCTTTCTTCCAGATGTCCTTGCTGTTTGGAGAAATTCCTTTAGTCATTTTTTTAGGGTAGTTCTGTTGACAAAATATTCTTGTTATTTTTCATCTGAGAATGTCTTGATATCCCCCTCATTGCAGGGAAATATTTTTTTTTGGTTACAGAATTTTGAGTTGACATTTTTTTTCAGCACTTTAAATGTGTTACGTCACTTCTTTCTGGCTTTCATGGTTTCTGATGAGAAATCAGTCATTCATATTTTTTTCTCTATAAAAAGTCATTTTTTTCCCACTGTTTTCAATTTTTTTATTTGTCCTTAATTTTCAGAAGTTTGTCTATAATGAACCTTGCCATAGATTTCTTTGGGTTTGTCCAGCTTGTGGTTTGCTGAGCTTTTTGGATCTATAAGCGTATATCAAGTCCTTTGCAGAGATATGGATGTTGATTTAGAATGTAATTGCTTTCTGATTTTGTCATTGTTCTCTTTTCATGTGTACATTCTTTGTCATTTTTCTAATCCGTTAACTGTTGGTTGTTATTCTTTCAACATAAAGATTGAAGTTTATAAATATTACTTTATATCACTTAGCTGTTACCCAATACACTTGGTGACTTACTGTCAGTCATATATTTATAGATCTCTCTGGGGCTGGCTGATACAGGTTTATAAATATAGCTCTGTATCAGTTAGCTGTTGCCACAAAATATGCTGTGTAAGGAACTACTACAAAACTCAGTGTCTCATTCTGATTCACACTGATTCACATGTGTGAATTGGCTGGGTTTGGCTGATCTAGGTGGGATTCTGCTGTTTGTTTTTTTTCCAAATTACAGGTTAAGCTCAGGTCTGTTCCATGTGTCTCTCACCCTTTTTAGACCATAGACTAGAACATGTTTTTCTCATCATTATGACAGAAGTATAAAAGGCCAAACCCCATTTTATATATATAAACACATTTAAGCCTTTGCTCCAATTATATCTATCCTTATACTGTGTTAGTCTGTTTTTGTATTGCTGTAAAGGAATACCTGAGACGGGGTAATGTATAAAGAAAAGAGGTTTTATTTTGGCTCACAGTTCTGCTGGCTGTACATGAAACAGGGCCAGCTATGCTTCTGGTGAGGGACTCAGGAAGCTTCGACACATGGCAGAAGGCAAAGGAGGAGGCAGGGTATCATAGAGCAAGAATGGAAGCAAGAGAGAAAGGGGGAAGGTGCCACACTTTTTTAAACAACTGGATCTTGCGTGCAACACAGAGTGAGAATATGAAGGCATCAAGCCATTCCTAAGGGATTCATCTGAATGACCCAAACACCTCCCACCAGGCTCTACCTCCATCACTGGAGATCACATTTCCACATGAGACTTGGCAGGGACAAACATCCAAATCATATCATATACTGTTGGTTAAAACAAGTCACTTCAGTGGGTGGGGCAGTTATCACACCCATGGTAGAACTGGCAAAAGGGTGAATATTTCTGAACAATAAACCAAACTGTCACAAAATCCAGGCACTGATTTGTTTGCCATCCTATTTTGTTGTTCAGTACCATTTATTTTGCTGTTTCTCTCTCTCTCTCTCACCCCATGCACACACAGAGGGAAGGCCATGTGAGCACACAGTGAGAAGGTGGCTCTCTGCAAACCAGGAAGAGTCCCTTCACCAAAGCTCGGTCATACTGGAACCCTGATGTCAAATTTCCAGCCTCCAGAATTGCGAGAAGTAAACTTCTGTTGTTTAAGTCACCTAGTCTATGATATTCTGCTATGGCAGCTGGAGCAGACTAGGCACTGATATATTTGGATTTATTTGAAAAATTTGGTTATGTGCTTTCCACTTCGTCTGTCTTTTATGTTTCTTTTCTTTTCTTTTTTTTCTTTCTTGCCTTCATTGTGATTGATTTAGTTTTTTTCCATTTTTTCTCCCTCTACTTATTTGGCAATTATATGCTGTGTGACTATCATTTTAGTAGTTACCTACCTATTTTAACACACATACCATGTTAACAAAGTTTAAATGTATTATCTTTTCTATACACTTGAACAATATAAAAATACATAATATTTTAACTGATTATTTTTCATCCAAACTCCCTTGCTATTGCTGCCCTATATTTTAATTCTATTGTGTCAACCTCTAGTTCCCACAAGTTACCCCTCTTTGTGCATACAACTGCAGATTGAGCATGGTTTTCTCTTAGCTGGTTGATGATATTACTTCACTATCCTAATTCACAATGGTTTGACTTAGATGTTTGGACTTCATGATGGTGTATAAGTGATATTCATTCAGTAGAAAGTGTACTTTCAGCATTCAATAAATTACATAAGACATTCAACACTTTATTATACAATAAGCTTTGTGGTAGATTTTCCTCAACTGTAGACAAATATAAGCGCTCTGAGCATGTTTAAAGTAGGCTAGGCTAAGCTGTGGTCTTCAGGAAGTGAGGTGTATTAAATGTTTTTTAACTTAAGATAGAGTTATTGGAACATACTCTCATTATAAGCTAAGAAGCATCTGAATGTCCTGGGTTCCCATTTTTTGCTATTTAGAAGTTAGATAAGAATGCAATTTTTATTCTCTCTTAAGCAGCCTTTTTTTATTTACACAAATAACTATGCAAAATAACTACATAATATTTTGTTGAATTTATGTTCTGTCTTTAATCTATTTTTGGATTTGTCCTCGTATCTATCTACATCTATCTAATATTTATTCACTAAATTATGATCATACTGATATTTAATATTATTTATTCACTACTTTTATTTAAAAGTATATAAACAGCAAGCCTTATGTTATTAAATATTCTTCTCTTGCTAAACATTTAGTCTTCTTTCCTCTTCTTCTTCGTTTTCCTTCTTCCTCTCCTCTTTCCTCCTCCTTCTCCTTTTATTCTTCTTTTGATACTATATAAATAATAGTGTGACAAACATTTCTATAGATAAATCCTTGTCTATGGCTCTCCTATTTCTATATTGGAGGCTTTTAGGGGTAGAATTATTGAGTCAAACTACGCAGATCATTCAAGGCTTGTAGTAGTGCTGAAAAGTGGCTTTCCAGAAAGGCTAGTAAATGTCCATTCTGACTAACTGTGCCTGAATTGCTTCATCTCATGACACCCAAACAATCATAGGATGCTGTTAGTTTAAAAATCTTTTACAACTCGATAGTGAATAATGCTTTAGTCTGCATTTGTGTTTATACAACTATGTATTGTTTGAACATTGGTTTGCTCAAAGGCTTATTGGTAATTTCAAATTCCTCTTCTCTGCGTTGTTCTTTCAATCCTTTGGCAATTGTACTTTTTCAGTTTTGTCGGTCTATGTAAGCTTTCTTTATACTAATACTGCTTTGTCTTATGCAGGTTTATAGACTTAAAATCTGCCTATATCATGTATTAAATTAATTAGCTCAATAATTTATCTAAACATTCAACAAAATTTCCTGAATATCTACTCTATGCTAATTAAGAAATCTGTAGAAAATCTTAAATAGTAATTATTTTATTTTATGGATGCCATTTCTTCAAACATTTCTTTTAGTGTATTATGACTTTCATGTTGTAGGATTATTATTTTTGTTTTTAAAGCACATCATACTTTACTAAATAAATGGCCTGGGAACTCATCTTGAGCATTAAGCTATGCATAATTTTAATAATGGGGTATATTGAGTACACATTAAATACTGTGCTTAGCATTTGGAATATATTACCTATTCATTAGAATATATTACCCATTTTATAGATGAGAAAATGAGGCTTAGGAAAGTTTAGCATGTGCCCTAAGGTCACACAGGAGGTATGGCTTGGGACCCAGTTTTAGACCCACATTTATCTGCCTACAAGACCCATACTTTCCTTTTTGATGACACTACCTCTCAGCAGCAATGAGTCCTTTTTGGGCTTCTGTGCATGTCAAACTGCAACCGGGTCCTGTTTTCTCTTCCATGACACTCTGAAGTTTTAGGAACAAAAATAAAAAATTGTCCTTCTTGGTCAAGTGGTTCCATTAGCAGAGGGTCCCATCAGGAGAGAGAGCTTTGGCACTGTCCCACGTGGGCATCCTTCCCATGGCAATTCTTTTTATATCAATAACTTCCTAGTCCTCTTTTCCTCTAAGGTGGAGAAGATATCAATGAGGTTTTTGGAGGTGAGAGAACAACACAAACCCTGATCCACTGTGTAAACCCAAATCAAGAAATTATCTTGCTCTTTCCATCCTCTCCTGAATATGTTGATTGTTTCCTCTCTTGCTTGATAAATATTGGCTGTCCAGATTGCGTTTGGAGAAGATACGGGCCTGGGAAATGTGAAACATAGCACAGATGCAGGCACGGTTTCTTTTGTAGGCAGATGTCCCAGGGCCGGGGGTCAATTTAGGGGGATTATTCAAGGGTGTTTCATGTGCCGTCATTCTTTTCTCTTGTCCAGCTGCTTTTCCCCAATGGCTGCTAGGACGATGACTATGAGTGGTAACCTTGACTTGCCTGAAATGGAAAGGTCATTGAGAGGTCTGTCATGACCAGTCTTAAGCTCTGCCCCCCTCATTCATGCAGGGGAGGAAAAGCTGGAATCTCAACTAACAGTCTGATCAATGGAGACATTTGTGACCCAGTTCTGACCATGTCTTTCCTGGAAGCCAAATCCTTCAAAGGCTTACTACTTCCAATGGATAAAGTCCAAGTTCCTTGGCATAGCATAGAAAACCTTTCATATCCTCCCTCCATCTTTTGCTTCATTTCTGTTTGCATCCACAGTTGGCTTCTAGGTGCCACTCACTTTGAACTACATTAGGCCTTTGCACTTGTTGTACATAGAAAGCAGCTTCATCTCCTTCCTCAGCATCATGATCTTTTCTTCCTTGCTGGAAACCCTTCCTATGGACCCTTTTCCTGACAGCCTACTTCTTCTCAAGCTGAGTGGTTTCCTCCCTACTTTGCTTTATGTGTGAACTTGGCACTGCCGTTTGCATCCCATCTTTCCTTCTAGTCTATGGGCCTTAATCTCCCTCATCTCTGGATTCCTCTGCGCACAACAGGCACTAAATACATTTTTTTTCATTGAGTAAGTGAATGAGTGATGTCAGACCTTTGTAAAATATTTTATTTATTTAATATATTTTTTTCTCTATTATCTAAATTTTATGTTCATAATAAGCCCACAGGTGGGATTATTTCCCCCATTTTGGACATTAGAAATTTAAAGACCACAGTGGCATTGTGACTCTCTAATTTGGCAGACTGGTGACCAGCATACAGTTCTTAAGTCTTAGGCAGTTGAAGCCAGAAGAGAGCTTGGTTGATTAAACATGCCAGTAGTGTTCTTATTGTTCATGTGCCACATTGATTGCCACTGTCGAGTTCTTTGATTGGTTTTGAATTATGCTTATGTAGAGAAAAATTTTAGGCTATTTGCATGGATCCTTATTGCCTGCAGAGAAAGTTCTAACACCTTAGCAAGGCATTCAAAATTCTGGCCCTGATATAGAATGTCAGCTTTATCTTTAGCCACTTAGCATCCATATTGCAATACTCCTTTACTATAGACTAGGGTGGCAAACCTTTTCTGTTAAGGGCTAGATAGTTAATATTTTGGGTTTTGTGAGCTAGATAATCTTTCTTGCAACAACCCTGCAACTATGGTTTGAAAGCAGGCATAGATATTACTTAAATGAATAGGTGTGGCTGTGATTTAACAAAGCTTTATTTATAGAAACAGTATACTGAATTTGTCTCAGGGTCATAGTTTACCAATCCCTGTTATAAATCATTTCTGAAAATATCATGGATTATTTCCTTTTTCCCTTTCCTCAGTTCCCTGTCCTTATCTATGTTTCTCACATCTATCTCGTTTCCTTCCTACCTTTCTTTCACCTTTTTAAGGTGTGTTCAACAGGTATCCATCCCTGTGAGTCATCCTTAAATCACTGCAACTGCCCTGTTGCTGGGTCTAGGCATCATACAAAGGGAAACTCCATTAACGAATCTCATTGTTCATGGTCTTAGTTTCAAATCTTTTGCCCCAAATCAATCTTCACACTGTATTCCACTTTGTTTTTAATTTTCTTTCTGATGTCCTGGCTCATTTTTCTTCTATCAGTTTATCCTCCTTCATCCTTTAGAATTGATGGCTCTTCTCACCTTCACAGTGATGATTCTGAGTTCCCCTTTGTAGGATCAGAGTCAGGCCCCTCCGGCTCTGCTGCCTCGGGCCACCTCAGGTGAATCTCTGCTTAGTTTTATCTGGTGCTGTGATGCCCTAATTTGGTGCCATTTTTTCACCATTTTCTAGCTAACCTGTCTGCCTGATTGCCATGGCCTTGCCAGTTGAAATCAAACAATGTGTGCCTGATCCCATGCCAGATTCTAAGAGGATAGAGGGGTTGACATAGTCTGTGTTCTTATTCTGTAGCCCAGTCTAGCAAATAAGTGATACAACTAATTCTAATATCATACGAGAAGGGAGCATCTCTGGGGAGCCATATTTGAGAGTGATGACTCCAAGATGAAAGAGTATGGTAAAAGATGGTTTCAGTTCCAACATCTGAGTTTTACTTCCTTGTTGAAAAAATTGCTACAGTTCCTGTTGTCTCCTATGCCACTTCCAGCTTCCACCACCTCTCCTTCAATGTCTTCAGTTGCCTCTCATTGGTTTGCTAGCCCATTGAATTATACTTCTCAATAGTCCCCAATGTAAATTTCTTCCTCAGGTACCTGAGCCATTTTAGTGTTCCCTGCATACAGCGTGCCAGTTGCTACCTACATGCCCAACACCCAGCATCTTATGTCACCTCGAAAGGTCATGTAACCAGCCTGAATTTAAAAAACTTTAAATATTTGGCTGGGCACAGTGGCTCACGCCTGTAATCCCAGCACTTTGGGAGGCCGAGGCAGGCGGATGACAAGGTCAGGAGATCGAGACCATCCTGGCTAACACAGTGAAACCCCGTCTCTACTAAAAAATACAAAAAATTAGCCGGACGTGGTGGCGGCCGCCTGGTAGTCCCGGCTACTCGGGAGGCTGAGGCAGGAGAATGGTGTGAACCCGGGAGGCAGAGCTTGCAGTGAGCCGAGACTGCGCCACTGCACTCCAGCCTGGGCGACAGAGTGAGACTCCGTCTCAAAAAAACACAAAAACAAAAACAAAAAAAAAACTTTAAATATTTACTAAAACACCATATCTAAAACTTTTTGTCTTGTTCTTGCCACTTAATAAGTCCTCGATAAATACCCATTTCTTCCTGCTCACAACTCTTTTCTTTCTTTCTACCTGTCTAAATCCTAACCACGCTCCAAGACAAGCTTAACTTTTTCTTCCTTCGTGAAGATTTCTAGCCAATGTAGCCAACACTGACTTTTCTTCCTATTCTTAAGAAGCTACGAAACAAAGGCTTAAAGCATAATACATCTAATTCTTGACTATATTCTGCTGTGTATGCTATTTTATTGCTTCCTATTTAGACAGACTTGCTCTGTCCGTGGGTAGCTATGTGATCTTGGAGAAGTTACTTAATTTCTCTGAGCCTCTAATGCCTCATTGGTAAAATGAGACTAATAAGTTTTCTCCTACCTAACACAGAGTTCACCTTTCAGTCACTTTCTGTCACATGTTAGAAAATGCGTTATCATGTTCTCACTCATAGGTGGGAATTGAACAATGAGAACACTTGGACACAGGAAGGGGAATATCACACACCGGGGCCTGTCATGAGGTGGGGGGAGGGGGAGGGATAGCATTAGGAGATATGCCTAATGTAAATGACAAGTTAATGAGTGCAGCACACCAACGTGGCACATGTATACATATGAAACAAACCTGCACATTTTGCACATGTTCCCTAGAACTTAAAGTATAACAAACTTGCACATTTTGCACATGTACCCTAGAACTTAAAGTATAATTTAAAAAAAAAATAAAGAAAAAGAAAATGCGTTATCTAGTGCGGTTACTTTTTTTTTTTTTTTTTTGTCTGTTGTCTTTCTTCTCTCACCAGCAAGCAATAATTGACATGAGGCTGAAGATCTCATCTGGTGTGTTCAGTGCTATATCCCCAGTGCCTAGAAGGTGTGATTAAATATTAGTTGAATAAAAGATTGTAAGTCACTTGCAGGTGAGTTTTGAACATTAACTGAGATGTAGTTAAATGATTGGCCAGTACATGGTCACTGATGAGATTTCAATAAATGTGAATTTCCATAACACAACCATTGCTACCTATTTCTGTCACCACCATTGCTACTACTATTACTACTGTTGACTAAGGCAGATGGAACACTCTCCCCTTCTAAGGCAATGATGCTGGTAAGAGCAAATCTACCTACAGTGGAAGTGATCTCCTTGGAGCTGCCAGACTCTGAGAGTGAGCTGTGTGGGCCTCTCAGTGAATACAAATACTAATAAACAAATGCAAACACCAACAAATGATGTGATTAAACAGCATCTGGAAGGATAAGGAGAGTTAGAGTAGTCATGATTTCATTTAGTGAGTTTCTACCTTCTTATTTCTCTGTTCTTCATTATTCTGAGACCAAATGACCATTTGGATGTAAATTCGAATTGATTGCTCAGCAAATTGGCCAAAAGGTTAGACCCTCCTCTTAGCCTACCAGTTGATACCATCTTCTGTTTTTTCCTTCTTGACTTATCACTCTGTAGCAATGAATCAGTGTTGCTAAAAGTACATGTTGCAAATTCCTTTCATGTCCTTATTAATTCACTGTTGACACAATTAATCAACTATTTCCTCCTAGCTTTTTATTGCCTAATCTTGACTTTGTTATTAATATGTAAGGTAGACAAAATACTCCCACTTTCTAAATGAAGAAATAGATACTTGCTGAAGTGTCCATGATTTCAAGGGCACAGAGTGGTGGGGCCGGAATGCTTCAAGCTTCAATTCTTGCCTCCTTCCACTTCCTCACAGTTTCCTTCCAACCAGATTTTCCCCTGAGATTTACCATCTCCAGCAAACACTTGTTGAATGTCTACTACATGTCAGACACTCTGATAGGTGACTGGAGAAAACAGAAAAGAGTTAGACATCATGCCTGTCCATTCAACTATCCAGACTGGTTGGAGAAACAGAGAAGAACATAGAGTATGTCAACAGAATGTAACATGTGCTATATTAATAATGCATACAAAGAGTTACAATTGCAAAGCAAAAAGAGTGGCTTCCTGACACTAAAAAAACACCTTGGAGAAATTGTCACATATGAACTGACATTAATAGCTAAGTATGGCACATGGATAGGGGTTTTCCAGGTGGAGAAAGTGGGAGTGGCACACCAGGAAGCAGGAAGTGGAATTATAAGCAAGCCCAGGTATATGGTGAGTAATGTACTGAGCGTCTCATATTGGTGGGACACTGAAAAGCAGGAGTTGACACAGAAAGATTGCCCCAATGAATGGGGAACAGGGCACAGATATGTCACACTAAGGATGTGAACTTTATTTCTAAGGGCCAAGGCAAATGACTTCATTTTGTCTCCCATTTCCATGGTGACTTCCTCATCAAAGGGAAGTCCTCTTGCCAGACTTGTCATGGTGACTGCTACAGTTCACCCTATGGACATGCTTGGCTCAAGTGGGCCATAACAGCAGGTGTCTACTCTACCACAACATGGAGACCTCCTGCATATGTAGGCAGAACACTGTGTACATACATGTGCGGCACACCCAGATATCCTTTGTCATTCAGGAGCTTACCGTCCCAGCGGCCTGTGAGTGTAGATGACAAACAGCATGGGCCACGGGGACCTGGGAGCATGACCCAGAGAGAAGCCAGAATTCTTCAGAACTGCCAACAAAGGGCTGCATATTCTTGATCAATTGTTCTTTGTCTAGTTCATTTACTGAACTTGATAAAATTGACAACCCTCACAGTGCTACTTCCTTCCCCTATCAGGATAGCTGTGTTTTAATCTCAAAGCTGCCTTTGACCTGAGCTCCTGGAAGGAGCACTCTTCGGGGACAGCATTCAACCTGTGTCCTCATTTCCTTTACCCTTGGCTGCACCATCCTTGAGCTAAGGAGAAATGTTACTGTCTGTGCATGGAAAGGATTTCCTGGCTGCTGTTTGCTTTGGAACAGATCTGGAGTTTTCTGTGGTTATCTCAGTTTAAGTCTGTCAAATGACATTATTTTATTTTTAATGACAATGTGGTAGTAGAAAGAGCCCTGGAGTAAAAATCAGAAAGAGGGGGTAAGGAGAGAAAATAAAAAAGAAAAAGAAAAATCCCGCCCTCGTTTCAGGCCTGCTGCTCTCCTCGCAGGCTGTGTGTTCCAGGTCTCAGGTGACTTGACATCCCTTGCTGGAATTCACTGAAACTGAGCTAGTCCTGATGACACTGGAAATTACAGAATTTTGATGAATATTAAAGAAGATCACATAGTGAGAATGACTTCTAAGTTTTAAAGTGTTTTTTACATTTGATCAACTTTCACTCTTTTTAATTTTTATTGAACACTGTTGTAAATTATAATGGCTTTTTCCCCCACTCCAGGAAGTGACTCTCAACTATCCCAGTCCTTATGATATATTCTTTCTCTGAGCTGATAAGAAGATAAAACTTCATATTTTTGAACTTAGACATAATACTTCTTTTGTTATTTCTATATTTATGTATTTCACGCATAGGATGAGGTCCTGGCAGGTATCCGGTAGGTCTTTATTTTTCTTTCTGCTTGGCACAGTGCTGAGCACAAAGTAGACACTCTGTATTATCCAGTTAAACTGAATTTCCATTTGTACGCTTACTTGAACTAAGAGAGAGTATATAGCTCTGAGAAAATTTATTAATTGAGGTCATGTTTATTCTAAGATTATCAACTAACATAATACATTTGTTTAAACTCAGGGATCAGTAGTTTATGTTGGTCATTAATGCATCTCAGTGAGATATGGTTGTTTATAGCACTTTGCAAGAATATGTGAGTTTTCCATTCTAAGGAAACCAAAGGATGATAATCAGCAAAAGGAAGTTCCTCCAGAGCCATGGATGGATGTGTGGCGTAGACTGTGGGTTCTCAGCCTTATCCACTATTGCCTGCATGCTTCCCAGCTTTCCTGCAGTGAGTGGGGCCGTGAGTCTCAGTCTTGACCAGTGAACAGTGTGTGGCCACAGGAAGGGCATGCGTCAGGTCCAGCTGGTGATAAACCTCTCGTGTGAGCCCTCTTACTTTCTCTTTTTTCTCATTGGCCAATAGAAACATGAAATCCAGTGAGAGACTCCAAGGAGAGCTGAGGGCAAGGGTCAGCAAACTGTTCCAGCAAACGGCCAGATAGTAAATGTTGTAGACCTTATGGATGATACAGTCTCTGCATCTGTTGCAATTATTCAACTCTGCTGTTGTAATGTGAAACCCCCATAGATAATACGTAAACAAATGAGCATGACTGTGTCCCTATAAAAAATGTGTTTACAAAGACAGGCAGTGGCTGGATTTGGCCCACAAGCAGTGCTGGATTTGGTCCACAGGCAGTAGTTTGATGACCCCTGACCTAGAGTAGGCCGATGCCACAAGATGCAGGGATTTTGAATCCCTGAGTCACTTCTTTGAAGACTGCTGGCCAAACACGCAATTGGACCAACATGGGTGAGAAATAAAACTTATTGTTAAGCTGCTGTGATAGTTAGTTGGTTTGTGAAACCAGTTGATATTAAGTATTATGACTAATTGTGGAATATTCTAGAATTTTTAAAAACTCCCTAGTTCAATCAATCATGAATCCTGTCAATTTTGTCTTTAATTTTTGTTTTTTTTCTTTTAAAGACAGTGTCTCACTCTGTTGCCTAAGCTGGAGCATGGTGGCATGATCTTGGTCTTGGCTCACTGCAACCTCCGCCTCCCAGGTTCCAGAGATTCTCCCGCCTCAGTCTTTTGAGTATCTGGGATTACAGGTACCTGCCACCACGCCCGGCTAATTTTTGTATTTTTAGTAGAGATGGGGTTTCACCATATGGGCCAGGCTGGTTTCGAACTCCTGGCCTCAAATTATCTGCCTGCCTTGGCCTCTCAAAGGGCTGGGATTACAGGCGTGATTCATTGCCCCCAGCCTAAATAGTTTTAGTATCTTCTAGATCCCTACTCCCACTGCTTAAAGTGCAGACCCTTGTCATTTATCATCAATACAACTGCAGCAGCCTCCGGACATCTGTGGCCTCTCGCCAGCCCATCTTCTACACCATGGACAGGGTAATCGCTGGAGGGATGCTCCACACACAGAGGTCAAGGCTGACTGTCTCTTGAGCCTCAGCTCCATCATCCTGTCCTTTGAAAAATCCCCTGCTTGAGGCGTGATGTCAGGCTGGTTAAAACGCAGCCTCAGAGTCAGAATGTCTGGATTCAAATAGTAACTCTGGCAGGGCGGAGTGCACTTTGGGAGTCTAAGGTGAGAGGATTGCTTGAAGCCAGACATTTGAGACCAGCCTGGGCAACACAGTGAGACCCAATCTCTCTCTAAAAAAAAAAAAAAAAAAGAAAAAAGAAAAAAGAGAGAGAGAAATTAAAATATAAATAAATAAAATAAATAATAAAATAAATAAACAATAACTGCCACATTCAATGGCAACTTGGCTTTGCTTGCATTTGTTCATTTCATTGAGGGTCATGAATCCTTCCTCACCCGCCTGTTGTGGAGATAGCAGCTGACTGTGTTGGTAAAGCAGCTTCTAGCATGGGACTGTCATCTTCCATTGCCCTCTGCTATTGTGATATCCTGCACTTCTTTCTCAGGAGGTGAGAATAGGAGATGATTTTGCTCCCCAGGATACATTTGGCAATGTCTGGGGACACAGTTAATTGTCACCACTATGGGGGTGCTACTGGTATCTAGTGTGCAGAGTCCAGAGATCTTGCTAAACATCCTACAATGAACATATCAGTGCCCACCCCCCAACCCAAAAATAATTATCTGACTCCAAATGTCAATATTGCTGGAGATGAGAAACTCTGCTCTAAGGAGACCTGTGTGAGATTTTGAAAATTCACTACCCCAGGGGTATTTATCTGCTAGTCATGAAATGTAAAATGTTTCTGAAATTGAGGGTGTTTCAGGTGGCCCTGGACTCTCTGGTTTTTCACAAGCCACCCACCTCCTTGGTCATGATAGGTATTGATGGTATCTGCTGGACCCAGAAGGCATTTAAATTTGTTATTTGTTACCCCTAGTGGATTTTCACTTTCCCTAACAGACAGCAATTTACTCAAGGCAGGAACTTTCTCTTTCCAAATTAACGTGTGTGTAATTGAATGGATAATGACCCCTTGAGAGGCCATTTCCCACGCATGTATGCCAAGATCTATGCTCAGGGTCCACTTCTTTCTCAGTGTTCTTTACTGAACTCGTCCTTCTCTGATGTCCTTTGGATTTAATGTCTGAGCAGCTCAACTGTGATCAATTATGTGCAGGAAACCGCAGAGTTACATATGCCTGATTTATGAACATCTGCATAGAGGGACGCTGTCAAGCTCTCTTGGGGATCCTAGAGAGGGAAGTGGAGTTTTTAAGGTACCTGGGACCTTCTTTTTGCATCATAAGCCTTCGCTGACTCCCTAAGGGCCCATGGTGGTCTTCCTATTGTGTTCCTAGGTTCTCTGTGTTTCTTTTTCACCTACTGCCTGATTCTTGATGGGCCTGTGGGAAGATAACTAGAGGGACAAAATGTTCCCTGGGTTACCTCTTTTTCTTTATGACAGAGGGAAACATCTTTTTGTATTTTCTCAACAGAAAGCATGTGGGCTTATTACTTAATATAGCCCAAATATGGAAAAATGGAAGAATTCCTGGGTCCAGGGGCAGGGGTGTGTAGGAGAAACATACAAGATCTTCTTGATGGCTGGTCAGAGAGAAAGGTGGAACAAGTACTGGACGTTGCCTGAAATCAGAAGCTAGTGAAGGGGTGGGCGGGTTAATTAGAGGTGAGGGATTGGGAAGTTGCAGGGGAGAGGACAGGAATGGAAAAGAGAATTGTCTTTTTAGAATCTGATTCTTATCTGTAGTTTTTGTGTCCTCACCAATGCTTTCGGGTATGCTGTAAGGAGTGCAATAAAAAAGTTGCGGGCTGTCACTTTTTCTGTGATGCCTATCCAAATCTCCTATACTTGAAGAAATCGTATCCCATTCTGTGACCACATTGTCCTCTGTTCGTACCCCCAGGGTGACCCTCATCACTTATTTTTTTTGTCTCTGCTGGTTCCCCTCTTTGCACCCACGTCCTCAAGGCAGGTTCCAGGTTGTATGTGATTTGTGCCCTGAGCATCTCCTGGGTTGGCTTATGAGTGGATGTGAGTAGACAGCTGCTCATCTCTATCGCGGGTGGCCAGGTCTGCATCCTCAGCTTCCTGCTCTTGACTCCTCCCTCCAATGGCTCCAACAATAGACAAATCCTATTAATTCTACTTCTGCATTGCTCTGTTAATTTATCAGCTCATCTCTGCTTGCACTGCCTCTCCCCTGGCCCAGCCTCATTACCAGTCAGCTGTGGGGGGATCAATCTCCTTACAGGGTCTCCCTGCTTTCAGACTTGCTCCCTGCTGGGCCCCCTCCTGCCTATTTCCAGCGGCAGAGCTAAGAGCTTTTTTATTACACAATGCTGTCAACATGGGGAGAATATCCTCATGGTAATGCATGTGCCAGATACAGTTCAAAGTGCCCAACATATACTCACTCATTGAATAGGCATCACAACTCTAGGTACAGCTGTTTTTATTTCTCTTACATCTTCTATTTTAGAAGAGAAAACTGAGGTGCAGAGAATTTAAGACTTGTCTAGAATCATGGAGTAAATGGTGAAACTAGGATTCGGAATCACTTCTTGAAGGTTTTCTTTTTCCTTTGATGATTTAGGGTAGACGGGTCAAGGAGGCACTGCACTTAGTAATGTACTGAAGAACAGCATTTCTGTGATTTTGGGTTCCATTTAGGCTTGAATTTGTTTTATTCGTTCATTCAGGAATGCATTAAAAACATACGAATTGATATTGCCAACGTCCTAGGTACTGGGGATACAGCTTTAAATTGTCAAGATCCTTAGTCTCTTATGGGTTTTGCTTTCTTATAGAGGGAAACAGACTGTAAAGAACAATATACTTCAAAGTTAGGAATAAATATCTTAAGAAATATTTTTTAAAATTTAAATTTAAATTTTTATTTTGAGTTTGGGCGTATATGTGCAAGTTTGTTATATTGGTATATTGTGTGATGCTGAGGTTTTGGGTATGATTGACCCTGTCACCAAGTTACTAACCATAGTAACCAGTAGATAGTTTTTCAGCCCTTTCCCCACTCCCTTCCTCCTTCTTAGGAATAAATCTTAAACAGAGAATTGAACTAGATGGACCCTGGAGAGCCTATTTGTGGTCAAGAGCTGAAAGCTTATCAAGAACAAACTAAAAGAAGATTGTAAGTGAGAATGGGGAGCCTTTTTTAAAAAAAATTTATTATACTTTAAATTCTGGTATACATGTGCAGAGTGTGTAGGTTTGTTACATAGGTATACGTGTGACATGGTGGTTTGCTGCACCCATCAACCCGTCATCTACATTAGGTATTTCTCCTAATGCTATCCCTTCCCTAACCCCCCACCCCCAACAGGCCCTGGTGTGTGATATTCCCCTCCCTGTGTCCAGTGTTCTCATTGCTCAGCTCCCACTTATGAATGAGAACATGCGGTGTTTGATTTTCTGTTCCTGTGTTGGTTTGCTGAGAATGATGGTTTCCAGCTTCATCCATGTCCCTGAAAAGGACATGAACTCATCCTTTTTTATGGCTGCATAGTATTCCATGATGTATATGTGTCACATTTTCTTTATCCAGTCTATCATGGATGGGCACTTGGGCTGGTTCCAAGTCTTTGTTATAGTGAACAGTGCTGCAAGTTTCATACGTGTGCATGTGTCTTTATAGTAGAATGATTTATAATCGTTTGGGTATATACCCCGTAATGGGATTGCTGGGTCAAATGGTATTTCTGGTTCTAGATCCTTGAGGAGTTGCCACACTGTCTTCCACAATGGTTGAACTAATTTACACTCAGGTGGGGAGCCTTTTTGGTAGACAGAGTTGTCAGTGCCAGGGTCCCAAGGTAGGAACAAGCTAGGTAGGTTTGCAAACAGCATGGCTAGAACATAGAAAAGGAGACAAGTAGCTCAAGGGGGTGTCAGGAAGGAAGCTCAAGTCCAACAGCCCTTTGCATACCAATGTGGAGAGTTCTAAGTTATTTTAAGCAGGGGAGTGATGTGTGATCTCAATTCTGTTTCTGTAAGCTCACTCTGGCTACCAGTGGAGAATGGAAGAGAGGGGGCAAGGGTAGAAGCCAGCAGTGCAGGAGAGAGGTGAGGGAGACTAGGCCCTTGAACAGGAGTAGTGAGAATAGAAATAGAGAGAGGCAGAACTGTATTTTAAAGCCTTGCTAAAAAGAAGTATTGTGCTTAGAAGACTGTAGTTGTACATTAGGGCAAGGGGCAGAAAGTAAGTGTCCAGAGAAATGACGCTCCTCGTTCCATACATTGTTGCTCTTGCTGGGCTCGCTGAGCTCAAAGAATGGCTGTTTTCTGTTGCAAAGGTTTAGACTATAAAGTACTGGCACTAACTCACGTTAATAGACAACCAGAGACAGAGCCATAAACCAGAGCGGGCCACGTGGAGCAGAAGGGTCCAGATCTTCACTTCAAAATGAACATCCCCTGATGGACTGATGGGGCCTGCAACCTTCCATCACTCAGTAAAATCTCTGCAAGCCATATGAAATGCCCGGCCTGAGCATATCTGTATTCTCCACTCATCCACACTCGGCCCCATCTCTTTATCTTCTTTGGTCCCATAGGAAATGTGTTGGAGATTTCAGAAACATGCTTATTTATAAGTCGCAACTAATTGAGAAGGCTGGCTATGGAGACACAGACAAAGTGACCGCACAAGGAGCTTCTAGGTCTGTTCATCCCTTTAGATTCCAGCTTCACTTGAATAACCATGGCTGTGGGTTTCTGCTGCTGTGCACCTGCAAGTCTTGCCTGTCTTGCAATATTCCTGACAATGCCATTTCCCCCAGCCTGTGTTTCTTGAATAATCTGCACTAAAGAAGCATATGGGACTTTGAGCATGTCTGCTGTGCAGCTGTAGGGTTGGGGAAGGCAAGTTCAAGTGTATAATATGGCTTTGGAATATGACTCAGGGCTAAACGTCTGCTCTAATGGTGTCCAGTGGGGTAGCTCACAGCCGAGATCCCCACACCCAAGCTGCTCAGACTCAGTGACCTCCTTATGCTAGGACTTGGGTTTCTAAGCTGGACTCTGTGAATAGTTTTATTTTTCATTTTTTCCTGATTATCCATTAACAACTGATCATTATGGAAAATTTAAAGAATTCAGAAGAAACTGAATGGGGCAGAAAAATGATTTCCTCATTACTCTATTATCCAGAGGCAAACCACTCTGTGTTTTGTGTATTTCCTTCTGGGCTTAAATTCTTTTTCTCTCCTACGTATTTCTTGCTTTTTTATGGAGCTGGGTTTATACCATATGTGCAAATTTGTATCCTACATTTTCCCACCTACCTTTTTCTCAAAATTCCTTTTGCATTGTATTAAACATTCTTGGTGATGCATTCCTTTATTCTCCAAATGTATACAAACAGTGATAACTACTTGGCATTACAGATACAGTGGCGACCAATCCAAACACCATCCTTATTCTAAGGGAGTTTTCAGTCTGGCAAAAATATGAAAATTTATTTTGATTTATTCTTTCTTTCTTGTTTTTATTTTCAGTAAGTCTTACTTTTATCAGCCATCAGAATGCCACTAAGGATGTATAAATGTGCATTGTAGGAATATGCCTCAGTGGGTTTATGTAACCTTTTATCTTGGTGTCTTAAAGTTAAGCAGAAAGCACTATGCCCTTTTTACAGATAAAGAAATGGCCACAGAAAAGGAATCAGTTTTGATGGTGAAGTATGAGTCAAGATCTTCTCATTTTGAGTCAAACTGTCATTCTTTCTTCAAATAATATTACTTGAGCAACAATCATGTACAAAATGTTCTGCTAGAGTATATGGGCCTAGCCATCAGAATTGCAAAGAACTTGGGCAACTCGTTCTTGCCAAGTGTTGGCTCATAACAATTTAAGCCTTAAGCAGCTTCCAATTTCAAAAACTTCCCCACCTGCAACATCAAAACATTGGGGAGGAGCTCCTCAAGCTTCCTTTAATCTGGAATATCTCTGATTCATACATTATCCAATTTTCTTCTTACCCTAACCCAGAGTATTGGTTAAGAGCCTGGACTTTGAACTTAGGCCACTTGGATTCAAACCCAGGCACCACTATTTAACTAGCCATAGGGATTTGGGCCATATCACTTTATCTCTGAGCCTGTGTCCTCACCTCTAAAATGGAGATGGTAATAATATGTGTCTCCTAGGTTTGTTATGAAAATTAGAAGCAATAAGACTTGTAAAGTGCTTAGCACACTCTCTAGCGCATGATAAGCATGCACAAACATGTAAACTCACAAGGTTGTCCGCATTATTCCACCACTGGAGAGTTTAACAGTCTCCACTTATTGGTTGATGCCACTGAGACTTTACATACTCAAAAGAAGCTGATCCTTCTTCTTTTTAACTTTAAATGGAAGTATGTATTCTTACTTTAATATATGAGGGAAGTGGAATACAGAGAGATGGCCCAACTATCCCCGATAGAAACCAGACCTGTTTTAGGCATTATACCGTTTTTGAGGGGTGGAGCAGATTGAGAGTATAAATGTTTATGTTTTCTCCCCTAATGCATGCATGTCTGGGTAATGTGGAGAACAGAAAGATCCTATGGTTTACCAGATGTTCCCACCAGAAATCCTTGGCTCCAGTGGGCTGAGGAACCAGTGCCGGGAAGGTTGCTGCAGACCAATGCCATCCCAACAAAGCCAGGTTTCAGTGACAGCAATGGACTGGTGATGTCTTGCATTGGATGGTCTGATCCTACGGTCACCCAGAGACTTCTGCAATCCACTTAGGGATATATTTTAGAAGAGTAACTCAAGGATGTGTCAGCAAGTTAATAGCTGCTATGATTGTGTGCTTTTACAATTATGAGGGCCATCAGGTACCATTATGGGGGAGAAAGTAAGGGTAAAATTGGCGCCTTTTCCCCATGACCAAAATTACCGTCAGGACAGAGCAGCCTGAGGGCAGCGCTATCAAGAGGGGAGAGCCCCAAGTTGTCTGATTGGTGATGATGGCAGGTTGGTGATGCTTCTTACCACATTGCTATCCTAAGCAGCAAGTGGTCCCACCTCAGATTTGCCTCTACCATTCCTGCCAGGAAACCAGATGGCAGGAAGAGCCCATGAATCACCTCTCTGGGATAAGCAGAACAGTACTTGTGTATTCTTGCCTTTGTGGTTGCTTATTCTTTCACAATTCCAATAAGCAGGCCAGTGTCAATTGCCTGCTGGAGAATGCACTTGATTCTTCCGTGTACAGTATCAGAATATGATTTTTAGTTTTAATGGTAAGAAATACGAATAGTATTCACTCTTTTCCTCATTCCCACAGCTGTGACTGGACTTTTGGCCTCTGATGATCAACATAAATCCCACCTCCATCCCACTGATGCTTTTTAACTTTAAGAGGCTCTTCAGTACCACCGGAGTTTTCAGGGGATAGAGTGGATCCCTAGAAACCGATCAAGGGCCAATCTGCAGTGAGTTACCCAGGAGTTTAGAGATTCCCTTCGTTTAGGTCTGTTGAGTTTAATCAATATTTATTATCTGAGCACATCCTTTGTGAACATCCCTCTGCTAGAGTCAGGAAATTAGAGATGAAACACTCATGGCCTGTGCCTTAGAGGAACTCTCCATTGAGCAGTGGAGACAGGAGAAAATGGAGAAGGAGAATGTGCTCTGCTGGACCCAGAGGAGAGACTTGGGGAGCCCTCAGCAGAGGCCCTTAACTCCTTTTTAGAAACAGGGAAAACTTCCTGGAAAAGGAGACGTTTTCATCTAATCATTCATCATGTCATATATTCATTCAATAAACATTTATTGAGCCCTTGCTATATGCCAAGCTCAGCACTACGTTCAAGGGACTCAGGAGCCAATGAGTCAGACAGTGTCCTGCCTTCATGGAGCTTCTATATAATCTTGAGGAAATCCAGAAGGAATTCCAAGGACAAAATAAGTGATGGGATGGAGAAGAGGGAATGACATTTAGATAGAGCAACAAGGACAAAATAATAATATGCTCTGCTTCACATGTGCAGAGAACTAGAGTGACTTTCAGTTAATACTTATGGATTGAAATACCAGTAGTCTCTGACTATAGAAGGTAGGCAAAGGCAGAACCTTCAACCCCTCTAGATGAGGTTAGAGAATTTACTGTTTTACCACAGATGTCCCTGTGTTAAAATCTAGCACTTCATTAGTAGGTAGTCAATGGATTCTAGCACTCAGCACTTAGTAGATGGTCAATAAATTTTTGTTGAAACATTAAGTGAATTAATGTTGGGCCAAACTGAACCCTGGTCTTTGGATACATGATACTTGTTTCAACTCCCATAGAGAGCAAAGGAAAAAAGTATTTAATCATTAATGAATTTCAGAGATGAACACTGAATTAAAGCTGATCTTAGCCACATGGCTGACACTCTGTATTTACATCTTAAGTGCTAAATGCCAGCATAGATTTGCAAATTCTGAGTTGATTTTCATGGCTGATGCAGTTGAATGGGGCTGTGAGTAATTTTCAGTTCAGCTGTCCAGCAATTTTTAGTGGTTTAACAAGAATTTATTGAGCACACACTAGGTGCTAAGTACTGTTCTGAGATATCCCCTAGTCCAGAATATTCAGAAAATGGGGAAAAACCCTGTGTATTGATATCATTCATTCATTTATTTAGCCAACATTCTCAGAGCCCAGTTGTGACAGATGCTGTAGTAGATGCTGGGTCATGGAGATTAATAAGGTGAGGTCCTGACCCTTGAGGTGCCATCACTTTGGGAAGCTTTTCTGGACCTCTTATTCTTCCCAACAGAGAAAACCCCAACATCTCTGTGCTTTATGTCTGTAATGAATCTCTCTTGTTCTGTGTCCATCCCTGAACTGTGGGCTGCTCCGGTGTAGATACTCCATGTTGTTCAACTTTGATTCTTCTGTGGTTTGATAAAGACTCTGCAACAAGAAACTGAATTCAACTGAGAACTCACAACCTGCTGGGGAAACAGACATGGGACACAACAATGCATCAGCATCTTTCAGAGTCTGTGGACAGGGCATTGTGGGGTTAAGAGCTTTAATAACTGGGATTACTTGGGCAATGAGTGTTGCAAAAACATCACAGAAGAGACAGCATTTGAGCTGGGCCTCAGAGATGATAAGGATTTTGCTGGGAAGAAAAGAATCCTGTGAAATGGAAGGAAGTTTTTGAAGGAGCACTGGCGTACTTATTGTACTCCTGCAGGGTTCACTCCATCCATTATCCTATAGGTCTAGGGTATGTGCTCACATACCCTAGGATGTGCTCACACTCCAGGATTGTGCTGGATGTAGCTGACCTGATGTTGAGATTGTTTCTTACTCTTCATTATTTCTGACTGCCCATTTTACAGGTGGGAACCCTGGTTCCCAGAGTGGGAAATACATAGTTGAAGCAGAGGTGGCTGAAAATTCTTGATTTCTATGCTCCTGCCTTTAAACCTAGCCGCTTCTTATTCCCTGTGTTCTCTTGCCAGGTGTAGTCTTGGAGTTTCCTGTAGGCTTGGAGAGGATTTCCTTTTGGATGGTGTTCAGATGGAGCAGACATGTTACTTCCTTATCTGCTGCTGTTGTTGAAGAGTGGCCAGCTGCATCTTTGGGTTTCCAAGATACAGCTGAACAGCCAGAGAAGACCTACTCTCCTCTAATAATAAAGATTGTTCTCTCTTTCAGATTTATGTTAATATGGGACAATCCTAGACTGAGTGAGCACAGCTTTAGTATATGGTCAAAGAGACTGGGAATGAGGAGGTTAAGGATGGCTGGAACTGGAGGAATTGTGTCTTCTAGCCAGTTGTTTATCAGGGTCATGGTTGTCCTCTTCCCAAAGCCATACCTTATATCCCATACACAGGCACACACACAAAAAATACTGCATCAGGATTTGGTCCAGGGTTCATCTTGGAAAGTGAATTAATGTGCAAATTAAAATGCAAATTGAATTATGTAAACAGATATGAAAATGAGACAATAAGAAATAATTTAGCCTCCTTTCCCTTTATTGTATCACACACAGTAACATGAGCAAAGTTCTTGGAGTCTTATTAAACTCCAAACAAGAATCTTATTTTCAAATCATTTTTTATATAGTCACTGCCCAGTCTTCCCCACTAGGGGCAGGGCAGCGAGGGAAAGCCCTCACTCACTGAGCACTTATTTGCCAGGCCTTGTGGTAGGCAACTTGACAATTGTTATCCAGTTCAACACTCACCACGGCACTATAAGGAGTAAGTGATTGATCCCTATTTTACAGATGAGGAAACAAAAGCTCAGAGAAGTTAATGGCCACACCCAAGCTCACTCAGTCTTGAAAGTGCAGAGCTGGAATTTGTATGTGACTTGATTTAAGGCTAAATTGATATAAAAAAAATCCATTTCTCTTTCTGGTTTTAATTCTGCTTTCATGAAGTGAGGATTCGTCTTCTCTCCCTCACTCAAAACTCTTTTTAAGTCTACTGTTGATAGCTTTAGTGGCTTTAACTATTATTGTTCACATCCAGTGGGGAAGATAAATTTGCCCATGGAAGATGACGAGAACTTGTGTTTCGCAGAAGTTCTCACAAATGTCTCACTGACACTGATTGTTTCATGTGCTGATTGGCTAAAGCTCATGTTTGAGAATAAGGATGGGGACAGGATGATGTTCCCACGTGGAAATCAGGATCTCATTAAGAGAAATGGAAGAATTCCTGCTGTGCAGGCAACCACAGATGTCTGCTATACGGTGTCTGGAAGATACTGGTTGTGAAAGTAAATTTTGGGAAATAAACCAAAAAAATTAGAGGCTAACAGAGCCATTAAGCTTGTACAGTGACACCATATAAATCCTCAATAACATAATTAACCTAATGTAAATAAATTAAGCCCCACTTTGCTAATATATTGGGTTTCTCAGCTTACAAAATGTTTTCTAAACACTTTGAGTCTCAAGGTATTACTTTGATGTAGGTTTTATTATTTTCATTTCATATGATAAGGAAAAAAAGACTTCAAGATGTAAAGTCAAGAAACAATGTGGTAGGAACTTGAATTGAGGGCTTTATATGCATTTTCTTAGTGGTCTTTTCACTATCACACTCCCAAGTTTGAATACTAGAACCACTTTCCAATCAATGCAGAACCATTACAACTGGCAGGTAGACTATAAAATAAGCTGGTGTGAAGCAGTTTACACCACCCACCCACAATTCCTGAGAATGTTCAGGGCATTCGGGGAGTCAGTGTTACATGACACAGTTCTGGATTCACAATGCCATGGGTCCTGGCTCCAATGCACATTGGCTGTGTGACTTGGGCAAGTTATTGGATCACTCGGAACTGAGTTTCCTCACCTCATAAACTGGAAATAACCCTACCTCATCTATATTTCCAAATGAATAAGTAGAACATTGTAAATAAAGAGCTCAGAACAGTGCCTGGCATATTGTAGACATTCAGAGAAATATGGACATTTGGGATGGATGACTGCCTCAGTTTTCTTGGGACTGAGGAAGTTCCTGGCATGAGGAACTTTCCGTGTTCAAAAAGGGAAGGCCTCAGATAAATTAGAGCTAGGTGTTCACTTTGGGTGACATCAATAATTGTGATTCTGAGAATGAGATGGCTCAGAAAAAGGAATACTCTTATGCTTTGGTTGAATTATTTGGTTTAAACTAAGATATGATAAGTCCAAACACACTAAGATTTCCCATCTAAATGTTAACTGCTGTACTACTGGTCAGAGTGGCTGTCCTCAGGATTGAGTTTGACACATTAGGTAAACATAGCCCTGCTGGAGGAGTGTCAATAACTGGAAGGTCATGTGCAGAGGTGAAGGTGCTCTGAATTGGGAGCTGGGACTCTAGATGGTCACCAGGCTGCTGCTCTGGGTAAGTCCTGCACCTCTGTTTCCATTTTGGAAAAAGGGGCAAACTAGATAGCAAAAAACAATATGCATTCCTTTAGTTATTTACAGTTCACAGGTGCATTTTCTTGCCACTATCTCATGTGACCCTCACTACAATGCAGTGAAGATGATGTCACCCTCAGTATTTGCTGCCCCCAATTTACAGATGTGGAAAATGAGGCTCAAATGAGACAGAGCATCTTTCCCAAGGCCTCACAGCCAGGAGGTGCCCCCGACAGAACTCAAGCCTAATTCTAGAGCACATCTCTTTTTCTTGTTACCTCTCTGCCTAGCTGAACACAGAGGTCCCTTCCTCTTTCATGATCTCATGACACTGAAACTCAAAATTGTGGCCTTTTAGTCTAAGGGGTAAAAGTCAAAGCCTTGAGCTAAAGTTCCTTTGGCTAAACATCTTTTTGGAGCATTACTTCATCATCTCTCTGACCTTTGCAGGCACAGGGGAAAATAGGCAAGGGTTTCTCTCTCCATTAGAAGAAAAGAACTTCTATGACCTCTGTGGAATAAGAAAACGTGATGGTTTCATGGGCAGTGATTGCTCTGAGCAGAAATTAGCAGAATAGAAACAGATCATCTAAGTGCAGACCATGACTTGGGAAAATTTTTAATTTAGCGGAAACCTAATTACTCATTTATATGTAGTACACTTTCTCTCTTTTCTCCAGAACATGTGTGCGTGCACACACACATAAAGCTAATTATGATCCAAAGGTTCCTCTGGAAAGAGTAGTTAATTGGTTCTAAGAATACCTCCATCAACAAAAACAGTGACACCCTTGTCCTGGGTTCTGTGGAGTCAGCAGGAAGCCTTGCCTATGAATTCTCAGTTGCAAAGTAAACCTTTATTTCAGTACAACATGTTTTATGGTGCCATAAAAGAGGAGGAAAGTCAATAGTTCTATCTAATATCAACGGAACCAAGAAAATACTTTACTGATTCTCTACTGTTTAAAGGGCAAAAGAATATGAATAGTTACACTTAACAAAGTATTTGAAAATCTTAGAGGTTTGACTTCAGCTTTTGCTCAAGCAATTGAGGCTGCCATATTGAGGTAGATAATGCATGATTACTTCCCCCATGAATGCGTAAAACCTAGGAACCAAGACAAAATTTCTTTGCTAGAGAATTTGGAGGTGGCTTGCATCTCTAATTGTATTCAACTATCAAACTATTGAGACTCATTAATTGAACAAATATATTGAGACTCATTAATTGAACAAGTATTTATTTGTGCAGGGCTGTATTCTGGGCCCTAATGGTTTGGTCTGCAAAGGGAAAGGAGACCAGGGTTAGACAGGAATTTCCGTTAATGAGACTCCAAATTTGACCCGAGAGAATTGCCTGGCTATATCTTTAATACATACATTTCTTACCCTTGCCACTATCATAGCCCCAACTCAAGATCATTGCTTCCTGAGGCAGCTTCCTGTCTTCAGATCTGCCTTTCACTCTCTCTAAGCATTCAGAGAGACTGTTCCAAAATGAGCATATGGTCTTGACCCTCCTTCTGTCTTGAATCCTTTCCTGGTTCCTTATTGTCCTTAGAATAACACACAAGCTTCTACGCAGCCTGCGCAACATGGCCCCCTGCTTACCCTCCCTGCCTGATATCTTCCCTCCCACACTCACCTCCCTCTGCACTTGATCTCTCTCCTTCTTGATCTCCCTTTCATTTTGGAAACATATTCTCCCCTCTCTTGCTTCCAGGTCTTTGCATGTGCTTCTTCTAAGGAAATGTTCCAGTATTGCCAGTGCAGATTATGCGTGTATGAACTTTAAGTGGCCAAATAGAAAGATTTGGTGATTGCAACCATGAACTTGTGATGAGGAACAGGGCAAGTGACACTCTTTGCTTGTCAAATGACTTTAAGCCAATATTCTCCCCTTTCTTCTATGGTATTTATTGGTTCATATAATTATGGAGGCAGCTAAAGTCATGCATAGAATAGCTCAGGACTTTCACTGGAGGGACTGTATCATTTTTGGCTTTTGAAGGTGAAAGGAAAATCCATTAATGATCCTCTCAGGACAATAGGTGTAAACTGAGATAATCCAAGGCTGCTCCCACAAGGTGGCAACAATCTCCCCCAGCCACTCGTTGATTACTGTGGCTGGAGTGAGGGGTGCTCTGATTGGCCAGGCCTGAGCCCCATGTCTACCCCTGGAATCACCCCACCTGAATGCCAAAAACTGTGAGTTGGGGTGGAGTTGTTCCCCAAACTGGAAATTAGGTGCTTGTGTGCCATTTGAAGGAAGGGTTCCTGGGTGGTCAACACAATAAAAGTGTACATGCCTTTGGTAGCTGTAGTTTTGGATTAGCAGTGAGGAACAGAAATGGCATAATAACTTTACAAAAGAAAGAATGTACATTTTGATGACTTCTATAAAATGGGAGATTATTTTGTTCCAGATTAAATGCTTTACAGTTACAGCAAAAAGCCAGCAACTGTTAACTATAAGGGAAACCTGATGGGGGGTATATGAGTATTCTGTACTGTTGTTGAGATTTTTCTGCAAATATGAAGCTGTTTTAAAATAAGAAAAGTTTACTTACAAAAAGACCAGCTACCAATGTAACACATATCTTATTATAGACAATAAATACTTTCAATTAAAAGTCATATCACACAGCTTTCAGGTAAACAAAATAAAATTCTGTATTTTTCAGGGGAGAGAGAGAGTGACTTCATCTTTGATGGTGACAATAAGCATATAGCAAACATTTTTGCAGAGGGTAGTGGAAATGGAAAGAACTTTAAAAATTCGCTTCAGTTTACCTTGGTTTAAGAAATGCTCTCTTCTTTTTCTGAATGTCTGTGTTTGTCAGAAAAGGAAAAGTAGGGACCCAGGACTTATTCTGTATTTTGGTTTTATTTGTACATACATTTGTTTGTCTCAGCTGTACTATATCTTGTAGTTATAGCACTTAATTATTATACAAACTGATGAAATATGAGTGCAAAAGGAGAGACGATGAAGTATAAGATAAATGCTCCGCACAGTCTTGATAAAGACAACTTACTAACAAAATTAATGTTGAATTAGGTGTGAGGAAGACAACTGTAAAAGTTCGAGGAAAACCTCATAGGAATCTACTAGGGTCTTAGTCAGATTTCTTTCCAAGTGTTTTAAGTTATCACTCCCCTCCAGTGAAAAACCAGGAGTTATGGCTTACAGAAGTAACATGATTTGAATGTCAATGACCAAACCTATCATCAAAGAGAAGATCTGAGCCTTAAAAGAAAAGATTTGTGATGACATAAACATTTACATATATTTCAGCTAAATAGATGTTAACCCATTGCAACAAATTTTCCAATTAAACAACCAACTTTGAATCCATTCATATTGAATAGAAAGGTTTTATTCTATTGATGAATTGTAATAAATAAGAAAAATCTAGTTGTTGACTTCTTTTCTAGCTTGTAAAAGCTGTTCTACATGTGATGTGTTTTTCCTGAACGCCATTAACCTAAGAACCAGAGTTATTTCTGATAGTACAAAGCAGAGCTTTGGAGAGATGCACAGTTTTGGCTTGGAGGCAATAAATTTCCACAGTTGTTTATCCTTCCTCTATCCTTATTACTGGAGAGTGCGTTATTCATGCCATATGAGTCAATTGAAATGAGAAAAATAAATTATTTGAGCTCATTTATATGTCATAGGGGTACGTAACTTCACAAAAATCCCACAGCGTTTATATTTTTAGAAACTTCCTGCCATAGATTTGGTTCTAGATTTGAGCCTTTGTGTCCAAAATTTGCGGATTATTTACACTGCAGATCACTCATTATGGATTCCTCTTAGGCCATTCCCTTGCCCTTATGAATAATAATTGTGCTGACTCTCTTACCACCTCTTTCTTACTATCAGTGAGAGGTCCTTAGATAACGTATAATTCTTTGAAGATAGGCCTGAATTTGCTACTGTTTAAATAGTAGCCCCATAATAACATTGTTTCCTGTGTGTATAGTACTTGTTTGGTTTACAAGTGTTTTTACATGCATTTTCTTATTTGAGCCACATAATAAACCTCTTTACATCCTTGTTATAATTGAGAAATCTGAAATTCAAATACTGCAAGTAATTCATTTGATATTCCTTAATTAATAATTGGTAGACCTGGTATTCAGATTAGGAACTTCTGAATTCAAAGCCAAAGCTCTTTTCTGAAACACCAACACAAACATAAAGTAATTCAAGTTTATTTGTTCCTTTTGGTTTACTCGTGTCACAAAAATCTTTTGTTACCTTCTGTGAATGCATTTAACAAAGAGTTTATAGAGCATTAATTATACGCTAGACAATTGGTTAAAATAGATATACATTGTTAAAAAGCAGAAGCCTTATTCTGGGGATGTTTGGGGACGGAGATTGGACCACAAACAACACTCACACGCTGAAGTTCATACTTGAAATTCCCTATGCTTGGTTTTCACATGCATCGCATGTAGCATGCAAAACTCAGGGAAACACAGATATCCATTTTAGCACACTGCCATTGGTTAACTGCACAGTTATCAGTAAGCAATATGATGGTGTGAATGTGTGCTCTTAATAATTGCCACCATTTCCCATGGAGTGAGCATGTATTTATTTACTACATTATTACTGAAAAAAAAGTCTGTGACTTTCTGGTAACTATGTAATTAACTTGTACCTCACTATGTTATTGTAGCTTAAACTGCATCTGGTGACTTCTAAAGAGTTGTTAGGAACAATGCAGACCATGCTTTGTGGTTCTGTCCAAGAGAATGCTTATGTGTTGAGCATATTTGTAGTTGATTATTTTTGAGCCAACTGTTGGTGTCAATTTCAATTTATTGTGGGCTTGTGCCAGAGAATACATGCTTCAGCAGAAAATATCCCTTCTTTCTCTACTTATTTCTTGCACTTTTTTTCTACTGACTATATTACTCTTCTCATTCAAATATCTGCTAGATTTGTTCAACAAAGCAACCCCAATGCCTGTCCTTTATATACTTCATAAACTGTGAAGTTTACGATGTAGTTTTATGAATGAGCAGCATAGCCATCCTGAAATGGATCTCTTTGCAGGTCTCATTTTTAAGAGCTTTTCTTGTCTGAGTGGCTGAATACTTTTTGTTAATCTAATTTATATGTTTAATGTAATCTTGCTATCATATAGAACACTGAAATAGAAGAGAATTGCTTTATCCCTCTTTCTGCTTCACTAACTCAGTGCATATTAACATCTGTCATATTTTCTTTCAGTGTTTTTTCTTGCATATCTGTGATTTAAAAAATACATGCATAGTAGTAACCACAGTTTGCAGATTTTTTTTTTTTTTTTTTTTTTTTTTAGACCACGTGTCTGTCGCCCAGGCTGGAGTGCAGTGGCATTATCTTGGCTCACTGCAACCTCTACCTCCCAGGTTCAAGCAATTCTCATCTCTTAGCCTCCCGAGTAGCTAGGATTACAGACGTGCACCACCATGCCCAGCTAATTATTTGTATTTTTAGTAGAGATGCGATTTTGCATGTAGTATGCAGAACATTTTATATCATTTTTCTTCCCTTAATATTATAACTTTCTTTTTCTGTGCTCCAACATCGTCTTATAAACATCTTTTGAAATGTAATGGATGGATATTTTTTCCCATTCTTTTGGATAAGTAAAGCTAAAAACTTTGGATATTATGTATAATATAAGCAGGAGAAGACATTGAAAGGTGGAGAAAAGAAGGCAACTTGTTGGAGGCCTCAGGACTCAGAGTATGACATGACAGTGGGATTCCTGGGTTTTCTTTTGGTCTCATCTATCCCAGGACTGGCCTCTTGAGGAGTTGGCAACCTGGAAGTGTCAATGAATGCAAGTGAAAAGAGTCCCAAGACAAGATTGCTTACAGCCAGAGGACCAGGAAAGGGCAGCCTAGCAAGAAAAAAAAATTTTCAGACATCAACTACCAAACACCATTGTAAAAACAGTAGCCCATTCCATCTTATCAGCCAGGGCTGTGCAGGAAGCTTTGACTTTCACCCTCACCAAGATGTAAGGAGGTGCCCAACCCCCTTGCCTGGGTGGCATCAGAAAAGGTAAAGTAGGACCTTGAGAATTTCATCCTCGATGGTCAGCAGGGAGTCCAACTCCCCCACACCCCTCACCTCCCTACCACCATCCACCCCACTACCAGCCAGAGTGGTACCAGCAGAGGCCTGGCAGGGGCCTGAATTCCCACTTCTGCCCAGCAGTCATGAGGAATCCTCCCCCTTTCTGAGTCTCAGCGGAGGCTGAGTGGAGTATCTGGACATCCACCTTCGCCTGATAGTGTCAACATAGTGCCATTCTTTTCCCTCTGGCTTGGTATCAGAGGAAGCCCTCTAAAACAAGGACTTTAAAGGAAATCTAGAGTTTCATAATCCAAATGTCTAGGATTCCATTAAAAAAATCACTTATTATATAAGAAATCAGAAATTTTGAATAAGAAAATATAATTAAAGAACACCATTACCTTGATGACAGAGATTCTAGAATTGTCTGGCAATGATTTTAAAGCAGCCATTACAAAAATGCCTCAGTGAGAAATTATGAACATGTTTGGAAAAAAAGAGAAAAAAGTAGAAATTATTGGCAAAGAAGATATAAAGAACTGAATAAAAATTTTAGAGCTGAAAAATACAATAAACTGAAATAAACAACTCATTAGATAGTCTCAATAACAAAGTGGAAGGACACAGTAAAAAATATCAGTGAAACAGAAGACAAAATAATGGAGAATTTTCAAATCTGAATAACAGAAAAAAAATTGGAAAAGAATTGAACAGAGCCTCAGAGAGCTTTGGGACTAATACAAAAGACTGAATATTAACATTGTTGAATTCCCAGAAGAAGAGAAAGAAGGCATAGCTGAAATGTCTTTAAAGAAATAATTGCTGCATTTCTTGAATTTGACAAAACACATAAACCTACAGATTCAAGATACTGAGTGAACCTCAAACATGATAAACCCAAGAAATCTGAACACGATAAGCCCAAAGAAATCCAAAGTACAATAGTACAAGATATAAGAGATAGCCAAGACACACCATAGCAAAACATTTAAAAACTAAAGACAAAAATTCTAGAAATCAGTGAATTAGGGCCGGGCGCGGTGGCTCACGCCTGTAATCCCAGCACTTTGGGAGGCCAAGGCGGGCGGATCACGAGGTCAGGAGATCGAGACCATCCTGGCTAACACGGTGAAACCCCGTCTCTACTAAAAATACAAAAAAAAAAAATTAGCCGGGCGAGGTGGCGGGCGTCTGTAGTCCCAGCTACTCCGGAGGCTGAGGCAGGAGAATGGCGTGAACCCCAGGGGGCGGAGCCTGCAGTGAGCCGAGATTGCGCCACTGCACTCCAGCCTGGGCGACAGCGAGACTCCGTCTCAAAAAAAAAAAAAAAAAAAAAAAAAAAAAGAAATCAGTGAATTAGAAACAACATTTTATTTACAGAGAAAAAACTATACAAATGACAACACACTTCTCATCAGAAACCATGGAGGCCAAAAGAAAATGGCATATTTTTTAAGTGCTGAAAGACAAGAACTATGTCTTTCCAAAATTAGTCTATATCCAGAGACAATATCCTTCTAGGATGAAGGTGTAATAAAGATATTCTCCGATGAAGTAAAACTAAGGGAATATGTTGCTAGCAAGGGAGGTAGGTGCTCAGAAAGAATTCCTCTAAAAAGAAAGTAAATGACAAAAGAAGTCTTGGGTCATCAGGAAGGAAGGAAGAACAACAGAAAGAGTAAAAATACCAGCAAATACTGAAGACTTTCTTCTCTTGATATTTCTAGATCATGTTTGATGATTGAAGAAAAAAAATATAACACTGTCTAATGGGGTTAAAAAAGTATATCAAAGCAGGAAATGTCTAAAATAATTACATTATTGTTGGGAGAAAGCAAACGGAAATAAGCATGGGGGTGTGTAACTATAAAGGAGTAGTATAATAATCTTTGTGGGAGGTAATACTTCTGTATCTTGCAGAAGCACTTACAGAAATCTACACAAGTGATAAAATGACATAGAACTACACACGCACACCCATGCAAATTTGTGCATGCCCATGCCTGTCCCCCCACCCCCACACACTGTACCTCTGTCAATTCCTGATTTTGATATCGTATGATAGTTGTATAAGGTGGAACCATAGAAGGAACCTTGGTGAAGGGTATACAAGACCTCTCAGTACTATCTTTCAAATCTATAATTTAGATAACTAATAATTATGCACTGACAATCAATAATTATATCAAAATAAAATGAATCGTTAATAGATAAACAAATTTTGTTGCATCCATACAGTAGAATATTACCCAATAACAACATGGATAAATCTCATATGCATCATGCTAGGTGAAAAAAGGCATACACAAAAGTTTGTGTACTGTATGATTTCATTTATATAGTGACCTAGAAAATGCAAAACCATAGGGAAATAACTATACCAGCGGATTCCCTGGGGCAGGAAGTGAGTATTGACTATTTGAAGGAAATTTCGAGATGATGCAAGTTTTATATATCTTTTCTTAAATTAAAAAATAATTTAGAAATAAAGTCTCATTATGTTGTCCAGGCTGGAGTGCAGTGGCTATTCACAGGCATGATTACAGTGCACTGCAGCCTGGAACTCCCGGGCTCACGTGCTCCTCCTGCCTCACTCTTCCCAGTAGCTGGGACTCCAGGCAAGTGTTACATACCTTGATGACAATGGTTACATGACTGTATACATTTCTAAAAATTTACGTTTTTAAAATGTATAAAACTCTGTGTAAATTATATGTCTACACACCAAGTTTAATAAAAATGAAAAAAAGCATCTTGAAATCCTAAACTATACCCACAATAATTATGTATGTTGTTTTTTATTTTTTACCATAAAACATTATGTGGTCATAAACACCTATGAGCAAAATAACATTGTTTTCCCAGGATCTTTGTATTACTTCTGTAGACTGCACTCCCAGAAGTTGTATTACAGAGGTGGATGGAGAAGAGTAGAGGAATAAATTTTAGGCACATTTTTACAGGAATATTTGCATATGCAAGTATGCAAAATTACCTCCCAGAAGTATATATATTTTTAGCCAGTTTATAATGCCACTAAAGTTTTGAAAGTACTTCTTTCCCCCACACCCTTGTGGGCGATAGAATTTTGATTGCTACTGTCAGTTGGTTCCACTTGGCTCAGATATCTCTTCCTGATAATTGAAGGGTTTGCACTTATTTGAGACCTTGTAATTATGGCATATAGGATTAGCAGAGCAGAACTGAACCCACACTATTTACCGTTTACTAAACATCCCCTTGAACATTCACACACACGTATGACAAGCTACAAACACTCTTCATTGATAACTATAGTGTCATTCTGGTAATTATCATTAATTTTATTTACCAGAATATTGGTGATGTCTGCAGACAGGAGAATTAGTGGGGTATCTTGTTTCGGTTCTGGAGTGAGTCCCCTTCTTTTAATTTTTATTCTTTGTCCTTTGCCTCTCTGTTATTTTCACATTATCTCCTTGTCCTATTCAATTGTGTCTATCATTCCATTTTACATTTAAATGATATCTTGATTTTGCTTTGGGTTAATTCTCACTCTGTCAGAAATGTGACTTGATCTGTCACAAACTGCCCAAAATACACATTTTAGGATCTTGCATCTTCATCTACTATTTTCCTATGTTTGCAATGATGTCTTTTCCTATTTTCTGTTATTGGATACCTGTGGCACTTTACTCCAAGGAGATGTAGTTTTCTCTAATTTTTTTCTGCAAAATATGCCTACTGTAGTAGACATATTTTGAGGTGCTTTGTCTTTGGTCTGCAATGATGAGCTGTGTTTTATAGTCGCTCCTGGCTTTTCCTTGAATATTAATAATTCTGGGGTAAGCATCTCCCTAAAAGAATTATCCCCTACTCAGGAGAATCCTTCTACTTCCTTTTTGCTTCCTCCCTAGACCTAATACATGAGCATGTTTTCACTTGCTTTACCTCATTTAACTTTCAGATTACTCTCAGAAGGAGATTCAAATACTCCCATTTTGCATGTGAGACAGCCAGATGGGAAAGGGTCCACAGAGAAACTCCAACCAGCCTGCATACTGGGAGGAGTGCACACTGGGGTGGAGCCACAGAAGTTCTCACCATTTGCAGTGGGGAAGAGCCTGGCCCTTCCTATTCCTGGGTGGTAGCTGGGATTCAATTGTGAAGCAGGAAGCACATACTAGGAAGACTCTGGCTCTGCTGCGTCCCTGTTCTGCCCCCATTTTTCCTTTTGCTCAATAAATCCCATTATTCTCACCCTTCAAATTGTCTGCGAGCCTAATCTTTCATGGCCTTGTGACAGGGAGCTTGTCTTTAGCTGAACTAAGGAAGAGTCCCACACCACACGCACACAATATAATGACAAAGCCCTCCCCACCAGCACTACTACTACTGCCAAGAACTGTCCTCTAAACAGTGTGACCCAGCTTTGTGGAGAGTTGGCCAGATGGGCGTCACCTGAGCTCAAGGACAATCTCCTCTGCTCTGGTCTTGCCTCATGCCCAAGCTGGATTTGATCCCAGGTCTCTTGACTTCCCTTCTTTCCTCCCTACTTATTCCCATGCTGGATTTGAGCCCAGGTCTCTTGACTTTCTTTCTTTCCTTCCTTTCTTCCTTCCTTCCTTCCTTCATTCCTTCCTTCCTTCCTCCCTCCCTCCCTCCCTCCCTCCCTTCTTTCCTTCCTTCCTTCTTTTCTTCCTCTAATGTCTATTGAGCACATATTAAATGCCAGCTTCCTTCTAGGATTTGGAGTTTTTCAATGAAAAAAAAAGTGGACTCCTGCTTTTGTGATATTTGAATTCTAGTGAGTGGACACAGACAGACTACAAAGCATAAATGTTATAAAGTGGTGAGGGGTGGTTGCTATAGACAAAAAAGTATAAGGGAGTGTAGGGGATATCAGGAGTTCTGGGGGATGATGGGATTGCAATTTCAAATGCAGAGGTTAAGATAGACCTCATTGAAAAGGTGACATTAGAGCAAAGGCTTGATGTCTATGTGAAGAGCATTCTGGACACATGGAGCAGCTGGTGCAGAGGACTGAAAGTGGAACATGGGTTGATTGTGGCTTAGCAATGAGGGGCAGTGCAGACAGAGGTGCAAAGAGGCATCAGGGGGGCCTAGTCATGAGAGGCTCTGCAGGTCATGGTTGGAATTAGATCTGGTGCTGTCCCTCTATGTTGTGGTCAGCAAGATGATTTCACCAGCAGCTTATTCAATATGCTTTCTAAGAAAATCATCATTTAACCAGTTAGTGTGGATTCTCCTGGCCAAATCCTAGTGTGCAAATATGCTGGAAACATTCAATCTTGTTTCCAGCAAGGCTTGGGATAATTTAGAAACTGTTCAATCAACTCAGTAAATATGAATTAAACATTTACAGTTGTATTAAATATTCGAAAGATAGGAACCAAAACAGTCTATCAAGTAATTGTACATATTTGTGCATTTACAAAATGCATATTCATGAGAGCTATGTAAATATATATTTAGTCATTTCCTCTTTCATGTGAAGTGCTATGGCTGAACTACAGATGGTAACTTTCTTGTGTCTGATTATGAAAATGGCACAGTAAAGCATTCTGACATTGTCCTTAGAAAAAGATCATTGTTTGGCCATTACCATGAGTTCAGTGTTCTTGGAACTAGGGAGAAGAAAGTTCTAGAACATGTCTGTTTTTGTGGCAGGCATCTAGGGAGGAAAGGCAGTTATTTCTAAGATACGTGGCTCTCATACTTTTTCCACCAAGGGTCACAAAAAGGAGGAGGTTTATGTGTAGGACATGCTGAAGTCCTGTGGGCTCTGTATTCCAGCCACAGTGCCACCCTTTCTTTCTCTGTCAGGAAAGCATAGTGGGAGGGTAGGGAGTGAGCATAATGACATTTTGGGTTAATATTTAATTCATTCTAATTTATTCAAAAACGTGTCTAACTTCTCATGATATCTATTAATACTAACATGACTGGCAACCCCTCACAACTGCCTCTGACAACTCTTGTGGGTCCTTCTGCCACATCTAAGGACTCTCTGGATAAGGAGATGGTGAGAGAACACACATTCTAATTTTGTCTTTGTGTGAAGGTCTTATGTGAAAATCTTTCTGGGAATTAGAGTTTTCTAAAGGAATCTCTATTTCCTAAGGTCCTGATACTCTTACTAGCATTTGCCAGTTAATTCTGTGAGACCCAAATGTGTGCAGGGCCTGGACACTTTATCTCATACTAGGTCTCTTCCTTAACCATCCACTATTCCCCAAATATTTACACAGGTGGACTGCGTAGTTAGACTGATATTTGTGTCAGCCTTGAAAACTCAGGATGACTCTCGAAGCCGACTGCTCATGAAGTATCGTTGCTTGGATCTCCTCTTTTGGAGACTAAGGGAGCTTGACTGTGTGCAAGTTAGCAATAAGGACTGACTACTGGATTAGGTGGACCACGTGAATATCATCTTGTGGTGGCCTTTTGGGATCTTCTGATCTCACTCAGAGTAAAAGCCAAAGTCCTCACTATGACCTAGAAAACGCTTTGTGATCTGTGCCCCCAGGTCTATGACTTCACCTCTAACTAATCCCCCTCACTTGCTTAACCTCCTTCCTCAATGGCCTCTCTGCTAGCTCCTTGAACCACCCCAGGCCCTTTGCACCTGCTATTCCCTCTCCTCAGCATGCTCTGCCCCAGACAATTGCAATGCTAACTTCTTACTTCCTTCAGGTTTCACTCAGAAATGACTTTCTCAGTGGGGTCTCCCATGACCATTTTATTTAAGATTTCAACTACTTTGCCAGTATTTCACTTCTCCTCCCTTGATCTTTTCTTCCAAGCACTCACTGCCCTCTTGCACACTGTATCTTTTACTTATTTATCTTGTTCAGTTTCTGCCTGCCTCACCTGCCTCACCACAGTGTACATTTCACGAGGGCAGGGATTTTGTCTGTTTTGTTGATTGCTGTAGCCCTGGCATCTTGGGCAGTGCCAGCACCTGTTAGCATTAAATACATATTTACTGAATGAATGAGTGGCTTCATGCTTAAAAGCAAGAAGAGAGACCTTCATAGAGAAGTAGGAAAATGAATTGTTGCACAAATAAAGGGCCATGTAATGAGAGAGAGAGAGCAAGAGAAAGAGGTGAGATGCTGATAGATTTTCCAAAAACATTCCAGTTCCTACTTCCCATCTTTCATGAACCAAGATTTTTACTTCCTATCCATGGGCTATCCCTAAAAATTCCATTTTCTTAGGCTACTGTAATAGGGCTTGTCTTTATTGCTACCAAAAATCTCTAAGCAAAAAAAAAAAAAAATAGAGTCAAACTAGAAGATGCTAATTGTTTTCTCAACATCCAGCATGTCTTTGGAGAATGGGGTTCTCATGTAGCAAACAGTTTTGTGGGTTCTCTTCCGTGTTTCCTTTCTTGGATAACTAGGTCACAGACAGCTGGTGTTTCCCATGTGGCAAAGGGAGCATGCAGAGAAATCCCCGCCTCCTCTCTCTTTGCTTTTCAAGCCCTGCTGAATGCCTCCTAATGATTTCATCTGCTCGGAGGTCTGCTGGCTTTTCCACTCTCGTAGAAGCTGGTGGCGCCGGGGGCTGATGCATGCTCTGACTACTGACTTGAAACATGCTTTGATGAATTAGTGCAACTCGGCCAGCCATTTACTTTAAATTTTACCCTTGATTCTTCCTCTAGCAAACAATTAAGGAGCAGCAGTGGCTTCCTGCAGGGGAGACCAATGCCTTCTGTCCTCAGCGGAAACAGCTTGGCATTCTTCCAATTGATGAATGGCATGGACCAGGAGCACTAGTTATCTTCAGCTTCTGAGCATCCGAATAAATAAACATACAAATGCATAACATAAAATAAATTCAAATTACAAATGAGAAAACCAATCTAGGTTACCGGCAAGTCCTATGACTTGATGTGGAGGCCTGGAAGTGCATCCTTGAATCTTGCAATGCAGTGAGCCAAGGAGCAATGAGAGGCCACATGAATAACCGGGCCAGTGACAAGACACATGTCCTCCTCCTTGCTGGGTGAGTAGCCCAGTCCAACCCCAAAAGCTCCTGAGTAAGAGGAAAATGTCTCTTTAACAGTATTAAGGGATAATTTATTATGTGTATCCTTCCAGGGAAGCACAATGTCAGTAAAGGCCCATTGCATTTGCATTATTTCCAGACAACAGCAGCAGCAGAAAGGGACACTGATTTATTTCAGAGCAAGCACAGGTGAATGTAGTGTCTGTTGGGAATGAGCCAGGGAGCACTTAACCCGTTCTGAGTCTTTCTAATGCTTTAGGGGGAACCATAGGTTTTTGGAATAGTTCTATTGGCTTCTTTGGTCAAATTCAGTGTCCCTGAGCCTGTGCTTCTCAATCGCTTGGTAATAAAAGCTCTTACAGGGTGGAGGTCAGCGAAAAAAATATGTTTAAAAACAGAAAATCTGGTTTTATGCCGTGGCCACGTTAATTTCTTTCCGTGTGACCTGGGCAAATAATTTAATCCTTTTACGACTCAGTTATCTCTTTTGAAAAATGAGTGTAATAATGCTCCCTGCAGGATTTTAATGAAAATCAACTAAGCAAATGTATTAATGAGTGACATATAATGAATTGTATAAATGACATTGTTTTGGTGTGACATCAATTTGGGATTCCTGGGACACAAACAGAAGTTTAGGTATTATCTTCAGGTATGGTGTCTTGGCTAGCTTAGCTAGCAGAGAGCTTTTTTCTCAGAGGAATCATTCAGTGGGAGGTAAAACAGTCACTCTTTGAATTCTGGAATTAGAGAGTTATGAAATTCAAAAGGTCATGGTAGAAAGTGTCTTGGAGACATCTCTTCCGAGCTTCTGTTTTGGCAGAGGGAAAAACTGAAGCTTAGGGAAGCAAAGTAAACTGTAAACATCTCGGAGGGTGAGGTCAATCTTAATTATCTTTGGTTGTTGTTTCTTATCAGTATACACCAGAATGCCCCGCATGCAGCGAATGCTCAAAAAGTGTTGGTGGAAGTGACAGAATTCCATCACCATTAAACACAACCAGTGTTGCGGTTGACAATGGTAGGTTGGAGTATTTTCTCTTCTGATCCAGATTAGATCAGAATTTGATACTATTTTAATATTAAGCCTTGAAAAGAATGTGTTTACTGGTCAACTGAGGCATCTTGGAAAGGGACATGACCCCTATAGAGCCAGAAACATCCTGGTAAATCCTCTAGTTTCAACTTCTGACAGAAAGTCCTTGAAGTCTTAAAGAACAATTCCTTTTATTAAACCTTCATACAATTTTAACTTACACAGTAGCACACAATTACAAAATGTTACCCAATACATTACCTTATTTAATTCTCCTAATGATCTGGTGAAGTAGGCATTATTATTTCCATTTCTCAGAGTAAGAAATTGAGGCTCTGAGAGTCTGAGTGATGACCCAAGGATGTATAGGCACCGTCAGGACTGGAACTTGAACCCAGAACTCTTGATTTAAGTGTATTTCATTAACACTACCTTGTAAAGTACCAAGTAGATATCCCTTGCTCCTGTTTCTTCCTTCCTCCTTTTTCTCTCCCCTTCTCTCCCTTGTTCCTCTCTAGGCACTGAAGCAGGTGAAAAATCCGTACAGCAGCTTCTGTCTTTGAAGAGTTTGCAGCCTCTTGAAGAGGGTTTAGAGGTTAAAAAAAGGTAATTCTAAATGCAGAGGATCTTTATTACGCACTAACCCTGATTGAACACAGCCCAAAAGGGTTAACTGACCTGCCTGGGAGATGGGAAAGAGAGATACACCACAGTCCAAGATACAGTTGCTGCTGGAAAAAGAAATCGCTGAAATCCCAAAACACCCCTTTCAAAATATCTAGGCTTTCAAAGCCGTGTCTTTCCTTCTCCCCTCTCTTAGACGTGAGGAATGAGAGATGTGTGTGTGTGACACATCCAACTGGAATCTGCAAATCACTGATCCTTTAAAACCTATTTTTGTAAATACCAATAAAACAAGTCTTGACGCTTGTTCCTGAGTTCAGGGAATTCATTCAACCTGGAGCCCTGGAGGAGGAAAGCTATTCCCTAGGAATTTTTCCCCTTTCAGGTATCTCACCTGAAACTGAAACTTGTCTCTCACTCTTCCATTTTTCTGCCTTTCTTTGATTCAGAGCCTGTAATCCCTTCTGGTTTTCCTCCTTTGTCTGCCTTCACTTTGTCTAAGCAACAGAATAGTTTAGTTTGCCAAGTGAATAATACCACAAAGTGTTGAAGTCTGGAAATAATGCCTCATGGGCACTCCATAACTATTTGTTTAATGATTAAATGAATCGGTGAATAAATGAATGAATAATGGCCAAGTTTAAATACTGGCTCTATCATTTACCAGTTGCCCAGCTTTAAGACAGATATTTAACCTGTTTGTGCCTCAATTTCTTATCCTTCCATATTATGTGTAGGAGATTATAAAAATGTATATACAAGCATAACTTGAGATATTGTGGGTTTGGTTACAGACCACTGCAATAAAGCAAATATTGCCATAAAGCAAGTCACGTGAAGTTTTTGATTTTCCAGTGCATATAAAAGTTATGTTTACACTGCTGTAGTCTACTGTGTGTGAAATAGCATTATGTCTAAAGCATGTACACATCTTATTTTACTTTTTTAATTTTTTTGAGACTGAGTCTCAGTCTGTCACGCAGGCTGGAGTGCAGTGATGCGATCTCGGCTCACTGCAACCTCCACCTTCCAAGTTCAAGTGATTCTCCTGCCTTGGCCTCCCAAGTAGCTGAGATTACAGAGGTGCATGCCACCACACTCAGCTAATTTTTAAAAACTTTTTTTTTTTTTTTTAGTAGAGGCAGGGTTTTACCATGTTGGTCAGGCTGATCTCAAACTCCTGACCTCAAGTGATCCTCCCGTCTCGGCCTCCCAAAGTGCCGGGATTACAGGTGTGAGCCACCATGCCCATTCTTAAATGTACACATCCTAATTAAAAAATATTTTATTGCTAGCTGGGCGTGGTGGCTCATCCCTGTAATCCCAGCATTTTGGAAGACTGAGGCAGGAGGATCACCAGAAGTCAGGAGTTCTAGCCTGGCCAATATGGTGAAACTTTGTCTCTACTAAAAATACAAAAATTAGCCAGGTGTGGTGGTGGGCGCCTGTAGTTCCAGCTACTAGGGAGGCTGAGACAGGAGAATCACTTGAACACAGGAAGCAGAGGTTACAGTGAGCCGAGATCATGCCACTGCATTCCAGCCTGGGCAACAGAGCGAGACTCCATCTCAAAAACAAACAAACAAACAAAAAAACTTTATTGCTAAATAATAAACCTGGGCCTTCAGCAAATCATAATCTGTTTTTGCTGGTGGAGGGTCTTGTCTCAATGTTGATGGCTGCTGACTGATCAGGGTGGTGGTTGCTGAAGGTTAGGTAGCTATGACAATTTCCTAAAATAAGACAAGAATGAAATTTAGTGCATTGATTGACTCTTCTTTTTATGAAAGATTTCTCTGTAGCTTGCAATGCTGTTTAACAGCACTTTACCCATAGTATTATAGATCTTTCATAATTGAAGTCAATCTTCTCAAGCCCTACTGCTGCTTTATCAACTAAGTTGATTGTAGTGAATCTTTTGTTGTCATTTCAACAATGCTCACAGCATCTTCACTGGGAGTGGATCCCATCTCAAGAAACTATTTTTTTGTTTTTTTTTTTTTTTTTTTTTTTGCTCATAAGAAGCAACTTCTCATCCACTGAAGTTTTATCACGAGATTGTAACAATTCTGTCACATCTTCAGGCTCCACTTCTAATTCTGGCTATCTTACTGTTTCTACCACATCCACAGTTCTTGCCTCCACTAAAGCTTTCAAAGTCATCCATGAGGGTTAGAATCCACTTCTTTTAAACTCCTATTAATGCTGATATTTTGACTTCTTCCCATGCATCACAAATAGTCTTAATGACCTCTAAAATGCTGAATTCTTTCCAGAAAGTTTTCAATTTAATTTGCTCAGATTCATCAGAAGACTCACTATCTATGGCAACTGTAGCCTTATAACATGTATTTCTTAAATTATGAGGTTTGAAAGTCAAATTATTTCTCAATCCATGGGCTATGGCAGGAATGCTGTGTTCACAGGCACAAAATAACATTAATCTCCTTGCACATCTTCATCAAAACTCTTGGATAACTAAAAGCATTATCAAGACTCTTGGGTAGCTATATTATTGAAAGGAATCTTTGATTTTCAGCAGCAGGTCTCAAGCACGGGCTTAAAATATTCAGCAAACCATTCTGTAATCAGATGTGCTGTCACCTAGGCTTTGTTGTTCTATTTACAGAACACATACAGAGTAGATTTAGCATGATTCTAAAGGGCCCTAAGAATTTAAGAATAGTAAATGATCTAGAACTAGAAATACCATTTGACCCAGCAATCCCATTACTGGGTATATACCCAAAGGATTATAAATCATGCTGCTATAAAGACACATGCACACGTATGTTTATTGCGGCACTATTCACAATAGCAAAGACTTGGAACCAACCCAAATGTCCATCAATGATAGACTGGATTAAGAAAATATGGCACATATACACCATGGAATACCATGCAGCCATAAAAAATGATGAGTTCATTTCCTTTGTAGGGACATGGATGAAGCTGGAAATCATCATTCTCAGCAAACTATTGCAAGGCCAAAAAAACCAAACACCACATGTTCTCACTCATAGGTGGGAATCGAACAATGAGAACACATGGACACAGGAAGGGGAACATCACACACTGGGGCCTGTTGTGGGGTGGGGAGGGGGGAGGGATAGCATTAGGAGATATACCTAATGTTAAATGATGAGTTAATGGGTGCAGCACACTAACATGGCACATGGATACATATGTAACTAACCTGCACGTTGTGCACTTGTACCCTAAAACTTAAAGTATAATAATAAAAAGAAAAAAAAAAGAATGGTAAATGAGCATTGACTTTAACCTAAAGTCTCCATCTGCATTGGCCCCTAACAAGAGAGTTACCCTGCCTGGTGAAGCTTTAAAGCCAGGCATTGACTTCTCCTCTGTAGCTACGAAAGTCCTAGATGGCATCTTCTTGCAGTATAAGGCTGCTTGATCTAAAATGAAATTCTGTTGCTTAGTGTAGCTACTTTTATCAATTATCTTAACTAGATTTTCTGGATAACTTATCTTAACTAGATCTTCTGGTTAACTTACTGCAGCCTCTCCATCAGCACTTGCTACTTCACCTTTCACTTTTATGTTATGGTGATGGCTTCTTTCCTTAAACTTCATGAACCAGCCTCTGCTAGCTTCAAACTCATTTTCTGCAGCTTCCTCATCTTTCTCAAACTTCACAGAATTGAAGAGAGTTAGGGGCTTGCTCTGAATTAGCCTTTGACTTAAGGGAATGTTGTGGCTAGTTTGATCTATCCAGACTACTAAAACTTTATCCATATCACAAAAAGATTGTTTTGCTTCTTATCATTAATACGTTCACGGGAATAGCACTTTTAGTTTCCTTTAAGAACTTTGCCTTTGCATTCACAACTTGGCTGTTTGGCACAAGAGGCTGAGCTTTTGACATGCCATACTTACTAAGCTTAATCATTTCTAGTTTTTTTTTTTTTTTTTTTTTTTTTTTTTAGACAGAGTCTTACTCTGTCATCCAGGCTGGAGTGCAGTGGTGCGATCTCGGCTCACTGAATCATTTCTAGTATTTTATTTACAATGAAAGACTTGTGACCCTTCCTTTCATGTGAATACTTAAGAGTTCATTGTAAGATTATTAATTCACGTAATTTCAATATTTTTTTCTGACTCAAGGAATAGAAAGGCCAGAGGAGATGGGGAGAGATGGGGGACATGGCTGGTTGGAGTGGAGCAGTCAGAACACACACATTTACCAGTTTACTCTCTGATATGGGTGCAGTGTGTGGCACCCCAAAACAATTACAATAGTAATATCAAAGATCACTGATCACAGATCACCATAACAGATAGAATAATAACAATAAACTTGAACTTATGAAAGAATTAACAAAATGGGACACAGTGAAATGAAATAAGCCTACACTGTTGGAAAATTGGCACTGATAGATTTCCTAGATGCAGGGTTGCCACAAATCTTCAGTTTGTAAAAAAAAAATGCAATATCTCTGCAAAGCACAGTAAAGAGAAGTACAATAAAAAGAGATATATCTGAATTTATGTAATACATAAAGCACTTGAGATTCATTCTGGTACTGAAAAATGATTGTTTATATTATTATTGTCAAAGAGACATGTGTGTGACTTGGGAGCCACAGGAGGAATGTTCTTGAAAGCCTGGGAGGCTTGGGAGGATGGTCTTTTGTTAGCTGTGAGGAGTTTAGGTTTTAAATACACACAGGAAAGGATGCAGGAGAGGGCATTTCAGGCAGTAATACTAGGGTAAAGGAGCAAGGTCTGGAATTTTCTGAAGGTAAGAGAGATAGAATGAAAAGTGAGGAGTCAGAAAATGCTGTAGAAAGAGGTGAGGAGATGTGGGGAATGTGGATGGTCAAATGGATTCGTAAAACTAAATTGTTGATTATATATTGCATGGCTATTATGTGCTGCTGATACAAAATGTGATACAGACTATGTGCCCAAGAAGGGAGCCTGAGATTCCACATCGTAAAAGTGATAAGGGTTACAGCAGAGGGATATTTCACATGCTGTTAGCCCAGAGGAAGGAGTATGTCATTCACTTAGGGTTCTAGAGGCCTCACAGTGAAGGCCTGCGCTCTCCAAGGATTCATTCATTCTCTTTCACTCTCTTGCTAACTAGCTTATTCACTCATTTAACATACATTCTTGAGCACTTGTTTATTTGCTAGGTGTTGATCTGGATGCTAGGGACAAGGCAGACACAATCATTGAGCACAGGGTCAGCAGGAGATCTCTCAGTGTTGATAGGGAGAAATCCTGTCCCAGGCAGACAGAATGACATGACAGAAAACCAAACCAAACCAAACCATGGAGCACTTAGAAGCAAGCATGGGCTTTCCACAGTAGCTCAATGGGAAAGGCATGGATGGTACGTGGTCCAAGAGTCACCTGGGGGTTGAGGCCATCATCATCTACCAGACATGGGAAGGGGATGGAAGATACCAAACAGGAGAGGAGGATGGCCAGATTTATAGTTCAGTATGAGACCACTGGTGGCAGGTGGAGTGGAGTGGTCTGAGTGAGCCCTCAGAGAAATACCGAAGGAGAGAGCAAGGAGCTCCCCATGGAGGCAAAGGGACAGTTGGAGCTAGAGAGGGAGATGAAAAGATGTTTCTTGAGGCAGAGTTCTCCCCACAGTGAGTCAGAGGTCAAGGAGAAAGCACCAGCTACTTGTCGGAGGGTGGGGAGGGGCAATGAGACCCTAAGTGCAGGAAAAGGGGGCCTGAGGGTGAGGAGGAGGTAAATGTTTCCTTCACAATGGCAGGGACCATAATTGTGGAGGAAAGACAGATGGTCTATTTCTGCCAGGTGCCATCCCTAGCAATTCCCCTCTGCAAGGACTCACCCTAGCCCTCTGGGAATAAGGAGTGGGTTTATTGGCATCAGTTCCATGCTTTTGTAGTGGGAAAACTATGATATCTGAGGATGAGTCAATCGGTCCAATCAGGACTGGTTGAAAACAACTTTGATGGAGAAGACTGGGAAAAAAAACATCAAATCCCTAAGAATTCCATGTGTCAAAACAAAACCAGCACATCTTGATTCATTGCAGTTCTTGTGAAGTCTCTCTTATCCAGCTAATGACTTCCCATGCCAGGGGAAGCAGCATGAGGAAAAGTCAACACAACAAATTTTGCAAAGTCTCTGCTCTTACTTAAATTTCTTTTCCTCCCAGATTTTCCCATACCCCATTCTGAAGAACACAGGCAGAAATCCCTACCCCCACCAGCATTTTTTTTTCTATCAAGGGGTTCCTGTTGCTTTTTTTCCATAGCACTTTTTACATACCTCCCCAATGGCACTTCCTCAATTGAAGTCCCATCTCATCATCATCATCATTATTATTTTTACATAGAGACAGAACTGTTCATTACCCTTTAGTTGTCCCATCATCTAGTATAGTGTCTGGCGTGCAACTCAACAAATGAATGTTTGCTGAACAACTAAATTATCAGTGGCAGGCAATATGTGTTCTAGAATCTTGTAATACTTGACTTTGCAAAGGAGACTCATGGAGACCAGGAGTAGGCGTAGGCACTCCTGTGCACTCCTCATATCACTGCTCAGTCTGCGTGCTTAAAAATAATTTGTTTTACATGAAGCTGCATGTGGTCTCTTGCGGTGGCTCATAAATTCCAGTTGGCAAAAACAGCTGGGCTAGTTGCCTGAGAACCTCTAGAGACTGTGATTCAGTAGTTTCAGGGTGGGCCCCCAGAATGAAGAAAAAAATATATATATGCCTTTCTCTTTTCTCTTTCCTGCTTTGTCTCTTTCTCTATCCATCCATCCATCTATCCATCCAAAGGTTTAGGCAACACTGTTGAGAGGGAAAAGTAGTAGAACTGGAATTTGGAGACTTGGCTTAGTAACTTATTTTTTTAAGCTTCAGAGAACCCATCTTGAAAATGGTAACACTCATTTAATTCCCAGGGCTAATCAGGACATATGATTAAATAATATTTATAAACATGAGAGACACACAATGGGTTCTCAGTAAATGTTAGTTTAATCTGAATATACTGACAATAGAAAGTGCAGTAAGTCTGAGGCTTCTGGGCTAGTTCATAACAAGGAGGGAAAAATAAAGGATTTTGATGTAGATAGAATGTAATGATGCATTTTTTTTTTAGGAGACGGAGTCTTGCTCTGTTGCCCAGGCTGCAGTGCAGTGGCATGATCTTGGCTCACTGCAAGCCCCACCTCCCGGGTTCACGCCATTCTCCTGCCTCAGCTTCCCTAGTAGCTGGGACTACAGGTGCCTGCCACCACACCCGGCTAATTTTTTATATTTTTAGTAGAGATGGGGTTTCACCATGTTAGCCAGGATTATCTTGATCTCTTGACCTCGTGATTTGCCCACCTCGGCCTCCCAAAGTGCTGGGATTACAGGCATGAGCCACTACGTCTGGCCAATGATTCATTTTTAAATTTGTCAGGTTGCAGCAGTGTAGAAAGAGTCACTGCCAGGAGGTCCATGTCCCAGAGGCGTGAGGAAATCCTTTGGCAGTTGTCAATCCAACCCACAAGGTAATAGAATTAACTTCCAGAGAAGTCATGAGCAGACACATTCATAGATCACCATGTGAGAAACTTTCTTTGCTTGGGGAATGAGAGGGAGACCACTCCTGTAAATGCTGCCAAAGGGCACATCCAAGGTGGGGGTGGGGTAGGAGGCTGGAGGCCCAACTGGACTGGCTTGATGAGAGAGTTAATTAGACTCCTGGGTCCAGAAAGCAGCCCTACCCTCTTTGTGCCCCCCACGTGGAGCTGCAAGGCTGGGTGTGATTATGTGCTTTATAAGGAACACATATTTTGTAAGATTAAGACAAAACTGATGTGACTCTATCAGCCAAAAACATTTATTGTGTGCTTTTAATGTGCAAATATGAGAGGAACCTGGAACTTATTAATCTGGTTTGGGTGGCCCCTCTTGGCCCCTCTAGCTATTTTGGCCATAGCTCCAACTTCATTGAATAGAAATAATTTGAAGTTTTCTTCTCCATTATCCCAGTTTTTGGTTTTGGTTGTTTTTGTTTTGTTTTGTTTTGTTTTGTTTCCCCCAGCACTGAACACTGCATAATAGCACATAGTAGACACTAACGATATTGAATCAAAGTGGTGTCGACAGAATAGGACTGTGCCTATTTGCCAGCACTTTTAAATCAGGCTTGTGCATCCTGATGGTATAGCTCTAGTTTGTTAGGAGTTCATTTATGCTCCAGAGTCAATGTGAATGGTACCCTGAAGTCTCAACTGTTTTGGAAAGGTTGATAAAGAAAAAAAAGGCAAATAATTTAACTTGATTATTAGGAAATATATAGTAATGTTAAAATGAACCTCCATATTTTATAGAGTAGGATGTTAAATTTGCATGAGTTTTAAGATAAAGCACACAAAGTCAAAGTCCTCCCTTTTCTCCTGTGCCTGCCCCGAATCTTTGGGTATGCAGCATCCCTTGGAATACATTGACAATCAAGCATAGTGAGCTACACGAAGGCAAGAACTGTGTTTTTGTTCCCTGTTGAATCTCTACCATGAAGAGCACAGTGCCTGGCACGTAGAAAGTACTCAACAAGAGAGTGGGTTCTGGATTATTCTCTGTATGCTCCACATGCTCCTCTTCTCTGTTCAAATAGAGTGTTGACTCCTGGAGGGCATGTCTTAGTTATCTTCCGATCTCTGATGCCTGGTGCATAATAAGTTCTTGCTACATCTTCATCTTGTGCTTCACTGTACGCTCATTGGGCCTAGCATAGTCTTCTGCAAATACCAGGCACTTTCTGCAGTTTTATCAATGATGCTGGCTTTGATGTTATGAATATCTGTGGTCAAATCTTTTCTCTGTCTATAAAGTGAGGATAACAATTTCTACTTCACAGGATGGATACCAAGGACCTGTGATATCTTTAATATGAGACATTTGACACAACACATCTTCAACAAATGCCAGTCCTCTTTTCCCCCTTGTTTCAGTCTCATTTCTAGACAATTCCTTCTATGGCTTAGGATAAGATTTGAAAGGGCTAAGTTTTGATTCTAGTTCTCAGCTTTAACCCTGGTTCTGCAGAATAAGGTTGTTGATTTTTCTGATTCTGATCAAATCTCTTACTGCGTTTGAGGCTTAATGTTTCTATCAGCAAAATGGGTACAATACTTGCAACTACTCTCTACTAGTGATCTGGGAAGAAGAATGAGATAACATCCGGAAGGAGCCTTGAGCTTCAGAGGTGAAAAGTGCTGTATGAATTCAAAGACCAGAAGGTCTCTGCTATTATTCTTCAATGGTTTGTTGGCTTCTTTTAGAACAGGAGGCTGTTTGACTGACAAAGTCATCAGCTGTCTCCTTCCTAAAAACCCTTTGAAATCATTTGTAAATACCTCTGAGTGGTAATGATTTGCTTTTGCCACTCCCGCCCCTCCTCTGCCCATTTGTTTGCTCTAAGGTTAAAGGTAATTGCTTTTGGGGTGGGAGGAAAAGTGAAACAATCCCAGGGATAATTGCCCCAAGGTCAGCAAATCTGTGTTCAAGTCCTTACTCAGACTCTCACTAACATTGGGAAAATCACTGACCCTCTCTGGGTCTGAGCTGGAAGCATCAAGATTGGACCAAATAATCTCCAGGCTTCTCCAACCAGCCTTGAGAATGTGGACCAGATGCGTGACAGAAGAGCATATTCCGTGTCAAAGTAGAACTAAAAATGGAGGCTGAGCACAATGGGAGGAAAGAATCTCTTCACTGAAGAGGAGGGTGTTGGTGAGCATGGATTGAATGGAGATGGAAAATACCATGAGCAATCAGATTAAGCAGGGCCCTGAAATCCAGGCAGATAAGTTGAGTCTTGGTGCCACATGTCAACTTTCCTTCTACTGGGAGACAATATGGGGCAGAGAAAAGAGCCATACTGTGATTTTGGAGCCATGCAAACCTAGAAGACTTTAAAAACCTTTAAATTCTTGCTTTATCACGAATTAGTTATACCTTTGGACACATTATTTCACTGTCAGAATCTTACTTTTCTCTACAATGGTGATAAAAATACTCACCTTTTGGGATTGTTATGAGGGTTAAATGATGTGGCACATGTAAATAGAGTAGATCTTTATTATTCATGGATTCTATATTTGTGAACTCACCTACTTGCTAAAACATACTTAAATCCCCAAATCAATACTCATGGTGCTTTTACAGTGATTCTTGGACATGCTTAGAGTGGGTGGCAAAACATCTAAGTCAGTTGACACACATGATCCTAGCTGAGGGTAAACAAGGTGAGCCTCTGCTATCTCATTTCAGCTCTCACATTGTAATAAGTGTCCCTTTCAATCTACTTAGCTCCACATTTTCCCCATTTTTATGCTTTTTGATGAAGTGTTTTTTTGTTTGTTTCTTTTGTTTTGTTTTTGTTTTGTTTTCTTTCTTGAGATGGAGACTCACTCTGTTGCCCAGGCTGAAGTACAGTGGTGCAATCTTGTCTCACTGCGACCTCTGCCTCCTAGGTTCAAACGATTCTTCTGCCTCAGTCTCCCAAGTAGCTTGAACTACAGGTGTGCACCACCACTCCCAGCTAATTTTTGTTGGTGGTGATTTTTCTGTTTAAAATGGCCCCATTTCAGCATAGTGCTGAAGTGCTGTGTAGTGTTCTTGAGTCAAGAAGACTGTGAAATGTCTTATAGAAAATATATACATGTTAGATAAGCCTCATTTAGGCATGAGCTATAATGCTGCTGGCCATGAGTTTAATTTTAATGAATCAACAAAATATATTGAATAAGGTGTCTTTACATAGAAACACACATAAAGCAAGATTATGTATTGCTTGGATGATGAAAATGTTTTGCCCAGAGCTCACGGGAACCTAATCTTCTATTTTACCTAGGAACATTAGTTCACTGTTCGCTCATTCAGTATCCATGGAAACTTCATAAAACATAACTACTGTGAACAGTGAGAACTAACGGTATCTGAAATATTTTTTATAAGTCAGCCTTTGATAGGTTATGCTGCAGTAACAAACATCTTCCAAATTACAGTGGCTTACAATCTAAAAGTTTTATCTTTTATTCATTTTATATGTCCACTGTGTATGTCAACTCTAGATCAGCTCTGGTTTTGCCTCAGGTGCCTTCTCAATACCAGGTCAAAGTTGAAAGATCAACCTCTATCTCGCACATACCAATTTAACGCCAAAGAAAAAAAAAGCAGGAGATAAATCAGAACCAGGCAATTGTTTCATGACTTCTGTTCAGACATGCACACATCGTATGCCCACTCACATTCTATTGGCCAAAGCAAGGAATGTGATAAATTCATTGTGAAGAAAAACAGATAAACGCCCCTCATGGAGGCACTGTACGCACATGCCAGTGGGTGGGGATGGATAATCCTCTTATAGATATGAAAGAATGGGAGAGTAAATACTTGGAAAAATACAAATGCAACTTAACACAGTTACCTTTTCTTGGCACTCTTAACTTCTTACTGTTGGCTTATGATTAGTCAAAGGACATGATGAGCAGTTGTCTAAAGAAAGAACATGTGACCAATTTCTCTGAGAGAAGATGTCTTTATATACTAAGTGACAGTTAACACCATTAGATAGAGCTTGTCTGTATTTACCTGTATATGTTTCTTTGAGTGTGTATTTAAGGAATATATAAAGTTTAGTAAAAAATAAAGTATCAGACAAACTTTCAATAAATGACTTGAAAGGAACCTTTAAGACTAGACTTTTGGCCCAATACCCTTGTCTTATAGATAAGGAAATTAGTGACTAGGAAAGTGAAGTGACTATATATAAAATATACGTTTACTTGATTACCTGTTTCATGTCAGGGCCAGAACAACAAACTGTGTCTCATTTGACAAGCTCTTACTAATCCTCGACTATTTTCCAAGCATTGCAGTTGCTGCTAGGATGGTAGAGAGATGGTGAATGTCTAGATCCTTTTACTGAAAGGGTGGTGCTATCATTCATTTATATAGTGGATGGGGAAGGTGGTTTTTAGGATGGAGTTAGAGTGAAGTAGAGATGAACCATGATAGGGCAAAAAGACAAATTGGCTTTGATTCTAGACAGACTCTACTAAGATATTGCTGTGAGACCTTGGACAAATCTTGCATACTCCTAGAGCCCCAGTTTCCTCATCTCTAGATATTATCTACCTTAGATAATTGCTATGGAGATTAAAAATAATGTAAGAAAAGTATCTGGCACATATGAGGCATGAGGTAAGTGGTCGCTGTTACTTTGAATAAGATCGTGATTTTAGACCCTATTGCTTGGGCAATGAGATTCTTACTGTGACACTAACTCTGTACAGACCCATAACTTTTGGCAATTTTCCTAGTTCTGCATGGATAATGTGAAGAATTCTGCACTCAGAATTCTCTCTCCCAGCAAAAGATGAACTGGTGAGCAGAAAAGGCTAACAGGTCAGTCTTCTCCCACAGTGGCAAATACAAGATGAAGGTGGTGCATCTTCCATGCACCGTCTCTCCATTCCCATGGTAGAGCATGTCCTCGAAAGCTGGCATCATAATCCACTTAAACCAACGTTCAAGCTGGCTCAAGGGCAGTCTGACTTTAAAATTTTTATGGAGGTTTTGTTTTCCCACGCTTCCTTTCAATCTTTTTATCTCCCTTTTAATTTGATGTGAAAGGAGCACAGGTGGCTTATGATTCCTATTTCCTGTGCTTGCAAAATAGAGACAAACTCACATAGGTTGTATTTACAGCTGGGGAAAAACTGGCTGGATGAAGGCATTGGCTATTTGATAAGACAGAGGACAAGGTTTCTTCTTTTGCTGTTGATGAAGACATTATCTTTGAAATACCTTTTTCATGCAGCGCACACTAGGGTGTTTTACTGTGTTAGTAGCCAAGGTGGTTTTTACCCCAAAATAAGATGATTAGTGTAAGCCAGTGAGTGAGTTCTAGGTGAATTGTGAGTCCATCCTTCTTAGATTTCCTATCGACTGTGAACAGTTTTTTTGCTTGTTCTTATGAAAAAATGCAAACAGAACCCATTAAGTGGGTTTAGGGGAAAAAAGAATTTTTTGAAGAATATTAGTGCTTCACGTCTCCAAGATGGCTGGAGAGTCACACTGGGAGGCTCTATGGAGAAGGATTACATCCATACCATACAATGGGAATGAACCAGTACAGACTCCATCGATGCTATGAGGACAGAGACCCCAGCTCACATTCTGGGCTCAGGATGTCAGAAATTCCACTTCCAGCCATCACTGCCATCTCTAGCCAAAAAATAGTTTCTACCCAGCATCGGCTCTCTCATCTTGCTCACTTTTCAGTGATACTCTCACTCATTGTGGTTGGTATGGCTGAGGTGGAGCATTACAAAGGAGAATGGGAAAGTGAGTTTCTTGTTTCCACCTTGGGGATGTGAAAGGTTTCTTAGATGAGGGAAGGGTGTTTAAAAACTTCTGAGCAGTGGGAAAACTCCCAATGTCTACAATGGCTCTTTAATGCTGGATATTATTATATTAAAGGAAATCAGGGAAAGTATAACTGCTGCTTGGATCTGGCTATTAGATGTCGACTGTAGACCAGGGCATCTCAACCTCAGCACTTAGGTAATCTGGGACCAGATAATTCTTTGTTGTGAGGAGCTGTCCTGTGCATTGTAGAATGGTTGGCAGCATTCCCCACTGGTGCCATTAGCACATCCCCCTTCTTGTGATACTAAAAATGTCTCCAGACATTGAGAAATGTCTTCTAGAGAGAAGGCAACATGGCCCTTGGTTGAGAACAACTACTGTCAACCATAACACATTTGATGCACTGTCTATATACGAGGGGCATGTGGGTGTGCTGCCTTGTGCAAAAAGTATTTTTGGTAAGTTTGATCAAATCAGATATTGAAGGGCTCTAGAGAATAGGACTGGGGGAGGAGAAGGATTTCTCATTAGTCCTCCACTTGGATATAAATATCCCAAGTATAAGGATTTATCTGTTTTGTTCACAGCTCAGTTCCCAGTGCCTAGTGCATAACAAGGCTCCATGAATATTTGTTGAATGTATGAATAAATAAAAGAAACCCAAGATTATTTTTATGACTGTCTTAATTCAGATATTTTGTCTTATTATTATACTAGAATTTCAGGTCTATAAGCGTAGCTACCCTACCCCTAAGTTATGTACTGGCCCGAGGTGGCAGCAGTCAGATGTAAGAAGCCCAAATGTCAAAACATCCTGGATGTTATACACTCGTTACTCACAAGTTGCTTAATGATAGGCAAACCCTCACTCTGTTTCCACACAAAACACTCATGGTGTCCATCCTGATGCATCCCTTAGCTGAATTTGGACAACCTTGGTTAAGCAGGCTATTTGGCATTCACAGTAGAGTCAAGATTCTCAAGCTGCCTTTCATTGTTCATGTGCAAGCTGAACTGAAATTTTCTGGGGATTTTTGGGGTCTCTTTTACTTGTTGATCAAATGTCTATTGAGCCAAATACGGAGAATTCAGTCATGAGCAAGACGGACCAAGTTCCTATCTTCATGGAGCCTATATTCAAATAGTAGATGGCAATGATACTCAAGTAACTGCATAAATAGCATCAATTTCTGAAAGCTATAAAAAAGAACACTAGGATCAGTTGACAGAGAATGGGAATGATGATGAGGGGGCACTGAGGGAGGAAGACTGGCTACAGAAGTCCCAAGAGCAGTTGACTGCAAGGATGCAGCTCACAACATTTGCCTCTGTTTTCTTCCCTGAATGCTGGAGAGTAGGATGAAGTGTGTGTGTGTGTGTGTGTGTGTGTGTGTGTGTGTGTGTGTGTGTAGGAGAAGGAGGAGGAGGAGGGTAGATCAGTACCAACTGACAGGTTTCTGTGGTGCATCAGAGGGGACATGTCTGGGGATGCGCACATCTTTCTCCCAAAAGCCTTCATGTATCTCCCCTAGTTCATATCATTTTGAGTTGTGGCACTTAATATTTCTGAGTTCCAGATTTCTCAGAGAATCTGAAGTACGTTACAGAAACTCTCCCCAGAAAAATGCATCTTAAATATAAAATTTTAGTGCAATTTCAGGGTGACTATAACCCTGCTGAAGCCTTTCTACAGAGGGCTTTCTTTGTTCTACCACTAAGAAATTCTGGGGCAATACCGGTAATACTAGACATTTATTGAGAGTTTATGTCTCAACTACTTAAAGTGCTAACTACTTGACATCTATTGTCCCAGTCAAATCCTACAATGACTCCATGAGGTAGATGTCATCACCAACCCCATTGTGTGGAAGAGGAAATTGGGCACAGAGTGAGTGACAAATTTCCCCCCAAACACAGAAATTTATGTTTGTCTGATTTCTCTCTCTCACTAGGTGGCTTGATAATCTACTAGAGAATATTTTGGCTGAAGGTTTAGTTCACCTAAAGACTTGGATAGCTCTTAATGCACTATTTTGGGATATTTTGATGGTAAATCTTCAGGATGAAGGTAGTGTCATCTACCACTGTATTTGCCTCAGCACCTATCCTAGTTACTGATAGCCCCTGAGAGCCCAGAGCATTTGTGTCACTGATTGGCAGGCCATGCCTGCATACAATGCTGCTTGTGTTACCCTAAACCGACTGTACAGTGGAAGGGATGATGATGATGATGCCTTCCTGCTTGATAACTGATAATTTTATTGCTGTGGGTTGCAGATTGTGCTTGAAACTGCATGTAATGAGAGGGAATATTTATAGTGATTAAGATACACTAGATAAGGGAGCAGCAAACTTCTTTTGTAAAGAAATGGGTTGTACATATTTTAGGTTTGGACGGCCAAAAGGAAACATTGAGAATTTTATTGTATAACTATAGACATTCTTTAACTTATGATGGGGCTATGTCTTGATAAATTAATTTGAAGTTCAAAATATCATTTTAAGTCACAAATACACTGAATACACCTAACCTATTGAACATCACAGCTTAGCCTAGCCTACCTTAAGAGTATTCAGAATACTTCTATTAGCTTATAGCTAGGGAAAATCATTTAACATAAAGCCTATTTTATAATAAACTTTGAATATCTCAATTTTTTCAAGGCTGTATTGAAAGTGAAAAACAGAATAGCTGTATGAGTACTTGAAGTACTGTTTCTTCCAAATACATCTCACTTTTGTACCATTGTAAAGTCAAAGAATTGTAAGTCAAACCATTGTGAGTCAGGGACTGTATTTAATATATATTTATTTAAAAAAGTAAAAACTTACATCAGTGTAGTGTGGGAAAAGAGAAAAAAAGGTAGAAATTATTTTTAACTTGAGTCATACAATATACAATGTATGTATGTATACACGATGATACACAAGTCAGTGCATAAATAGGATCGGGTTCTGAGAGCTATAAAAACAGAACACTAGGATTAGTAACAGAGAAAGGGAGTGATGATGAGGTGGCCTTGAGGAGGAGAAGGCTGGCTACAGAAGTCTTCTCTATACAATATCTGATGAGCTGTATTTGGCCCACCAGCTGCACTTTCTTGACTTCTGCTCTGAGCTTAAATCCAGACTTGACATTGGCCTGAAGAATAATCTTGGTCAGGTTATTCAGCCTCTCTGTGCCTCAATTTCCTCATGCATAAAATGAAGATTGTCATGGCGCCTACTTTGTATGGTAAAAAATTTAGACAAGTTCCTGGCACTTCATAAAGATTATATCAGAGTTGCTTATTATAATTTCTTGATTGTTTGATAAAAGGTACATCCCAAGACATATGAGTACTCTGGAATGCTTCCTTGTATGTGGAGTTTAAGAACTAATGTAATATGATGCTGGATGACTTTTTAAGAAATGCCTCTAAATTCAGACAGGAATACGCTAACACATACCCTTATCTATGCACAAAAGGAAAAATAAATCCAGGAGTAAGTGGGGAACTTGGCAGGAAAATTATTTTATGATAAAATAATCTTTCCAGTCAGTTTCCCTCCCTGACTCCTTCCCTGCCTCCAACCCCTCCTATCCCCACCCAGCCCCCCTTGCTTTGAGAACTTTGGGGCAGGGCAGAAGAGATGTGGTGGGGGGTGGGAGCTATAAGTGGGAATGGCAGTAAGGATAAAGCTAATTGGGCACCTCTTACTTCTCAGAGTTCCACTAGGTGCTTAAATGTATATTATATAATCCCATTTCTCAATATTATTGTTCATAGCACCCAGGTGATATGGACTTAATTAAATCCATGTTACAGATGGAGAAGCGGAGGCACAAAAACAATTAATAACTTGACTGAAGTCACACAGCCAGTAAGTGGCAAAACTGATATTCCAATCTAGGCTTGTCTAACTTCAGAGAACCCAAGTCCATGCTTTTTCCAGACCACACTGCTCCTCCCCTGGCAGCATCTGCAGGAGTATAATCAGGGCAGGCAGTCATCTCTGGGTGCACTTAAATTACTGGCTCTCTGTGGATACATCATTCACATCAAATTCTGTGTACAGATCTTTTGATTATATATAAAACAGACTGTCATAACTATTTCTATGGCAAGTTGCTGTTTTATTGATGCAATTATTATTATTATAATAATTATTATTATTTTGAGACTGAGTCTTGCTCTGTTGCCCAAGCTAGAGTGCAGTGGCATGATCTCAGCTCACTGCAACCTCTGCCTCTCAGATTCAAGCGATTCTCCCACCTCAGCCTCCTAAGTAGCTGGGATTACAGGCGCCCACCACCGTGCCTGGCTAACTTTTGTATTTTTAGTAGAGACAAGGTTTCACCATCTTGGCCAGGCTGGTCTCAAACTCCTCACTTCGTGATCCACCTGCCTCGGCCTCCCAAAGTGCTAGGATTACAGGCGTGAGCCACTGTGCCCAGCCTGATGCAATTTTTTTAATGCCTTCTACAAAACTACTTAGGGCAAACTGCTCTCCTGTGAACAAGGCCAAGGCCATGGTGGGAGGGGTTCCACGGCTGTTCCTCTCCCATCCCCACCCCATATACTGAGAGAGCCCTTTCTCCATGCTTTCTTTTTCTGCTTCGCTATCAAACATTCTTCCAGCAGCAATTGAAGGGACAGACAATAGTAAGTTTTTTGGAACTTTTTTCTGAATAATATATATTATATATGCATTTTTCTGGCTATATAAGTCATGCACTTTCTTATATAAGAAAGCTTGGAAAAAATTGAGAAAAATATAAAGAACAAAATATAAATTAATTCTAGTTCCACTGTAGAGAAATAAACAGTGCTGGATTTTTTCATGACAAGCTTTTCTGATGACCTCAATGTCTTACTTTATGCTCTTAATATAATCTAGGACTTCATGTGTTCATGGATACTCAGAAAATCGCTACTCAATTAGCCATAGATAATTATTAGGACAAATACAGGCTTTACCTTTGGTCTTCAAATAATGTTAAGTGGAATGTAATTCATAACCCATGGTAAAACTTCCTAAACCTTTGTTTCTATTACTCTCCTACCTTTCCATACCCAAAATCTATATGATAGCTTCTGGATTCTCCAACCTACCCCAAATTATCCTCACCTCTTTATAAGTCTCCCATAACCCTTTCTTACCCTATTTTAAGCTTCTTTTAAATATAGTAAGGAAGAGTTTCTCTGGCCTTCTTTTTTTCCTCAAATTTTATTTTAGATTCAGGAGGTACATGTGAAGGTTTGTAACTTGGGTATATTGCATGATGCTGAGATTTGGGGTGCAGCTAATTCCACCATCCAGGTACTGAGCATAGTACTCAATAGTTTTTCAACTCTTTCCCCTCTAGCTCCCTCCATCCCCCATCTAGTAGTCCCCAGTTTCTATTGCTGCCATCTTTATGTCCATAAGTATCTGGTCTCCTTTTAAATTTGCTTTCTTCTTTGCTCATTATCTAGAATTTCCATAATAGAGGAGAACCTGAAACCACACCCAATAAGAAAGAATTTTATCTAAAGTTTTACTACCTTTGCATTCCAGTCTTTCTCTACCCATTCTCCTAATCTTGTCTCGTGAAATCATGGCTGCTGAGAATGAGATTTCTTTTGGAGGACAATGAAAAGGATGGGAGGACAGAAGCTACACAGAAGGGAGAAAGGAAAACAGAGCAACTGAAGACAAAAATTACTTTAGAAGGTGTAAGCACATACAAACAGGGCTGAGGTTATATGTTTCACTTTGAATGAATCTCATTTACCGAGATACCAGGAGCATTTTACTTAAGTCTTTGAGAACACGAGTTTTACTGGCTATATCATACTCTGTTGTAGAAATACACTGTAAAGTACTTTCACTATCCTCTTTTATTGGACATTTAGATCTAAATGAATTTTGTGCTAATATGAATATTGTATGATGAATATCTTTGACTATATTTTGTGCATTTTGTTATAGGCATGTATCTTGAAAACGGCAGAGGGAAGATTTTGCTTTGTTACCCATTTTGATAGGCCTTGCCTTTGGCCAGACATGTTACTGATGTTTTGGTATTGAACTGATGTATGTCTTCATTTATTTGTTTTTATTTATTTTTATTTTTTTGAATTTTTAAACTGTTTACTTGAACTATAGCAAATACGCAGAAAAGTGAACAAATCTTAAGTGAACAAGTCACTAAATTATGACAAACTGACCACAACCCAGGTCAAAGAAACAGAACATTGCTACCACTCTGGGAGCGCCTATATCACCCCATATCCAGCCCCTCCCCTCTCCCCAAAGGTAGCCAAGTTTGCTTGTCTTTTTTTTTTTTTTTGGATTCCATATAAATCAAATCATAACTTAGGCATTTTCAAGTGTCTAGTTTCTTTTGTTCTACATTATATCTTTGAGATTCATCCATACTGTTATATATAGTAGTAGTTTGTTTTCATTATTATGTAGCATTCCATTGTACAAATATACCAAAACTTGTTTATCCATCTACTATTGTTGAACTAGAACTATTGTTGTTACTGGATTGGGGCTATCATAACTAATACTGCTATAAACTTTTCTGTACATGTCTTTTGGTCCACATGTGCACACATTTCTGAGGATATATACCTAGAACTGCTGGGTCATAGTATTATATTAAATTTCAGTAGATAATACCAAATAGTTTTCTAAAATACTTGTGCCAGTTTACACTTTGACCAGAAGTATGACAGTTTTCATTGTTCCACATTCTGGCCCATACTTGGAATTTCTAATCTTTCACGTCTAAGTCAATTTTTGGAATGTGTAATAGTGTTTTTATTTTTCATCCCCAATTACTAATGAAATTCTCAATGAAACCCCTTTTCAAATATTATTTGGACATTTGGATGAATGTTCTCATTTATGGGCCGCATTTAAGAATGAAGCAAACACAAAATCCTCTGGTATTTTTCGGTGGAGGGGCCCTTAAAAATGGGATGATCTTTTATTCTCTATTCTCTGTGACAATATGGGGATATAAGTCACTCTATTCCTTCAAGCTACAGACAAAATGACAGTAGAAAGGAAGAAAACGGAGCCTTGCAAAAGATACATAACAAATTTTCACCACTTGGCAATCCACACTGAGCCTAGAACTTCCTCCGTAATTTGTAAAACCACATGAATTTCAGGAGAGACTACTCTATTTTTGAGTCATTGGTACTTAACAAATAAAGATATGGTGTTGTAAGAGTTCAATAAGCTTTACAATCTTTTAAATGCTCTTCACTTAGAAGGAAAGATGTGTTGAAACTAGTCGGTGGGTTGCAGAAGAGGAGAAGAGAAAGGTGGAGCCAGCGGAAGAGGATGTGGGTTTTTGCCACCCTGAAATTCAGCTGAGATCTGCAAAAAACTCAAGCAGGAAAATTGAAGTTAGGGGGTAATCTTTGAAAGAAACAAACAACCTGGGGTCCTTCAAAATTTAAATGTACTCAAGCAGACAAATGGGATAAATCAGGAGAGCAAATGCTGGTCCAATGTCCTAGAGCTTTAAAAAAATCATGTGGAAGAGCATCTCCATTCCTCCCCCACCCCCAACTCCTTTTCATTCATAATTTCTTCATTTATTTATTCAACATGTAATTATTGAAGGGGGCTTTGTTCCAGGCTCTATTTTAGGAGCTGAGATTCCGCCATGAACATATCTGAGAAGGTTCCTCTTCTTGAGGAGCTTTTATTACGATAGAGAAGACAGGTAAATCAGTAAATAAATAAAATCTTTCCAGCAGTTAAAAGTGGATAAACATAATGAAACAGAGTAATGGGCTGAGTGTAGAGTTAGCTAGGGAATAAGGCCTGAGAAGGGGACATCTGGGCTGAGAGGCTGCATGATAGAGCCAACCATTGGAAGACCTGAGTAGAAATAGAATTTCTGGCTGAGAGAAAAAGAAGAGAAAATGTTCCGAGAGGGTGTTTTAGTTGTCTATTGTTGTATAATATGTTACTCCAAAATTGCATGGTTTAAAGCAATATTTTTTATCTCACAGTTTCTATGGGTCAGGAATCTGGGCCTGGCTTAGCTGAGTCTTCTGTCTCAGGGTCTCTCACAAGCTGTCATTAAAGTGTTGGCCAGGGATGTAGTCCTGTTATGGTTGGACTGGGGATAGAAGAGCTTCCAAGCTCACTCACATGATTGATGGCACAATTCAGTTTCTCCCAAGCTGTTAGACTGAGGGCTTCACTTCCTTGCTGGCTGTTGGCTGGAGGCCACTCTTAGTTCCTAGCAAGTAAACCTTCTCACAGGGCAGCTCACAACATGGAAACTTGCTTCATCTGAGTGAGAAAGTGAGAAGGAGAGAGAGAGAGAGAGAGAGAGAGCCAATAAGATGGAAGTTACAGTCTTTTGCAACCTAATCGTGGATGTGACATCCCATCACCTTTGCCATATTCTGTTCTTTAAAGGCAAAGCACTAGGTCCAGCCTACACAAAGGATGTGAATATGGAGAGGTGGGAATCACTGTGGGTGGGGTGGCCCTCTTAGGAGCCTGAATGCCAAAGAGAGGGGAAGCCTGGAATATCAAAGGCACAGGCAGAAGGTCAGAGAGGCTTGTAGATAAGGGGATAGTGGTGCAAGATCTGGTCAAAGAGAAAAATGGGGGCCAGATCATGTAAGGCCTGATTGGCCAAGGTAAGACATGATAGAAAGTTACTGGTAGGTTTTGGGAAAAGAAGTAAATACATTTGGTTCAAATTCTCAACAGATCGTTCAGACTGTCACATGCATATAGCAAGTAGGAGGGCCAGGGTAAGGAGGGGAAAGAAGCCAGTTAGAGGCTGCTCTGGCTGTTCATTTCAAGGTGGTGGTGGTTTGTCTCATGGTGGTGACCATAAAAAGAGAGTGACAGTGGCCGGGCGCAGTGGCTCAAGCCTGTAATCCCAGCACTTTGGGAGGCCAAGGCGGGTGGATCAGGAGGTCAGGAGATCAAAACCATCGTGGCTAATACGGTGAAACCCCATCTCTACTAAAAATACAAAAAAAGCTGGGCGTGGTGGTGGGTGCCTGTAGTCCTAGCTACTCGGGAGGCCGAGGCAGGAGAATGGCGTGAACCCGGGAGGCGGAGCTTGCAGTGAGCCGAGATCGCGCCACTCCACTCCAGCCTAGGTGACAGAGCAAGACTCCGTCTCAAAAAAAAAAAAAAAAAAAAAAAAAAAAGGAGTGACAGAGTGGGATCTATTTTGGAGGAAGAGTTAGCAGAGTTTGCTGGTGGCTTAGATGAGGGTAATGAAGGAAAGCAAAATCAGCTGGTCATTATTTTGATTGCTTTTTATTGTATCTTGTGTTTATTGAAAACCTGAAAGCATGTGAGAGCTAGAAGAATCCTTGGGAATTATTTAATACAGTTTCCTTGTCATACTGATGGGGAAGCTGCAAGCCACTTCATCTTTCTAGTCCTCAGCTTCCAGTTTTGTAATAGGAGAAGCTGGGCTAGATTTTCTGTGAGCATTAAGGAATACTCTCTGAACAAAACCAAAGCTTGAATCTGCACTGACTTCCAGTTTGTGCCTTTGTCCATTTCCTGTATGGAGAAGCTGAGAGGAAGGAAGGGTGGGTGGAGAGGGAGATCAGCCTGTGCAAAGGTATTGAGTCCAGAGCACGCTTGATGGGTCAAAGGGGTTTTGGGTAGCCAATGGGCTTTAAAAACCACTATGGTACCAAGATTCTGTGGTCCATTTGCTGGTGGAAAACAGCCTGACCATGTGCTTTCTCAGAGTGCTTGGATGTAGGGCAAAGGTCTGCAGAAATATTTAACCAGGTGAGCAGATACATTATTAATAGTAATATCTACCTGTTATGGAACACATACTCTGTGCTGGACACTGTATAGCTGGAGAAAATATACATTCATTGTTCAGTTCTTTCTCACTCTTGCAGAGCTGCTTCTTCTATACTCTCATTCTTGTGAAAAGCAGTTACTCAGACCAAGAAACTCGTAGTCCCATTCCTTCTCTCCCACTCACATATAACTCATCAGCAAACCCTGTTGGCTCGATTTCAAAATAAAACCCAATTCCTACCATTTCTCCATCTCAATGGCTACCATTGCAGCCCAAACCACCATCCTCTTTTCCTAGAGAACATTTAACATCTCCCTAACTGGCTCCCACACCTGATCCCTCCGGTCTAACACAACATAGCAGCTTGAGTGATCCTGGTAAAACTGAAGTCAGATCATGGCACTCCTACGTCAAAAGCCTCCAATGGCTCCCAATTACTTTTAGAGAAAACAATCTAAGTCCTTGTAATGGTCCCATAAAGCATTGCATAATTAGTGTCCCATCCTCGCACTATCAGTTACATCTCTGATCTTCCTCCTACTTCTTTCTCCCTCGCTCACTCCAGTGCAGCCACATGGCCTCCCTGTTTCTGGAACACAGAGGCACCACCCTCCCAGTGTCTTGCCTCTGGGCCTCTAAACTTGCTGTTTCCTCTTGCCTAGAAAGCTCTTCTTCCAGATACTTACAAAGCTTGCTCTTTCACCGCCCACTCCTCCCTTTATTTTTTGAGACAGGGTCTCACTCTGTTGCCCAAGCTGGAGTGCAGTGACACAATCTCAGCTCACTGCAGCCTTGACCTCCTGGACTCAAGTGTTTCTCCCATCCCCACCTTCTGAGTAGCTGGAACTACAGGAGCCCACCACCATGCCTAGCTAATTTTTTTGTATTTGTAGAGATGGGGTTTCGCTGTGTTGCCCAGGCTGGCCTCCAACACCTTAGCTCAAGTGTTTGGCCTGCCTTGGCCTCTCAAAGTGCGAGGATTACAAGAGTAATCCTCCTCCAGTGCGCCTGGCCCCTCACTCCTTTTTGAAGTCTTCACTGCATGTTGCTTTCTCAATTGCAGTCTTTCCTGGTCATTCTGATTTGAACTGAACTCCTCCTTCCAATACTCCCTATTCTCTTTCCCTGTTTTATATTTCTTAGTATTTATCACCTTCAAATGCAATATATTTTCTTTTCTGTCTCCCATAAGTAGAACATAACTCCACAAATGCTGAGGCTTTTGTTTTGTTCATTACTGTATCTCCAGAACTTAGAGCATAGTAGATGCTGAATAAATGCTTGTAGAATGAATGAAGAATCTGCCGTATGAGGCAAGTACTCTTTCCCTCTAGTTATCGCATGTGAACACTGAGATGCAGAAAAAATTTGCATTTTGCCTGAGGTCACAAAGTTGGAGAATGGCAGAGTTAGGACTTAAAGCAGAGTTTGTTAGCTCCCAGAACAGCCACCAGATTTTGTGTGTTCTTGGAGGCATAATAGAATGGGTTAAGGCCATAACAATGGCTTTAACAGAACGTGAGCCTCAATTTCTTTATTCATAAACAGGGAAATAAATATTTACCCCATGAAGTTGTTGTAAGGGTCAAGTGGGATGCTAAGTGTGAAAGTGCATTGTAAGATATTAAATGTTTTCCTTGCATGGAAATTGTGCATACTATATATAGTACTGTATTGAACAGCACAGATATAGAACAGTTGCATACTATATAGTATTGTGAATACTATACAGGACCACATGGGGACCTTGAACTTGGTATGTTCCCAATCAGAAAGCAGCACTGGGTCATAAAAGACACTAGTTGTAGAGACCTGTTGTAGAAGGCCTGGGTAGAAAAAAAAAATAAGAAAATCTGGCTTTCACCAGTTTTGAGCTTGCTGACTCAAGTTGATCAAACTGGGGTTACTGAGCCTCAGCTTCGTCAGCCTTAGAATGAGGCTCACTCTATCCTACTACACGACTGTAAAACTCACTTGGGATCGCGTGAGGGAGGCCTGCAGCAGGTCTTTTTCTCTGTCATTACAATTTACACTGTCCTGTCTGTGGGCACATTCAGAAGTAATTTCATGTTTCTCAGCTTTCACTGGGGACTTCAAGCATCTTAAGGAGCAGGCAAGCTGGCGACTTGTGGCAATCTTCTTTTACATCCATGTCATAATTCTTAGGGCCCAGCATGAAAGTCCAGGGCGGTATCATTTCTCACATCTGAGTGAGTTTTCTCATTTGCAATCATTTCCCAGACAAATCTTTCTGGGAGTACGCTTTTTTTTTTTTTTTTTCTGGAATATAAGCCCATATTGGAATAGATCACTTCTCCCTTAGGGAATCTTTGAAATTTTGAATGTTTTGTAATTCTCTACTAACCTGTAAGCCAGAAAATACCCCTGATTCAAACTGCATAAATAAAGGATTTTTAAAAGCCTAAATAAAATGCAATACGAGGAAAGAATTTCAGCAATAATAGAATGTCTGGTTAATTTTCGAGTATAAGGCAGAGTTGCTTCTCCTGAAAATAGAAATATTTTCCTGAACACCAGAAGATATGAAAAACTCTTAGTAATGACTGAAGCAGAAAGCCAGGAATGGGATTTGAGTAACTGGCATTCAGTCTTGCTCCTGGGAATGAGGGCATCGTTATGGAGCAGGCTGCCCCAGGCCACCTGCCTGATTGCTCCTTCAGATGCACAAGTCCCCACTGCAGGCCAAGGACACACTTGAGATCCCTGCCTAGTGCACCTCAAGACAGGACAGGCAGAAACAGACTGGAGAGAGAAATCCGCTCCACAGCCCAAAGCACCAGATTATGCTCAGATTAAATGAGAAAGGAACAGACAGCAGGCTCCTGACTCCACCCTGCTAGGGAGCATCTTTCCAATGCTCAGATTAGATGAGAAAGGAACAGACAGTGGGTTCCTGACTCTACCCTGCTAGGGAGCATCTTTCCAGGCATTTCAGAAATGCTAATGGGATGGGGATCAGGAAGTGAGGGAGGTAGAAGATGCTTCTCTTAGCCTAGGACTCACCTGTGGGTTTACATGCCAGAATTTTTTCATTTTGCCAATTTCTACAGCCTCACACCGAAGTATTTATTGTGGCAATGAATTTTTAACTTGGCCTTACAAATAGGTTTCTTCCCTCCCTCCCTTTCTTCCTTCCCCCTCTCCCTTCCCCTTTCTCCTGCTTTTCCTCCTCCTCCTCTTCCTCCCCTTTCTTCCCCCGCCCCACTCCTCATCTCTTTCTTTCTCTCTTCTCTTATTATATTTTTATTCTTCAAAACCTAGGCTGTAATTATAAAATATTAAATTGGAAGGGGCACCAGAGATTATCTTGTGCAACATCTCTTTTTGCACAGGAAGAAACAGATCCAGAAAGGAGAAGTGACTTGCTTCTTCTAAATTTTGTCTGATCCTTAATTGGACAGTGGGCTCAGCTAGGAGAAAATTTTATTCCAGTGGAAAAGCCTAGGGAACCCCAGAAGCTGAGTACAAGTTATTCCCTGGAAAGAACCAACAGGTTATTAGTTGTTAAGGCACAGAGGGTATCTGAGAATGGGTGGGGGCATGTAAAGACAAGATCTGATCTGGCAGAGCTGGAATAAATCAAGGAGTGAGACCAAAGGCAAAAGAAAAAGGACTCTTAAGAAGTTCCTGGTCTCAAATCTGATAACACTCCATTGTCTCACCTGCCACCACTCTGGACTTTGTCACCATTGCTTTTTTCTGGTCCACTGCAGTTACCTGCCTGCTTCCCCTCTATTCCCACACTCGATTGTTCTTTACTGTAGCCATTTATTTATATGGTGTATTATTTCTGTCTGTCTCCCCTATTAGAACGTGACCTTCAGTATGACAGAAACTTTGTCTTTTTCACTGACAGAACCCCAGTGCCTCATCACATGCTTGACAATTTTTAGGAACTCAGTAACATTTGTTAAGGAGATGAATGAATTTGATGAATTCCCCTGGTGTAAAGGCCTGGGATCAGGAAGCACATCTCAAGGAGGAGGATTCTGTATTAGCCTGTTCTCATGCTGCTAATAAAGACAAAGCCGAGACTGGGTAATTTATAAAAAGAAAAAGAGGTTTAATGGACTCACAGTTCCACATGGGAGCTGGGGAGGCATCACAGTCATGGTGGAAGGTGAAAGGCATGTCTTACATGGCAGCGGGCAAGAGAGAATAAGAGCCAAGTGAAAGGGGGAACTCCTTATAAAAATAGCAGATCTCATGAGACTTATTCATTACCATGAAAACAGTATAGGGGAAACTGGCCTCAAAATTCAATTATCTCTTACTGGGTCCCTCCCACAACATGTGGGAATTATGAGAACTACAATTCAAGATGAGAGTTGGGTGGGGACACAGCCAAACCATACTGGCTTCTAAGCATGTCGAAGCCACATAGCACACCCTGGCAATTGCAATGGCCTTAACTGCAGCTCTGCATTGTCTTCCAGCTCCTCCTCTCTCACCCACAAGTGTGTAGGTGGCAGACTAAGAGGACCAAGCCAGATAATTAGGGAAATAGGACATTTGAGCTAGAAAGTCAAGGCAGTTTTGGGAGGCCGCGGTGGGCGGATCACGAGGTCAGGAGATCAAGACCATCCTGGCCATCATGGTGAAACTCTGTGCCTATTAAAAATACAAAAATTAGCTGGGCGTGGTGGTGTGTGCCTGTAGTCCCAGCTACTCAGGAGGCTGAGTCAGGAGAATTGCTTAAAGCAGGGAACAGGGGAGTCGGAAGTTGCAGTGAGCCAAGATCACGCCACTGCACTCCAGCCTGGTGACAGAGCGAGACTCCGTCTCAAGGAAAAAAAAAAAAAAGAAAGAAAAGAAAAAGAAAGTCAAGGCAGCAGAGGGGTAAGAAGCCAGTGAGCCTGACACTGATGGTCACAGATGTCACAAGGCTGGGCAAATTTCTAGTCATTCGAGGGCAGTGACTGAGACTCCTGTAGAAAATTGAGAAGTGGATCAAGGTTAACAATCAGAAATAGTAACAATAACTAATAATGATAGCAAACATTTTTATATTGTCTTACATTCTTAAAAGCTACAAAGCCTTTCAACATCTGGTACACATTTGGGCCACAGATTATCTCATCCAATTCAAAAGTCACCATGGCAATGCTTCTGCTCAGTGCTTGGACACAGGAATGGGCCTTGCCTTTTAAAACCTCAACCAAAGGTGGGAGATACACACGGTAAAAGATATTATTCTAAGAGAGGCAATCACAATTTTAGAGGAATGCTCAGTTGCTATAGGATCACAGAAAAGATCAGCCTAACCAACTCTGGAGGAAAGAAAGGATCTGGAGCTGGTTTCTGGAGGAGGCAACAAATGAAATGAAGGAAAAGAAGCTTGTAGGGCTGCATGGACCAATATGGTAACCACTGGTCTGTGTGGCTGTTTAAATTGAAAGGAATTAGTATTAACAAAATTTAAAAGTCCATTTCTCAGTCACATTAGCCACATTTCAAATGTTCAATAGCCACACGCAGGTAGTGGCTTACTGTATCGAACAGCACAGATATAGAACAGTTGCATCAATGCAGAAAGTTCTATGGGGCAATGTAGCTGTAGAACTTGGCTTTTCTAAGGTCATTGTCCAGTTAGGAACCTCTTTTGTACAAGTAACAGAATATTTTAACTCAAACTGGATTAAATATTAATCTGAATTTATTGGTGCATATAACAGAATAGTCCAGAGGTAGTGGGTCCTTTAGATGGGAGTCGGTGAAGAATCTGGTTTCCCTTTATGATTCTCTCACCTTTTCCCTTCTATATATGATTGCTTTCATTCCCATTCTGGCTTTTCTCATGGTAATAAATGGTTGCAGCAGTTCCAGACTTTCTATTTGTATTCCACACCCTCCAAAGGAAAGAGGAATCATTTTCTCTCTCCGTGAATCAAAGTCATGAGCTTCACCCTGCCCCACATGTATATCCTGGAGCTAACAACTGTGGCCAGGGACATACAACCTATTTACTGGCTTAGGACTGAGTTAAGTGTTCAATCACTGGGATCAGGGATACGAAGTTATACTGATTTGCTTAATCCAGTTGAGACAGGGCCTTGTCCCAGGGCTGGGAGGGCAGTGCGAACCTCAAGCCTCTGGCTGAAACTCAGTAGGTAGGTGTTGGCAGAAGCAGCTGATGCTGCAGTAGCAACCATTAGGTCCACTAGTCACTAAGCAAATTGAATCTTGGCTGGTCCACATTTTTTTGGGCCTCAGTTTCCCATAAGCCATGTAAAGAGGCTAGGTTAGCTTTGGCGTTTGTTGATGGCTTCATGTGAGTTTTCTTAGCAGAGTCGATACTAGAGTGAAGCAAGTGAGTCTCCCAGGGTGCAAGATTTAAAGCAGCACTCATTTTCACGTTCTGCAAGTGCAGGGTCGGCACCTGAAATGGAGAGCCTCCTTACATTTTGTACCCTGAACACATTTGCCTTGCCCTAGTTCCTGCCCTGCTTCTCAGGAAATCAACTTGTCAGAAAAGGTGGCTTGGACCCTTCTGTTTGAATTCAAAGAAGAGTTTCCTCTTATCTGAAAGAGCAGTGATTTCCAGGTTTAAAAATGCACACAGCTTGTTACTAGGCACTGCTATTTACATCAAGCCAATCCATCTCCCCAATGGTTGTTCTGATGAGTTGGATGATATTACAACACAATAGAAAAACATATTACCCATTACAAATGGCATTGCATTATAAACTATAAATAATTGATAGGCAATGATATAGAATAATAACTTTCCCTCAGAGCTATTTATCTGAGGCCTTAACAGTTTCACTCGGTTGAGTCATAGACTAACCCCAGAATAGCAGGTATAATGATACCACTGTAACAGAGCAGACCTGGGAAAGGGCTTTGGGGATGCAGGGGCTGAGTGGGAGGGGGAAGCCGGTTAGGGCTACCAGTTTTAGCAAATGAAAATACAGGACACATGAATATTGCATGGAGCATGCTCATACTAGAAAATTATTTGATGTTTATCTGAAGTTCAAGTTGGACTGTGTGTTCTATACTTTATGTAGCAATCCTCATATATTAGCTTCCTGTGATTTCCATAACAAATTATTGCACACTTGGTGGCTGAAAACAACACAAATTTATTATCATTAAAGTCCTGGAGGTCTGAAGCTGGAAATCAGCTTCACTGGGCTAAGATCAAGGTGTTCACAGGACTGCACTCCTTGTGAGACTCTGGGAGAGAATCCATTTTGCTTCTCCGGCTTCTAGAGGTCATCTGCATTCCTTGGCTTCTCGCCCATACCCCTACAAATTCTGCTTCCATCCTCACACCTCCTCTGACTCTGACTCTCCTGCCTCCCTCTTATAAGGGCCCTTGTGATTCCATGCAGCCCTCCTGATTCTTCCAGGAAAATCTCCCCAACTCAGGGCACTTAATTCAATCACATCTGCAAAGTCACTTTCATGGTGTAAGGTAATAGTCACAGGTTACAGGGGTTAAGATGTGGACATCTTTGGGGGAGCCATTATTCTACCTATCATACCCAGCCTAGGAAGAAATGCCTTGCCCTACGTTGTGGCCTCCGAATACCTCCTCTCCACAAACAGCACTGGATGGCACCTGTGCTCTTGCTCCGCCCCTGAACATTTCTTAAAATAGTTAGTGTTTGATAATCTGCACTCCTGTCTGAAGTGTGATAGTGTGATAGTTTAGTTTCTGGAGCTAGGATCAGTCTGGATTGGAATTCTGACCCTTCCTCTTCCTCCCTGTGAAAACCTGGTAAATTGCCTCCTTCTTTGTTTCTTTGTATGTGGGGTATGAATAACAATACTGTCTCCTTTCCCTGAATTATTGTAAGGTTGAGAGTTACTTAATGAAAGTGTGTAGCAGGCACTGTGCAGACACACAAGGGCCAGGATGCCAATGGTGCCAGTTGATGGGAGGCTGAGGCTGGTCATAAGCATGGTTTGGTTAGACCCTTTCTTTTTGGAAAAAAAGGCAAAGGTACAAAGTTGTGGAGATGGCAGATTGCTCTCAAGGTGCCCACCTGATGATTCATGCTAGGAATTTATGCAACTTTCTGTAACCCAGAGCAGGATATCTCAACCTCTGCACTATGGATATTTAGGGCTGGATAATTCTTTGTTGTGGGAACAGCTTTTCTTTTCAGACTCCACGTCTTCTCTCTGGCTCTGATATCCCCAGTGTGATAGGTCAATAATCGCAATGTCATCCCTTTGTCTCCAAATGCCCCTGAAAGTGGCCACTTTGCTGTCAGTCATTTACATCTTAGTGTAAATGAATAGTCTGAGACTAGGATTTGATAGAATGGAAGAGAGCAAGGAGAGGTTTTGTAGGTAAAGATTGGGGAAGCAGCAATGTCACATCCCATCTTTACAATTTTCCTGACTTCTGACCCCGTTTTTGCACTTGTTCATAGAAAACTGTGCTGTTCAATTTTCAAATTATAGAGATTTATGAACACTCTAGACCCAATGAAAGGATTTCTTAGAATCAAGAGGTAGAATTACAAGTCTCCATTTTCCCTTTTATAAGCATTTATTTCACCTCTAATGAATTCACCATCAGATTGCCCAGGTACTGACCCCTTTTGAAGGGCAGCGTTGGGCCATCTTGGAGGTGGTCATGAAGCTCTCAGGCAGGGTGGACCTGGAACTCCCACTGGCATGGTGGTTGGGAGAAATGAGTATTGTCTCTTGTTCTCCATTAACCAGATGTGTGGCCTTGGGCAAGTCTCTTTCCTATCTTGGGCCTCCTTTCCCACATCTCTACAGTGAAGGAGCTCAGTTAGATTGTGTCTGATGTCCGCTGTAGGCCTAAAGTCTTATGAATCTGGAACTCATCCATGATGGTGTTGAGGTTCCATTCTGCATTGGAAATAAAATAGCTCTTAAAGGCTGGGTGCGGTGGCTCATGCCTGTGATTCCAGCACTTTGGGAGGCTGAGGAAGGTGGATCACGAGACCAGGAGTTTGAGAGCAGCCTGGCCGACATGACAAAACCTCATATCTTCTAAAAATACAAAAATTAGCTGGGCATGGTGGTGCATGCTTGTAATCCCAGCTATTAGGGAGGCTGAGACAGGAGAATCACCTGAACCCAGGAGGCAGAGGTTGCAGTGAGGCGAGATCGCCACTGCACTCCAGCCTGGGTGACAGAATGTGACTCTGTCTCTAAATAAATAAATAAGAAAAAGAGCACAGTAAAATAGTTCTTAAGTTCTTCTCAGCAGTTTGGGTGAGTTAGAGACAACTGCTGTTGGCTAAAGTGAGAATCAGTATTTCCCTTTCCTCTATGGGAAAACCTCACAGATTCAACCCCTTATCAGCCATTCATGATATATGACAATTACATAGCCTGCAAAGCTGAACGGTGACTTCCTAATTGTTTCAGGTAAGACAATGATCATGAAACAGTCAACGTCTCTTTTCCCTCATTTGGCTTTTACTTTACGTTCAATAATGCAGATGATGTGCAAACTCTAAGATAGGTACATCTTGCATTAGGTACCCCTTATCTAGCAGCAAGAGAGTAAAATCCACCAAGAGAGTAAAATCTAGCAGCAAGTGTGTGTGTCTTTGTGTGTGTGTGTCTTTGTGTGTGTGTGTGTAACACTAATGAGCATTAAGTAAGAAGTTTTAGCACAGTGACTTGATAGAAGTGGTTAGAGAATGAATTCAACAGATAGTTATAGTTACGTATGTGGACATATAGATATCTATATCTTGTCAGATTTTGCAGACTGCTGGAGAAGAATTCCCCCATATCTGATTTAGATGATACTTAGATGATACTCTAGATTTATAAGTTAAAGTTGATGTTGGATTAATTAAGATTTTTGGAATTATTGGGATAGAATGAATACATTTTATTATGTGCTTCAAATGCAGTGGTGGGACAGGCATAGGATGGATATTCCCATTCCAAAGGGGAAAAAAATAGGAAAGAAGAAAGGAGTAATAGGTCTCACTCCCATTCGAAACCCAACAAGGCAAATAACACTCAAATATGGAGGACTGAAAATAATTTTATTTGACTCCATTCCTGACTACTTGACACACTGGTATATGGGTTGGTCCCCACAAGACTCTGGGCAGCCTCATCCCCGTGGCTTTGCTAGGCGCGGCTTATGCTGCAGCTTTCACAGGTTGGAGTCACATACCTGTTATTCTTGCAGGCTGGCATTGCATGCTGGTGGCTGCACAGGCTGGGGGGTCTCAGGAGTGGCCCTGCCCCCACTAAGCATTGCCCTAGTAGGGGCTATCTGTGGTAGCCCTGCCACTGTGACAGTTCTCTGCCTACGCCCCAAGGCTCTCATAAGCATCCTTTTAAATCGAGGAGGAGGTAGCCATGCCTGCTTAGCTCACGCACTCTGAGCATTTGCTCAGTTAGCACCACATGGATGCTGCCAGGGTTTACCTCATGCTCTCCGGACTAGCACTTTGAACCACACCTGGGTGCACTTGAGGATCTACAGCTGCAACAGACAAAGAGTGTTGGGCCAGAATGAGTGGAGCAGAAGCCTGAGGCAGTCCTGGGTGATGAAGCCTCAAGGTACCACCTATGAAATTGTTCTGCCTTCAGGGCCCTGGCACTCTGAGCCTGTTATGAGAGTGGCGGCTTCCAAGATCTTTGAAATGACTTTGGTGTCATTCTTCCATTGTCTTAATGGAATAGCATCTGGCTTCCTTCTAGGTATGCTAATTTATTTGTCAAAGAGTCACTTGGCCTCACCCTTAGGATTATTCTCTCCAAAACAGTACCTTTCCATTCTTTACATGGCTGGGCTGAGAATTGTCCAACGCTTTAAGTTCTGCTTCCCTTTTGATTATAAGCTGTGTCTTTAAGTTGTTTCTCCCTTCTCGTCTTTTCCTATAAACAGTCATGCAGCACTCTCAACACTTTGTTTACAGATTTCTTCTGCCAAATATCCCAGTATATCACTTATAACTTCTGCCTTTCACAAAACATTAGAACATGGGCACCATTTGCCAAGTTCTCTGCCAACTTATAACAAAGATGACGTTTCCTCCGGTTTCCAATGCCTTGTTCTTCATTTCCACCTAAGACCTCATCAAGATGGCCTTCACTGTCTGTATCTCCATGAATACTGTGTTTACAACCACTTAGTCTCTAGGATAATTTAGGTTCTCTCTGCAGCTGTTTTCATTTGAGCCCTCACCAGAATTACTTTAATACTCTGTTAATGAAAATACAGGCTATTTCTTTAGTCTGATTCTGCAAACTCTTCCAGTCTCTACACATTACCCAATTTCAAGCCACTTCCACATTTTTCAGGTATTTGTTATAGGAACACCCCACTTCTTGGTACCAATTTCTGTCTTAGTTATCTGTGCTGCTATAATAAAATATCAGAGACTGGATAATTTATAAACAGTACACATTTATTGTCCACAGTTATACGGTCTGGGAAGTCCAAGATTAGAGCACCAGTATATTCTGTGTATTCTGTGTCTGGTGAAAGCTACTCTTTCCTTCCAAGACAGAGCTTTCTTACTGTGCCCTCATTGCAGTGGAAGGGGACAAAAAAGGATGAACTCTGTGTACTCACATAAGAGAAGAGGTAGGACAGAAGGGCCTAGCTAGTTCCCTCTGGTCTTTTTATAAGGTTGCTAATCTCATCTATAAGGGCAGAGTCCTCATGGCCTAATCACACTCAAAAGGCCTCACCTTTTACTAGTGTTGTGTAAGTTTCAAAATGAATTTTGGAGGGGCACATACATTCAAACCATAGCACTTTATATCAGGCACTACATTATAGACTAAAGATAAGATTGTGTATGAGGCTTAGACTCTTCTCTCAAGGAGCTCATAACCAATCATGGGCTATAAATAAATTAACTAACAATCTTAATATCATGATAAGCATTATATTGAGGAAGCTTTGGAAACTATTGAAATGAACTTTTTGGCATCTTATGAAGCTCTTGTGAAGTAACCATGAAGCAGAGAGCTGAAGGATGATTAGAGTTAGGTAAATGGTAAATGGGTAGATGAGGTAAAAATCAGTTAGTCTAGGTTATGCTACGCTGTGTAACAAACAGCTCTCAGAACTTGAGATCATAATAAGATTTATTTCTTCCGTATTCCATGTCTGTTATGGGTAATTTGGGAGAGTGTTACTTTGTGTTTCTTCATGCCAGGACCCAGGCTGATAGGGCCGCTACCATTTGGAAAGTGACAAGAGGAAGAGAGAGAATGAAACAACAGTAAGCACTGGCTCTCAGCTTCTACCTGAAGAGACAAACATTGCTTTCACTTACATTTCACTGGCCAAATCAAGCCCATGGCAACAATTGAGTTCAAAAGCATAAGGAGGTATCTGGAAGGAAGAGAATCAGAAAATTTCTGATGAGCCTCACTGACTACCTTCAGGGCAAAAAGGAAGAGAGGCACTCCAGATCAGAGATCTGCATTGGAAACTCCTTGAGAACCAGAAGGGTATGCTGTATTTTTGTAACTGTGAGGAGCCCAGAAAGACTGAAGCCCAAATAAAATTCCTTTATTCAATATTAATTAACGTATTTGTTAATTATTAATAAATTTAACTTAATGGCCAGACACGGTGGCTCACATCTGTAATCCCAGCACTTTGGGAGGCCAAGGTGGGCGGATCATGAGGTCAGGAGATCGAGACCATCCTGGTTAACACGGCGAAACCCCGTCTCTACTAAAAATACAAAAAATTAGCCGGGTGTGGTGGCGGGCGCCTGTAGTCCCAGCTACTTGGGAGGCTGAGGTAGGAGAATGGCTTGAACCAGGGAGGCGGAGCTTGCAGAGAGCTGAGATTGAGCCACTGCACTACAGCCTGGGTGACAGAGCAAGACTCCATCTCAAAAACATAAAAATAAAAAATAAATAAAATAAATACATTTAACTTAATTATTCTGAGCATTCAGTTATACAGTCTGTCATCTCCGTCCCACCAATACCTAGCACTATGCTTGCCAAATAATTGTTGCAACCAAATTACTGAAACTAAACCATGGTTGATTACATCTGAGTCCCCAGATTGAGGTCTTGCCTTTTTACGGTGAGGCCAAAATTTTCACACAGGCCTTTTTTCCATCCCAGTGCTTACCCAAGTCAGGGAAAAAGGCATTTACTTTCTTGGCCAGTCAGGGTGGTGGAACATTATTATTTATTTAAAACCCATTACCTACAAACCTTTTGCATGGAACCAATTAAGAAATCTCTTAAAGAAAAAGATAATATTATGCTTGGTGTAACACAGTTTTTGAGGGCCTTTTTAATGTGTTAGGAAGCCCCATAGGTCTTGACAATTTTTTTTATGTCTCCCTTTTAAAAGCAAGGCTGCTGCCAGGGAATTTGGACTCTGGTGGTAAGTGCTGGTTGTGGTTTTCCTCAGAATAAAATTATGGGCATGTTGAAGGTGGGGTGAGGCAGAGAGTGGGAAAACGCAGGGAATGTGGGCACTTATGTCGGTTAAGGTGTCAAATTTTACATGTCTGGGTTTTGTTTCCACCAGGCTCCACTCTCTGAAATCACCATTCTGTTATATATGCTTACTGGAAGGGCTGGCTCTGTTTCAAAGAAATCTCTCTGAAATGGGGACATCAGAATGTAAAAGTTGATGAGATGTTGGAAGGGCCAGTTTTAGATGGAGGCAGCAAAGGTGCTGTAATTTGAAAGGGCAGTATGAAAAACAACCCTTCCTGAGAATCAACAGCCTGGAGTTAGAGCCCCAGAAAACAGTGGTGAGCATTTGGTCGTCCACTGTGTCATCTTGGGATGTCTCTAGCCTTTGCTTTCTCAGTAGCAGGCTGGATTCTATAACCTTTAAGGCTGTAAACTGTCTTTTGCATATAACCTGTCCTGAGTCTAAGATCCCTCTCTTGGATATCTTAGTGTCACCATTCTTACACTGGAGATTCATTCCTGTGGATTATGTTCTCAATTTTTGTTTTATTTTTGGAGATGGAGTCTCGCTGTTGTTGCCCAGGGTGGAGTGCAATGGCATGATCTCAGCTCACTGCAACCTCCGCCTCCCAGGTTCCAGTAATTCTCCTGGCTCAGCCTCCCGAGTAGCTGAGATTATAGGTGCCCACAACCATACCTGGCTAATTTGTGTATTTTTAGTTGTTGCTTTTAGAGAGAGTAGAATGTATTTCTAGGCTTTCCACAGCAGAGCTCCATGAAAAGATGTTTAAGTTCTGACTAGAGGGGAATAGAGAGAGTGGTCAAGCACATGTGCACACACAGCCTGTGACTGGCCAACTGCTCCTTCGGTTTCCAGAATTTTTAAAACATCTGCCAAAATGCAGGTGTCATCCCATTCCTCCCTGTCTTTCTAGTTCTTTTAAGCATGTTTTCTATCATGAATAGGACACTGTACCAAAGACAGGAGATACAATGCAACTCATTCCCACCTATTCAGAAGCTTACAGCCAGAAGAAGAGATGAGAATGTGCAATGACTAGCACAACATAGTGATATTGTGACAGCATTTTTCAGTTCTGCATTATACTATGAATTATTGCATAACACTATGCAATAGTACTATTATTTAAGTTCTGCAACTACTATGCAATATTGCATAGTAGTTTTAAGTTCTGGAGCCTGCCTGTGTTCAGAATCCAGCTCTCCCGTTTGCTAGCTGTCAGACCTTGGGCAAGGTACTATGACTTATTTTTGTCATCTGTAAAATGAGGAAACTAATATTACCTGACTCAGAGGCGTTGGGGGGAAAAAAAAATATATATATATATAGCCTGACACAGGGCCCTTAATAAATACTAGTATACTCTCAATAAATAAAACAGTGTGCCTTCAATAAATATTAGTTAACATTTATTTTTAATTTCAACTTTTATTTTAGATACAGGGGATACATGTGCAGGTTTGTTACATGGGAATATTGCATGAGGCTGAGGTTTGGGGTACAGATTCCATCACCCAGGTAGTGAGCATGGTAACCACAAGGTAGTTTTTCAACCCATGCTCCCTCCTTCCCTACCCCTTCTAGTGTCTACACTATTTATTATTCCCATATTTATGTCTATGTATGCTCAATATTTACCTCCCACTTATAAGTGAGAACATGTGATATTTGGTTTTCTGTTCCTACGTTAATTTGCTTAGGTTTATGGCCTCCAACTGCATCCATGTTGCTGCAAAGAACATGATTTCATTCTTTTTTTATGACAGCATAGTATTCCACTGTGTGTGTATGGACCACATTTTCTTCATCCACTCTACCATTGATGGCCACCTGGGTGGATTCCACGTCTTTGCTATTGTGATTAGCACAGGGATAAACATAAAAGTGCATGTGTCTTTTTGGTAGAATAATTTATTTTTCTTTGGGTGTATACGCAGTAATGCAATTGCTGGATCAAATGGCAGCTCTGTTTCAAGTTCTTTGGGAAATCTCCAGACTGCCTTCCACAGTGGCTGGACTAATCTACATTCCCACCAAAAGTGTATAACCATTCACTTTTCTCCACAGCCTCACCAGCACCTGTTATTTTTTGACTTTTTAGTAATAGCCATTCTGACTGGTGAGAGATGGTATTTTATTGTGGTTTTGATTTGCATTTCTTCAATTAATGATGTTGAGAATTTTTTTCATGTTTGTTGGCTGCTTGTATGTCTTCTTTTGAGAACTGTCTATTCATGTCCTTTGCCTATGTTTTAATGGGGTTGTTTTTTGCTTGTTGATTTGTTTAAGTTTCCTATAGATTCTGGATATTAGTCCTTTGTTGGATGCATAGTTTCTGAATATCTTCTCCTACCCTGTAGGTTATGTATTTACTCTATTAATAGTTTCTTTTGCTGTACAGAAATTCTTTAGTTTAATTAGGTCCCACTTGTCTATTTTTGTTTTTGTTGCAATTGATTTTGGGAACTTAGTCAAAAATTCTTTGCCAAGGCTGATGTCAAGAGGAGTATTTTCCAAGTTGTCTTCTAGAATTTCTATAGTTTGAGGTTTTACATTTAAATCTTTGATCCATTTTGTATATGGTAAAAGGTGAGGTTCCAGCTTCAATCTTCTGCATATGGCTAGCTAGTTATCCCAGCACCATTTACTAAAGAGTGAGTCCTTTCTGAATTGCTTGTTTTTGTCAGCTTTGTCAAAGATAAGATAGTTGTAGGTGTGCAGCCTTATATCTGGGCTCTCTGTTCTGTTCCATTGGTCTATGTGTTTATTTTTGTACCAGTAGCATGCTCTTTGGGTTACTATAGCCCTGTAGTATAGTTTAAATGTTGGGTAATGTGGTGCCTCTGGCTTTGTTCTTTTTGCTTAGGATCGCCTTGGCTAGGGTCTTTTTTGGTTTTATATAGAAACCAGAGTTTAGAATAGTTTTTTCTAGCTCTGTGAAGAATGATGTTGGTATTTGATGGGAATAGCACTGAATCTGTAAATTGCTTTGGGCAGTATGGCCATTTTTACAATATTGATTCTTCCAATTCATGATCATGGAACGGTTTTCCATTTATTTGTGTCATCTCTGATTTCTTTGAGCAGCATTTTGCAGTTCTCCTTGTGGAGATCTTTTACTCCCTTTGTTAGCTGAATTTTCAGGTATTTCATCCTTTTTGTGGCTATGATAAGTGGGATTGTGTTTTTGATTTTATTCTCAGTCTGGACATTGTTGGTATATAGAAATGCTACTGATTTTTGTACATTGATTTTGTAACCTGAAACATCATTAAAATTGTTTATTAATTCTAGGAGCCTTTTGGTAGAGTGTTTAGAATTTTCTAGGTATAGAATCACATCATCAGTAAAAAGAGATAGTTTAATTGTTTTTTTCTTATTTGAATGTCTTTTATTTCTTTCTCCCGCCTGATTGCTCTGGATAGGACTTCCAGTACTATGTTGAATAGGAGTGGTTAGAGTGGACATTCTTGTCTTGTTTCTGTTCTCAAGGGGATTCCTTCCTCCTTTTGCCCATTTAATATGATACTGTTTGCTGATTTGTCATAGATGGCTCTTATTATTTTGAGGTATATTTTTTGATGCCTAGTCTGTTGAGGGTTTTCATCATAAAATATGTTAAATTTTATTGAAGGCTTTTTCTGTGTCAATTGAGATGGTCATATATTTTTTGCTTTTTAATTCTATTTATGTGGTGAATCACATTTATTGGTTTGTGTATGTTGAACGAACCTTGCATCCCAGGAATAAAGACTGCTTGATTATGGTGTATTAACTTTATGATGTGTTGCTGGATTTGGTTAGCTAATATTTTGTTGAGGAGTTTTGCATCTATGTTCATGAGGAATATTGGCCTGGAGTTTTCTTTTTTCATTGTGTCTTTGCCAGATTTTTGTATCAGGCTGATGCTGGCTTCACAGAATGAGTTAGGGAATAGTCCCTCCTCCTCAATTTTCTGGAATAGTTTCAGTACAATCAGTATCAGTTCTTTGTATGCCTGGTAGAATTCAGCTGTGAATCTATCTGGTCCAGAGCTTTTTTGTTGTTGTTGTTGTTAGGATCTTTATTACTGATTCAATTTCAGAAGTTGATATTAGTCTATTCAGGGTTTTAATCTCTTCCGGATTCAATCTTGGGAGATTGTGTGCTTCCAGGAATTTATCTGTTCCTTCTAGATTTTCGAATTTGTGTGCATAGAGTTGTTCATAAATTCATAAGTCTCTGAGGATCTTTTGCATATCTGTGGGATCAGCTGTAATATCATTTGTTGTTTCTGATTGTGCTCGTTAGGATCTTCTCCTTCATTTTTTTTGTTAATTTAGCTAGCAGTCTATTTTTCAAAGAATAAACTCTTGCTTTCATTGATTTTTTGTATTGATTTTTGCATCTCAACTTCCTTAAGTTCTCTAATTTAATTATTTTCTTCTATTTCATTTTAATGATTTATTTTCTTTGGGATTAGTTTGTTCTTTTTTTTTCTAATTCTTCTAGGTGCAAAGTTAGATTTTTAATTTGAGATGTTTCTAACTTTTTGATGAAGGCATTCAGGGTTATAAACTTTCTCTTATCACTGCTTTGGATGAAAACAGTAATAGTAAAAGACTTCAACATCCCACTGACGGTATTAGACAGATTATCAAGGCAGAAAACCAACAAAGAGACTCTAGATTTAAACCCAACACTTGACCAATTGGACCTCATAGACATCTACACAGCACTTCACCCAACAATAACAGAATATTCATTCTTCTCATCTGCACAAAAAAAATGTATTCTAAGGTCCATTACATGCTTGATCATAAAGCAAGTCTCAATAAATTAAAAAATTGAAATAATACCAAGCACACTCTGGGATCACAGTGCAATAATAATAGTAATCAATATCAGGAAGAGCTCTTAAAACTATACAAATACTTTAAAATTAAACAATTTACTCCTGAATAACTCCTGGGCAAACATCAAAATTAAGGCAAAAATAAAATATTATTTGAAATTTTTCACGCATGTCTGTGTGAAGAGACCACCAAACAGGCTTTGTGTGAGCAACATGGCTGTTTATTTCACCTGGGTGCAGGCAGGCTGAGTCCGAAAAGAGAGTCAGCGAAGGGAGATAAGGTTGGGGCCGTTTTATAGGATTTGGGTAGGTAAAGAAAATTACAGTCAAAGGGGGTTTGTTCTCTGGCGGGCAGGAGTGGGGGTCACAAGGTGCTCAGTGGGGGTGGTTTTTGAGCCAGGATGAGCCAGGAAAAGGACTTTCACAAGGTAATGTCATCACTTAAGGCAAGGACCGGCCATTTTCACTTCTTTTGTGGTGGAATGTCATCAGTTAAGGTGGGGCAGGGCATATTCACTTCTTTCGTGATTCTTCAGTTACTTCAGGCCATCTGGGCGTATATGTGCAAGTCACAGGGGATGGGATGGCTTGGCTTGGGCTCAGAGGCCTGACATTCCTGCCTTCTTATATTAATAAGAAAAATAAAACAAAATGGTGTTGAAGTGTTGGGGTGGCTAAAATTTTTGGGGGGTGATATGGACAGAGAATGGGCGATGTTTCTCAGGGCTGCTTCAAGCAGGATTAGGGGCAGCGTGGGAACCTAGAGTGGGAGAGACTAAGCTGAAGGGAGGTCTTGTGGTAAGGGGTGATATTGTGGGGATGTTAGAAGAAACGTTTGTCGTATAGAATGATTGGTGATGGCCTGAATACGGTTTTGGATGAATTGAGAAACTAAATGGAATAACAGAAGGAGAAAAACAGGTATAAAAGGTCTAAGAATTGGGACAACTCAGGATATCCGATTAGAGAGTGCCTAAGGAGATTCAGCATAGTCCTGCCAGCAAAGATTATTTATTTACTTCAAGAGTTAAGAGTGGCAGTTTGGGGATAGCACCAGGAGATATCAGCTGTGATGGCTTGGAAAAACAGTGTAAACCGGCAGTGTAAACAAGAGCAGGGCATGTATGAGTAGTTGAGAACAGTGAATAGGAGTATGACTAGACAGAAGATAGTAGGGATGACAAGTTTTTTTGGGGGCACAGTCTAAGTTGGTCTGGTGTCTGGAATGAGACTGGGGCCTAATAAAAAGGAGCGTCTATACAGGAGCTTAAATGGGCTGTACCCTGTAGCATTCCGAGGACAGGCCAGAATTCTGAGAAGGGAAAGTGGTAAAAGTATTGTCCAGTCCTTTTTGGTGGCTGAGCTTGGTGAGGTGTGTTTTTAAAAGACCTTTAGTCCATTCTACTTTTCTTGAAGACGGAGGACCGTAAGAGATATAAAGGTTTCACTGAATACTAAGAGCCTGAAAAACTGCTTGGCTGATTTGACTAATAAAGGCTCATCTGTTATCACACTGTATTGAGGTGGGAAGGCTTAACCGAGGAATTATGTCTGACAGAACGGAAGAAATGACTGCGGTGGCCTTCTCAGACCCTGTAGGAAAGGACTTTACCTATCCAGTGAAAGTATCTACCTAGACTAAGAGGTATTTTAGTTATCTGACTCAGGGCATGTTGAGTAAAGCTAATTTGCCAGTCCTGGGTGGGGCAAATCCTCGAGCTTGATGTGTAGGGAAGGGAGGGGGCCTGAATAATCCCTAAGGAGTAGTAGAATAGCAGATGGAACACTGAGAAGTTATTTCCTTGAGGATAGATTTCCACGATGGAAAGGAAATGAGAGGTTCTAAGAGGCAGGCTAGTGGCTTGTACTATAGCATAGCCTGCCTTTGCTGGTGTGTGGCGATTAGGCCTGGTGGAACCGCCATCAATAAATCAAGCGTGATCAGGGTGAGGAACAGGAAAGAAGGAAATTTGGGGAAATGGGGTGAATGTCAGGTGGATCAGAGAGATACTGTCATGGGGGTCAGGTGTGGTATCAGGAATAATGTGGGAGGCCGGACTGAAGTCTGGGCCAGGAACAACGGTAATTGTGGGAGACTCAACAAAGAGTGAGTACAGCTGAAGGAGCCGGGAAGCAGAAAGTATATGCGTCAGGTATGAGGAAGAAAATAGATTTTGGAAGTTATGAGAACTGTAGAGAGTGAGTTGAGCATAGTTTGTGATTTTGAGGGCCTCTAAAAGTATTAAAGCAGCGGCAGCCGCTGCATGAAGATATGAGGGCTAGGCTAAAACAGTAAGGTCAAGTTGTTTGGACAGAAAGGCTATACGGTGTGGTCCTGGTTGTTGTGTAAGAATTCTGACCACGTTAACCATGCCTAGGAAGGAAAGGAGTTGTTGTTTTGTAGAAGGTGCTTGGGTTTGAGAGATCAGTCGGACACGATTGGCAGGGAGAGCACATGTGTTTTTATGAGAATTATGCCGAGATAGGTAACAGATGAGGATAAAATTTGGGCTTGACTGAAGTAATGGGGGCTGTCTGTGAAGTCTTGCAGCAGTACAGCCTAGGTAATTTGCTGAGCCTAATGGGTCTCAGGGTCAGTCTAAGTGAAAGCAAAGAGAGGCTGGGACGAGGGGTGCAGGGGAATAGTGAAAAAAGCATCTTTAAGATCAAGCACGGAATAGTGAGTTGTGGAGGAAGGTATTGAGGACAAAAGAGGGTACGGGTTGGGCACCACAGGGGGGATAGGCAAAACAATTTGGTTGATAAGGCGCAGATCCTGAACTAACTTGTAAGGCTTGTCTGGTTTTAGGACAGGTAAAATGGGGGAATTGTAAGGAGAGTTTATAGGTTTTAAAAGGCCATGCTGTAGCAGGTGAGTGATAACAGGCTTTAATCTTTTTAAAGCGTGCTGCGGGATGGGATATTGGCGTTGAGTGGGGTAAGGGTGATTAGGTTTTAATGAGATGGTAAGGGGTCACCAAGGAGGGAGTAGAGGTATCTTATACTTGTGGGTTAGGGTCGGGGGATACAAGAGGAGGACGCAAGGAGGCTTTGGATTGGGAAGAAGGGCGGCAATGAGATATAGCTGTAGTCCAGGAATAGTCAGGGAAGCAGATAATTTAGTTAAAGTGTCTCAGCCTAATAAGGGAACTGGGCAGGTGGGGATAACTAAAAAGGAGTGCTTAAAAGAGTATTGTCTAAGTTGGCACCAGAGTTGGGGAGTTTTAAGAGGTTTAGAAGCCTGGCCGTCAATACCCACAACAGTTATGGAGGCAAGGGAAACAGGCCCTTGAAAAGAAGGTAATGTGGAGTGGGTAGCCTCCATATTGATTAAGAAGGGGACGGGCTTACCTTCCACTGTGAGAGTAACCCAAAGCTTGGCGTCCGTGATGGTCTAGGGGGCTTCCGAGGCAATCAGGCAGTGTCAGTCTTCAGCTGCTAAGCCGAGAAGATCTGGGAAGGAGTCAGTCAGAGAGCCTTGGACCAGCGTTCTAGGGGCTCTGGGAGTGGCTGCCAGGTGAGTTGAACAGTCCAATTTTCAGTGGGGTCCCACACAGATGGGACACGGCTTAGGAGGAATCCCAGGCTGCGGGCATTCCTTGGCCCAGTGGCCAGATTTCCGGCACATGTAGCAAGCTCCTGGGGGAGGAGGTTCTGGAGGAACGCCTGGCCGCTGCGGTTCAGGCGTTTGGAAGTTCTTGTGTGCTGCAGATGTGGCTGGGGTTTGTCTCACAGTGGAGGCAAGTAATTGCAACTTTTTTCTATTATTGTACACCTTGAAGGCGAGGTTAATTAAATCCTGTCATGGGGTTTGAGGGCCGGAATTTAATTTTTGGAGTTTTATTTAATGTCGGGAGCAGAATGGGTAATAAAGTGCATTTTGAGAATAAGACGGCCTTTTGACCTTTTAGGGTCTAGGGCTGTAAAGTATCTCAGTATTGCTGCTAAACAAGTCATGAACTGGGCTGGATTTTTATATTTGATGAAAAAGAGCCTAAACGCTATCTGATTTGGGATAAAGAAAAAGGAGCATTAACCTTGACTATGCCTTTAGCTCCAGCCACCTTTCTAAGAGTAAATTGCTGGGCAGGTGAGGGAGGGCTAGTCACGGAAAGAAACTGTAAGCCGGACCAGGTGTGAGGAGCGGAGGCGATAAAAAGATTATAGGGTGGAGGAGCGGAGGCTGAGGAAGAATTGGGACCTAGCTCGGCCTGGCGAGGAGGTGAGAGGTCAGATGGGTCTGTAGAAAAGGAAGATTAGAAAGACTCAGCGATGCTTGGGGTTGGGACTGAGGGGACAGGCGGGAGGGAAAGAAGGAAGATTTGGGACGAGTTGTACTGGGCACAGAGACTAGGAAGGGACTGATGTGTAAAAGAATGCCTGGACGTCAGGCGCCTCGGACTGTTTGCCTATTTTACAACAAGAATTATTTAGATCTTGCAGGATGGAAAAATTCAAAGTGCCATTTTCTGGCTATTTGGAACTACTGTCGAGTTTGTATTGGGGTCAAGTGGCATTGCAGAAGAAAATAAGGCATTTAGGTTTTAGGTCAGGTGTGAGTTGAAGAGGTTTTAAGTTTTTGAGAACACAGGCCAAGGGAGTAGAAGGAGGAATGGAGGGTGGAAGGTTGCCTATACTGAAGGAAGCAAGCCTAGAGAAAAGAGAGAGTAGAGAAATGGAGGGAAGGGGTTCGGGGGTTCTTACCTTCCAGAAAAGGGGTGGGGTGCAGAGATAAGAGGTTGGGGTGTGGAAATAAGGGATTGGGGCACAGAGATATAAGAGGTTGGGGCACGGAAATAAGGGATTGGGGTGCAGAGATACGAGGTTGGGGCATGGAAATAAGGGATTGGGACACAGAGATAAGAGGTCGGGGTGCGGAAATAAGCAACTGGGGGGTTCTTGCCCCCCAGGAAAGCAGGACTTGCCGCTAAGGGTGAAGGAGAAGGGGTTGAGGGGTACTTGCCCCTGCCCCAGAAAAGCAGAGAAGGGGTTGGGGTACTTGCCCCTTCCCCAGAAAAGCGGGACTTGCCGCTAAGGGTGAAGGACCAAGGCAGGCGTCCCTGCGTGTGGTCTGACACCCTTGAAACGTGAGTGTATAATCAGAGAGGCGTCCCTGCAAGGATTAAACACCAAGGGAAGGCTGCCTTCCCAGTCCGTGACCGGAGCCGGAGTTTTGGGTCCACGGATAAAACGTGTCTCCTTTGTCGCTACCAGAAAATGAAAGGAATTGAAATTAAGGGAGACATTGAAGTGTGGCACCAAGATTGAAAGGAGAAAGAGGTTGAGGGATAGTGAGGGAGGTTGGAGAAGAGAGTAAAAAGAGGCTGCTTACCGGATTTGAAATTGGTGAGATGTTTCTTGGGCTGGTTGGTCTGAGGACCTGAGGTCGTAGGTGGATGTTTCTCATGGAGCAAAGAACAGGAGGACAGGGGATTGATCTCCCAAAGGAGGTCCCCCGAGCCGAGCCACAGCACCAAATTTCATGCGCGTCCGTGTGAAGAGACCACCAAACAGGCTTTGTGTGAGCAACATGGCTGTTTATTTCACCTGGGTGCAGGCGGGCTGAGTCCAAAAAGAGAGTCAGCGAAGGGAGATAAGGGTGGGGCCGTTTTATAGGATTTGGGTAGGTAAAGGAAAATTACAGTCAAAGGGGGTTTGTTCTCTGGCGGGCAGGAGTGGGGGTCGCAAGGTGCTCAGTGGGGGTGCTTTTTGAGCCAGGATGAGCCAGGAAAAGGATTTTCACAAGGTAATGTCACCACTTAAGGCAAGGACTGGCCATTTTCACTTCTTTTGTGGTGGAATGTCATCAGTTAAGGTGGGGCAGGGCATATTCACTTCTTTTGTGATTCTTCAGTTACTTCAGGCCATCTGGGTATTCAAGTCACAGGGGATGGGATGGCTTGGCTTGGGCTCAGAGGCCTGACAAAATTAATGAAAATACACAACTTACCAAACTCTCTGTGATGCAGCCAAAGCCTTTTACATATTAATTCATTTATTTCTCCTGATAGTCTCTGAGTTGGTACTAGTATTATTATTTCTTATTTTATAGATGATAACACTAAGGTACAGAGCAGTTAAGTAACTTCCCTTAGATCACACAGTTAGTAGCTGAAAGCTTTGGGATATGACTCTAGGCAGTCAGGCTATAGAACCTGTGCCCTTCATCTCCTGCTCTGATAAATGGCTACTACTACAGCTAATACACATATTATGGTATTTGAATTTCATATCTCTAGAGAGTAGTTACTATAAGCCCTGCTTTCAATAATGGAGACACTGAAACTCGGAGAGGCTAAGTTACTAGGTCTACGACTCATGGTAAATAGCAAGATCAATGAGTTTTCCACTGTCTCTCAATTTCATGGACAACCCTATCAAATGAGGCAGGGTATGTTAAATGTCCGAAGTTTTTATTTTATAGAATTAAGCTAAATATGAACCCTAGGACCAGGAACAAGAAAATGTAATACTTATCACCTCATGGTGCTTTGTATGAAGGCAGGGACCTGGAATATTCATAGTTACCTGATGCAAAAATCTAGACCTCTGGGGCCCATGCCATACCCAGAGAATCAGAACCTCTGAGGTGAGGCTTAGAAATCTGTGGCTGACAAGATTCTCACGTGTTTTTTGATGTGTAGCCAATTTGAAAACCACAGCAACAGCAGAGCTGAATGCAGATTGCTGAGTGGCATTTCTCCACGAAGTGCCCCAGAATGCGGTTGTGGGAGAAGCTTGGACAAGAGCCCCCAACTCTGATCTCAATTACTGACTCTGTCCCTCAGGACTTGTTGACAATAAGCAACCCACTCAACTTCACTCAGCTACATTTTCTTCATCTGCCATCACAAGGAACATAAGTGTTAACACATGTAAAAGCCTAAGTACAAAAGCTGATGCACAAAATGCAAGTTTTCTTTCCCTACGAAATTGTTCTGAAAGGACTTTTTCAATTATAGAGGACTATGCAGAAAGAATAGAATGATTTACTCTGAACAGTTCTACACACTCAACACCTGCCTTTTGTGCTGAAACATTTAATTTCTTGTGGGCATGCCTGAAATCATCATGGTTTCTAAATGCTCAAGTTTCTTGTTGATGCTAATCCGAAGATATTTCTAGTAGTCGCTGAAGCTAGTTGTCTGAAACTTAATTATCTATAGATAAAGTTTGTTTGTAGAACACCCAGGCCCTCAATTTCTCCTTCTTAAGTCTGAAATCAACATGGTGGTGGGTTGCCTCCCAAAATATGCCAAAAAGAAAAGGGAAGCATAAATTAGTTCCTTTGGGCTATGTCTAGTGAAGCAAAAACCCCATGTCTGTGTGTTCATCATTTACTGGGCATCTTTTGCAGCCTAAAGAGGCTAATCTGGTAAGCTCTAGTGGGTGGTGTTACGTTTCCAGCAAAGGAGAGATTTGGATGCCTTGAAATACATGGACAATGTCATAAGGTTACCCAGGTTGGAGAAATAACCCCATTAGTTATAGATAGCAATTTATGCTACCATGAGTCCTCTAACAGACTACCTCATAAGGAGCTCAATTATTTTCTGATTCCTGCCAATGTAGCTTCTCATAGAGAGAAAATAAAAATAAAATGGTTTCCAATCATGATTTGGTTCCCCTGTGACTTGGCTTCAGGGAAGGAAACTCACCAACTCAGACCAACCTGAAACTTTTGTCTTCTTTCCCCCCATTGAAAATTAATAAACTGACACTCTGGTATATCTCCTAGCTGCACAGGCATGTTGGTTAGCCTGAGTCAGGCTGAATTCTGTGTGTTGAAAAGATGATTTTCTTTCCAAACATCCTCTCTTAAATGATGTCAAGGTCTTTGGCTCACAGTCTCTCACTCAAATGTTATCAGCCCCGAGCAGTTTGCATTGTGATGCCTGTTGGGGATACAAAAGCAGAACAAGGCACCCATCCCTGTCTTCAAGGGGTTTGCAGTATTGCTGGGAAACAAGCAATCAGATAAATTTCAGAATCATACAAGATGAGACATGATCAGAGGCTCAATGGAACACATTTAAATGGGGTTGGAGAGGTAAGTTGGAGCCTAGGAATGGGGTTCACGTAGAAGTGTGGTGGTCAGAGGGAGAAGTCGTTGTCTTCTGCAGTCTAGATGTTTCCTGTTGGATTGGCCCAAGTGGGATAGGTAGGCAGGGAGCAGAGAGGATAGCCTGCCATGCCAAGAAATGGCCTGGGCAGAGATTCTAGACCACTTTGGAATTTCTGTCATGGAGGTTCTGATCATTGAATCCATGGACTCACACAGAAGGTCATGTCCTCCCCACTCCCAGAGATAAGAGGGGAGGCAACATGCTTGCAAAATAAGTGGTCTCCAGGCCGGGTGCCGTGGCTCACGCCTGTAATCCCTGCACTTTGGAAGGCCAAGGCGGGTGGATCACCTGACGTCAGAAGTTCAAGACCAGGCTGGCCAACATGATGAAACCCCGTCTCTACTAAAAATACAAAAAATTAGCCGGACCTGTGGGTAGGCACCTGTATTCCCAGCTACATGGGAGGCTGAGGCAGGAAAATCACTTGAACCTGGGAGGCGGAGGTTGCAGTGAGCCGAGATTGTGCCACTGCACTCCAGCCTGAGTGGCAAGAGCAAAACTCCGTCTAAAAAAAAAAAAAGTCTCAAATCTGAATATGTCAGCAAATCTTTCCATATTGGCCAGATTCTCAAAAATGCTGCTCCTCTGCTCTAGCCCAGTATCACCTTCCCTAAGGAGCCTGGGGAGCAGTTTTCCCAAATTATACACAGGGATATGCTCTGTACTTTTCCACTCATAATTAAATAAATATTTGAATAGTTACTTGTTTAATGACTGTCTCTCCTACCAGACAGTCAGCTTCATTAAATAAAAAGTACTTAGCATGGTGCTTGTCTCCTAGTAAGGACTCAATAAATGTTGTCTCTTTGTGCTACTTGTGTTTCATGAGAGCAAAGCCTGTTTCTGTCTAGTCATCAGTGTATTCCCAGTGCTAAGCAAGACGTCTGGCACAAGAGAGTCTCAGTAACATATTTATTCAATGAATGAACTCTTGGTTCCACTGCCCCATTCCCATCTCACCACCACAAAACTACTTTTCTTATAGCTTTCCCCAATTCAGTAAATGATAATTCTAATCTAGGAATTTTTCAGGTCAAAAACCTTACTGTCAGCCTTGACTCCTTTCTTTCACATCCAAGCCTATTCCAACAGCAATGGCAACCAACTCTGGCCTCAAAATTTACCCTTAAACAATGTCTTATCATCAATTCTCTTATGGCCACTCTAGACCAAGCAACCATGGCTTCGCAGCTGATCTGTCACTAGAGACTCCTGATGCATCCCTTGCTTCTGCACTTGGCCTTCTAGTCTCTTCTCCATAGAGCAGCCAGAGTGATTCCTTTCTAACACAATTCAGAGCATGACACTCCTCTGTCCACACATCTCCAATGACTTCCCTTCTTCCTGAGAGGAAAACTAAAAATTCCTTAATCTGGTCCACAAAGTCCCAGGTGAGTGACCTCAGCTGATCCTCTGGCCTTCTCTCACTGTCCTTCTCTAGCATCTCGGCCTCCTCACTGTCCACAGCAGGCCAGGGAGCTTCCTCCCTTCAGCCTTTGACCTTGCTATTCTCCACCTGGAAGCCTCCTTCCCAGATATCCACAGAGCTGGCTGCATCTACAGTTGGCATGGCATGGGTGTGAAGGAAGGAGTCAAGGCTGACAGTGAGGTTTTTGAGCTGGAAAACTCCTAGAGTGGAATTATCATTTACTGAGCTTGGGAAGGCTATAGGAGAAATAGTTTGGTGGCAGTGTGTGGAGAGGAACGAAAACATGTGGTTTCTCCCTCCTTTCTTTCAGGTCTCCCTTCCATGCCACCCTCTCAGAGCCTTGCCCCGATGACCTTATTTAAATGGATGCCTTGGCCTCTCCAGCCTTCCTCATCTCTTTACTATGTTTTGTTGTCCTTCATAGCTCTTATTGACACTTGTCACAATACACATCTATTTATTTATTGTCCGTCTTCCACTCTAAAACATAGATGGGACTTTGACAATTTTATTTATTATTTACATATCCGACACCTAGATTAAGACCAGGCAGTTAGTAGGCAGGAGGTACTTGTTGAATGCATACATGCATGAATGAATGAGTATACACACATACACCACAGACACATACACACACCTCTATGTGTATACTTTCTAAAATCACTTGCTCTGTTCCAGGCACCATTGCAGGTGTAAACCTTTTACCAGCATGATGTTTATTAATTACAACAATCCAGTAAAGTAGGCACTATTATCTCCATTTTACAGAGGAGAACAAGAGGCTCACTGGATAAGCGGCCAATATCCCTGAGCTGGAAAGTGAAGACTTGAGAGTCCAACTCAGTTTGAATGACTCCAGGGACGTTGACTTTCACTACACCAGAATGCCTTGTCCAGGCCCATAGACCTACTGACGACATATACAACTGCCTTGAGGTTTCTGGAGGGAGGTTTCAGAGAGTGATGTTGAAATAACAGGCTTGTGTGTCAGTCACGGGGAGTTAGGACAGAGCAGTATTTACTGTCGACAAGTCAAAACGGCTTACCCTGGGTGACTAAACTGAACGCCTTCAGATTTTCCCTTTAGGAGGAAAAGGGAAACAGAGCAGAGCATGCGGAAAAAAGTGAAAGGTTCCTCTGGCAGGTCACCAGGCTTTCCTGTCAGGGCACTTCTGACATGCCCCTTGCAGGACTTATTACTCGTAGAAGGGAAGATGAATCTCATGGCACATTGTCTTGGGACATTTCCAAGGGAGGAGCTGGGGGAGGAGGGGACAGACTTAGCAATGGGTGGACCCAAAGTTAGCTTTGAGAATCCAGTTTTCTAATCACAGCTATCTTGGGAGGTTACAAGGCAACTGACTATTCACTAGGAATCAATTACATTGACTCACTAGGTTGGGATTTGACATCTTCTTGCTACCTTCAAGTTCTCAGAAATAAATGGGGTGGGGATTGAGGTTCTGGGAATGGTAAGATTCTGATCCCTGGATGATGGCTAAATGGAAGATCTGCTTGGGGTAGAATTCCAATATCAACAGTTGATAAAATTCTGAGCTGTAGTAAGTGGCAGAATTCCATGCCCTAGTGAATAGTAGTATTCCATTATCACAGGCCATTGAGGACCCAGGCATGGAGGGCAAAATCTGGCAAAATGTGATGTGTAGAAGAATGGCAGGTGTCCTTGAAATCTGCCTAGACTCTTTCTTCCCCCTTCCAGAATGGCAGGTGTCCTTGAAATCTGCCTGGCCTGTTTCTTCCCCCTTCCAGCTTGGTTCAGAAAGTTTTCTTAGGCCCGAGGACTAGAGATTTGCAAACTCCTGGATGCTGGCTCTGCAATTAGAGCTATTTATGACTCCCAGGGCAGATCATGCATTCCTTCAACAAACCTACACAGTTTGGGTGCAGCAGACATTTTTGTTTGCCTACCAATAGTCATGCTGAAGTTGGTTTTTCCCTTACTTGACTCTACTTATGTAGGTTGAATGAGCCAGATGCATGCTTGCCTGCCTCCTTTGCAGCAGGGCAGCTATGTGAGCCAGCTCTGCCCAGTGAGATTTAAGGAAACTCCTGGTTATCTAGGATAGATTTATCTTCCTTCCTAAAAGGAGAGATACATGGCAAGTGCTCTCTCTCTCTCTCTCTCTCTCTGTTCTTCTCTCTCTCCTCCTGCTACACCACTCTCTCCATCTTGATTGCCTTGTGTTTCTTGCCTTTAAATGCAGTTATGTGAAATCGTGATTCCTAAAGATAGGAATGCCAACCTGAGCCCATGAGGGAAAGACTGAGAGAAGGTGAGAGACATCAATCTAATGCTTTGACGTCACAAGCTATTCTATCAGCTTTAGAGCCCCCACTTCCAGACATCTTGCTAAATGTATATGTCTTTCCAGCAGCTTTAAGTCATTGGTCTGATTTATCTTACTTTTGGCATTTTCCTCCTCAGAAGCATCCTCATCTTCCATGTGAGGATTATTCAAAATATTTCTGAATGTGCAAGTTTCTACTGGGAACTGGTACAGGTTACAGGTTAGTGAATTTCCAGTTTGTAAATACTGAGTGGCTGGGAATCAACTCTCCAAGGGCCCATGTTAGGAAAGTATCATGTGTCTCAGACACAGACACAAACAAGGTTAGGAAGCATTGCAATTGGTCATCTGTTGGGTTCAATACAATTGGCAATATTTTTGTGTGGGGACTGTGCTTTATTCATTTCTGTATCCACAGGCCCTGAAACATTAATATGCATTCAGGAAATATTTACTAGTAGAAATTGGGCTGAGTACAGGAAGCTTTGACTTCTGGTTGTGGCTTTATTGTTAACATACTCTGTGACCTTGGTCAAGGCATATTATTCTTCTAGGCTTTAATTTCCTTCTCCAGGGTGGATTGAGAGTTTTGAATTAAATTTTCCCTGTTCTATGACTACAACCAATGGGCAATGGAGCTGGAATTAAGAGCCTCAAGCTTAGAGGCAGACGGTCATCTGCTCTGGACAGGTCCACATACTTTATTCTCTAAACCATGTAGAATATTAGAAGTCAAATTGAGCAAAAGATGAATCAATGCATTATAAGACACAAAATGAAAATATGAGAGCATAATGAATCTTCTTGAGAGTGTGACTGTTGCTCAAGAGCCTTACAGGATAAACACCCAAGAAAAAAATGGCAAATTTGGCAAATGAGGAAACTGAGGCATGATGAAGCTGTTCAGTGTCACACAAATAGCAAATAAAAGGCCAAGATTCAACTACATGCACAAAGTTGAATCTTGTTTGTGCCCACGTAGTCTGCAGCCTACAGACTTTGCTGCAATTAATGTTGTATGGCATGTATTTTTTTTCTCATTTTCTTTGGTTCAGAAGTTGCTGCAATTTTCTTCTTTTATTATGTGTTTTGGCCAAACTCACATGTGTGCTTATATGTGTGTATTTGGTGTATGTATAGTGTATGTGTGCTGGGTACTTGGTAGTTGCATTTGGTGGAGGAGTACTTATTCTATGTGTAGGGTGAAAAAGAAAGAAAGAGTCCTTTAACTCTTTTAAAGTATTAATACTTAAAACAAACTTGTCTTCATTTTGTTGACAAGTTCTTGTTTTTATGGGAATAAGTGCAGTGGAATTAATGACATTTCTGGTATAGAATGCATATGCCATCGGAGATCAGATTGGAATGACTCGTATTAAGCAGGAAAGATCATGGGAGAGGTAGGAATTGAACTTGGTTAGTGGGACTTGGAGAATATTCTGGAAGAGAAGGTTTTATTTAAGAATACTTCTTAAATAAAAGGATTTAAGAATTATTGAGTAAAACTATGGACTGTTTTCCCAGAAAAGGCATTAGGGTCAAGATCCCTGAAGTTCAATCTTGGCTTTTCTACTTTCTGGTTGTGTGACCCTGGATAAAGAAATTAAGCCTCAGTTTTTTTCATTTGTCAAATTAAATATCTCTTAGAGCTGTTTTGAAAACATTTAATTAATGCATGAAATGTGTTTAGATGAATGCCTGGTATATAAGTAAACACTCAGCCAATGTTAGCTATTAGTATTTTGGAGAGTTTTGAAGTTTGTGCTTGACTTGATGTCTATCTTTTCATAGTTAAATAGCTATTGAGATTTCTCAGTGATTGCTATTGATTCTAAGTTAAAAAATCAGTTGATACTAAATGGCAGCAGGTATGCAGATAGTGGTGGTGGGTTTGGGAGTGAATCTTTATTTCTGATATTTCAAGATGGTTCATGAATATCTTGCTTAAATCCTAGCCAGGCAATATACCAGGGAACTCTGTAGATTTCTTCTTCCATGCTAGACGTTTACTGGAAGAGTGCAGAAAATTAAACTTAAAAAATAAGCTTTTATACCTTCTAGACCAGGAGATTATGGACGTACAATAGAAGAACACACCCAAGAAAACCGGGATCAAAGGCAAAATATGTGGTAGAAGCAATGAATGCCAAAGACATGTTCTTATTTGTTACTATCTGGACCTCCTAGAAACTGAGCTTGTCATCCTAATTCCTGACACTGGCACTCCTATCTTAAACTCTTCAATGGTTGCCTCTTTAGACTTATAGGATAGATGCTTATCTCTGAGGAACAGCATAAAAACCATCTATGATTGGAACCTGCAAACGTCTCTAACTTCATCCCTGTGCTCCCTTCCACCCTCCACTTCCCTGGTGAGACGTGTGTGGTTTGTTGTCATGCTGTTCCAGCTCTCTGTGCTTTTGCTAATGCTGTTTCCACTGCCTGACTGCTTCTCCCAACATCTTTGGCTTTTATTCATCTTTCAAGTCTTAGCTAGGTGTCATTTCCTCCAAAAAGCATTCCTGAGTCCACATTTGGCTTCATTGTCCTTTTCTTTATTCCCAGAGTAACTTGTGGGCTTTCTCTCTCAGCATGATCATTTGTTTGTACATCAGTTTTTCTTTGCAGCCTGGGACTCCTTGAGGATAGGGCAGAAGTACTCATCAAATATCTGTTGACTAGAGGTATTACCAGAGCAGCCCTTTGGAAGTATCCAGCTGAGCCAGTGGCGTGTTTTCCACCACTAGGGCAGAACATCTTTCCCAGTTGCTTCCATTTCAGCTGTTGCCAATCCTTTCACTAGTGCCAAGGTTGAAAACCTGGGAGGCATCCTGATTCTTCACTTTCCTTCACAGCCATGCCATAGCCATCAGCAGGTCCTGACAACTCCATTTTCAAGTGCATCCTTAATCTGACCACTTTCACCACCTCCAAGTCTACCCTTGTGGTCCGAGTCATTTCTGATCTCTCAATTTATCTCTCTGCTTCTACTCTTGTCAATTCTCCTCCTCCCCACCACTACACACACACACAAAGAGCCTATTCTGCATGTAGCAAATAGGGCGATCCTTGTAACAAAACAAAACAGATGATGGTTCTCTTCTGTTCACCCACCTACCTCCATAGCTTTATGTTACCCTTCAAACACAATTCAAACTCTTGATATCCTGGCCTACAAACTCCACAGGCCATGAAAACCCCTCTGGCCACCTTTTACCTCATGTTCAATGTTGCCATTGCAGCCACATGGACTCATGGTGTTCTCGAATTTCCTGAAACCATCCTGATCTCAAGGCCTTTGCATAGGTTGAAATACTGTTCCTCCACTCTCTACCTGGATCACTCATCAGTCAGGGCTCTGAGGCTTAGGGGAATCTTTTCTGACCACTTCTCTAAAATAGCATGCCACTTGCTCATCTCAGAGCACTTTCTAAAATAGCACCTGAATTTGATTTCCTTTACCCCACTTATTGCCAGCAGTAATTACCTTTTTATAAAAAAAATTGATGATGTGTGCACTATCTGTCTACCCCCGGTAAGATCCTTGATGGCAGGAACAGAAGTTTCTTCACTGCTGTGGACACATGGTCTCACATTCAGTGAATGACTAGATCAATGGAGTAATATCTATGATAATCTTATGGTGCTTGAAATTCTCTTTCCTTCACATTCTTATATTTGGATATTATAATGATGAGAAACAGTGCTGTAGAGTCGATCAGCAGGCTGAGAGCTTATGATATTTTACTTCTTGATGTAGGATTCAAATATATTGTTTTTAAATCTTGAAATAACATTTGTGTCAGTCCATTTTTATGTGAGTTCCCCAGGTTACTCAGGGAAAATTTACCTTCTTGGGGCTTGTTCTTTCTTCACATTTCTGGATCATTGGAAATGCTTATGAGGTGGAAAAAAGGCAAAGTCAAGAGGTCAATAATTATTGAGTAGTGAATCTGCAGATTTACATAGCAATGCAAAAAGTCCCACTGTGTCTGTGTTCTCAGAGTATGTACTAACACTATAAAACTCACAGGCAGTAGAGAAAAATCCACAGAGATGTGAGTGGAAAGAGAGAGAGCTACAGTTTGAATACAGTGGAGATGTCGGTTCTAAATTTAGCAGATAAAGAAAACAGGGCATATAATCAAAATGACCCTTGGAATTTCTAACTGGGACTGTAAATCATCATGGAATGCATATTGTTCACGTAATCCTTTTACAGTGATATTTACTATTAAATATATATGGTTATTTTTATATAAATAACAAGTGATATAAAAATCAATGTCCTTAAATGCTAGACTTATGTGCAGTTACTTATACATTACTTTATCGGTAATATAAGTAAAGTAAGTGATTACTGTGATAGGTGGAGGCAGCAGCAGTCCCTGTTTCCCATCTTACACTTTTTCAGAATAGATATTCCCATGGTAGAATCATGGGCTGACACTATCACATTATAAAATTTTCTCTGGTTCTGTCTCTTCCCCTCAGGAACACACATGGATGATTCTTATTACTTTATGCCCACATTAAATAATTGTATACACCATGAACTGGAGGCCTTGTGTTTTGAGTGAAAAGCTTTGGATTTGAGTTTGTGTTTCCAAACACACTTCTGAGGTAGAAATTGTCAAGAGCTTTCCCAAACTCTTTTTTTAATCCTCCTGAGCTCACCATCTCTGGGACTGTCTTGCAATTGGACAGCCATGCAATTGAGCTTCAGCCAATGAAACATGAGTGGAGGGCGTGACACACAACCTGCCATGTTCAAGCCTCCATACTCTTTCCCTCCTCCAGCTTTGTGCTGATGAACATGGTCACCTTGAAAGGTGTGTTGAATATGGCAGAGCCAGAAAATGCAAGGAGCTTCTTCTCTGGATCACCACTTGAAGAAGAGCCACTTGCTCCTCAGGAACCCTATTTTGGACTGACGTAAGTAAAAAATTAATGTATCTTTACTTAAAATCACTGAGATATGGGGGTTTATTTGTTATAGAAACAAGCATTGCTTTAACTAATGCGCTATTTGTATGACCTTGCACAAGCTACTTAACCTTTCCGTGTCTTAGTCATTGTTCCTCCCATAGTGGGGCCCCTCCCAACATAACCAGCTCAAACATTTAAAAGAGGCAATTGAGGAAAGTTCCATGAAGAGACTATTTACAAAGATGTGGGCAGAACTAAGGGAAACTCACAAGGGAGGGTGAAGCATCCCAGGGTTAGTGGCAGCAGAGACCCATTTTCACTCTAAGCCTAGGACTCAGGGCACAGGGAGGAAGCATTTACTGAAGTCTGGGGAGATGCTAGAGCTGCAAGAAAGAGCTTTCTGAAGGGAGCTGCAACTTTCAAAGGAAGATTGCAGCCAATTTAAGGCCTGACAGGAAGGAATTTAAAGTAATAAAAAGTCAGATTCTCCTACCTTCCGATCTTCCTGCTAATAGGTCTCATTGACTAAACCCAACTAGGAGCCAGAAGGCAAGGAGCTCATTTACGTAGTTTATACAAGTCATCTTCCTAGGGTGTGTGCCAAGTACAGAAGGGTAGAGAAATGACAAACAAGGGACAAACAAGGAATTGCACGCACAGTTTTTTAACCTACAAATTGCAATTCTTAGCCTCTACCTTATGGAGGCTGCTTGGAATTATGGGTCTCGATATACAAAACACCTAATAAGGAAATCAGAAGAAAATGAGTTCCAAATAAAATACAGCTTTTAATATTCCTCTTTGCCATCTGCTATGAAACCACTGTCCATTGATTTTTTTTAACTTTTTTCCACTGATTATTTTTTTGTGTTTGTGTGTTGGTTTGTTTTAATCTCCCAGCTAACTGTTAATGCCAGGAGTTAAATTCCAGAATGAATTTAACTCTGGTGCTTCCTGGAGACTGGCATCTTTATTTCTCCATGATTTGTGTTTGTCCATAGGTGGGGCTTGAGAAAATATCTAGTTTCAGAGTCCTTGGAAGATTCTTCCTTCTTAGCTTCAGTCACTCATTGTTATTTTCAGGGTCATGTTGCCAGGAACTTCTCCCTGCTGCAGACAGCAGCCATGTCTAAACCACTCTGCTTTCTGCCTGCCTGAGTTTCGCTACTTCATATTTTATGCCTGCTTTGGGGTTTTTATTGGATAGCATTACCTTATCATGAATGGGAGGAGTGGGTCTTTCCCAGTAAGTGATGAGAGATTGGCATCCTTGTGAGGCAGGCTTGGTGTAATAAAGAGGATCCAGGGTTCTAATCCCTCCTTTGCCTTTTACTTACAGTGTGACCTTGAGAAATTCCTTCTCTGTCTTTGAGACTTAGCTTCCTTATCTACAACATGCAAGGCTCACTGTGCCTGTCTTCCTGGGTAGATGTGGGGAGACAATGAAATACATATGCATAGAAGTCCAGGCATTTCCCTTCACACATGGCAGGCATTCAGAAAATCTTATCGAAAAATAAAAAATTTCTAAGGTCCAGTGGAGATCCTGACCTTTTGATTATACTAGAGCTAAAAATGAAGCTGATAAGGTGCCCCAGGTCCAAAAAAGTTCAGTCCTCCTAGGCAACAAAGTGTCCTTCTTATTCTAATTGATGCCCTTTTTATTTTAAGTGTGACTGAAACATTTTTCTAGGGTAAATTGAGTTCACAGGTGTCGAGTCTATTCCCTGTGATTCCTCAGTGGTAGGATGGGAGGAGAAAAAAAAAATCACATTGAAACATACCTTTTGCATAGAGCAATGTAAAAAACACACATCCAAAGATGCAAATGCCAAGAACAGAAGAGCCTCAATTTCTGGGAATCCTTTGGCTGGATTCTGTTACTTTTTCTATTTTTCCATGTGCGACATACGGCACCCTCCTTTTTCTGAGTATTTCTGGAATAACTTGTCATTTGGGGAGTCTGGGATCCAGAATCACTTGGGTTAGAGCAGAACAGTCATGAGTCTAAACTCCAGCCCTCTCTTTTACTTTGGAGAGTTACTTGACAAATCTTTTGCACCTATGGAATAAACATCATAGTCACTTATCTCAGAGTTTGCTTAAAGATTAGAAAAATAATATAAATGAAGTCCTTAATAGATGTGCTTAAGAAAGAATGTTCACTAGTGGTATCAATTATTGTTGGAAAGGCACAATTATCACATTTTCGATCTAGGAAAAAGTCTAAGGCAATGTAATCCATTGCTTTCATTTCATGTCTAAAGAAACTGAGGCTTAGGAAGGGAGTTAGGACTAATCAAAGGTCACCCCATTAGTTTGTAGAACCCAGGTTTCTTGATCTCCACTGGGATTTCCTAGCCATAGAAACACCATTGTATATAAAAGTGTCACCAATGAGCAAATAGCAGAAAGCCAAGCCATGAATAAATTTATGACAGTCTTCTAACTTAGATGCCATCTGCAGAAAACTGGAAATTTGGGCAAGTCTCCTAACTACCACTGGTATGCCTAATCATTAATCCCTGTTGGGTTTCAGAATGCCCTGGAGATTTTGTTGTCATTTGATTCATCAATCGGAAAATGAGTCTCAGTTTTTGGCGATGCAGTTTCATAGCAAATTTGGAAAGATGTGATTATTACCCTCTATTTCATGTCCTTCCAAGGAGCTGGTCCAGGGTAAATAGGTGCACATCTTTGAATCAAGAGTCATGAATAGGTGCATTATTACTGAGTGGACTTAAGTTCCTAATGTTCACTATGAATAATGAGTCTAATGTGAAATCTTAATGCATTTAAGGTAGATATGATGTTCTTTTAAAAATGAATTTTCAGGGCCGGGCGTGGTGGTTCACGCCTACAATCCCAATACTTTGGGAGGCCAAGGCAGGCAGATCACCTGAGGTCAAGAGTTCGAGACCAGCCTGGCCAACATGGTGAAACCCCATCTCTACTAAAAATACAAAAATTAGCCGGGCGTGGTAGTGGGCGCCTGTAATCCCAGCTACTCAGGAGGTTGAGGCAGGAGAATTACTTGAACCTGGGAGGCAGAGGTTGCAGTGAGCCGAGATCACACCACTGCACTCCAGCCTGAGCTATAAAGGAAGGCACTACCTCAAAAAAAGAAAAAAAATTATCCGGGCCAGGTGCAATGGCTCATGCCTGTAATCCCAGTACTTTGGGAGGCCCAGGCAGGAGGATCCCTTGAGCTCAGGAGTTTGAGACCAGCCTAGACAATATGGCAAAACCCCATCTCCACCAAAAATACAAAAATTAGCCAGTCTCATAACCTGGTCTCAAAATAAATAAGTAAATAAATAAAATTTTAAAAAATTAAATTAAAAAATGAATTATCTGTATCATGGGGAATGGTTAATGCTCACATTTTTGTGGAATATGTGAGGGAATGGTGAGGGCCGAACTATGCCGTTAGCGGTCAAAAGAGGTTTTGTATCAGGACAAATAGGATGTCTTGAAGAAAAACTACAGCTACCATCAAGTAGCACTCTAGGAAAAGGTAAAAAGGAGGAAAAAAGCAAGTATTTATTGAATACCTACTACGTGCCACACATTTTACCACACTTAAAAAATTATTACTCAATTATGTTACTTTTCTTTTCTTTCTTTTTTTTTTTTTTTTACTGTGTCCCAGGCTTCTTTATTTAAGAAAAAAGTGATACATGATGTGGGATTAAAATCAAGAGCATCATTGAACTTCACCTTCCCTCCAACCAGTTGCCCCAAACTCCCCTGCCCCCACCCTTAGTGTTCCCAATTCCTTCCTTAGTGAATGAAGAACTTAATCCCAAAAGCCCTGCCACAAACTCCAGGTTCTCTTTCCCTAGCTCCTCCCCTCCCCTGTTCCCCATTCCTAGAAGGGCAGGCACCTCAGTTTGAATGCATGGGAGAGCCCAGAGTGATGACGGAGACTGGGGGAAAGACTTCCCCCTCAGGGAAAGGGACTGAGGAGTACAGTGCAGTGAAGTGAGGGCTCCCATAGCCTGGGGTACCAAAATGGGGCCCTGGGGCCGGAGGAAAGGACACTGGTCCCCCTGAGAAAGGAGACCCAGCAGCCTCAAAATCCTCTCGTTGTGCATAGTCGCTGCTTGATCGCTTGCCCTTCTGGCGCCGGTTACAGAACCACACTCGGACCACATCCTTCTCGAGCCCAAGCTGCTGGGCGATGTGGCTGATCTGCAGTGTGGGTTTCGGGCACTGCAGGAACAAATTCTCCAGGTTGCCTCTCACTCGGTTCTCGATACTGGTTCGCTTTCTCTTTCGGGCCTGCATGAGGGTTTCTGCTTTGCATATCTCCTGAAGATTTTCATTGTTGTCAGCTTCCTCCACCCACTTCTGCAGCAAGGGCCGCAGCTTACACATGTTCTTGAAGCTAAGCTGCAGAGCCTCAAAGCGGCAGATGGTCTTTTGGCTGAACACCTTCCCAAATAGAACCCCCAGGATGAGCCCCACATCGGCCTGTGTATATCCCAGGGTGATCCTCTTCTGCTTCAGGAGCTTGGCAAATTGCTCGAGTTCTTTCTGCAGAGCTTTGATGTCCTGGGACTTCTCCGGGTTTTGCTCTAGCTTCTCCTTCTCCAGCTTCACGGCACCAGGGGGGACGGTGCAGGGTTCCGGGGAGGCCCCATTGGAGTTGCTCTCCACCCCGACTCCTGCTTCGCTCTCAGGCTGAGAGGTCTCCAAGCCGCCTTGGGGCACTAGCCCCACTCCAACCTGAGGCCCACAGTACGCCATCCCCCCACATAACTCATACGGCGGGGGGCAAGGGGGAATCCCCCACACCTCAGAGCCTGGCCCAACCCCCGGCCCGATTCCTGGCCCTCCAGGAGGGCCTTGGAAGCTTAGCCAGGTCAGAGGATCAACCCAGCCCGGCTCCGCCCCCCATGGCCCATCACCCCCACCGCCTGGAGGGGGCGAGAAGGCGAAATCCGAAGCCAGGTGTCCCGCCATGGGGAAGGAAGGCGCCCCAAGCCGGGGGCCTGGTGAAATGAGCAATTATGTTACTTTTCATTGAAAGCTCTGTGACCGTATGGCTGTGTGTGTCATACGCTCACTAGCAATGAACACAGTGCCTGAAGCATCATTAAATGTTGACTGAATGTGTTAGGAACTCTTCAAAAGTAATCTCTTTAAATCATAATCACCTGTGAATTGACAATTATTATCTTCACTTTGTGGATAAGAATGCCAAGATTTGGAAATGTTGAATAATGTGTCCATTGTGTCAGTGGCCGATCTGAAATTCCAGTGTAGGCACCATGATTCCTGAGTCCATTCTGCTTCTGCCATACCATGATGCTAGATTCTTCATGGGAGCCATCTACTTGTGTTCTGTGCTATGGAATGGTGTGTCCTTCTTTCTGATTCTTATTTCCTGCAGATTGTGGGGAAACGGTTCTACCATTAACAACCAAAGGCAAAATGGGCTGCAACCAAAGAAATTCCCTGACCTAATTCTTTATAGTTGGTGACAAGTGTGCTGTAGTGACGGGAAATAGCACTCTATGAAGATTTAATAGTGCAAATTCTACCCTCCTGACAACCCCTTTCTTCAGCACTGGATGGGTGTATTAGTTGTTTATCATTGTGTAATAGATCACCTCAAAACTTAATAGCTTAAAAACAACTAACACATAGCTCACAGTTTTGTAAAATAGCAATTGTGGTGTGGCTTAACTGGGTATCCTGGATAAGGGTATTTCATGAGGTTGTGGTCAAGATGAGAGCAGGGGATGTTGTCATCTGGGAGCCTAACGGGGGCTGGAGGATCCACTTTCCAAAATGTCTCACTTACTTGGCTGTTGGCAAAGGCCCCGGTTTCTTGTTGGCTGTTGGTAGGAGGCCTCAGTTGCTCACCATGTGGGCTTTTCCATAAAGCTGCTTGAGTGTCCTCACAACATGTCAGCTGGATTCACCCAGAGAGAATGACCTAAGAAAGAGAGAGCAGGGAAGAAGCCACTGCGTTCTTTATGACCTAGTCTCTGAAATCGCACACTTTTACTTGTGCCATATTTTATTCATTAGAAGTGAGTCACATTCTGTAGGAGGGTAATTAGCCTTCACCATTTGGCAGGAGGACTATCAAATAATTGGTGGGCATATTGTAAAGCTATCATAATGGTTCTGGTAGGCCATGTTTTTGCCTCTGCCACTCAAATATTGGATGTCCATTTCTTAAAGGGATTGTGAAAAGAGAAGGGGCTTTAGAATAAGACAGGCAAATGTTTAAACATTGAGTAAATTTTTAATGTCCTTAACCCTTGTTTCTCAACCATAAAATGAGAATGATCATATCAAATCTTCACAGTTTTGCAGGATGGGTTGCAGGTAATAAAGTCCTAGTGCAATGTCTGGCACAAGGTAAGTGTTTAAGCAGTGGGCTCCTTTCTGTTACATAATGTGGCAACCCTCTTCTCCCCTCTCTACCTCTCAAATATGTGTCTGAGTCAGAACACCAAAGTCACACACACACAGGTACAAAACAATTCCTGATTCTATTCCATTTCCATCATGCCATGCTGCCAGTTTCTCCATGGGGCCATCTTTACTTCTGTAGTAAGGAATATAGTTACTTGTTACAGAAATTAGATTCCAGAATTGGGATATGAGTTGGAAAGGGAACTTAAACGTTCTCCTTCAGTCTTGCTCAAATTCTCATGCTTATTTGACGTTCTTGAGTGTTTCCAATAAGATAGATATGACTTTACCTCTAGATTCTCCCACTTGTTATCCTGCCAACCTTAAGTCCCCTTTCTCAGGGTAATAACTTTCTGCTCAATTCTGTTGTGAGGTTTAAGTCAAGTAAGATGTGTGTAATTTTCTCATGAAACAGTAGCTATTATTTATTGTTTATCATTTTATCATTAACTTCTGTTCCTTTAGACCTGACTAAAATATTTCTAGTGTCATTTGAAAATATTGTATTATATCGGGTGTTGTGTGTGTGTGTGTGTGTGTGTACCACCTTTTTTTAAGAAGCACAAAATGTGTTTGACCAGTTACTTAGATTATTTATTTCTCACAAAATGAAGTCAAGTCCATATTGTCTCATTTAGCAGAAAAGTGAAATAGAAGGTTAATAGGTTGGCCTAAGCCTCACAGCTGGTAAGTATAGCTACCTAGATTTGAACCATGAAAATCGTTTGAGGTGATGCTCTGCTTTATTTAATCTGTTCAGACAATGGCATTGTGGTTTCATGGGGAGACAGGCTAGATTTTGTGACCTGAACGTCTACTCGTTTGACTATGTAGTACAACTAAAAATTGTGAATCCGCTAACTAAGTCTTTGTGTTTAATTTAGTTTAGTGCAATAATAATTTCTAGGGATATCACAGGCCAGGCACTGGGATAGATAATGAGGTACAGCTAGGTGAAGGGGGCAGGATGGAAATGCTGAGGTACAGAAGGGTCATAAAGCCCATTGTAATGTTCCATTTTTGTCTCTAGATAATGACAAGCAGACAGTAACACACTGGTAGCAAACATTGAAGACTGGTGGCCCAGGGGCTCTGATGTTGATGAAATTCCTGATGAAATTGAGTTTGGTAATTATACAGTTGACCTGCTTGAAAGAAAGATATCACAGTAGAACAATTTCCTTGGTTCTGCCATTTCATTTATCACCATTGTTTGTCTTTGTTGTCAGTATTAACATCAATTATTAATCTTAATGCTCATTTTCCTTCCTAGCCTTCTTTCCTGTCTGACATGTGGAATCTCTTGCTATTAAATTGAGAGGCAGGTGGAAACATTAGTCCTTCTTACGTCATTGGTCATTATTTCTTCTGAACGAAGAGTTTTTTTCAGTGGGGGCAGGACAATTGGAAAAATCCATTCCAAGTGGCATAAAGACTGGTTTCTTTGCTCTGTACAAAGTATCCCAGTATCACTTAAGTAGCTATTTCTCTGAGGTTGGACCTCAACTAGAACCATGATGGTTGGATGCAGAGAAACTGGCAAATAGGTTAAATTGAAAGCAGGTAGAAATCACAACACTTGGGATGGCAAAAACAGCTAGCTGCCTCCCAAGATCTGCTCTCCCTTTCTGTCTTAGTAACCTAACCTCATTTTATATAAGATAGCAGGCCATCCAGCTAAAAGACTATATTTACTAGTCTTCCATGGCACTAAGTTGTGACCAATGAGAATCAGCAAAAATACAGCGTGAAACTTTTGGGGAGGCTGTTTAAAGGAAGCTGAGTTAACAGGAACTCTCCCTTCCTCTTCAGGCCATTGCCCTTTTCCTTCTAGCCTACAACATGGATGTAATGGTAGCACTCCAGAAGCCATCTTGAACTGTAAGTCAACATTAGGCAGAAGCTGCAAGCGAGATGGTGAGGCAGAATGAAGAAGCTTGGACCCCTGATGACCATTATATCATGCTCAGACTTCCCACCTCTGATCTTCTAGTATGAGAGAGATATTTATATACCCAAGTTATTTAAATCATTGATTTTTTTTAGAGTTTCTGTTACATGAAGCTGGTTCTCACCATAAAAGATAAGACTGGAAGTGGCTAGGTGGGGTAGAGGGGTTTGGAGATGTTGAGACAGAGAAAAAAATCAAAGAAGACTCTTGGGTTATTTGGGTGGTGGTCTGATTCACTGAGAAATAATACACAAAAGGAAAAACAAGATTAGAAGAGAAGAGAATTGACATAGTTTTGGAAATTTTAAGGTAGAGGGAGCTGCAGGACATTTAGGAGTGGGAGTCTTAGAGTCAGCTGGATATATGTGTTAGATGCTATAACGAAATATTAAGGAAGGAGATACAGGTTTGGCCATAACTATCATGTGTGTGATCTGTAAAGCTACTGTAGTGGACTAAATTACCCAAGAAGACTTAGATGGTGTTGAAAATTAACATAGAGAAGCTGGGTGAGCTTACTGCGGGACAACTGAGGGTGGTATACATCCAGGTAAGCAAATAATTATGATTCCAGTCAGGATGTGGTAAATACACCATTAATGATCCACTTAATTATTCTTCCCCTAGGTAGTCATATTTTGATAGGATGGCAAATAAACAAAATTTTAAGGAATTAGTTTCTCTCTTTCCAAGGGATCTAAGGCAGAGACTACTGCCAAACAGAGGCACAAATCACCAAGAGATAACTAGCATTGCCCCGTAAATTGATAGAATTTCAGGCACATCAAAGCCTTGTGATGTCTGAACCTATGTGTTCTAATCATAGGCGTGTAAGTTATTTCCACAGGAGTTGTACATTATTGCAATGGACTAATGAATTTCCCCTAACATCTTCAAGGAATAACAAAGGAGCGGACAAAGCATGGATCTAGAAATTAGTTAAGACTGAGTATGTTTGTTCTAACAGTTTCTACCTATACTATCCCACCTTAACCATCTCAGTCCCATTTTCTCATAGGAAAATGCAGTAATGTCTCTACTTCATGGTTCTACTGTGAGAAATACGGGATGATATATTTTAAGTATTGGAATAGTACCTGGCACATCAGACACCCATAATTCCTCATCTTATTTGGTTAACGAAAGTCTAAAGCCCCAGGAATCTGGGGTTCATTTTATAGATGCTTTCAGTTTGAAGATTCCATTATCATAGGGTTTTCTTGTCCAGAAGAGAAAGAACTTTAATGAAAAAACTTAAAAAGGAAAGAAATGGGGGTAGGGCTGGCATATTGCACTGCTCCATGGGATGCCATTTACATTATATTGATGCAAACCGCTGCCTTGGAATTGGGTAGTGTGCCCCCTGTATAACTGTAGGCAGTGACCCTGTTTGGAAGCTACCTCTTAAGATGTTCTTAATAATAATGTCTGTTATCTATTAAAATAAGAAAAGGTATGTCACCATGGGTTTTGTCTTTTGTTGTCTGTAGTTGTTGAGGTTGGACTTCTCAAGGCCTCTTAAGACCCTCACTTTCCCTACTCTCTGACATACACTTAGTACTTTCTTTTTGCTAATTTTTGCTTCCTTTTTTTTTTTTTTTTTTGCACATGCTACTCCCTTCTTCTGGAATTCTATCCTAATTTGGATTTCTCGTGTATCTCTATTTTTTTTTTTTTTTTTTTTAAGAATCAGCTCAAATGTTGCTCTTCTGGTTGTCTTCCCTGCCAGCTCTGGGTAATATTAAGTGTTCCCTCTCTCTACTGTCATGATGGTGTGGCCGTATCTTTGCCATTGCCCTTGTTTTAAAACTCAGGGTCCTTAGCCTGTTCTAGGAGGCTCAGTACAGTAATTATTTCTTCAGTTGCGTCTCTAGTCACTTTCCTCCCATGGTCCACCCAGAGTCAACACACTCTGTTCATATTGACTTTGGGCTTAATTTGAGCCAGGAAGAGAACTTCTTGCCATGGACTGGGGCCTATTTCTGGAGAAGAGCATGTGTAATCCTGCTCGTGGGTAGATAGTATGAACACCCCATCTTAGCCATGTTATATGCTTCATGTTTTAAAACCTCTAGACTTGTGATATCAAGTCGCCACATGTGGCTATTTAAATTTAAATTAATTAAAATTTAATAAAAATTTAAAATTCAGTTCCTCAGTTGCACTAGCCACATTTCAAGTGCTCAGTAGTCACATGTTGCTGCTTGTTACCATATTGGAAAACACAGACATAGTAAATTTCCATCAGTGCAGAAAGTCCTTTTTTTGAAACAGTCCTGCTCTGTCACGGAGGCTGAAGTGCAGTGGCACGATCTCTTTTCACTACAACCTCTGCCTCACAGGCTCAAGCAATTCTCATCCCTCAGCTTCCCGAGTAAATAGGACTACAGGTGTGTGCCACTGTGCCCAGCTAATTTTCGTATGTTTAGTAGAGATGAGGTTTCGTCACATTGGCCAGGCTGGTCTCGAACTCCTGGCCTCAAGTGATCTGCCTGCCTCAGCCTCCCAAAGTTCTGGGATTATAGGCGTGAACTACTGTACTCAGTGCAGAAAGTTCTATTAGACAGTGCTGCACTGGGCTTTTCAAATTTTTGAGAGAAAAGGTACCTTTTTGCTCCTGTTACTCAAAATGTTGTCCCAGGACCAGCAGCGGCTCTATCCACTGGTTGCTTTTATAAAACTGCAGGATCTCTCACCTACTAAGTCAGAACTACTGAGTCAGAACCTGCATTGTAACAAGATCCTCAGATGATTTGCACCTGAAGGATTCACGTTCTTGAAAGTCATGCATTACTACCTTAAGGATCACTAATTTCAGCTACCTGTCTCCAGATATTTTCAAGGTTTTCAACTATGCCTGCAAATTGAAAGCTCCTGAAGGGCCTTAAAAACTGTGGATATTTGGTTTCGCCCTCAGAGTTTGTGATATAATGGTTTGATGCATAGTTTTGGTACTGGGAGCTTGAAAATCTTCCCAGGTGATTCTAATGTGAAGCCAGGCTTGAGAACCACTGCTTTAGAAACAAGACAGAAAGGCTCACAGAAGGAAAGTGATGGATATAGATCACTAGTAATAGCCTCCCTTATTTCCTAACTCAGAGTCGAGTGCTCATTCTGCTACACCATATAGTCTCACCCTCAGTGGCCTGAATTCTAGAGAAGCACTCTGGACTGATCAAATTTTTTCCCCCATCTTTCTCCACTTGAAGCAATCACTCTGATATCCCCTAGTGGAGCTAACACAGGGACTGCATTGTAATTGCTTGTTAATGTCAAACTGGTAGCTGATGGATTTACCATCTGCAGAAGCCTGCCTTTAATGGCCAATGCTAGGTGTACAGGGCTTGAAACTCTTCTGGTGGAGATCAATACTCTATTATGGAAGCAACTGGCTGGCAGACACCACGGGGGCCTCACCTTTTGCCTTTAGGTGCCCTGGCTCTGCGAAGAATTCCAGTCAGAGTTGTGAAGGCTGTGGGTGAGGGAGCCACTGATGAGTCCAGCAGAGCCCCACAGTGCCACTGTGACAAGTCTGCGTGCAGGGGGACAGCAGCACTGGCCATTGCCCTGCATATTAAGAAGGCCCGCAGGCCAGGCATGGTGCATCATAGGGACAGGATGCACCATGTCCCTATGATGTCCAGTAAGTTACATCTTCCACTGCAGTCAGCCTCAAACGTGCCCTATAAGAAACTGCTGGAAAAGCAAAAGAAAAGAAAATTCACAGATACTATCCATTCCCTCTGTCCACCCTCCTTTTCTCTCTCTGAATTGTCCTCACTGCAGGTAAAGTGGAGCAGAGGGCAGAAAAGCAGCATTTATAACAATGATAATAACCAGTAGCCTATATTTATTGAGAGCATAGAATGTTCCCGGAAGTTGGCTAAGTTCTTTCGTTCATTTTATTACTTAATTCTCACAACAACACTATATGTTGGAGGTAGATTTTACCAAGGAGGAAACTCAGGCTCAGAGAAGTTACATGACTTGTTCAAGGTCACACATCTAAGAAGTGATAGAGCTAGAATTTGAGCTACATCTGTCACTCAGCAAAGCCCATGCTCTTTACAACCATGTAGTTCAGTTCCCCAAAACACATGCATAAGGCTCTCAGGGCATTACTCATGTGGAGAAGAAAACTGCTGGAAGGACAGCATTTTAATCACTATGCATGTTTCACTGTAGCATTTCCTGTTCTATTTTTAAATGTTAGGATCTAATTTATAAACATGCATTGCACCAATTTTATAGATGCCACTTGATGATTTTTCTCTTGCAGGTATATATATATATATATATATATATCCATATATATATATATATATCCATATATATATATATATCCATATATATATATATCCATATATATATATATATCCATATATATATATATCCATATATATATATATATCCATATATATATATATCCATATATATATATATATCCATGCAACCACAACTGAGTCAAAAATATAAAGCATTTCCACCATCCCGGAAGTGTCCTCAATGGTCCTTCCAACTCAGTCTCCACATCAAGAGATAACTAATATAATTTCTATCAACAGAGATTAGTTTGCTTGGTCTTGAATTTCATGGAAATTGAATTATACAGTATATATCTGGGTCTGGTTTCATTGGCTTAATTTATTTTTAAGATTTACCCATATTGCAGCATGCCTGAGTAATTTATTCCCTTTATTGTTGTATACTACTCATTATATGGATATATCACCATTTATTTTCCACTCTCCTGTTGATGAGCCTCTGGGTTAGTTCTCCATTAGAATCAACTGCTCCCTCCCTTCAGGGTAACCTTGGCCAAAGCTCTCAGTTCCTTCTCTACCTGGCTCTCTGACTCCAGGTTCCAGTGAATATTCTCTCCATTTGTCCCTTCTAGCCTTGAGGTATACATCTATAATGAACCCTGGGGTACTGCAATATTCTTAAGGTCTCCTGAGGTCCTGTTCACTTGGTAAATGGTGTCTTTTCTTTCCTTTTTTTCTTTCTTTTTTCTGTAAATTCCCACTGGGCAGGACAAGATTTTTATCTGATATGCTGTTACCAAGTCTCCAAATCCTAACACTCCTCACCTCTTCTTTCCACTCATTTGCTAGCAAAGTATCTTGCAGAAGGGAGGGTTACAAAAATGTTGGATGATAGATGGACTTGCTGAATGAGACACTAGCGTCTTATTCAAGTATCTGAAACTAAAGCTGATGAGTTTCCTACAAGTAGCTCCTCAGAGAAATCATTGTTTTCAATTTATTTCCCCCAAGGCAAGCTAAGAAGTAGACCTAGGCCATTGGCATTCATGGCACAGAACCCAGGGACAAGTTTTCACTGAGCTTTGTGAACTAAGATGGGCAAAGAGATTGCTGTGTTTCCTCATCTGGAAAATGAGTATAATACTACCTGGCCAGCCCCAATCCACAGATGTGTTGTAGAGTAGTGGATGTTAAAGCAAAATTCCCCTTAAATCATAGAGGATCTTTGCCATTCATTAGGATTATAAACAAAATTCTGAAATCTGCTATTACAGTTGAATTACCCCAAAAACATTCTTTGAGAATCTCACTGCATATGTCTACCATCACATCAGCCTGAGAACTGCTGCTGAATAGGCGCAGCTTTTGGTACAACCCAGTGCACATTAACTAGGATGTCATAGAATGTAAGGGTTCTCAGGAACGCATTTGAGCTGTGTATCTTCCATTCAGTTCTCTGATGCCATTTCCACTCTCCTCTACCTTGCTCTATTCCCCAGGAGACTGACCTGTATGGACTAAATCAACAGGTTCTCATGTCTCTGATGTCTACCTGGGTTCAGACAAGGGTGAGCACTAACAGAAGACTGAAGGGAGTAGGTGAGTGGAGTTGGAAAGATGACTCACATGCTCCCTCCCTGCAGGGTAACCTTGACCAAAGCTCTAGGCTCCTTTCTCCACTGGGCCCTCTTTGACTCCAGGTTTCAGTAAATACTCTATCCACTTTCCCCTTCTAGCCTTGATGTATAAATCTATAATGAACCCTGGGGTACTGCAATATTCTTAAGATTTCCTGGGGTCCTGTTCACACTTGGTAAATAGTGCCTTTTCTTTTCCCTTCCCTTCCCTTCCCCTTCCTCTTCCCCTTCCCCGTCCCCTTCCTTCCCCTTCCCCCTTTCCCCCTTCCCCTTCCTTCCCTTCCCTTCCTTCCCCTTCCCCCTTTCCCCCTCCCCTCCCCTCCCCTTCCCTTCCCTTCCTTCTTTCATCTCACTCTGTTGCTCAGGCTAGAGTGCAGTGGTTCCCTTCAAAGAGCCCTAATTTGGGTGTGCTCCTATTGCCTGCTAAGAGCCTGACTGACACATCAATCCGATCAGCTTTCCAAAGCCCTGTGTCCAAACATATCCAGTGATAATCTCCCTCTCCTTCATTTTTCTTTCTTATTACCTAGGAGAATCCTATGGAATTTATGAGGAATCCTGAGGTTTATGCTTTTTTTTTTTCTATACACCAACTCCACTGCTTTTGAACCCAGTTTTTTTCTTCTTTTTTTCTAGAATGTTTAAATGCTACACACATAAGACAACTGTTTCTATTTTACTAAAATGCAAGATAAAAGCTGACCACGGAACTGTCCAAAGGTTCTGTTTGGAGATGGCCCACCTAGGTCAGGGATGAAGTCTCTACAAAGTACTCGTCCTGAGTGAGTTGGAATTTAAAACCTTGGCCTCAGGTTCGTAACCTTGGTGCTCCAGGATTAGATTAGGCTTTTCTGAGTGGAATACTACCATTTCAACCATTCTAAGGAGTCAACGTTCTTATATGATTAACTACAGAAATGACTTTCAAGAGCTGGTGTGATCAGTCTAACCCTCTTGTTTAATGACCAAATCACTTTTACTATTTAATTCTGTTCTTCTGGGGGTGAGTTAAATGATAAAATATCTTAAGAAGGAAATCTTATTGAACAAATATTATCTTGACAAAACATTTGTCACAAATAGGTGAGTTTATCCTGGCTTCTTAGGGAAAGGAGGCTTGGAATATATTTAATTGTGTTAAGATAAGCTATTTTGCTTCTTTTCCCTTTCTACTGTATTCCCATTTGTAAATTTGGTCCCCAAACCATGCAGCTTTTACATTCAAAGTATACATATTTCACTCTCCTTTTTCCCCCTTTTGCTAGTGGCCTAAATCAGGATCCTATCATCTCTCATTCTGATCTATAGAAAAACTTTTTAATTAATCTCTCAGCAACCACCATCTCCCTCCTCTAATTCATACTCCATAATTCACCAAGTATTCTTCTAAACCATAGAAACACTTATGCCACACACCTTTTCTGAAATTGGCATTCTAGAGTTTATAATAAGTCCCTCTATTCCTCAAGGCCCCTGTCCCTGGAATGCTGCTGTCCTAGAAAGAATCCCAGCATTTTTCCGTCACTAAATAGAGGGTGCATCTTTATCCTGCAACATCTTATTTTAGGATAGAAGAAAACAGCCCCACATAGTGGGGTAAGAAACAGTGACATGATGCAATGGTCCTATTCATGGGGTTACGCAGGAGGCAATGGTGCCTAATGGTACTCATGAAATGTTCTCAGAGTTATTTTGCAATTAGGGTAGATGTCACTCAAGGCTGGATCTGCACAGGGAAAGCCTAATCCAAATAAATAGTTGATGGGGTGAGGATATTGCCACCACATAATATCCCTATTTTATGGAGAATATTATTCCTGCATTTCATTGATGAGGAAACTGATGTAAAGAGAGGGTAAATAATTCATGGCTTTGTGGTCACCCACCCTCTAATGATCTCAAATGAGCTTAGATTTTCACAAGATGGACACAAAGGGGTGAGAGGCAGAGAACTGTTCTTTGGTTCCATTCCCTGCTTCCCTTAGATCTGCTGCTTGATTTCCATTCCATCTGGCTAGTGCCTATTTTCATGTCAGTTTTATAATGTGTGGATTCTTGGCCCAGCTTAAGAACTGTTGAGCCATATGCATGCTGGGCTGGCAGATCCAGGAAGGAGGAACTCTACTCAGATATTTACCCTCCAACTTTGTGCACAGACACAGTTGCTTGTGGAATGTGGATGGGAAATTCCTGATGGAGATATCCGTGCTGGCTTGAGCCGTCCAGTTAGAACCAACATTTAAAGCCACCTGAAGTTCAAAAAGTTCAGACAAAGCTGGTTTAAAGAAATCAGAGATAACATACTTTTTTTCCTAGGCAAAGAAAGGGAAACATTTTCTGTATAACTTCCTGCTCTTATATGGCTTCTTCATTCACCATGTATTGAATGCCTAATGAATGTCCAGCTGAGTTCTGGGGCATGGAGATAAAAATGTCTGTTTTCATGTCACTGAGGAACTTACTAGCAGTCTAGTGAAAAGGACACAGATGATTGCAATACGGTGTGATTAGCACTATAATTGGTGGGCATATAGGATTTTTCTGGAGAACAGAGGAAGCAGGAAGGAGGGGAAGTAGAGTAGCAATTCTTGAGTGGTACTGAGTAGCAATGCTGTGCTGTTGTTATATATGTTCTTGTTTAATCTTCCATCACTGCTGGAGGGACAGTATACTTTTCCCTTGATTCTCAGAAAAGTAAAGCAATCTTCCCAGGGTCCCAAACCTAGGACTAAGGGCTCTTACCAAAGTTGCATCTGCAGGGTTCTAAGGCAGTGGTTCTTTTCACCCGGCCTTGCTGGAGGGCTGCGATCATGTTCTTCACATGTAGGCTGTGTGCTGAAGGGAGACTTGGAATGTACCAGCCTGAGAGGAATGAAGGACATTCCAGGAAGCACGAGTCTAAGCCTTGAGAAGTCAAAGAGTCCAGGGATCATGGGATCATTTAAAAATGACCAGCCCTTTTTATGTCTAAAGAGAGGGTCAGAAAGAAGGGGTGATAGAGGGAACTAGCAATGCAGGTGGTGTCAGCTTTTTATATGACATAATGTCGTTTTTGTGGTAGAAAACAGGCTATCAATTTGGAATTTTCATTTGTTTGCTTTGTGTTAGCAATTTACTTTTTAGATTTTCTTCCTAACATTTAACAAACTGAAGTATATAATGAATGCCCGCAGGCCAATGGGAGCAAGAGAGGCAATAAAAGAGGAGAAGGCACCCCAGATTTGGATTCATAGACTAGCCTTGTTTCTTTGATCCACCTACATAAACTTCAGGCTGTTATTTGACTCCTTTGAGGTTTACTGTCCTCACTTGTGCAGTGGTGGCAATTTTTTTAGTCTTACTAATCAAGCCTGGGTATCAAACACCATCATAGATATGGGCTCGTCACGTGAACTCTAATGTGTTGGGCAAACACTAGTTTCTCAGCTTTGGGCATAATAATAGCATACAGAATCAAAGGAGCACTCTTCTCCTTGATTGGATTTCAACCAGAAAAAGAATAAAAATTGCTTTTGTGTCTCATCCTTGTTTTATCTGCAACGGCTTTGCCAAAGTTTTTCTTCTGTTCCTCAGGCCAGTTGTAAATGGCCTTGTGCATCCTTTGAAAGAAGACCAGGCCGGGGAAGCCAAACTGGTTCTGATGTGGGAGAATCACTTGAAATAGAGGGACAGATATGAACTTGTATGTGCCTCTCTTGTCCTGTGAAGAAGGTATGAATATCCCCGGTTCATAGATAAGGAAACTGAGACTCAGCGATGAAGTCATGTATCTGATATCACATGATGAGCAAGTCCTAGAGCCAGAGGCGAGCCTGGATCTCCTGGGTTCCAATGAGTGTGTTCTTTCCACTCCTTTCTGTTGCCTGCAGCAAAAAAGCTCCTTTGAGCAAACTGATAGGACCGTCAGCTAAGTTCAAGCCAGAGTTGAGGCGGAAGTCAACACAGGGCTATGAATGTTCTAGCTAAGACTTTGTGGAGGCTTTTACCAGCCAATCTTCAGAATAAAACCCCCAACCAGAGCCAGATGAGATCAACCTAGGCTGTAATGAACTAACAACTTCCAGAGTGAGAATGCCTCTCTTGTTGGCTCCAGTAGACAGCAGGAAAGCAAGTCAGACATGAGGAACGAGAAAGCCACTGAGAGAAGATTTTGCTACTTGGACCATTTCCTGGAATATTACTGTCAAATAAGTAAAAGCCTGATAACGTTTTCAGGTGCGTGTGTGTATACAGTTTTAGAGAAAGTCTTATTAAAGAATATCAGATTCAAGACTCATACAAGAAATGCCTTCCGTTTGGCGAGACAATACTTGCAGCCGGGGGGTGCTTTCACTGTTGGAGGTGTCTGCAGGTAGTGCACCTGTCCAGTGGGAATGCTCTGTCAAGATGCACTAGTGTCTTCTGGGCTGATGTTGCCCACGGCTCTCTTCCCAGAGTAGAACAGGGGAAGCTGAACACCTGCAGGATATCTTGGGAATGACATTCAAAAAGCTACAGCTGTCCCAGCTGAGCCAGGAGCCTGGCAAGCACTTGGAGCACACATTATTTATGTAAGCAATCTCTGTCAGCGCCACATCTGGGGATAAAGGATCAAACCCCAACAAATTTAATTAAGGCTCTTCACGTAGATGAAATTGAGATGCTAGACTAGGCAATTTGTAATGGTTAGAAAATGCCCTTCTAAGCTTCATCTAATGCATTGGCTTTTTGGCATCTCCCAGAGAAAGCTCTCACCAGATACACCCCAGAGAGATGACACCTTTTAGAAGTTCAGGGACCACATAAATGTTGGTGATGGATGTTTTCCTCAGGGATGATTATGGCTCTTTAGTCTAATAGCTCTCCTATTCATACCATATTAAGGGCTTAATATGAACTGAAATGGTGCTGCTGGTAGCTTTAAAAGCTGACGTAAACTTAAGGGCTCTTTAGAAAACATAATATCCATGGGAAAATAGATGGCATAAAACCATAAACAAAACACAGCTCACCAATGCATTGATATAGGCCAAACTGGTATTACAGCCTGCTGGGAAAGTGGGCTCATTCCTTGTACATTTGTACATTTTGGGGGTAGGTCAGGAATCAGGAGACACAGAATGCCTTCTTGTTGGGACTTGCTGGTAGAACTTACGTAGGGCATGCCAAACCCTTCCCTTATTAACTATTTGACTCTTCCTACAGGCCCAAACATATTACCTGGGCAGTTGAGAAACGAGAACAGTTGTGGGACAAAGAACACATTGTTAAATTGCAGAGTTGCACAGTTATTGCCTGGAGCACCAGGTTAAAGGAAACTGAACTGTGGGGTTGGCTGGCACTGTCTGTATACACAGCCCAGTCTAAGGCCCCAATCCTGAGAAACTTGCTGGGTTCCTGCCCTTTGATTCAGAGAAAGCAGCTTTCCAGCTGGGGCCGGCTCCCTCCCCCACATAAAATAAAATAAAGTCAATAGCACATAAAAATTCTTTGTACTTTTCTCAGTGCCTTTCATCTGCTGAGCTCAAAGGACGATGAGGGTATTAACTCTGGCTACACCTCTTAGTGGTAGGAGGAGAGTTTATTCGTCCCTCTGTTTTATGGATAGGGAGCTGAGATAGGAAGAGGTTAAGCAATTTGACCAGGGTCAGGCAATTGGTCAGAGGTGGAGCTGGAAGGGAAATCAGGTTTTCTAATTCCCAGTCTAGTGCCCTCTGCAGGCTCTATGGAGCGATGCAGCTGCTAAAAAATGCTGGAGGGCTGTGGAAGTGGAATCATGCAATAAGAGCAGGAAAAGAAGCTTGTAATCATTTGGACGACGCCTTCATTTCCCAGATGCAGAGAACGAGGCTGGGAAAGTTGATGGTGATTTTTCCAAATTCAAATAGGTAGTTAATTACAGAGTAGAGTCTAGAATTTTGGCTCTTGACTTCCAGTCCAAGGTGGTTTCCTCTTAGCTCTTGGGGAGTCTCTGTTGATACCTCCCTCTTGGTGTCTATACCAGTTTTGCAAACTTTAGCATACCTAGCAATTTAATTGGTGTTCAAGAAATGTCTGATGATCATTTGGTAGTCTCATACTAGCTTTCTTCTTCTCTGAATTTGTATTCATTTTTCAGCAATCAGGTCAAGACCCAGAACATCCAGGAAAGTCCACCTGATCACCTCGGAATTGCTAGGGCCTCCATTATTTGAATCCCACATTTGGCCCTGGAATCAGGGATTATTTCCTACTACAAGTCTTCTCTGTCCCTCCTCTTTACTATTCAACCTGGCAGGCTATGTTTCTATAACCCTTTGTACCTAACTCTGTTCCAGCATAAGAAACATTTGGCTATAATCCTTGATGTACTTTTATGTCCTCTCCACAAGACCCTTTATATAAATTGAATCATATAACATTAAAACAATGCTGAGTTGCAAATTTAAACACTTTCTTTTAACAAATGAAGGAAAAGAGGGTTGAAATAATTTTTCCAAGGTTTCATTGCTAGTGAATCACATAGGAGGCAAGCCTTTTAAACTGAAATTTTGTGCTGTCTCTTTTGAGGGCATAAAGCATTTTTTCCACAGCTCTCTCTTCTTCACAGGAACTAGAATGATGGTGATCACTTATGACGTTGTGGTTGGTTTGAAAGGAAGTGGCTCGAAACCCATCCTCTGCCACTATTGGTGATGAACCGTAATTTTTGTTGTATCTGCCTTCTATGTCCACACATGTGGGTGAATGTGTGTGTTCCATACCTCCACAAATCCTTTCATCTAGTCAAATATGTCTTTAAATTTCTGCGTTTATTGTAAAGTACATAAGACAGTGATTATACTTCGGAAGATTTTTCCAACTGCCCCTTTTCCCATGAGATTCTAACATGCCCTCCAAATTCTTTTCTAGTTGAGGATCACTGGGAAGAGTTGTATTACTTCAAGTAACCCTAACTGATATAACAAATAAATTCCATATACATAAAGGCTCACACTTATCAGAAATTTCTTTCTTGTTCAATTTAACAGTTCTGAAGATGGCTGAATATGTTGTTGGGTGATTCTGCTCCATGTGCTCATTGAGGGACCTAGGCTGACAGAACTAAGTCATCTTTAACATCTGCTTCTAAGATTGCTATGGTGATTTTAATCTCAGCTAGCCAAAAGGGCAAAGGGGCTTGAAGAAGCACATGTTGGAGATTCCAGGGCCAGACCTGGAAGTCACATGTCTCAAAAGTCACATCACTATATTTTAACTCTAAGGAGATTGGGAAATAATATAATTCAGGTATGTACCCAGGAAGAGAAGAATAAATTTGTTCAGAGCTCAGATCACTGATATCATCTCATTATAATGCCTATGTTGGTAGCAACATTTTCGTTCATTCACTTTTTCAGTCAATTTTTTTTGCTAATAAACTTGGCTATTAATTGAGAGGTTATTGTGTGTTAGGCATGATAGTTATGAAACAGGCGGAAGCAGACAAAGTACTTGCCTTCAGGGAGCTCATGGACATATACAAAAACAGTCATAATTCAAATACTTACATAAATCAATGTACACTTACATTTCTGCAGGTGCTGGTTTTGAAAGAGAGGCATATGGTGTGATGAGACCTTATAACAAAAGCTTGTGACTTAGCCTGGGTGAGTCAGGGGTGATTTTCCTGAAGATGTGTTTTCTGAACAGAAATCTGAAGAAGAAATAGGAGTTAACCAATTGGTTGAAGGGTGAGAGCCAGGAAAAAAATTCATTGCCAGTTCCAAATAAAATTGTGTCTAACACGCAAGACAATTTCTGTACTGAGAAGGGGATTTAGGGATGCTACGAACACATAATTTAATTTAGTCTGGTGATCATTTAGTCTTGAATGACACCAACTGCCTGTCTTCACTCAACTAGTGGCTTTGACAGTGACCAGGGATGAGGTCGTCCAGATGTGGACAATCCACCTGAGTTAGGAGTGGATGAGCAATCAATCTACCTGACCGACTACCTGAGCATGATGTCAATAGACCTTCTTTGGTTCAGAGGAGTTCCTGCTTTGGCTACAGCAATAATGCTCAGCTGAGGATTGTTAGGAATCTCTGGTATACTGAAGGTTAATCAAATATGTTACTGCCTGGCCTCAGGCTGTTCTGCTACCTGAATCAATAGAGAAAGTCTTCAGTTTGCTCTTCTTGTGTGTGTGTGTTTGCCATGGTGCTCTGGTTGTGTCAATATTCACTATACTACGTTGTGTTGTAGCATGTCAGGACAATATCCTACAATAACAGGGTACAGGAAGCCTGGCACAATACAAGGGAAAAGTAAGCATGAGAAAAAGAGGAAGATGCACAAAGTCATTTATCTGCAAGATAATGAGCAGGTTAGACATTTTTATTTTTGGAAGCTGCTTGTTTCCCAGGGCTAACACCCTGCAGGTAGCAGAGCCCCATGTACTGTTTAAAATGAGGTGTGATCCTATCATGACTATAACTTGATGTATATGTTTTAATGGCATATCCTGCCAAGAAGGATATTAATGAGCTATTGCACCATTTGTTCTGCTGTTGCTTATACACAAATGCTGAGTCCAAATGAGATTCCTTGGGGGTTTGAGATTAAGGCTGGAAAAGAATTACTCACATAAGCTGATTTTGTGGAACACGTTCTGTGATGGGAGTAACAAAGTTTATTTAAAAAGCGCAGTTGGTCAGACTACCTTTTCTACAGATGGATTTAGTCTAAACTAGTGAAATATTAATAACATTTAATTTTCCTGGCTTTCATCTCTCTATCTATGAATTGAGAGCATTTGAGACTTTTGAAGTCTGCTGACCAAAAACAGACGAGGAGCCCCTTTCTAACTGTTGAGTGTGCATAGATGTTTTGAAGGTGCTGGTCAGGCAGAGTGAGAGCCAAAGGTCTGCCCTTGGCTTCTGAAATCTTGGCTTTTAGCTCTTCCCTTCCCTTGGTGGTAGACCTAGATTTTTTTCTCCTCAGAAGCTCTTTTCTAGGCAAGACATGAAATCAGAACCCCTCAGTTTTACTCACTTGTAATTTGTTTACACTCACTCTAAACAAAGCAATAATATCCATGAAAAGATAGGTTTGAAAGGCTAGAAACTTAGTACTAACACACGTTGAAGTACGCAATTATTACAATTTAAAATATCCTTCTGCACACTATGGTCAAATGCCTCCTGGGGCATGGTGGCCACTCTTTGGGAAACACTGTGCTAAAGGAATCAGCAAAAATGTGTCTGGAATAGTGAAAGTGATTCCTTTTCATAGTTGTAAATATATTCCAGTGGAACATTTGACAACTGAAGTAACTCCATGGCCTCAATTCACTTCTTTCTTTCTTTCCTCCCTCCTTCTTTTTCTTGCTTTCTTTCCTTTTTCTGGGCTTTCTTCTCTCTGTCCTCCCCTTTTCACTGATTTCCTTGTAGTTGCCAAGAACAATGCCACATTTATCATCACCATAGACCTTGAGATTAGTTTCTTGTCTGCTTCTTGAGGGCAGGGACCATATGATATCACATTTATCATCACCATAGACTTTCAGGTTAGTTTCTTGTCTGCTTCTTGAGGGCAGGGACTATGCTTGAGCTACATGGTATCCTCAGAAGCTGCCGCAATGCCTAGCCCAGGGAAGGACTTCAGAAAAGCTATGCTAGGTGCATAGACACTGTCCCTGAAGTCACAGCACTCTGGACTTACTAGGAGAAACGGACTGTAAACCACAAGTGGGAAATGCTGGGATCTGGGCATGCACAGGCTCCAGTGGTGAGACAAATCGGTGAGGAGTGGTCTTTGGTGCCTTTATGAAGGAGACTTGAGCTCCATCATGAAGAATGAACAGGTGAAAGAGAAGGACGTTCAAGGTAAGAAATAGCAGGAAAGCCTGAAAGGGAAAGACGAGTTTAAGGGTTATGAAAAACTTGGTTTGGAAGGTGAAGGTAGGACTGGGTAGAAAATAAGAACAACAACAACAATAATAGCAAATACTTTAGCATAGTTGGCACTTACAGTGTGCCACTTACTATTTTAAGCACTTCATAAGTACCACCTTCCTTAATCCTCACAACCACCTTGTGAGGCTGAGTATTATGAGGATCCCTATTTCATGAGTGAAGGATGGAAATGATACCAGGTTGCCCAGGTAGAATGGCAAAGCTGGTGGGTTCATAGAAGCACCCTGACTTCAGGTTCTGTCTTCTTGAGGACTGTGTTTCCCGGATCAGAAAACAAGAGTGGAAAGATAAAAAAAGGTGGTGTGTACAGAGAACTAAATATCTAATGGCGCAATTGCAGAGACTGGGGTGTAGGTTGGTGGTGATGGTAAAATTTCATGATGGGAAAGGTGTCATTGGGTAGGTAGCCACTCACCTTGCTCACTCCTCAGAATAGCTTGGAATGGCTAAGTGGTTTTTTTGCCAGGTGGTGGAGGCAGGTTCACATTCACAGCAAACATTCACAGGCACTTCCTATGTGCCAATCAGTGAGTTAAGTATACAGAAAAGTATATAATGCTCTCCTGCCCTTGAGGTTGATACAATCTTTGCCTTAGAAAGGAAACAGACAAGCAGGCAGTGATTTCTCAAAGTGATACAAGTCATGGTCATTTCATAAAACCATGGTGGGTGGGGATACAGAAGACAGAACCTGCTTGGAACATGTGTGTGCATGCGTGTGTCTGTCTTAGGCAAAGCTTCACAGAGGACACACCGAGGAGGCTGAATCTGGAAAGGTGAATGAGAGTTTGATAGAAGAGGAATAGAAGCGTTTCTGGCAAAGAGAACGCTGTGAGAAGGCAGTGTTGTAAGAGGGCAGGAAGTGTTTGGGAAAGAGAAGTTTAGTTTGGCTGTGCGTCCAGAATGATGGCTGGCACACAGTGGATGCTTCATGGTTTTGAATGAATGAGTGAAAAGATAAATGAATGACATCAGTGGTGGAGGAGGTTAAGGGGGATTATTGATGAAGGTCCTGGTAGGCATGGCCATAGAGGGTGGTCTTTATCTTGTAGGCAATGGGAGCCCATTGTGTTTTCTGAACAAAGGAAAAATATAATCAGATTTATGGATTAGAAAAGTCATTGTTGCAGCTGTTTTGAGAGTGGAATTGAAGTGGTGAACTTTGCAGTGGTCCAAGTAAAAGAGGCAGTGGGGATCAAGAGGAGGGAAAAGATTGGAAACACACTTGTGGGGAAGAATTTAAAGGAGAGCAGGGAAGACAGAGGGTGAGGGAGGGGTGGAAGTCACAAGCATTGGTTGTAAATCATGGCCCAAAGCATTTGACACTTGACCCAGTGTCTTACATATGGACCCGTGGGAAACAAAGTCTTCCACTGGGCTTATTCTGTGTCATGTGTCACCACTTGTCTATCAAACAGGAAGCCTTAATTGGAGATGAAGATTTAGAAAAGGGGCAAAGTCAGTATTGACAAAATACCAAGAAATTGGCAGCATATGTGTGTGTATGTGTGTGCATGTGTGTGTTTCAGGTTGGAATACTTAAGAAATGTATTTTGGCAGAAGTGGAGGAACAAGGAGTCTGGGGAAATAAAGCTCTTTTTTACCAGAACTTACTCAGTGCTGGAGCACATTTATAGGAAAGTGAAGTTCCTATGGAGAGAACAGGGGCCTCTTTCTCAGATGTCTTGCTCCATTCAGCTTGCTGGGTTTTGGCAGTAGGTGGGGAAGGGCTAATAGTGGGAAGGGGAGCATTTGTGGGATCAGAGCCTTCACTATCGATTAAACGTGGTCCATTGCTCTCATATTTTTACTATCCCCATGTGTCCTTCCTTTCAAACTTGCAGCTACAAGCAGCAAAAGGAAATTGGAGCCCGTGTGATTTTTGCCTCACTGGTTTGAGCTTTGACTTTATTTATGCCTTTAATTTTCCATTTAGCAGATAATTGTTGCTTTGCATTCTGTTTCATGAAACGTCCTGGAATTGAAATTAGATTCTGCCCTTGGATATGCATCTCTGATTCCTGTTGACAGTCCCCATGATATCATCCTTTAAGCTGAGCTCTTTTCAAAGGAGATCAAGCTTCCACACATGGAGTTTCTCTCTCTCCTTTCTTTTCCATTGCAGGGCTCCTTTGGAACCACTGCAAATGGTTCACCAGTCACTTCCAGTCTTGATCCTTTAACACCTGGCTAAATTTTCAAGCAGTCAGCCACGAGGAAGACTTCTATAGGAGAAGAAACGTGGGCTTTGGGTTGGCCACCTTGCTCTTCCACTTGAGTGTGAAGTGACATTGGGAAATTACTTAACCATTATGGCCTCTGTAAAACGGGAATAAAAAGCAACTTATTCCAAAGATCATTGCAGTTATTTAAAATGTGATGCCTAAATAATGAAAACATGCCTAGAACCTCGTGTACAGTTAGTAAATATTACTTATTGTCAATTTTATAACTTTTTTATTTACAAGGGCTTCAGACAAAGGAGAGGGTATTGGGGGCTTGGTATTTTCATGAAAGATTTTTTGGAAGTTGCTTTTCTGCAAATATTGAATTAAAACAAGACTTCTTCAGAGAAGAGAAACTTCATTTAGATCTTGAAGGATGAAAAGATTTGGCTGGACAGAGATGACTCCTTGGCTTGGACTGACATATCGAAGGCTCTGCCTGGCCACTGGGTGCTGAGAGGTGTCAGTTGTATGTCTGTTCTCCTGTGGAAAATAATTGCTGCTGCCATTGCTATGCAGCTTATGGTGCTCTTCTGAGTGAGGCTTGCAGGACTGAGGCTACACTTCCATCTTTACCTACACCGCCTCCTTCGTCTCTCATCACATAGCTTCTCTTGATATGTGTCTCCCCATCTTCTCTCAGTGGGCCCAAACACTAAATTCTTGGGCCTTAAAATGTGGATATGAATTGTGTAGCTCATTTTTGCCATCCATTAGTGTTGCTGAATGTTTTTTGTTTTTTGAGATGGAATCTCACCGTTACCCAGGCTGGAGTGCAGTGGTACCATCTTGGCTCACTGCAACCTCCGCCTCCCGGGTTCAAGTGATTCTCCTGCCTCAGCCTCCCAAGTAGCTGGGATTACAGGCGTCTGCCACCATGCCCAGCTAATTTTTGTATTTTTACTAGAGACAGGGTTTCACCCTGTTGGCCAGGCTGGCCTCGAACTCCTGACCTCAGATGATCCACCCGCCTCGGCCTCCCCAAGTGCTGGGATTACAGGCATGAGCCACCGTGCCCAGCCTGAATGGTTTTTAAATTGTTCCCTCCCTCTCTCCTTTCCTCATTTCCTATATCCCTTCTTCCCTCCTTCCCTTTCATCCTTTCTGTTATGATGATCGTTTGAATACAGTGACCACAACTGGCTTTAAATTCCAACTCTGCCACTTATAAACCACAAGCAAAATTTTCATATCTCCAAACATCTGTTTCCTTCTCTGTAAAATGAGAAAAATAATTATATACATAGGAATCTCAGGATGATTAAATGTACTAATACATGTCAGGGCATCCTTCAGCATTTCTGACCTAGAATAAAAGCTCAATAAATGCCTTTTTTAGTTACTATTCAACAAGCATTTGTTTGATGAAAAAATATATATGTATATTTTAGACACACATATATACACGTATGCACACAAACATTATATAAATACATATAAATATAATTAGAAGAGTGCAGAAGACAATTTGGAGTAGCTGAGACCATTGAGGTCCCCAGGCAAGAAGCTCCAGAGAACAGAACCTCCATGGGTTTGCTCATCCTGTGCCCTCCCCTGGAATGACATTTTTACTGATACTATTTCTTTTAAAAATGCTATGGATCCTGTAGGGCCTCAGTTAGCCTTACCACATTGGCTAAGCCTTTCCTCCTGCCACTCCTTCTCACCACAGTGCCCAGTACAGTGCCTGCAAGCAACAGAAATCTAATACAGATTCCCACAACTGCATACATTGAGACAAAAATTCAAACTCTGCCACTTATAAACTAGTTGTCAAATTATGGAAGACTTTATTTCATCACATCAGTTAAAAGGCCAACAGGAACCACATCTCCGGCATTTGCTAGTAGAACTCAGCCAATGCTGTCCCACTCTGTATAAGGAATGTGATGGTTCAGCTGAAAGAACAATCAAAGAGACCTTATAAGTAAGTGGTGAGATCAGTTCAAAATCAATAGGGAATAACCCACATTTTGTGTGAATTAATTTATAATCATAAATAAGATATATTCCATATGTAGGAAATAGTCCCTTTTCTGCTTTGTTCGCTGCTGTATCCTTTGTGGACTGCACAGCCTTCAGCACTCAATGGGCTGTAATAAATACTAGGAAACGAGTGAATGAAGGAATGAATGGGTAGCTGAAGGAAAATAAGCTGACTTAAACTGCTACAATTTATTGAGTGCTTATTTGCATGCCAGAAACTTAACATACATTATTTAACCTGAAAAACATTATGGTAGACTCTGTTATTATTTTCATTTTTCCCAATGAGGAAATTAAAGTTTAGAGAAGTTTGATCCCTATGCCAAGGCCACACAACCAGGTCTGGTGGTTTTAACCATCAGAATACACAATTAAATGCCTTGTTTTAATCTCACCAAATGGTAAAATAAAAAATTAAAACTTTAACATTGTAATTTAATCTGAAACTGATTAAAATCTCCAGTGGTTCCTCAATCAGGTGGGATACGGTTTCATATTCCATAGGGCTCTGCCTCAGTTTCTCCATTTGTAAAGTGGAAATGATGAAGCCTGCATTCTCTCTGGGAGGTTACGAGATTTAATTAGGGCAATGGTTATAAAGATGCTTTGAAGTCAGGAAGTGCTTATTAATATCAGGGCTCATGACTGTGTTTCCAAATAGGATATCCTTGTCTTTAAAGCCAAGTGCCTGGGATGAGCCCCAAAGGCCCCCCAGAGGGAATGGTAGGAAACATTAGCCTTGGATGCCTAATTCAGCCCATATGGTTTTGCAGCAATTCCATAAGTAAAGAGGAGACTGAATGATCCCATCTCTTTAACGTTCAAGTGTGGGAACATTAAGAGTTTGCTCCTTAATGATAATAACATTCAGGAATGTTGGCACCTTTTCTTCCTGACTTCACGTTATGAAACTCGGGGAGTGTTGAGTAACAGGATGTACGTTCATGCCATTTTCAGTTTCTTTGGGGGTTCATTTTGGGAAACCTTCCTTCAAGCAAGAGCTTCAGTGGTTAGACACGGAACGGCCCTTTAACCTCAGGGCTATTGCCTCCAATGTGGTGTAAAGGTCCTAGTTTGTGGAGTAACAGTTGGATCCTGTTCCTCATCAGTTAGGAGTCATTGTTTGCAAATGTGTTCCCCGATGGAAAAGGATTAGATCCTGGACAGTAGAGAACATTATGTTCATATTGCAAAATCTTGGTACAATCTAGTCTTGGGCTGATGGGAGATTTGATGAAGCATTCTTCTTCTTCTTGGCTGAAAATGTCATCGTAGGGCTCGGTACACTGCCGTATCCGGTCCCTTTCCCCTGACACACTCCCATGCACACTGCAAGGCAAAAATTAAATAAATCTTTTTGATTCTGTTAGAGTTGCCCCAGGGCTATGGGAGGACCACAGGACTCAGATCAGAAAACTGATTTTGCCTTGCTAATGTGTTACTTGAACAGGTTGTTTTAAATCTGTAGCCTAAATTTTCTTATCTGATTTGGTAGCCCTAATATGTGATACTTTTTGTCACCCAGGGTTTTCATAATTATCAAATGAGTCTATATGTCTGCTTCTATCTGTCTACTGATCAATAAAGAAATGGGATGCAGTCTAGCATGATGGCTGTGATGTGGATTTAAATGCTGTGTGGACTTGGGAAAGTTACTTAACCTTCATAAGCCTCAGTTTCTTCCTCTGAAAAAGAGAGATAAAAATGGCAATACCTGTCTCAGAATGTTGCAAAAATTAAATGAGATGATCTATGTTGAAGGACATAGCACAAAACTTGGCACATGATAAGCTTTTGATAAATATTAGCTATGGTCATTATCCTTATTGTTAGGAGAATGATTTTAAAAATTACAAGATTCTATACATACAGAAAGTATTATTATTGGTTAAATAATTTGCTCTCTGTCTGGGTAAAAAGCAATTCTGAGGCTTAGCAATTGTTTCTTGGAAAAATGAATTATTCACCAGGTTATTGGCTTCAGCACATTTCATCCTCAGCAGGAACAAGAGAAGTGCAAAATCTGCTGGCTGCAGCTGTGGCCCACTTACAGGGGTGTACTTGAAGAAACTCAGCTCAGTGAGAACCTGATTGCAATTGTTTCTTGTGAGGTCAATGTCTTTTGCAGATTAGGATCAATGTTGAAAAGATGCCTGGGAAGTGAATCTTCACATATTGAAAGCTCTCTTCTTACTTTTTCTTTATAATTGTACAAATATGTTCATCCAGAAACTGAGATATAAAACACACTGGGAAACATAACCAATAGTTCCAGTCACTGCTTCAATGGGAAAATAGTAAGTGTGCTAATGAGATAAACCAAAATTGCAAAAGAGCTAGGTTTTCCTTTGCAATGTGGTATCTTGATACCTAGAAGAAGGAATGCATGCCGACAGAACATCAGAGTCACCTAGGTGGATCTTTAACATATATGCAGGGGTCTGTTCTCACTCATAGGTGGGAATTGAACATGAGAACACTTGGACACAGGAAGGGGAACATCACGCACAGGGGCCTGTTGTGGGGTGGGGGGAGGGGGGAGGAATAGCATTAGGAGATATACCTAATGTAAATGACCAGTTAATGGGTGCAGCACACCAACATGGCACATGTATACATATGTAACAAACCTGCACTTTATGCACATGTACCCTAGAACTTAAAGTATGATAAAAAAAAAACATATATGCAGGGGTCCAGCTATGCCCCTTAAGCTTCTGATTTGTACGTCAGGGGTGAAGTGCAGGATGTTCTGCGCTTTTGTTTGTTGTCACTCCATGTATGATACTTATGTGAGAAACACTGAAAGGGAAGACAGTAGCATCCTAACTGAACAGAACCCAATCACTAATTTAATAGTTCAACTCTTAATATTTTGCCTTGACTATGTCTTCATTTGATTGTGCAGATCTTGTTTTCTAGCTCTTAATTTTAAAACTGACTTTTCTTTCTGTATCAGCCTATCTGCGCTAAAGAGAAGGAAATTTGGTTGCGGAAAGGGAACAGGTGGCAGGAACATAGCGATGGAAAAAACAGAGAACCCTGATTAGAATACACAGACTACTTTAAAGAAAGTGAAACAAGATTGTATTTTTGGAACCAAAAAGATGCAAGGAATTCTGAAGAGTGAGTTTTCAGATAATGAATATGCAGCTACTGAATTATGAAGGCTGGAGTTATGAAAGTCTGTTACTTTACTCGGTTGTGATTAGTAAGATCTGATCTGCTGAAAGTAAAACACATAGATGCATATTCCCAAAGTGGTTTCAATAAAAAGAACAGAAGAATCAAAATCTATAAATGTGATTTCCCTGCAGAACCCAGTGGGCTGTCTCTTTACAGGTATGGTAGACAGTTTCCAAGATGGCTTCACCAACACTGCTCACTTCAAGAGGTGGAGTCTTACATCTAGGCTGACAGTAGTGATTGTTTAATAGAATGTGGCAGAAATGACGTCCTGGGACTTTCAAGGCTAGGTCATAACAAGTCTTACAGTGTCTGCCTGAATCTCTTAGAACACTCACTTCTGGGAAGCCTCGGAACCCACCTGCCATGCCAGGAGAAACCCAAGTGACATGGAGATGACATGTGTAGTTTTTCTGGTTGACAGTCCCAGATGAACAGCTGAACTCTGCCACAACAGCCACATGAATGAGCCATTTTGAATGTTTCTGTTCAACCTAGCCCTTGGATGACTGTAGCCATGTCAGCATTCCAGCCAATACCATGTGGACCCGAAGAATCACCCAATGAACTTCTGGAATTATGAGACAGAATCAACTACTTTTCTAAGCTATGACATTTTGGGCGGGTTGTTAATGCAGCTATAGATTACTTAAATAACCTGCTCACTATCCTATATTTGCAAGTAATGGGGAGATATTAAATTGGTTGATTTTGCATATTTACCTCTGTCCACACAACCGGCCAGCCAGCCAGCCACTCTTCCACCCACCATCCTATCTATTCAACTATTTCTTAAGAACTTATTGTACATCTACTATGAAAAGGGCAATGGGAGACACAAGTTTATTCTTTCGCATTATTTAGAATTTACTATTGCCAGATATTGATCAAAGAGTTGTGGACACACAGGCAAATGAGTTGAAACCAAAGGAATAAGACAGATATGGTACCTGTTCACACTCCAGTGGGGGGGAAGATGAAAAGCACAAATATATTTACATAAATAAATGGCATCATTTAAAAGAGTGCTACCGAGGAAATAAAATATGGTTATGGGATAAAGATTTCCTGAGGTACCAGCTAAGTGTTCCGGTTGTACAAAGAATTGCTGAAGAAAGGTTCTCTAAGAAGTGACATTTGAATGGCAAAAAAGACAGCTGGGTAAAGAACTGTGGTACAGGACACACTTTTTAAAAAGAATAAACAGAACAGAGGTCCCGAAAAGGGAATAAGCTTGGTATGGAGGAGGAACAGAAAAAATGCCAGAGAGGAAAGAATGGAGAAGTAAAAGGGAATAAAAGCATGGATAAATATAATTCAGAATATACTGTGGAGAGCTTGTTCAATATTAAGCAAGAGAGAAACATGATTTAAATGTGTTTCCAGAAGATCACTCTTGTGGCTGGATGGAGAATGAACTGTCAAGGAGAAAGAGGTGAAGCAGGGAGATGGCTAGGAGGCTCTTGCAGTGGTCCAGGAGAAATCTGGTGGTAACATGCACCAGCTGGTAGCAGTGGAGGTTGCCAAAAATGCTGCTACTCAAAATGTATCTTGGAGGCAGAATCAATAGTACTTGCTGATGGCTGGGCAACTGAGTGAATAGTACTATTATTAAAGGAGATTGAGTAGATTGGAGAGAAGCAAATGTGAAGTGGAGGTGGGAAAGTTCTGCTCTGGCCTTAGTAAATTTAAGATCACTAGGCATGCTAATGAAGGCATTCAATAAACAGCTGGAAACACAAGCCTGATAATCAAGGGAGAGTTCTCAACTAGAGTAGTCAGCACACGGATTTTATTTAAAGCCATGGATGTGTTTCCCCAGAGAGAGTGCAGAGTGCGTATAAGCCAAGCACATTACTACATTTAAAAGTTGTGAACAAGAGGAGGACCCAGCCAAGGAGATTCTGAAGGAGTAGCCAGGCAGGCAAAAGCAGAACTAGAAGAATGTGTGGTCACAGAGCCAAATGAAAAAAATGTTTCAGAAAGGGAGGTGTGCACAATTGTCAAATAAGGCTTAGAAGTCAGTCAACTGGGGCCCATTGGATTGGGCCAGATGGAGGATGTTGATGAGCTTCACAAAAGTAGTTTTATTGATGTGGTGGAGACAAAATCTGATAAAAGCAGGTTAAAGAGAGAAAGAGAGGTGAAGAGTTGGAAACAGCATAGTCAACCCTCAATAACTTTGTTTGTAAAGAGAAAAAACTAAGGCAGTTGTTGAAGGGGGGCATGAGGTTAAGGAAGTTTTTTTTTTTCTTTTAAGATAGAAGGATATATTTATATATCAGTATATTTATATTTTAATTAGAATGATCTAACAAGAGGGAAAAATCGCTGATTTAACAGGTAAAAATTATGTAACACAAAATTAGAAAAGTTAGAAGTCTATTTTGAAACTTGAAAATTTCGCTTAGATTTAAAGGGGCTTTATTGATCTTATCTGTAGTAGGAGATACTGATTTTTTCCCCTGCCTTTCCAAACATTCAGACGTATGCACCTATATGTACACTAATAAGAGGGAGGAACGATTGATACGAGACCTATGAGATTATTCGAAATGCAAAACCTTTGAGTATATAAGAGAGGATACAGTACCTGGCTTCGATAGGAGCGGTAACTGTTCATATATACTAATAGGTAAGGATTGCTTCTGCCTTTCTCACTGTAGATCTAAACGGCTCCATTCAGCCTGGGCCAATTATAATGCCCTATACTCTGGGCTTTTCTGATTTGTCCAGGGATGAGCACATGGCCTAAACCAGGCCAATCAGCATCTCTCTCTATGGTTTCAAATAGGAGCTGAAGGAGGAGATGTGTTCATCTCTACCTTAGAATGTGCTTCTAGATCAGCCTCTGGCATGGTCTGTGTTGCATGGAAGATGCCTATCTCAATAGAAGGTGATGAAGTCAGCACATCAATAGAAGCATAGCTGAGAAATGAAAGGACAGAAAGCCCTGATAGGTTTTTTGCTCTGGCAGAAACCCATCATACAGCTTAGACCCATCTCTCCACATTCTGTGTTTTATAGGAACTGGTAAGTTCCTGTCTTTTTGCATAAACTAATTCTCGTTGTGTTTCTATTGTTTGAAACTTACAGAATCTTGAGTAACAGCCCATCCTATGAAGGAAAAACTCCTGGCACATGTAGAAACAGCCATCCTTCCCAACCTAATGGTGATCATTACTTCTGCAGGGAATGCCTTCAGTATGTGAGAGTCACTATTTCTACTGGCAAGCTTACTGGGATAGCCCAATCTGACTTTTCTTTTAGATTCTATTTAAAGCTGTTATCTGTATCTGATATTTGGATCTGGATTAGGAAATTCTACCTGAAAACCACCACCAACCACAAGGCTGTGGCTAGGAGGAGACAGCAGCATCAGCACTGGATAAGTGTCCCAGAGGAAAATTAGCAGCTCTCTCCCCCTTGATATTTTATTCACGTTCAGTACCGGACAGAGAAGGTGGAAACTAGTAGTCTAAACTGGGAAAGTAGAAATTCCTTGACTTGGTGTTTTAGTCATTTTGGGCTGACATACCAAATTACCATCAATTGTGTGCCTTAAACAATACACTTTTTTTGTGTGACGGAGTCTTGCTCTGTCGCCCAGGCTGGAGTGCAGTGGCACGATCTCGGCTCACTGCAAGCTCTGCCTCCCGGGTTCACGCCATTCTCCTGCCTCAGCCTCCCCAGTAGCTGGGACTACAGGCGCCCGCCACCATGCCTGGCTATTTTTTGTATTTTTAGTAGAGACGGGATTTCACCGTGTTAGCCAGGACAGTCTCGATCTCCTGACCTCGTGATCCGCCCGCCTTGGCCTCCCAAAGTGCTGGATTACAGGCATGAGCCACCGCGCCCAGCAAACAATAAACTATTATTGGTCACAGTTATGGAGGCTGATAATCCAAGATCAGGGTACCAGCATGAGCAAGTTCTGGTAAGGGACCCTTTCAGGTTGCGGATTGATGACTTCTCACTGTCTCTGCAGGGTGGAGAACTAGAGAGCTCTCATGGGGCCTCTTCTTTAAGGGCATTAATCCCATTCATGAGGGCTCCAGCCTCATGACCCAATCGTCTTCCAAAGGCCTCATCTCCTAACACCATCACTTTGAAGGTTAGGATTTCAACATACGAACTTCAGGGGACACAAACCCTTAGTCTATAACACTTAGCCTGAATGCCTGAGTGTGTGTGCGTTTGTGTCTGTAAGTCAGGGGTGAGTGTAGGTCCTAAAATCACACCCAGGGTCATTGAAGAGGCGTCCCAAGGGAACAAGCTGCCTGGGGATCAGGGTGATGCCAGCCAGCCTTCACCTTAGTGCTCATAGTAAGCTCTCATTTCACTCTGGCCTAATCAATACAAGAAAACAATGTTCTTCTTTTTTCCATCCTTATGGTTAGGAAAATTAAGAGTAACTTTTTAACAGAAAATGGGAGTTGGTACTTATTTTTAAAGGGTAGTATGGCTGGCACATTTCCGGAGTAGCCAGCTGTCAGAGGGACCATCGTAGGGCAGCCCAGCCAGGAACATTGGGATCATCTTCTAAAATCAAGTCATCAGATCCTGGTCTCCTCTAGTCTTCTTAGATCAGACTCTGACCTGGCCTAAGTCTGATCTCTCAGCACTGTTCATCCTTGACATCCTTGAAAATCTGTATTGTATCTTTGTATCTTTCTTTCTTTTTTTTTTTTTTTTTGAGACGGAGTCTCGCTCTGTTGCCCAGGCTGGAGTGCGGTGGCACAATCTCGGCTCACTGCAAGCTCTGCCTCCTGGGTTCAAGTGATTCTCCTGCCTCAGCCTCCCGAGTAGCTGGGACTACAGGCGCATGCCACCATGCCCTCTAATTTCTTGTATTTTTAGTAGAGATGGGTTTTTACCATGTTAGCCAGGATGGTCTCAATCTCCTCACCTCGTGATCTGCCCACCTTGGCCTCCCAAAGCTGTTTTCCACCATGGGGGGCACTTGCTTTGAAAATCACCTTGCGGTTCCCCTCCTGCCCAGCTCCCTGTGAACTTTATCTGGCTGACTCCTGGGCTGTTTTTGTTATTCCCCCTACTGTCTCACCTCTGCCACCAATTCTTCTTTCCTGTCTTGGCCTTGGCTTTGTGCTTTTCTCTAGGTTTTGATGAAACTTCTTCATGTTTTAATATGATCATTGGCTTATAGAGTTGTCTTCAGATGTTTCCCTTTGGGCTTGATGAGGAGAAACTAAGGAAAAATGGACTTTTTCTGAGTAATTTGTGTCCCATGTGCCCAGTTTCGGGGGGGGGGGGCACTAATATCAGCCTATTGGGTGATTATCTTTCTGAAAATGCAACATTGAGATACACTCCTGTGGATAAGAGCAGAAATTTATGTATATTCCAATTTGCAGTCATCCTGGGAGGAGGTGAGTCCTGGAGTGGCAAGTGAGGACTTGGGAAGTGAGTGTGATTCTGGACTCTGAGAAAAATGCCTTCTTTTGTGGGTATTGGGTGCAAGGAGCAGTCATGGTTTGGCTGCGTTTAAATGCAATGGATTTAACTAGACAGATTTCAGTGGAAAGAGCATGCTATGTCTGGCCCCATGGAGAGAAGCTAGGAGTGCGATGACAAGCCAGCCCAGCGCTGGCCAGGGAAGGCCAGAGTAGAGATCATGGTTATCCTGTTGTTAGTGTCCCTGAGCCTTTAAAAAAAAACTTAAGAAACAATTACATTTGGTTCTCTCTTCTGCTGTGTGGAGTTAAAGAGGAAGACATGGTGCATGCCTGGTATGAAGCAAGGAAGGAGTGAGCTGAGGAATCTTCCAAGGCCAGACAGGGCAGTACCAGCTGTGGCTACCAGTGGAAAGCTTGGAGTCTGTGCCCACTGGAGCAGTTGTCTCTCAAGGATACCCAGTAGTGACCCGGAGGCAGGAGGAGACAAATATGAGCATTCTGTTCTTTCACATATACAAGACAGCCCTGGAAATTTTAATTTCTGCAGTAAAGTGGTTGGGAGTCTGTTCCACCGTAATTTGGGTTACTCGATTACGGTTTCATTTTATTGATTGAAATCAGTGGCTCTCAACTGGGGGTGTCTTGGAGTATCTCCCCAGGGGGCATTTGTCCATGTCTGGAGACATTTTTGGGTGAGGGTGGGGATGTTATTGGCATCTATTGTCTAGAGGCTGCTAAACATCTGCAAAGTGCAGGAAAGTGCCCCCGGCCCCAACAAAGAATGATCCAGTGCAAATGCCAATAATACTGACAAATAGTTCCTGACTTAAAAGAAACTGAACAAAGAGAGCATTGGAATCAAAGCAGTTCCAGCTCCCTTCCATCCAGCTACTCTTATGACTGCCTAAGCCCCTCTCTGCAATCTCTCACGGGCTGCAGGAGAAGCAGTTTCTCAGTTTCTGTAGGAACGCAGCTTCTTCATGGCAGAGCTGAATATAGAACCTGCCAAGGAGAGATGCAACCTTGTTTACATTCTTGTTGGCAGCTAATGAAGAAGCTGCTGTGTACTCGAGCTATTATCTAAACCAAAAATAACACATGAAAATGATTAATTTCATCTAAAAATAAGCAGGCGCTAGGCTATGTCAGCCATGATAATCAGGCTCTGAGCTGATTGTACTGCAGCATTGGAGTGGAACTTGGGAACAAAGGGAGAAACAAATTTGAGCTCATAGTAATCATCTCCTACTGCCTTTTCTTCCCTCTGTTTCTTCTCTTTTCTCTTCCTACTTTGTTGTTATTTTTCCTTCTCTTTTTCCTTCTCTTTTTTCTCCACGTTTTCCTTCTTCTCTGTAGTTTCTTCCTCCTCTCTTCTTCCCCCTTCTTTTAAAAACACTCCCCTCCCTTATTTCATTATTACACTATTATCCTCAGACTGCAGTGGATCCATCCCCATTGCTTACGGCACAGTTTCCTACAGCAGTACCTGTCTCTACTTGTAGCACATAATATATTGTTACGGGGTGAGTAAATGATCATTAATTGTTAAGGATCAAAATTATTTTAATGTTTTAATTAAAAAATTACTGCATATAATCTATTATTGCATGAATATTGGTGCCTAATTAGGATAAGACCAAAGGTAGGTATTTAAGCCAGAAAAATGTTTCAATTTTTTTTTTTTTTTTTCTTTTCTTTTTTTTATTATACTTTAGGTTTTAGGGTACATGTGCACATTGTGCAGGTTAGTTACATATGTATACATGTGTCATGCTGGTGCACTGCACCCACTAACTCGTCATCTAGCATTAGGTATATCTCCCAATGCTATCCCTCCCCTCTCCCCCCACCCCACCACAGTCCCCAGATTGTGATATTCCCTTTCCTGTGTCCATGTGATCTCATTGTTCAATTCCCACCTATGAGTGAGAATATGCGGTGTTTGGTTTTTTGTCCTTGGGATAGTTTACTGAGAATGATGATTTCCAATTTCATCCATGTCCCTACAAAGGACATGAACTCATCATTTTTTATGGCTGCATAGTATTCCATGGTGTATATGTGCCACATTTTCTTAATCCAGTCTATCATTGTTGGACATTTGGGTTGGTTCCAAGTCTTTGCTATTGTGAATAATGCCGCAATAAACATACGTGTGCATGTGTCTTTATAGCAGCATGATTTATAGTCATTTGGGTATATACCCAGTAATGGGATGGCTGGGTCAAATGGTATTTCTAGTTCTAGATCCCTGAGGAATCGCCACACTGACTTCCACAATGGTTGAACTAGTTTACAGTCCCACCAACAGTGTAAAAGTGTTCCTATTTCTCCACATCCTCTCCAGCACCTGTTGTTTCCTGACTTTTTAATGATTGCCATTCTAACTGGTGTGAGATGGTATCTCATTGTGGTTTTGATTTGCATTTCTCTGATGGCCAGTGATGATGAGCATTTTTTCATGTGTTCTTTGGCTGCATAAATGTCTTCTTTTGAGAAGTGTCTGTTCATGTCCTTCGCCCACTTTTTGATGGGGTTGTTTGTTTTTTTCTTGTAAATTTGTTTGAGTTCATTGTAGATTCTGGATATTAGCCCTTTGTCAGATGAGTAGGTTGTGAAAATTTTCTCCCATTTTGTAGGTTGCCTGTTCACTCTGATGGTAGTTTCTTTTGCTGTGCAGAAGCTCTTTAGTTTAATTAGATCCCATTTGTCAATTTTGTCTTTTGTTGCCATTGCTTTTGGTGTTTTGGACATGAAGTCCTTGCCCATGCCTATGTCCTGAGTGGTAATGCCTAGGTTTTCTTCTAGGGTTTTTATGGTTTTAGGTCTAACGTTTAAGTCTTTAATCCATCTTGAATTGATTTTTGTATAAGGTGTAAGGAAGGGATCCAGTTTCAGCTTTCTACATATGGCTAGCCAGTTTTCCCAGCACCATTTATTAAATAGGGAATCCTTTCCCCATTTCTTGTTTTTCTCAGGTTTGTCAAAGATCAGACAGTTGTAGGTATGCGGTGTTATTTCTGAGGGCTCTGTTCTGTTCCATTGATCTATATCTCTGTTTTGGTACCAGTACCATGCTGTTTTGGTTACTGTAGCCTTGTAGTAAAGTTTGAAGTCAGGTAGTGTGATGCCTCCAGCTTTGTTCTTTTGGCTTAGGATTGACTTGGCGATGCAGGCTCTTTTTTGGTTCCATATGAACTTTAAAGTAGTTTTTTCCAATTCTGTGAAGAAAGTCATTGGTAGCTTGATGGGGATGGCATTGAATCTGTAAATTACCTTGGGCAGTATGGCCATTTTCACGCTATTGATTCTTCCTACCCATGAGCATGGAATGTTCTTCCATTTGTTTGTATCCTCTTTTATTTCCTTGAGCAGTGGTTTGTAGTTCACCTTGAAGAGGTCCTTCACATCCCTTGTAAGTTGGATTCCTAGGTATTTTATTCTCTTTGAAGCAATTGTGAATGGGAGTTCACTCATGATTTGGCTCTCTGTTTGTCTGTTGTTGGTGTATAAGAATGCTTGTGATTTTTGTACATTGATTTTGTATCCTGAGACTTTGCTGAAGTTGCTTATCAGCTTAAGGAGATTTTGGGCTGAGACAATGGGGTTTTCTAGATATACAATCATGTCATCTGCAAACAGGGACAATTTGACTTCCTCTTTTCCTAATTGAATACCCTTTATTTCCTTCTCCTGCCTAATTGCCCTGGCCAGAACTTCCAACACTATGTTGAATAGGAGTGGTGAGAGAGGGCATCCCTGTCTTGTGCCAGTTTTCAAAGGGAATGCTTCCAGTTTTTGCCCATTCAGTATGATATTGGCTGTGGGTTTGTCATAGATAGCTCTTATTATTTTGAAATACGTCCCATCAATACCTAATTTATTGAGAGTTTTTAGCATGAAGGGTTGTTGAATTTTGTCAAAGGCTTTTTCTGCATCTATTGAGATAATCATGTGGTTTTTGTCTTTGGTTCTGTTCAATTTTTAAAAAATTATACTGGCTTACATTAGGAAAGGTTATATGCAGCTGCTGAAAATCGACCATTTTGACTTACAAAAATGATAACTTCATATGATTTCACCTAATAGAATAAAACTAATGTTTCTTAGCATATTCAAAGTTGTTTACAATCTGGCCCCAATTTATGTTCCAATTCTGAATTCACAATTTTCCCCTAGATAAAATCTAGGCTTTGATAGATCACTGAATATTTATCAAATACCAGTTGTAAACTAGGAACTGGAGTAGGTCCTAGTGATGCAGATATGATTGAGATTAACAATCTGTCCTCCAGGGGCTTACTGTCGACAGGAGGAGACAGGCGCATGGTTTCAGGCAAAATATATTAAGTATTAAGATGTAGTTTTCACTGCGATATGGTTTTTATTGCTACTTAGAGATATTTGGGATAGTGTCATGGAGATTTTTGGTCATCACGATGATAAGGAATATCATTGATATTTAGGGAGTGAAAGTTAAGAATACTTAACTTTCTACAGTGCATAAAACAATCCAATTACTCAATGAAGAACCAACCCACCCTACTGCCAATGGCAGCCCTATAAGAGAAACTAATGGGGGTTATTACTGGGAGCAAAGAGGAACAATGCAAAGCGGTATCTTGCCAAATTTGGGAGTTCAGAAAAGGCTTCTTGGAGGAGGTAGCATCTGAACTGAGCCTTGAAGGACGAGGATGATTGGGTTTGTGAAAGTGGGAAAGGCCTTCTAGGAAGAGGAAAAAACAAGTTATTTCAGGAGTCCTCATCAGCTTAGTCTCTTCTTGGTTTCTCACTTGGCTCCTGATGTGTGATAACTTTGTATGTATCTCCCTGTCTCTAAGGGAGATTTCATTTCTGTCTGCAGAAATCGTTCCCATCCTTCAATAAGTGGCTCATGTCCTATTTCCTTTATAAAATCCCCTTATTGACTCAGTTGAGGGTAATTTCTTCCTAAGCCTTTTGGCCTCAACAATGCTCATTGCATTCATACTTTTCTTTCCTTCCCTCCTTGGTTGTAATTTTTTTGAAAGGAGAAAGCTGTTACCCATTTTTTTGCATGTGGTAAGTGACATCTAACAAATAATATTTTATGTGTCTTACAATATCTTATATTAGCAATACTTTGTGTTTTTTTAAAGATTAAAAACGTATTTATCAAATTTGCTCCCCAGAATGGCTCAATTAGGCAGTTTCACAGGTAACTTAATCCTATCATGTAGGTCAATAATTTTCAGCTGGGGACAATTTTCCCTTCTGGAGGATATTTGGTAGTATCTGGGGACAGTTTTTATTATCATGTGGGAAAGATGCTATTGGTATCTAGTGTACAAGGGCCAGAAATGCTACTAAATCTTCTACAATACAAAGGACACCTCCCTACAATAAAGAATAACCTGACCTGAAATATCAACAGTGCTGAGGTTGAGAAACGTTGATGTAAGTTAAGAAATGCAAGTGACTTACTGAAGGCTGTACAGCAAATTGATGGCAGATCAACCAGAACTTAGGACATCAGGACAGTGAAGAACTGAACAAAGGATGCACTATGGCGCCAGGTAATCTGGCTTCCAGTTTGATCTGCTTACCAGAAAGTTCCTGGCTTTCATCTCACATTCCTGCTTTGTCCTCCCTTGCTCCTTCTTGCCATAGTTTGAATCTCCAATTGCCAAGCTGCTTTATTTTGTGTATGTTCTTTAACCTATTTCCTTTAACCTCTTAAGCCTGAGTTTCTCTCTCTACTCATAACTTAATAAGATTGGCATCATAGAATAGTTGATAGAATAACTGTAAAGGCATACATGGAAAGGTGGAGGTAATGTTTAACATTATCACACTATGCACTGGGCTCCGTTCTATGCAAGTTATAGTTATTAAGTCACTTACCCCTCACAATAGCCCTGTGAGGGAGAAACTATTATTAGTCCCATTTTATAGATAAGACAACTGAGCCACAGAGAGGTTAAGTAACTTAAAGGATCACCGCTAGTTAGGTGGTGTAACTGAGATTGGAACTCTGAATCCAGGTGCTTCCTCACTCACTATACATATCATACACTACATATTACTATCTGGGCACCACATTCGCCTTCCCACGCTTCCCCCATTTTACTCCTGTCCTCCCATTATTAAATGCTTACATGCTGCTGTGGGGAGAAGGTGCCTGGCTCAGAACCCACACTTCTGCTTTGTGTACCCTCCTTTGGGCCTAAGCTGGGTATCCAGTTGCTAGGTTATTTCTGCTTGGTCTGTATCAGTAAGACCCAAGTTGCAACCAGCTGCAGCAATCCAAAAGTTAAGGAAGGAAAAGCAACTGGCTCAGACTCACTCCGCTGACCACAGAGACTTTCAGGGTATACTTGTTTCCTAGCTGGGGCATCTGTAAACCATACTACAAACTAGATGGCTTAAAACAACAGAAATTTTATTGCTTCACAGTTCTGGAGACGGAAAGTCTAGAATCAGGCACTCAACAGGGTCATACTCCTGAAACCTATAGGGAAATCCTTCTTTGACCCTTCTTAGCTTCTGGTAATGGCCAGCAATCTTTGACGTTCCTTGGCTTTTAGATGCATCCCTCCATTTGTGCCTCTCTCTCACAGGACACTCCCTTTGTATGTGTCTCCATCTGTGTCTTCACATGGTGCTCTCCCTGTGTGTGTCTCTGTGTGCTCTCCTCTTCCTATAAGGACACCAGTTGTATTGGGTTAGGGGCCCACACCCGTCCAACCTCACTAAACTAATTACATCTGCAATGACCTTATTTCCAAATAAGGTCACATTCTAAAGTATTGGGGGTTAAGATTTCAACATATCTTTTGGGGAGGGGAGGGCGGGGGTGGGAGATACAGTTCAACCCATAACTCCAGGCAAACATCTTTCTGTCTTTATCAGTCTCATGGAAGCTGGGCTCTGCTCAGGGCTTGGCCACCTCTGAGCCTCATTCTGTCTTCCTTAGGCTCTCTTTGGAGGATAGATACTTCCTTTGCAGCTCCTTAATCTTCAAGGAAATGAGGTATCGCATGTCCTTGTCAGGATCCCTGCTATTTCATACATTAGTTGATCCAAATAAATGAGCTCTTGAATAAATACCATCTGGCCCTGCTGAGTCACTTTCTCAGTGGCCCTATCTCTGCCTCCCATCAGAAGCATCCATCTCTATCGATGTCACGATTACCAGATTTCATGGGTAGAGCACAGCTTCCTTCCCTCTTGGATCCCTGCATTACGGTCCTGAGAGGTACCCACTGTGGGTTGTGACCCAGCTCTCTCAAATGTAATGCTGCTTCTCAGTATCCCAAAAAGTAATGTTATAAAGAAGACTCATTCTTCTTTTCTCATCTTCTTTTATTAAAATATATGCTTATAAGTAAAACAAAGCCTTTTACTTATTACAACAACTTTCGTGAAAGTTAAAATAGAAAAAAATATTCACCCATATTCTCCCCATGGCTAACAGAAAAGAACTGTCAGAAACTTCCTATCTCATTTTTATTCAGATGCATGCATATTTTTACATTAATTGCAGTATGTATACAATGTTCTCTGTTCTACCTTTCTACTTTCATAATATTTTTAAAGGAATTTATATGTTACAACATGGTCATTTTAATGACCATAAGATATTTCCTTTGGGTTAGTTTACCATAATTTAATACATCAAAATATATTATCAAACATTTAGAGTTTGGGGACTTTTTGTTACTTTAAATAACACACTGTAAATATCTTGCAATGAATTTCTTTGTACAAGTTTTTTTGGTTTTTGTGGTTGTTGTTGTTTTTAATTTATGCCTTTAGAAGAATCCAGGAGAATTCCTTTGTCAAAGGGCATGATTATATTGGCTCTTTATTTATTTTACTAATTTGGTCTCCGAAATGATTTTTCCAATGTGTGCGTGTTTCTTTTTCCCTGCAGTCTTACTAACGCTGAGCTTTGTAATCTTAAATTTTCTCTAAAATTATTTTAGTGGGTAGAAAAGGATACTTTAATAGTCTTAATTTGCCTGTCTTTGGTTAGCAGTGAGAACAAACACTTTTACACTGCATCTTATTGTCTAACACTCTGATGCATGTAAAAACTATTGGCCTCTGCTTCCTCAGACCTAGGTTATCTCTGACAATGAACCTTTTGCTAGCAATCCACACCTTCAACAAGAATAAGCAATGTGTCTGCCAGACTCCTCTTCACATATCTGCCCTTCTAGAGAGATATTTAGGAGCTCAAGTAGCTGTGGGTGGTGGAGTTGTCTATGCACTTCGACTTCGTTCTTTCTGTAACCCAGGCTTTTATGGACCACAGGGACAGGAAAGAACAGCTCATATCATTAGCAGATGCTTCATTGGCTGGGGGATAAGAGTAGGGAGGTAATCACTCAAACTCTTTCTGCAATGCTGACTACAGGATGTTATTAGAAAGAGCAGATGGGGTTTGGATGGTTTGAATCAGGAATCTGAAACCCTAGTGTTGTGTCCCCAAAATACACTAGCATCAAAGGCAGACCTGTGGATCCCAGTAAACTATATTCTGAATACCAACATATAATGAAGTTTTGCTGGGAAGCAGAAGGAATAAAAAGAGAAGGAAGATGTGAAGGGAGGGATTTAGGCATCTATTGGACCCTTGGCTGTACCAGGGGTTGCAGGCATTTCTATAAAGGTCACATAGTAAATATTTTAGGTTGCAGGCCAGATGGTCTGTCACAACTACCCAGCTCTGCAACAGTAGCACAAAAACAGCCAGAGATGATACTTAAATAAATGGGTGTGGCTGTGTTCTAAACTTTACTTATGGACACTGAGATTTGAATTTCATCTACTTTTTGATGTGTGACAAAATATTATTTATCTTTTGATTTTTTTGTTGACCATTTGAAAATGCAAAAGCCATTTCTGGCTCACAGGTCATATAAATAAAAGCAGTGGGCTAGTTTGGGTTTAGGAGATGAAGTTTGCTGACCTCTAGGCTTAACTATCAAAGAAAAAAGAATGGTATTATAAAGTGGCTTTCAATCTTCTTTTAGCAGAGACATTTATAAACTCCTACATATAAAGTAGATGAAGGTGTCTGCTGTGGTTGAGCAGAGGAGAGCCTGGAGGCTGCGTCCTAGCCTCTTTCTTCCCCTTTCTCTGCTCTTTCCCACACCTAAGGCAGCTTCTGGATTATCTCTGCCATGGAACACAGGCTGACCTAGAAATCCTGAGATGGGAGTTTAGTTGTTCCTCTGCTACCCTGAGCACCTTGCATGGGACGGGTTCTCATTAAGCTCATTAACCCAATTAGTGGATGGAGGGCTGTCCAACAGTCTTTGAGATCTTGGGCTGGTTTCTCTAGCTCACTGGTTTCAGTTTCTTCTTCAAAAATCAAGCTGGAGATGAAGACAGAAGGATGGAATGATCTCTGAAGTCTCTTCCAGCTTTTTCAAGATTCCAGGTTGCATATTCTCCAAGATTGGAAAGGTTCTGGCTCATTAAATTTGACAAATATAAGGCATAGTCTTGGCTTTACTCAACTAATTGGTACTTTTTTCCCTCAAACTCTTGCTCCTGAGTTGATTAAACATAATTGAAACTCATACAATAAAAAATGTGGGTGTGGTAATGGGAATGTATTGAAGCTAAATTATCTAGACTTTCTGATTGCACTAATTAAAAAGCATGAAAGGTTTCTTCAACTGGAAGATCAGTTCCTTGAAGTTAGAAATGATGTATTTTTCCACGCCTGTAGTCCCAGCTACTCGGGAGGCTGAGGCAGGAGAATGGCGTGAAACCAGTGGGCAGAGCCTGTAGTGAGCCGAGATCGCACCACTGCACTCCAGCCTGGGTGAAAGCGAGACTCCGTCTCAAAAAAAAAAAAAAGAAATTTTGTATTTTTCCTTATTTATATGGCTGATAAGACCCTGAGCATAGTAGATGCTTTAAAAATGTTTTTGATGAGAAGACATTTATGCTGCCAACAAACATATGAAAAAAAGCTCATCATCACTGGTCATTAGAGAAATGCAAATCAAAACCACAATGCAATACCATCTCAAACCAGTTAGAATGGCAATCATTAAAAAGTCAGGAAACAGCAGCTGCTGGAGAGGATGTGGAGAAATAGGAACACTTTTACACTGTTGGTGGGAGTGTAAATTAGTTAAACCATTATGGAAGACAGCGTGGCGATTCCTCAAGGATCTGGAATCAGAAATACCATTTCACCCAACAATCCCATTACTGGGTATATACCCAAAGGATTATAAATCATTCTACTTTAAAGACACATGGACACGTATGTTTCTTGCAGCACTGTTCACAATAGCAAAGACTTGGAACCAACCCAAATGCCCATCAATGATAGACTGGATAAAGAAAATGTAGTACATATACACCATGGAATACTATGCAGCCATAAAAAAGGATGAGTTCATTGTCCTTTGCAGGGACATGGATGAAGCTTGAAACCATCATTCTCAGCAAACTAACACAGGAACAGAAAACCAAACACTGCATGTTCTCACTCATAAGTGGGAGTTTAACAATGATAACACATGGACACAGGGAGGGGAACATCACACACTGGGGCCTGTTGTTGGGTGGGGGGCAAGGGGAGGGATAGCATTAGGAGAAATACCTAATGTGGATGATGGGTTGATGGGTGCAGCAAGCCACCATGGCACATGTATACCTATGTAACAAACCTGCACATTTGGCACATGTATCCCAGAACTTAAAGTATAATAAAAAAAGTTTTTGATGTTAATAATAACAGCTGCCCCTCCTGCTCCTTGCTGGCTCTTCTACCAGCCCACTTTCTCTTCTTCAAATATACCAAGCTCATTTCTACCTTAGAGCCTTTGCTTTTCCTCTGCCTGGAATTCTCTACTTCTAAGTCTTTATACAGTTGGCTATCTCTGTTCATTTAGATTTTGGTTTTCATAGCATCTCCCCAAAAAGGTTTTCCCTAGACACCCTACATAAAAGGGTCATCTCTATTCTCTATGACTACCCCATGTGATTGATAGCCAGCATTCATGGTCTTACCTTCGTGTAGTCCCATCTTTCACTGAACTAGGGTTGGTTTGTTTTACCACCTGCACATGGCAGAAACTATAACTTCTAAGATTAGGTTATAAATGACTGCGACTTCCATCTTGGGTGTTCACTGTCTCTTTTGGGTTACTTGCTGTGGGGAAAGCCAGCTACCATGTTTTGAGCACATTAGTCCATCTGATGGAGAGGTCCATGTGGGACAGACTTGAAGTTTCTGGTAACCACCAGTGGAAAATTGAGCCCTACTAACAACCACCGGTGTAAGTTTGGAAGAGGTTCCTTTCCCAGTTGAGCTTTCAGATGAGGCTGCAGCCCTTTCCAACAGCTTGAGTACAACCTTGTGAAAGATCTTGAGCCAGAACCATCCATCAAAGCCATTCCTGATTTCTAACTTACAGAAATAATGCTATAATAAATATTTATTGTTTTGAACTAAGTTTTGGGGTCATTTATTGCACAATAGATAATTAGTATACTCTGAATTGTTTTTTGTGTTGCTTTATATTTTTCTGAAATTTCCTTATTGACTGATGTAGTGAGTGGGGCAAGTGGAATCATAAATAAGTAATTTGCCACACATATTATAAGCACAATGAGAGAATTATGTTTGAGTAAATATAGACCAGTAGTTCTCAAGGGTGTTCCCTGGGCCAGCAGCATCAACATCACTGAAAATGTAATAGAAATGGAAATTCCTGGGCTTCATGCTAGACCTACTAAGTCAGTAACTGGGAATGAGGCCCCAAAACCTGCATTTTAACAAGTTCTTCGAGTTATTCTGATGTACACTAACATTTGAGAGCTACTAGTATAGCATTATGAGAGCATGAAGGAGGGCTAAGACTGAAAAGTGGGGCCTCAAGGATGACTTCCTGGAGGAGGTCACAACTGAGCCAGGTATGTAAAGATTATTTAATTCTAAGCCCCTAAGATGAGTATAGTATCAGGGGAATTATAGAAGTAAAGAAAATTTTGTTTTATAAAAAATTACAAAGGTGACTCTGTTCACCGGTACAGCAGGAAGTCTTCCTAGTACGGTAGATAACTATGTAGGTGAGAGTTTTCCAAGAGGAAGGAAGGGAGAAGAGAATTTCGGCAGCAGGAAAGAAACTTTGTGAGAGAAAGCCAAAAAGAAAGGGGCCTTCAGTGACTACACTAAAGGGTCATTAAGCTGTGGGTAGCAGCAGGTGATGAAGCTGAAAATGTAGGTTGGAATTAAATTGCTCCAAGCTGGGCTAAGGATTCGGTGTGTGGACAACAAGATAAGCACAGAATTCCTTGAATTCTAACACTCTGAGAGCAGATGGCAGGATGGCATGCATCTCTGAAATGGCAGGGAGGCACCTGTAACAGGAGGCCATCAAGGTGAGTGGAAGGAAAGGTAACTGTCCTCTTCCCCTTCATTGACTGCACTGCCTCTGGGGCTGGAGGCCTCCTTTGTCTGCTGAGATGACAGGCTTTTCCAGTCCTTCAGGCAGAAATTGCTGGCAGGTTTGATCACAAAGGGCAGGTTGTTCTTGGGACTAAGAAAGACAAAGAGAGCTTTTCCTTGTAGCCAGGAGGCAAATCTTGCTTCTCACACCAAGACTATCTTTGCCCTTCTGTCTCTCCCGGGTGCTCTTTCTCCAACAGAAAACCCTACCTGCCACTCTCCCTGCAGTCATTTGACTAGAGTAGGACCAGGTGTATTTCATGTCACTTGCCTTTTGGGTTAGTGATCTGGAAGTGACTTCCCATAGTATGATTAATATGGCTTGCCCCTCTTTGAAGCCACTGGGACTGTGTTGTGTCCAGAGCAAAGAGACTGGAATAACCAAACTGTATTTGCAGCCTGAGGTACTAGGGGTGGCTTAAAGCTGGTTCATTAAACAGGGATTTGTCTTTCACATTTAGGTCTACAAGGCTGTGTTCCTAAGGAGGTAGGTGGCCGCTTTGTGGAGATGCTTTGCATTCTGGGACATAAGCCACACACTTATTAAAAGACACTAAGTGCTTGTTGAAAGAAAAACAGACTGACTAACAATAAACGAATAGATGAATGCTGAGGTTAAAAGAATTTGGACTTTGAAAGCAGACAAAACTGGGTTCAAATTCCAGCTCTTGTCATTTATATAGGTCATATTGGTCAAGTTATTTTGCTTTCAGAGTGTCTATTTTCTTATCTGTATAATGCTGCTGTTTGAAAGGTTTTTAAGAAGAACAAAGAAAAATCAGGCATATAAATGTACTCAGCATGATACATAGGACTCTGTTGGCACCTCCAAAATGATGAGTTTCTTATAAATTAGTGGTTTTTAATCGTGGCTGAATATTAGAGTCACCTGGGGAGTTTTAAACCCCCTGACACCTGTTTCCCACCCTAGACCAGCTGAATCAGAATGTCTGAGTGTGGAGACTGAGGATGAGTATTTTTCATAAACTGCCCAGGGTGATTTGGATGCACAAGAAGGTTGAGCATCACTGCTGTCGTTGGCAACTATAAAAGGTGATTGGCAACCCTGGCTGAAAATTAGAATCACCTCTGGAGCTTCTAAAATACTAAAGCCTGGGTCCTGTCCCTCAGAGAGTATGCCTTAAATTGCTCTGGAATAGTGATGTCAGTATCAGAATCATTTAAAAGCTCCCTATATACAAAGCCTTCCAGTATATGGAAAAGATCTTCCTTCTTACTCATCCACCCACTTACCATACTAACTTATTTTGTGACTATAAATTAGAAATATTACTTAAAAATCAGGAGTAATTGATTTGTCATTTAAGTGTTCGCTACACTATTTTTACTTATGTTAATACTTTATTCACATATATTGCATTATAATTAGTTGTTTACAAATCTAATTCCTATTAAAAGTGTGAGCACCTTGAGATACGGAATGTAATTTTTGTCTTTCAAGAATCTGGCACAGGACCTGGATGAGTAAGTTCATATTATTATTTGTGAAACACCTGAGTCCATACATGGACTTCCCACAATAGTAAAGTTGATTTTATCCATGTGTATAGTAGGAGTTGCAAAAACTTATACCAGCATTTAATTTTGAAAAGAGAAATTAATCTGTTAGGACTTAGGGTTGCAAATGCAAAAAAAAAAAAAAAAGTCTGACCCACTTAGCTTTAGGAAAAAATATATTTGTTTGAGTAATCATATATAAACATAAATAACTATAAAATATGCACACACAGAAAAAGATAGTACAGAAGTAGTGTTAAGATATAGCATTATTCCAAGATTTAAATAATGTTACAATTGCCCAGTCTCTCTGTCTTTCGTTTGCTAGTCTAAGGTAATCACCTTCTCAGACAAATTGCCCTCCTTATGGTAGAAAGATAGCTGCTGAGGAACCAGATTTTATATTCTCTCGAGGAACAAGATTTTATATTCTCTCGGGTTTAGGTAAGCAGAAAGAGTTTCCGAGAAGTCTAAGCAAAAGTCTCATACCATTTCTCTAGCTCTGATTGGAGCAGATATCTATCCTTAAATTGAGCATTAGGGTCAGGAAGAATAAATACTGTGAGTAGCTTTGGCCAATGGTGATACTTCAATCAAGGCACATGGGCTGAGGCTGTTGGGAAAGGTGGTTTTCTGGAAAACAATCAGAGCGTGGTTATCTGAAGAAGAACTGCTGGATGCTGGTAGCAAAACATGACAGATACTCTAATCAGCATCTATTCAGGCAATTCACTTAAATATGTTTTAAATACAAAATTGAATAGCTTTTATATATATTATATATTTTTATATATTTTATTATATATATTTTATATTAGAAAAGAGATTTTCTCATACACTATAAATATTCTTCCTTGTACATTTAGATATATCATGCCGTTATGAGATATTGCTGCTGCTGTTAATGATAGAGAATAGTATTACTTCCAGATTCTTCCTGATCACTGTTTGGCTTTGAGAGAATCCAGAGACACCGTGTAATTCTAATTTCCACATGGTAAACATGCAAGAGATTAATTCATCCATCCATTCTTCCACCCATCCATCCACCTATCTGTCATCCAACAAACATTAACATCCACCCATTTAACAAAACTATGTGTTTTAGGTTCTCAGATTTCTGAGACAAGACAAAAATTCCTCCCTGCAAGGAGCTCTGAGTCTTGAAAGGATGGATATTCGTGAATTCACCGTAAAAGAGCATGGTAAATGCTTTGCTCTAAGGATGAGCAAAATGCTGCAAAAGCACAGCATAAGTGGAGGCCTTGGTGCCCAGAACAATAAGGCAATTTGATTTCCAGGAGAAGAGAAGCTCAGTCCACAGGTATAGATTCTATTCTCTGGGGCTTCTTAAAATCTGCCAGTCTATGGCTCAGTTTCCTAGGAAGAGACCCCTAGGCTTCCTTTATCCCACTTGCTTTGGTGCATCTCTGCAAAGCCCAACCATCTGAGCAAGTTAGGGAGAACACTAGCATGAAGGAGGTGCTCTTAAAGAAGTAAGTGGCAAACAGGAAATTTGTGCCTCAAACAGATCTCTGACTAGGTCATGCTATAAATGTTGTATTCCAGGGGTGCACCTGGAAGGAATCATGATATACCTGGACCACATGCACAATAAAATGTAACAGGAGGTGGAAGAGCCTTCTTTGTTGGCATAACCCACTCATGGTATGATTTTAGAAGACAAGAAAGACTCACTTTTCAAAGTCACTATCAACTGTTTCCTTAATGCTTCGATCTGTTCACAGATAGGCCTGGAATATATAGTGCTTTCAGCTGCCATCAGTCATCTCTCCCTCAATATGGCTGACCATGCTATCACAGGTAAATTTGGGAAGGGAGAAATATTTCCATCCTACTCAATTGATATCTATTTAGTGTCTTCTAAGTGTTGAACCATTGCTAGCATTGGAGAAATAGAGACGAATAAGACAGAAGTGTGTTTTCAAGAGATTTTCAGTTTATGGGGAAATGGCAGCAAACAGTCACACCGCAAGATGTTAAGAGAGAGAAAACACAGCATCATTGTGGGAGGAGCATTTCATCCACCACAGAGCTAGCCTCCTGAAAATAATGGGGGAACCCAGTTTTCTATAGATATTGGCATCTCTCCTGGAAGTTTGCTGAGGTTAAGCCTAAGCTGGGAGCCTGAGCTAATTGCCATATTTTGTATGATTTTCTTAGGTGATTTTGTTCTTTCAGATGTTTTATTCATGGAAGTAATTTTTTCATAGCTAATCCTGAAGATGACATAATGATAACATAACTGAAGATTAGTATATTCTGAGTTTCAACTAATAAAGTTAAAATTGAGTAGATATTAGGTATCAGCATAGAAAAAAATTCACAGAAGATACCAGAAAACCAGTTTTATTAATTTTAAAATACTCTATCCCATGCAGAATATAAAAAGGTCAGAAGCCAACAGACAGAAGATTATTTGGGGATAATTTCTTGGAGGAGCTGATGACAGGCTTTGAGTCCTTCTCTAAGGATGTGTCTGGGGATGTCTGTCCCTCACTTCAAGCCAAGTGGGAGAGGTGCTTCTGTGAGACCATTCAGAGAACATAATGTGTGTATCTAGGATTTGGGAGTGAGTAGTGGATTGATGTCTGACACCCTTCAGGGGACTCTACTGAGCAAGAGAGAAAGGTTGGGGAGCTGCTTGCTGGCCACATGAGAAAGAGGTGACCCCTTCTCCTGGCACACAGCAAATGCATTGAGTGAATAGGATGTTTGAGTGTCCTCTGGACCAGATGTGGGCACACAGGAGAGACAGCGAGCTAGCCTCAAGCTCCTTTGCCTTCTACCCATGGGACTCCCTGGATGTGTGCGTCAAGGGACATGTTGGGTAGGTAGAGAACTTTATCCACGGACCTGGGTGAATCCGCGTCCTGTATAACTGAGGTTGCAGTAGGTGAGCTTAACAAAGGCACGTAGCTCATTTTGTTGATGAGTTCAGCAAAAACATTTAGCTCATTTTGAGGCTGGCCTGCTGAAAAGTGTTCAGTCTATAGGGTTCACCCGTTAGGCCCAGAGAGAGCAGAGCTGATTCACAGCAGTACAACAAATAAGAAAGTAAGGACTTTCTTATTTCCCTTACCTCTTTTTCTCCCCTCGTCCACCCTGATCTGAATGAAAATGAGGATCAGAAACAGTAATTAGTCAGTGGAGAAAGTCGCACGTGAGAACGTGAGACATGATTCTTCCCCAAGGCGGGCTACCTGCCTACCACAGGCTCTAGCAGTTTGGGTGGACCAGGGGAAAGGAAGGTCTTATTCTTGAATATAGATAGGAGTTTTCATTCATGTATTAAACTGAATATTTTGATTTATGATTGGAGATTAGGCATTCAAGACTTGTAAAAGTGATCCAAAAAGCCTTGGAACAACCTGAATTTTCACCCAGTGGCAGGGGAAAGATTATCCTCACTAGTAGGTTTAAAAGGGCAATCAGGGACAAAAATAAATAAAACTAGTTGTATGACTAAGCCCTATGAATTCTGTGTGTTCAGAGTTCTCATTACACATATGCCCTCATCCATTAAAAGAGGACCCGTAAGAGAGGAACTAAAGTTACACTGGGCTAACACCCACATATGTAATGAATGGCAGGCGGGAGTCCATCTGGACTAAATTAGTCAAAGTGTGGGTCTGGGCATTGGAGCAGGAAGTGATTCTGAGAGCTCCCTCATGAGGCAGCTGTCCAGAGGAGGAACTCTTGGGGTTAACCAGGTTATCTCGACTCCATTAAAAGCCAGCTTAGGTCTCTCTTGCCTGAAGGGTTTTCTCTGACAAGAGGAGATTCATAATTCATGCTGCTAGCTCTCATCATGCCTCTCACGCATTGTGTTGGACACGAATTTCCTGTCTCCTTCCAAATTTGTATGTGCCAAATAGTACAGAAAGAGGGGGCTATCCCTAGGGTAGAAGCTCTCAAATTTTAGGACTCATCAAAATAATCTGGGGTTCTTGTTAAAACAGAGTCTGGCATTCTTCTCCCACCGTAAGATTCTGTTTCAGGAAGTCTGCAGTGGAGCCTTAGAATCTGTAGTAGTAGCAAGGCCCAGGCATTTATGAACCAAGTGGCCTGGTGACTATACTTTGAAAATAACTGCTCTGGAGTTTATATTCTGAATGGGTGTAGCTGTATTCCAATAAAACTTTATTTGCAAAAACTAGTGGCCATAGATCACTGCCCCTGGTATAGAGCATTATAGTTTATAGAACACTTTTCAACCTCCTACTCTGTTGGCTCTGGAGGAATAAGATTTCCAAGGAAGTGAAGGACTCATTATAGGTCACCAGCAATCAGGTGACACTACTGAAAACCCTGCCCAAGTCCACTACTTACAAATGCAGTCTTCCTTTATCTACAATTCCAGCTACCACCAAAGTCAGGGTATTGTAACGGGTTTTAAAATAGTTTGTTGCATATGGCAGCCATATCGATAGATGTGGGCTGACTTCACTGTGCAGTCTTTAATAAACAAGAAAGCCTATTTTTCCTTATTTGCTAGATACTTACTATTTACTGTCATAAAAAGTTATAGCATCATGAGTATGCTCAAGGAAGGGCCTGAAATCATTCTTTTCTGTGTGTGTGTTTGTCTTCAGAACCTAAAATAGGAATCTCAGCCTCAAAAATCCCACAGGGCCAAGAGAGTGAACATTAAAGGATGAAGTAATAGAGCGGTAGCAATTGGGACAAACTTAGGAGTACACGCCCATTTCCACCAGCCACCCAAGTCAGGACAACAATTGCCCTGCAGAAATTCTGGCCCAGTGCTGCCAAATAATGATTTTTCTGAGATACTAGAAATGTAGATTTTCGTGGGAAATATCCTGATTTTAAATATTAGCAATTTCCTTCCAATTTTAACAAAAGGCTGGTGCAGATCAACTGCGTAGAACACACAGACCAAGTCTGAGGGTTATATTCCACTTACATATCACCAGTTTATGATCTCTAACCTAGCACATAGTAGGTGCTGTATAAGTGTTGGTGAGAAGTATTGTGTTTTCATTTTATAGATGGGGATATGAAATTCTGCGATTGTCTATAACATGGGTCAGTGCTCCTTCTGTTAAGCAAAACCCAGCTCCTAGGTGCTCCAGCAATCTCTTCCTCCCTGCTCTCTGTCATTAGAAGGCTATTGACAAATGTTTTCTCAATCAATTACTGTAATCAGTCAGCTGCAACATTTACAGGTCACGAGAGCACATCAACAACTGTCAGTAGGTCAGACAATCATGATTCCCATTTGTCAAATGTGCAGTCTCTCCCCATTACATATGCATCTCCATCCAAAGTGCAGAACCTCATAAATAAATGGCTGCTGCAACGCCCTTTAAGAAACTGGCCGAGAGAGATGAGATCATGATGGAAGTGGATCCAATTGAAAACCCCATGGCCACTCAGCCACTTAAAACAGTGCTCTGTGATATAATAATTAACATAGACACTGGAATTTTGTAGCACCAACTGAGCTGTCTGTCTTTAACACAGAAGAGTAATATCTGACATTTATTTTTATTTACTTTTTTACTGCTCCAAAATGTGGTGGTCTCTAAACACCTAGAAGCCTGAGATGAACTGTTTCTGTTTGTTTTCTGAGGCTGTAGCAGTGAAGGGGAGCAGGAGAGTGCAGGTCTGCCTTTTTTTTATTTCACATGTGAGAAGCCTCAAGTCTGTATTCCTTGTTGAGTGATAGCATTTCCGGGGAAACCATATGGCAATTATTAAACATTTATATAATGCCATCTGTATACTCAGTGCCTCATGAATCATAAATGAGACAAGAGCCCTTCTCAGCAAGCTAAGGACTTGCGTAAAAACTAAGCAGGGAAAGTGGAAGAAGTGCAAAGGAGTGGAGCCTGTCAAGTGGAATGGTGCAAGTAAATGAGAAAGGAAGTGATGGGACCTCAGAGGAAACTTGAAAACACCAGGAACTGAGTGTCTGTGGCTTTGGCAGAGACAGAGAAGCAGTACCAGAAAAATCAATAATAATCATCGAAATAATGATAATAATAGTAATAGTAGCAACTTTTATTTTTTTATCCACTTGCTGTCGACTGGGTAAAAAATAAAGTGCTTAATATTCAGTTTTACTTAATGCTATCACCATATAAAGTAGGGATTACTGCTGCATTTTGTAGATGTAAAAACTGAGCTCAACAAGGTGATGTGACTTGCCCAACACCAAGCACTAGTAAGTGGCAGAAATGGAATTCAGGTCTACACGTGTGAGGTCTTAGGTAGCTTTCGGTGAGTGTTCAGGGTCATGAAGACTTGGTATTTGTCTTAATTCTTTTCGCCGCTTTGCTGACTTGACTGCTATGGCTATTAAACAAGTGAGAGAAGGCCCTTATTTTGATGTCATCTTCTCTCTGAAGCTTGTGAGATTCACCTTTCCTCGCTTTATATCTGGTTATTGTCTAGCATAATAATGAAAATACTGTTAATACAAATTATAAAAATAATAATGACAGCTATTATTTAGAGTGCTTATTATGCACTAGAAATTACTGTATTTTCTATTGTTTAATCTTCATGACAATTCTGTGTAGTGGGGCTATTTATCCCTACATGATACCTGGGAAAACTGGAACTCAGAGGGAATACAGTAACTTGTTAAAGGATTTGAACTTAGGTTTGCTCCACACTAAACATTGGGCTATAGGGTTGTTGAGACAGAAGGAAGTTTGGAGTCAAATAAGCCAATCCCTTGCAATATAAAGATCCCAGAGAGAATAAGGAATTTGTGAATGGCTTCGAGGTAGAAAGGAGAAGAAGCCAAACTGGACCGTGGGTCAGCGGACTCCTCTCCAAGTACTTTTTTTTCCCTACTAACGTGCATCATATTGATTACCTGCTTCAGTTCTGTTACTTTTTGGGAGAGAAAATCAGAGGCCAAAAGCAGTCATGTCATTGGAATAAACACATAAGCAAACAAAAAACACGAGGAACAAAGAATGATATTGGTATCAAGACTTTTGAAACTACCTGATTAAAAATACTTGATTTGGACTTAAAAACCACATCAGATCATCTTTACAACTGAACTAGTGCAGGTGGTTTTAACAGTAGTCATTAGGATGAGCAAATGAATGACTGGACAGAAAGGGACAATAACTGGTGATTAAGTGGTAGCAGATAGACACAGACCTAGATCTGGTTCACTCAGTGCATTTTTTCAAGGGAGAAAGTCATCAGTCTTGGAGATTTCCCCCACTCAATATGAGTATCTCTAATTTATTACATACATATCTTAGGCTGGGCTTTTAAAGCAATATTATTTTTTATTTATAGGGGAATTTAAATACGGCATTTTTCAAAGTGTAAACTTCAGATCTAACCTATCAGCTGGAGTCATAAATCACAGCTTCTTCATTTCCAAATCATTAGGGAGACTGAAAGCTTAAAGTATTTAATTTATCCAAACCACATGGGGTAGTTTATCATTGTGCATGATGTACCATTTTTTTTTATTTCAGTGCTGACTAGTAAAATTTTGAACAAATCATGCTGAGTTTTGGGGGTATATGAAGGCAATGCAAACCTTTTAAATCTCCAAGGAGTATGTAATATGAGTATCCGTATGAAAAATGTGTAGAAATGGAAGTTAACATAATACTTAGGATAGCTCCCTGACATTACAGGGTACCTCGTATTAGAATCCATTCTGCATGAAATAAGTTAGATTTTTTAAAGAGAGAAAAATGTGGTGCCTTGATGAATAGAAATGGATAAAATGAATGAATGAGATAGATGCAAAATGGACTAGTCCTTTCTTGGTAAGACAACACATTTTTTTTCCTATTTATAGGTTTCTGTCTATAAATAAAGTAAATCCTCCAGTACTTGCCTTGAAAAATTGTCTTACATTCACAAGAAAATATTTCAGATTATTTGATGAGTAAGTCTTTTTTTTTTTACTTTACTCAAAATCTCAACTGGCTTCAAGTTCATGACTGGAGTAGTGAGGTTACTTATGTCTTTTGAAAGTAGTGGGCATTCCTTAGAATACCAAAGATTTAATATATTAACAATACCAAAACCCAGGATTTGAGCCCAGATCTGTTTTAGCTCCAAAACTCCCAAGCTGAGTCAATCTCAACACCATCCAATGCTCTGCCTTTTAGAGAACAACAGATAGCTCTAGGAAAGAGTAAGCTGATGGGAATATAATCTTCTTCTCAGCTTAAAATAGGCTTGTCTCCCGAGTGCGGCTCTACATTTACCCATTGTTTCTATTTGTGCATTGAAGCCTTCATTTATCTCTGCACTCCCATGTTCATCGAAGCATTATTCACAATAGCAAAGATATGGAAACAACACAAATGTCCATCAACAGATGAATGGATAAAGAAAACATGGTATATATACAAAATGGAATGTTGTTTAGTCTTAAAAAGAAAAAAATCCTGCCATTTGTGCCAACACGGGCACAAATGAACCTGGGAGACATTAGGCTAAGTGACATAAGCCAGGCACAGAAGAACAAATACTACATGATTCCACTTTTATGACATGTCTATAATGGTCAAAATCATAGAAGCAGGGATCACAGTAGTGGTTGCCAAGGAGTGGGAAGATGGAGAGTTGTTGTTCAATAAGTATAAAGTTTCAGTTATGCTAGATTAATAAATTCTAGAGGTCTTCTATACAACATATTATCTACTGTTAATAATATGATATTGTGCACCAGAAAATTTAAGAGGGAAGATCTCATGTTACATGTTCTTACTGCCAACATAACAAAACTGGAAGGTAATGGGCATGTCCATTACCTTAATTGTACTGATGGTTTTTGCGTATATCCAAACTCATCAAATTGCAATAAATATCACTCATTAAATATGTGCAGGTCTTTGTATATCAATTATACTTCAATAAAGCTTTTATTTATTTATTCTTTTTTTTTAAAGCCGTTCTAAAATCCCTGAAATGAGCTTGGTGCTATGCTAGGTGATGGACATTTCATTCTAGTCCTATATATGTTGTTTAAAAAATTTAGACAAAATTAATTTAACAAAGTTTATTTGAGCGTGAATCAGGCAGAACTCCACTTGGAAAAGGTTCAGAGAACTCTGCTTCAGCAGCATGAGCAGCGGGCTTCTGTAGAGTGCACATGAAAGCAAAGTAAAGAAATTGCTTGATTGGTTACAGATAGGCCTTTTGCCTTGTTTAGGTACAATCTAGTGGGAAGTCTCTAGTTGGAGGTTAGTTGGTGATTTCAGATTGGCTAAACTTAAGTTCTGTTTTTTCAGTTGTAATCCCCAGTATTGGAGGTGGGGCCTGATTGATAGGAAATAATTGGATCATGGGGGTGGATCCTTCATCAATGGTTTAGTATCATCCCCTCTTGGTACTGCAGAATGAATTAGTTCTCATGAAATCTGGTTGCATAGAAATTTGTGGCACCTCCCCCTTCTCTCTCTCTTCCTCCTGCTCCAACCATGTAAGATGTCCCTGCTTCCCCTTTGCCTTCTGCCATGATTATCAGTTTCCTAAGGCCTCCCCAGAAGCCACTATGCTTCCTGTACAATCTGCAGAACTGTGAGCCAATGAAACCACTTTTCTTTATAAATTACCCAGTCTCAGGTATTTCTTTATAGCAATGCAAGAATGGACTAATACAGAACCCAAAACACTGGAGCCATCTCAGCCTAATGGCCTTCCAATTAAATGTTTTTTAAAAGTTTTAAGACTCAAATTTGGCATGGACTGAACCTGAAGTAACTGCCCTAGTTTATTCTACAACTTTAGATGACTCTAAATCCTTCTTATGCAATAATTTCTACTTATATCCATCACTTTTTAAACTGTGGAGTCATGAAACATTTCTAAGCCTCAATTTCCTTATCTGCAAAATGGAGGTAATAATTTAATACCTGCTTTTCTAACTTAGAAAAATAAGGTGAGATAGATAGCGTGATGCCAAATATAAGTACAAGGAATGACAATAGTACTAATTATTGGGCTTACATTTAACAACTAACATTAAGCACTACATGATATAAACAATTTACATGTTCCATTTCACATAATCTTCATTAAAGTCTAAAGAGAGAGAGATAATACTATTCTTTCTGCTCTATAGATGAATGAACCGAATCTTTAGAGAGGTTAATAACTTGCCCAAGATCGTGGACTATTGAACACCAACACTGCATAAAATTGCACTTATTGTAGTGAAGGCTGAGAGAACCCTGAAGACTGTAAGGTGACTGTTGACTTGGCACCCAGCTATGAGATGCTGGAGGATGCTCATATCTGTGGACTATTTTAGCCTTGACTACATAGTCCCACACCTCAGATCTGACATATCCGATTGAAAACATTTTCAATGAGCCACACATGGCAGCCAATGCTTCCATTTCAGAGAGGAAACGAGAACACTCACATTTAATAGGCAAGGCTATGCTAAAACCTTTATATATTTTGCCTTATTTTGGCCTCATAACAATGCTATGTGGTAGTTACTATTATCTACCTTTATAGGTCTAAAAATGGAAGTGGGAAGAGATTATTTACTTATAATCTGTTTTTATGTATAAAAATTCAATAACATGAATATACATGTTCACTTAATACAAGTAGAAAGAAAATATGAATACAAACATAAAAAGCCAGAATCATGGAAAATAGGGATGCTGAGAAGATAGAAAAACAGAGGATAAGTTGGGAATGATGCAGATGTAACCACCTGACAGGTTCTTCTTGCCCATTGCACAGACAAACCAATTCACTGAGACTTGGTGGTTGCAGTAGAGAAAGAGTTTAATTAATGCAAGGCTGGGCAAGTGGAAGGACTGGAGTTATTACTCAAATCCATGTCCCTGAGAACTCAGAGGCTGGGGGTTTTATGGATAATTTGGTGGGCAGGGGGCTAGGGATTGGGTGCTGCTAACTGGTTAAGGATGAAATCATAGGGGTGTGGAAAACGGTCCTTGTGCACTAAGTCTGCCTCAAGGAGGGGGCCACAGGACTACTTAAGTCATGAGTCACAGGTCTGAATGGGGTCAGTCAGTTACCAGAATCCAAAAGTCGGAAAAACATCTCAAAAGAACAATCTTAGGTTCTACAAGAACAATGTTATCTACAGGAGCAATTGGGGAAGTTGGAAATCTTGTGACCTCTGGCCACATGACTCCTGAGCAGGATTAATAGAAACTATGCCTATTCTGAATCTTAGCAGAATTCAGGTTCCTCTCATAATTCTAATTTCACGGCTTTTTATTCGTTTTTGGTTCCTGAACAAGGAGGGGGTTAGTTTTAGGGAAGAACTATTATTATCCTTGCTTCCAAGTTAAACTACAAACTAAATTGCTCCCATGGTTAGCTTGTCCTATGCCCAGGAACGAGTGAGAACAACTAGCCTGTTAGGCTAGAAGTAAAATGGAGTCAGCCATGTTAGATTTCTTTCACTGCCATAATCTTTGCAAAGGTGGTTTCACAGATATCATTTTATGTATTTAAATTTAGCCCCAGACAAACCAATGAACTTCATGATAGAACTAAAAGGAAATACAATCAGTTACACAATTTGTCTCATCCCTACAAGGGGAAAAAACATATATGTCAGTATGTCAGGATCAGCAAAGCTTTTCTGAGAGACAAGATGGTTATTTGTACCAAGTCACAGATTTGGAAGGAGGTGGTGATACTAGCTTTAGGACTTGGGTCTTGCTGTCTTCCATCCCCATGCCCTTGCTTTATGGAAAGCTGTTTCCTACTCTGTCTAGCTTGGGAAAAGAGTGTGTTTGCTCTGGTTTCTGTCGATATGGTTTTGCCTTCAGCACTCACCTTGCTTCAGTATAATTAAAGTGTTTTGTCATAGGTAAAAAGAAAAGATGTTGAATTTTAATTCCCTATGTACATAATGTGGGCAGGTTTATTTATTTTCCCCTGCAGCTAACACAGGCACATGGAGGGATAGGACCAAAGGATAGAAAAGGGGAAAGGATGAGAAGGAGGCCCTTCTTAGTGGGTACCTTTATAAATAAATTAAGGCGATGAGTAGAGATGACAAGGACAATGGATTCCATAAAGTGCATCAGGAAAAGAAAGAGAAGGAAGGAAACAAAATGAAAATGAAGCGGAAGCATCTCCTGTGGCTCAAGCACTACCCTTTGACAGAGGAAGGCTGTAAGCAAGGAGGCATCTAGATACAGATTCAAAATGAGGATAAACTGTCCCACCATGGGCCTAGGGAGGGGCTCAGAACTTTGCCCTATTGTCCTTCATTAGCTTGAGTGCAGGACCCCTAACTCCTTCCTGAACACAACTCTTCCCCATCCCCAACAGCAAATCCTGGCCATCTTACTACCACTCTGTGGTCCAGGATAGAATGAACTATATAGTTGGACACATCTGATTCCAGTCCCAACTTTATTATTTTAGCCTTGTGAACATGCTCAAATCATTCCCTGCCTTTGGGTCTCAATTTTCTCTCTTGTAATATGGACATAACAATCCCTTGGCTTCTGAAAAAGGCCAGTCTGTTCATTAAAATGAAAGACTTTGGGAAACTGCAAAAGGTGATGCAGTGAAATATAAGGAGATGGAATTTTCTTCAGTATTTCTGCTTCTATAAGAACACTATGGAACAGAAGTGACCCTCATTATGTTCACGTAGACTAAACAAAAAATAAAATAAGACAAGCAAATGCTAATTTGAATGAGCTAGCCAGTCAATAAATATACAGTGATGAACACAGAAGACTTTACTCCCAAAGAATGCTCTGACCGTGCTTTCAAGTAGATTGAGCTTCATGCTAGATTTCCTACAGACTTCATTGTTATATCCCAGGAAATCACTTACTTTGAGATAGGTACTGGGATTCCCATTCTACGGGTTAAGAAAATGAGAATTGACAAGACATTTTGAGGCCAGTAAATGACAGAGCCAAGCTTAATCTTGATCCACACTGTAGGACTCCAAATCTTGTCCAAGAAGTCATTTGGAGATCTAACAATCACTGGCCAATAAGCTTCCCTAAACAGGGCTTGAGCTCTGGAAGGAGTTAATGCCCAGACTGTATAACGATATAATTATTAGAAAAGAGATTGACTGAACAAGATAGAATTTGAAAATGTTTAAATGTCTGCAAATGTGTTCCAGGAGGAATAGAGAAAAGTATGCAAGATCTAGAGCCTGAAGTTGACATGGATGCCTGCCTACTTGGGATGTGGCTACTGTTAGCATAGTGGCAAGAAATGAAGGGAAACAAGAATAATACCTAGATTTTCTATCAAGATTCTATATGTTTCAAAGTAATTTTACATATGTTATCTCATTCAAATTTGCCCCTTACTCCACACACCCCTCCAATGCCCTACTTTAGTCCTTTTATCTCCCAGTGGAGTTCCTTTCACAGCTCAACTTCCTATCTTCTCTGGGATACCGAGAGTGATCTTTGGAAAGGCAGATCTGACCATGACACTCTTCAAACAAATTCCTTTGATGACTGTCTGTTACTTTTAGGAGAATAAGAGTTCAAATTCTTCTCATGCCATCCAAGGACCCACCACCCCCTTCCTGCCTCAGCTCTTACACGCTCCCATCACAGCTTCAGTGTTGTTTCTACTCTGCTGAGCTGCTTGCCTTTCCCTGACATTCTGAACAATTTTACTCTTCTGGGCTCTTGCTGTTTCCTGTGCGTCCACCCACTCCTCTTCTGTTTTCTCTATAAAATTTCATTCTTCATGGAGCAGCCCTGTTGTCAGCCAGTAAGACTCTTTCAGTTAGAATCAGTCACTGCCCGCTGTGTGTGGCCACTGCACTTTGTTGGCAGTATTTGCATTTTACCTTGGAGTATGGCCTGATTGGTTTTGTACAGAGTGAGCATGGTATGTGTCTTTCTAGCTCAGGAGCATCCTTGAGGTCAGACTTTCTTTCTTTTTCATCTTTGTGTCCTTACCACTTAGCATGGCATCTTAGCATAGCAAAGACAGAACACATGTTTGTGGAAGTAAATGTGAATCAATTGTCATAGCATCACCAAATCCATCATGCTCTCGTGTAGAAAATAAAAACCACACTAGTTGTCTTAATGGAAAATTTAATAGGGAACTGGCTAAATACAAGAGGAATGAAAAGGTAAAAAAAAAAAAAGTGAAGTTACTGCAGGAAGCAGTTATTAACCTTACAAATATAAGAGATTGGGGTTATCAGATTCAAGACATTTGGAAAAGAGAACCTATGAAGATGGGATCCCTACTGGTGAAGAGAAGGTGCTGCCCTGCCAGTTGGCACTGGTACCTCTCCAGGGGCATGATGAGGCTGGTCTGAGAGTGGAAAAAAGCAGAAAACTAGAATCATCTGTTGCCACTAGATGAAGACTGTTCCAGGATGACACTTATAGGAATAGCAAACAGTGCAGCAAAAACAAGTTCTTCCTTTTTTTTTTTTTTAATTGAGATGGGGTCTCACTCTGTCACCCAAGCTGGAGTGCAGTCGCATGACATCAGCTCACTGCAAGCTCTGCCTCCCGGGTTCAAGCGATTCTCCTGCTTTAGCCTCCAGAATAGCTGGGATTACAGGCATCTGTCACCATGCCCGGCTAATTTTGTATTTTTAGTAGAGATGGGGTTTTGCCATGTTGGCCAGGCTGGTATTGAACTTCTGACCTCAGGTTATCCACCCACCCCATGCTGGGATTGCAGGTATGAGCCACAGTGCCCAGCCAAAAACAAGTTATTTTTTCATTCTGGACTCTTGCCTTCCAGTTTGGCAGAACAGAACAGGGGGCCAAGCAGCTCAGGACTAGGGCAGTTTTCAAAGTCCAAGCAGGGTATAGGAGGGTGGGTTTGGAGATGAGAAACAATAGCTTAGTAACTGGTGTAATCCCTGTGAGGTGGGAAGGTGAGATTATTACTGACTACATGTGGAGAAACTCATTTGTAAGTGGCTCAGTGGCTGTTCCTAGTTACGCAGTAATTCAGTGGCAGGGCTGGTCTCCAAACTTCCTGCTGCAAGAAAGATCCACAACTGACCCAGCTGATTGTAAATCATTGAGAGCAAGGACAGGATCTGATTCATCTCTGGACTCAGGGAGATATTCATCATTCACAACTGGCAATCATGCTCTCCAGCCAACCAAGATGGAAGCCTCCTAGAACATTCTGGTGCGCACCAGCTGAGAGGCAGCTCTGCCTGTCTTCCTGAGTGCCTGAAACACAGCTGACACTCGGCAAATGCTTGTTGAATGGAATTAAATTTCATATCAAGAGAGTATGACTGATTAAGAAAGAATACCTCAAGAAAATTGCTACTGACAAAAACGTTTTTGTAGTTCCCTATTTTCCCTTTATATTAATATAAATTTAATATTATTTATTGAGCACCTACTATATGCCAAGCTATATGCTAGAAGCTCAATATATTCCATGTAATTAAGGGTTGAAAATGAAAATTTTACAAATTCATTATCTTTGGGCTCCTTTTCGCAGTGGATGGATCCAGAGAGGACTTGTGAATGAATGAAGCTTTGATGGCTGGAGGTCATGGATTTCTCATTTAAGATAAGAAGTGGCATCCTATGCCAGATGGTTTCCTTCCTCTGCCCTTGCACGTGTTTTTTTTTTTTTTTTCCTCTACCAGGAAGGGCACCACGATTCTCTCTTGTGTTTGGCACATTCCAGTTTAGTGCTCACAGCTCTATTACGGCATCCAGTACCCTGTAAAGTCTGCTTTCACCCTCTATCAGCTACTCTCAATCATCTCTCCTTTTTGTGATATTTTTAAACTTTGTGCATGTCCATCAAGACCCATAAGAAAATGTGGCATATTATCAGTATAAAGAGCTATCTTTCCCAGGAGACTAAGAATTCCTCAAGGGAAGAAGACTTCCTCCTCCTTGTCCTGCTCCTCCTGCTCCTCTTCCTCCTGCTCCTCCTCCTCCTTCTTCTTTCTTCTTCTTTCCTTCTCAAGAAGGAATGATAATTCCAGTGCCTTTCGCTGACACATTCTAGATGCTTTCTGTCAACTGAGTGATGCTCACTTCAGCTCCTGGACCTGAGGTGTCATCTGCCTTCCTGCCCATGGAGATCTTTCACTGGATATCTAACTGCTGCTTGTGTGGCCTCTCAGGCAGACATCATGCCTCGTTCATTTTTTGCATACCTATGTAGTACTTATACATCTATCGCATCTTTCATCTCAAATCCTCATGGCATTCCCCCTCTGTTTGTTATCATTACACCCAGAATGGCTCTTTGAGGTCTCACAGTCATTTTCTTCAAGGTGGAGAAACTGTGGACCAGGAGAAATTCTGGGTCTTCTCAATCAGTCATAGAAGGCTGAAAATGCAATTAGCCATTCTCAGGGCAAATAGAATCTCTGAAAGGCATCAAAGGAAGCTCCTTCCTGCGTCTTCCTTTCCTTGTCCTTCTTCTTTTACTCTATCTTCTCTCCCTCCCCACTCATAGATATATAAAACTGGAAAGGATTAAGAAATCCTGTCACTTAAAACTAATATTTGACAGATGAGGTTAGAGAAGATGGGCAGATTGGGATTCTAAGTCCTTGATTGTCTTCTTAAAAATGATACCACTGAGACCCCTTATGACTTTTACTTGTGTGGATAGGGTTAGGCCCTGCCACCACTTCCATTTATCTTATTTCCTGAACTGGCTGCTTGGCCTTGTCTTGGAGAGGCAACACGTCCACTGGTAACTCCTTCCATCTCTCTGCACATGCCACCACTCACTGCTTGTTTATCAAGAGGTAGAAGAATTTTACTCAAAATTGTGGCTTAAAAATGAAGCAAAATAAAACCTTGATTACAGAGACATATTCAGACATTTGGATTTGTCACTAGGAGTAGCGGATCAGCATTATGTGCTAATTCCATGACATCATGCATACGTTACATTGATAAAGAGACACTGATATTGGGTGTCTACAGTATGCCAGCTAATTTATGTATAATTAAGTTAAAAGGCAAATATAATTCCCAGTGTATAGATGAGGCAATTCCAGCTGAATAAGTTTGAGGGTTCTAATGTAAGGGCGAGGCGTTTGGGCTCTGGAGTCATAAAGACACATTAGTACTTCCCCATCTGAGCTCTGCTACCTCCTCACCGTGCAACTGTACGCAACTCATCCTTTCTGTGCCTCACTTTCCTTGTCTGAAAATGTAGATAAACAACGCTTTCCAGATCAAGTTGTTTTGAGGATTAAATCGAAAAATTAATGTAAGAAGGTTTAGCACTGTGCCTAGCACATGCCAAATCCTTCTTAAAAGTGATAATTGCCCCAGATCATGGAGCTGCTAAGTGTGATGCAGAGGACTTTGAGACAGGCAGAGTTTTGTTTCTACCCTTGCTTCTGCCATCTTGCCTGCAATGTTGGGTTGGCATGAGAATTATAGATAATTTGAATAAAAAACCTAGCACAATGACTGCCCTGGAATAAATGGAAACTCCATTCTTGCAGTTGGCTCAGGGTTAAAAAAAAAAAAAAAAGAAAAAAGAAAAAGAAAAATTGGAGTCATTTTTGACCTTTCTCTCTCATACCTCCCTGATACCATCAGCAGATCCTCTGGCTCTGCCTTCAAAATAAGTCTATGATTGGATCATTTCTCACCGCCTCTGCTGCTGTCACTACCTTGTTTGGATTACTACAATGGCCTTCTACCTGATTCCCCTTGCTCCACCATCCCCAACTTTCAGCCTAGTTTCCACTTAGCAGCTACAGTCAGGTTGGAGAATGTGAGTTAGATCAGTAACTCTGCATCCTCCCACAGCAGCTTTGCAATTTGCTCAGAGTAGAAGCTGAAAACCCAATAAAGGCTTACAAATCCTCTGTGAGCTGCAAACCACACCCAACCCCAGCTTCAGCTGTCACTGTTTGCCACTTTTATTTATTGGCTTTTGTTTTGTTCATCAAACACCAGAATACCTTAAACATTTGCATTTGCTGTTGCAATGCTCACGCCTCAGATATTGACATGACTGATTCCTCTTGTCTCTTGAATTTTTCTCAAGCGTTGCCCTATTGATGATGCCTTTCCTGAACTCCCTATTTAAAGTTATACCTGGTTTCCATCGCCATCGCCACCGCAACCATGCTGAGCTCTCTTTCCCACTTTCTTTGCTCTATGTTGCGCCTACCGTGAGCTACCCCTTGAGTGTATGAATAATGATTTGATGGTTTCTACTACTTATTGTCAAAATATTCTAGTATCTAATTCTGAGTTGTTTGGCTGTGAGACTGAATATTCTACTTAATTTTTCCTTGGCAGTGAAATATGAACAATGATACATATAAGGTTCTGCATGCTTGTACTTGGTCACTTGTTTTTTGAGAAGTAAATAAAACACCATTTCCAAACAGTCTAAACAGAGTGGCTGACATACACCAGGAGTCAGTTAATAGTAATTGTTTTTCATTTGATTAAATGAATTCCATGGCCAGGCACGGTAGCTCACACCTGTAATCCTAGCACTTTGGGAGGCTGAGGGAGGCAGATCACAAGGTCAAGAGTTGGAGACCAGCCTGGCCAACATAGTGAAACCCCTGTCTCTACTAAAAATGCAAAAAAAAAAAAACATTAGCCGGGCATGGCAGTGTGTGCCTGTAATCCCAGCTACTCAGCAGGCTGAGGCAGGAGAATCGCATGAACCAGGAGGCGGGGGTTTTAGTGAGCCCAGCTGAGATTGTGCCATTGCACTCCAGGCCAGGCAACAGTGTAAGACTCTGTCTCAAAAAAAAAAAAAAAAAAAAAGAAAGAAAGAAAAGAAAAAGAAGTGAATGTGAATTCCATTCAATTTGGCTTGACAATGATTTATTGAGTTATATTTTAAACTTCTTAATAGAGTTTCCCTTTTAAAAGGCATACCAATTATAAATACAGAATTAGTTGTGAAAATGAATATTTACTCAGAATAAGATATCACAAGTTGCACAATGAACTAAAATTAACAAATATAATTAATGTCAGAAAAATCTACATAGTAATATTTTAATTAATTTCTTTTAAACACAATTGAATAAAACTTCTTTGCTACTTTTTTGGGCTGCCTGTCTTTTCAAAGATCTCCCTGCCAGATGACAGTGGTGTCTCAATATCATTTTCTTTACAGGGAATCAGAAGTTAACTCAGTCTTTCCTCTAGCATGGTTGACTGGAATTTGTGTTTATTATTGATAGTTGGGATGCATAAAGCATATTACCTCACCCACAGGCAGTCATGCTATTTGTAGTACTGCTAGAGATGTGTGCCCTATAAATATTGGACTGCTGATACGTTCTATTTTGTGATTGCACTCGAAGAAAATAATGCATGATGCATTTATAATTGTATCTGCTGCACAGTCTGCACATCCTGTGAGAAAAGTCGCTCCGCGTCGACTGGGCATCCTGACTTTCTTATTGCTTTCACTGTTGATCCTGTCCCACTTTACCAAATCAAGCCTTGTCTCTTACACACAGACTCATACTACAAAGGGTTGTGCTGAGATGTGAAAACTTCAGAGGGACTATTTGAAATATTGTTTAAAAAAGCTTCATCTAATCAAGATGCCATAATGTCCTCTCTCTCCACCCCCATATATGACAAAGAGGTGTCTTTCTAATGAAATTTATTTTTTAAGTTAAAATATTTAGAAAATGGATAATCTCTTTAGCTCAATTGTCTGTTCACATTAATTGCATTAACATTTATATATGTATGAAGAAAAAATTTAAACTCATTAAACTTTATGATCACAGAAAATTGAATGTACACACATATCTATGTGCATAATTATATGTACAGTATGTGTATAATTTTGTTGTAGAGATGTGTGTTGGAGTAATCAAAGAAAAACCCTAAAGTGTGGAAAATATGTGAATATAATATTCTCTGGAGAAAGAAAGTGGGAACATGTTTGCTAGGAAAAAAAAGGAAGGCTATACAATTTCAACTGTTGGAAAAGAGTTCATACCTGTATAGAAAAACAAATTAAATGGATAATAACTATATCAAATTGCCATCACATTTAAATTCATTTAGATATTTTTAAGAGTGATGTAAATATTGAGATTTGCAAAATGCAAGAAATGACATCCTTTGCAACTGTAGTGAAAAATGCTAGATGTCAACCTGAAAATGTGCAAGGGTAAATAATTTTTAAAATTTTTGCATTAGGATATATCACTGTCTAATTAATAATGATCCACAAAGATACCCATGTCCTAATTCCTGGAACCTGTAAATATGTTAGGGTCCATGCCAGAGAGGCATTAAAGTTGCAGATGGAATTAATGTTGCTAATCAGTTGAACACGAGATGAGGTGGTGTTCTTGGATTAGCCAGGTGGGTCCGATGTAATCACAAAACCTCTTAAAAGTAGAAGAGGGAAGCAGAATAGGGAGAACCAGAGAGCTGCGACCTGACAATGACTTCATCGGATGTTTTTGGCTTTGAAGCTAGAGAGACCATGAGCCTAGGAATGTGGGTGTCCTCTAGAAGTTGCCAAGACAAGGAAATAAATTCTCCCTTAAAGCCTCCAAGAACGAAAGCAGTTCTGCTGACTCCTTGATTTTAGCCCAGTGAGACCCCTTTGGGGCTTCTAATTGCCAGAACTAAAAGAAAATTATTTTTTTCCTGTTTTAGGTCAGTAAAATTTTTAATAATTCACTACAGCAGCAATAAGAAAGTAATATGTACATATATTAACTGACATAACTTTACTACCATGTTTCAAAGAGAAAAAACAGACCTCTTTGTTACCTTTTCAAGTAATCAAAATACTGACTTTAAAAGTAGTAAAGGAACACTTATTCATCTCAAGTCCATGTATATAGCAGTCTGAACATTTTAGAATAATGGTTCTCAAACTTTAGTGGGCACCAGAATCACCCAGAGGGCTTATAAACACAGATTGCTATATACTTCACCCACAGAGTTTCTGATTCACTGGGTCTGGGGTGGGGACCAGGACTTTGCCTTTCTAACAACTCCCTGGGTGCTGCTGCTGCTGTGGGCCTGAGGACAACACTTGGAAGACCACTGACCAAGAAGACTGAAAGAGAGAGGAGGCTTCTGAGAAGTCAAACCTGTGTTAGAAATTTTATACGTTAATATGTGTATGTTTTATTCACAGAAATGCCTCTTTAGCCCCTACTTAGAGCCCATTTACTCTGTTTTGAATAATACAACACGATTTTACTACCAATTTTTTCTAGCTTATATCAGACTATAATAATGACAAACAGGAGGCACTGGCATTTGCTAGACATAAGCAAATTTGCAACAATAATGAAGGAAATCAGGCTGCCTGAGAGTGAGGCGGAAGAATGAGAAACCATATGAACTTAAAATATTCATATGGCATATGAATATATGAAGTTAACAGACATACAAAGTTGAAATATTTAAGTATCTGCTTCCTTGTAGTGAATTGGTGATTAATCACCAATACTTGTTTTGCTCTGAAATTGCAATGTCCAATAGAAAAGCCACTAGTCACATGTGGCTATTAAGCACTCAAAACATGACTGATATGAATTGAGATGTTCTGTACATATAAAATGCACTTGGAACTTTGAAGACTAAATATAAAAAAAATGTAAAATACCTTAACAATTTTTAAATATTGAATACATGTTGAAAGGATAAAATTTAGGATATATTGAGTTAAAATATAGTATTAAACTTGATTACACTTGTTTCTTTTACTCTTTTAAAGACATGGCTTCCAGAAGATTTGGATTCTGAATAACAATGACTGAATGGGACACTGGTATTTTGTTCAAGACTTTTGAGTTTCTTGAGAGCAGAATGGATTTATTTCCTTGGACTGCCCCAGACCCTTTTGCAGTGCATGGTCTATGGGTAGTATTTGTTTTATATGTGCTGAAAGAATAAATGAATGTATAAGTGAATGGATTAAAGAAAAATGTTTGTGGAGGTATCACACCATCTGATTTCAAACTATACTACAAAGCTGTAGTAATTAAGACAGCATGGTATTGGCAAAAGAGTAGAAACATGGACCAATGAAATAGAATAGAATATTCAGAAATGAACCCACACATACATGGTCAATTGATTTTTGACAAAGGTTCCAAGAGTGCACAATGAGAAAATGATAGTTTGTTCAATAAATGATGCTAGAAAAAACAAATTTCTACATGCAGAAAAATGAAAATTGATGCTTTTTTCATACCATGTATAAAAACTAACTTGAATTAGATTAAATACTTAAATTTAAGACCAGAAACTCTAAAACTACTATAAGAAAACATAGGAAAAAACTACAAGACATTAGTCTAGCAAAAATAGACAAAATATTACGTCAAATTAAAGGACTTCTGCATCTTAAAGGAAACAATTACTGGCATGCATAGACAACCCACAGAATGGGAGAAAATATTTGTAAACCATATATCCAAAAAGGGGCTAACATCCAAAATATGGAAGGAGCTCACTTAACAAAAAACCCAATTAAAAAATGGAATCTGAATAGACATTTCTTAAAAGAAGACGAATGGCCACAAATATGTTTTCAAAAAAATGCTCAACATTGTTAATGATATAGGAAAGACAAATTAAAACCATAAGAAGATATCACTCAACACTTGTCAGAGTGGCATATCAAAAAAACAAAGATAACAAGTGTTGGTAAGGATGGGGAGAAAAGGGAAACTTTGTACACTTTTGGTGACATGTAAATTAGTACAGCCATCATAAAATCCAGTATGGAGCTTCCTCAAAAAATGAAAAATAGAATTACCATGTGATCCAGCAATCCTACTTCTGGGAATTAACCCATAACATTTGAAATCAGTTTGTCAAATAGATGTCTGCACCTCTATATTCATTTAACACTATTCACAAGAGTCAAGTTATGGAATCAAGCTAAGTGTTCATCAATGGATGAATGGATACAGAAAATGTGGTATATATACACAGTGGAATACTATTCAGCCTTAAAAAAGAAAATTCTGTCATCTGGACAACACGAATGGTACTGAAGAACTTGATGTTAGGTAGAATAAGTCAGGCACAGAAAGACAAATACCACATCTTCTCACCTAAATGTAGAATCTAAAACAAACTCATAGAAACAGAGTAGAATGCTGGTTACAGAGGCTGGGGGAATGGAGAATTAATGATTAAAGGGTATAAAATCTGTGAGACATGAATGATGTGATTTATTCTTTTTTGAGTTCTATTGGACCGTGTGTTGAACATAGTTAATAATAGAGAATTGTACATTTCAAATTTGCTAAGAGTGCATTTCAAATGTTCTCACTACAAAAAATGTTAAGTATTTGAGGTAATGAAAATATTAATTAGCTTGATATAGTTATTCCACATCACACTCATAAATTATAACATCATGTTGTACCCCATAAATTTATACAATTATAGATTGTCAATTCATGATAAAACAGTTTGAAATACTCTGCTTAAGAAAGTAAGAGACTTCTTGCAGAAATATTTCCCCCCAAAAATGGATAGGATTTTAAAGCTCATTCTTTAAGGGTTAAAGTAAGCTTCGGTCTTCTGAAAAATACACGAATATGAGGTGTCTCATTCTCTAACAATTCAGGATGGATGATCTACTACTGTCTTTAGATTTAAAATGCCTCTTTCTCTCCAAACAACACATAAATATTTAAAAAACAATTGTAGTGTAAGTTAGTAGCTCGTGAATCATTTATTGAATGAACATGAATTTGACATGCTTATCATACTTGAATTAAGAAATGGTAAAATATGAAATAAAAAGTCCTAGGCTTAAGAGTCCTAAACTTAAAACTCAGAAGATTTGAAATAGAGTCTTAAATCTCAACCCCAAGTTATGCAAGTCTCACCTTATGCAAATTGTGTTTTAGATGCATTGTTGCACAAGGTACACACTATAATTTTAGGTGTGTAGAACAGTTTTGCTCTATGTGTGGAAGTACAAAATGGCCTTATGTCCAGGTGCAAACTAGAAACAAGAATCCAAGTGGGTGGAGGGAGGAAGGGTAGACATCCTTTGTGTTTATTCTGTTCCCATGAAGATTCTTGCTGCTTTAGGTTGCATTCAGTGTTATTTCTGGGTAAGTCCCTCCTTTTAACATTACAGTTAATGCTGGAAAGCAACCAGGTGATAGCAAGAAAACAAGGAAATCGTTTAATTTATAATTGACTATGTAAATAAGAACGCAATATGAAGAAAGTCAACACATTTCTTTCATTGCACTTCAACAGTGAAAAGTATTTTGAATACAATATGAAAAAGACATGTTAAAGTGTCTGCCACTGCTTTGTCTACTCACTACATGTGGCCATTAAAATTTAAATCAGAATTAATTAACATTGAATGAAATTAAAAATTCAGTTCTTTAGTCATGTGAACTACATTTCAAGGGCTCAGTGGCTGCATGTGGCTAATGGCTACTGTGTTGGACAATGTGTAGAACATTTTCATCATCACAGACAATTCCATTGGAAAATGATGCTTTAGGCAATTAATTCTCTTAACTTGTCTGAGCTTGGTCTCCTTATGTAGAAAAAAGGAAGAATAATAGTCAGACCTTAGTTACATCACAAGATTTCTGTGAGAGTCAAATGTTCATAAAAGTACTATGCACGTGGTACATGAAGGTGGATTATTATCATTATCTCAATTGAGGAAGGAAGTTTGGAAGTGAGAACTGGTGGTAGACACATGGTTGGGTGTTCACTCCAAACAAAGCATAGAACTTTCTGTGATGCATCCCTGAATACTTCTATGTCCCTGAATATTGCTGTATCCTGAATACTGTTATGCTCTTGCGTTCCATCTTACACCTTCTTGGTCTACATGTTCTACTCCAGCCATTGCTAAAATAACCAGTTACCACGCAGGTCAAACCAACAGCATCTAGCCTTGGCCGCACCCTTGAAGTCTTGCTTTCTGCCCTGGGCCTTTTATGACATGGCTAATATGCAGTACTTAAAGGAACCTGCTCAGTCATTCTGATGCATATGCAACTCAGAGTACAGAAGAGGTAGCACCTTCTGGGATAACCCTTGACCAGTGAAGGTGAAGTGGTGGATAAGTAATCCCCTCTTCTATCCCCTAGGTAGCAATTCTACAGAGCATTCTACAAGGCTTCTCAGAGGGTCTGTAAGTGGGACTGAGCCCCAGATGCTCACAGTGGTGTTAGCTCCATAGTGCACCTGTCCATTCCCTGTTTCATTCTCCACAACTCCCACCCCCCATTTCTTGAAGTTACTTCTCCAAAATAAACTCTCTGAAAGTCTCTATCCCAGGTCTTACTTTTTAGGGGGAATTTAGGTTAAGACAAGGTCTTGGGATGATTTCCTGCTTTTAGTCCACAATTTTTTTCAAAGTCATTTGAGATTTGGGATTTAAACAGGTTGCTTTAGTATTCCCCATGGCCTTGGGCTCAATGACATATTACTCACATCAGTTAGCCAGGCAATTTTTAATGCATCTACAAAGTGAAAGAAGATTGTAAAGATGGAAAAGTCATATATACAAAGTTCTCCATCTCCGTTACAACCCAAATCCCCTACTATGATATTAAAGTCAGCACGTTTTCTGTGAAGTGATTAATGTGTGCCCAGAACTGTGCTAGTCAGTATAACATAATCAGTATGATATGATAGGAATAGATTTATTTCTCATCCCCAAATAGCTTATAAGCAATATAAGAATGTACGCTTTGATGTCAGATGATCTGGGTTTCTGATTATTATTTATCTCAAAACCACAGTTGTTTCATTCATATTGCTTTGTATTTCATAACAACTTATTTAGGAATTAGACTGTAAGCTCAATGAGGGTAAGAACTGTGTCCTGTCACTGAATACTTTATCCTCTATCCAAGGATAGTACCTGGCACATAGAAGGCGCTCAGTAAATGTGTTTTTGATTTAATCAATTACTGTTAATATTTATTGAGTTTTAACTTTGTGCTAGGCCAGGGGTTGGCAAACAGTTAGTGGGCCAAATCCATCCCATAGCCTATTTTTGTAAATCAAATTTTATGGAAACTTCACCATCCTTGTCCTTGGCCACATTGTCTATGGCTTCTGTTTAGCTATAATGGCAGAGTTGAGCAGCTGTGACAGAAACTATGTAATTCACACAGCCAAAAATATTTACCATCTGGCCTTTACAGAAACATTTACCTATCCGTGTGTTGGGCTATAGATTTCTATGAAAACTAAATTTTCTGTATGAGCTATAACATGAAAAATGTCTGTGTCAAACCCCTACTGAATAGAAGCCATTATTCTAGAATACTACACACCAAGGCACAGAGAATATTGTCTGTGTATAGAGTCTGAAGGTGTGAAGGAGAGAGAGCTAACAGCCTTTTCAACAGGGCCTGGAACAGGGACCTGGCCAAGCCTACACTTCCTCTTGGTGTAGTGTCTTTATGGCCCTAGCAGCAGATAGGAGGAATCACTCTTATTTCTCCCCCAAACCCCCTACTCAGAATATCTGCGTTCTGCTTTCTTTTGATGAGATTCATAGTTACCAATTTATCAAAAGAGTAAATTCCACGTGTCTTTTTTTTTTATTTTATTGTATCTACATCCCTAGATTCCAGGATAGTGCTTCTCCATTATAAATGTTTACGGAATTCATGAACTTTTCCCCATATTATAGATGAGGAAACTGAGGTTCAGTCAAAGGAAATAGTCTTGTTTGTTGCAGATACAGAAGCTACGGTCCCTTCATACAGGTAATGAATAGTGGAGATAGATTCAAATGTGGGTCTACTTGGCTCAACAGCTGGGTTTTCTGTCCTGCAACCTGCCACCTGGTAGCTGTGCTCTTGAGCCAGGTCCTTCAGCACTCTAGGGCTTACTTTGCTCATCCATAAAATGGGCAGAGAGTTGGGAATTAACTGGATGATTGCTAAATTCATTTCTTAACTGTGGAAGGTACTAAAACAATACGAGCTGTTGTTTGTAGCCATAAACTGAAAAGACCGGTTTTGTTTAGCTGAGGTGAGAAAACGTTTTCAAAAATAGGGAAAAACATGAAGGAATCTTATAGTGGCTGAGCAATGTAATCAAATAAGTTACTGTTTTATATAGCTTCAGGCCCTATGCCACAACTAGGTCAAAAATCACTTGAGTAAGACTCAAAGGTCAAGTTGACCAGAAAATAAAAATCAAATGGACCAAGTGGCAGAGACAAAGCCCACTTTGCTTTCAAACTAATACATTCTATTCGAGCTGGAAAGGGCTTATCTCAATAGCTTAATCCCATGACAACACTTTGCACGGGTTCTCCTTGGTTTTCCCAGTGCTGTAAATCTTGTCTCTCTTTAACCCATGCTAAGTTATTTTGTTTTTTTTAATCAGTATTTTTAAATTGTAATTACAAAAATCATTTTCTTCCTCTGTTCCCTTTACTTTGAAAGGCATGCTCTTTAAAATCTTCTACACTCAGGTCTCCTTACCTGTGACCTGCCATCTCATCAGCTTTGTTGTCAAAGCCTCAGTGGCTTCAGAGCACAGGGCTTATTTTTACTTTTATGTCCTGACTTGCCCTGGGCCGCCTGAGTCATTCAGAAAAGGTGGCCCAGGGACATGAACACCATTTCTTTTCCTTAATTCCCATAATTAATTGCTTTTAAATTAGGGGCAATGACTCTTTGGCAAATGACCCTGCCAAATACTTGCTTACTCCCCTTTGTGAGCTATTCAGCTTTGGCCACTGAAACCACACGGTTAGTTGCAGATGTAGTGTGATGAGCTGTCTCGGGAATATTGAGCCAGATCCTGATCTTGCCAGGCTACAGAGGGCTGGTTATTCATGAACTATGGGGGCTTTTTAAATATACAATGGTTGTTGTGCTTGAAAACCTGGAAGATATTTAAACAAAATATTTTTTCAACAGTTTTTCAATGAATGTTTACTGCATTTACCATTTTAAGTGTCAGGACATGAAGATAAGGCAGACAGATTATGCTTCTGCCTTCACAGGCATTCTAGTGCAGACAGACAGAAAATGTACAAGAAACCAGTAGTGTACACACGCACAAACAAATACACAAGTGATTGTTGATAAGTGCTCTAAAAGAAATAAAATATGATGATGAGGTACACAGCGGTGTGATGCTGAAGATAAGAAGCCAAGCAAGTCATCTCTGAAAAGGAAACATTTGAGCAGAGGTTTGAGTGATAAGAAAGAGCCAAGCATATAAGGAACTGGCTGAGTAGGAGTGGTGGTGTCCAGGTAGATGGGTTAATAACTACATAAACTCTCAGATGAGAAGGAGCTTGGTAGGTTTGGGAACACAACCAAGCCCAGTGTGGCAAGTTGGGTGAGCATGGAGGATATTAATTCAAGTTGAAATGAGAGAGGTTGACATTGCTACCTGTGTAAAGAGTACAGGCACCAACTGTGTGCTGGGAACCTTGCTGGGTTCCGGGGGTGTAAAGACCAATAAAATATGTTTATGGACCAGATAAATTGCCCTGAGGGTCTTACCTTATTGCATATTGCCAGTTGTCAGTGTATCTCAGCAATGGCAAGCCCCTCAGGTCTCAGTGTATTCAGGTAAAGCTCCCTCCCCAACCCAGGACTTCTATCACTGATGCTCCTGGACTGCTGGGACTTATCACATAACCATTACACCTCTCATCCCTCCCTCCTTAGTCACCATCAGAGGTCAAGGCTCCCATCTAATCTCTTATCAATGGACATGCCTCTAGGCTTCCCAAATATGACTCTATCCCCATCTCTTTCTGCCCTTCTAAACTCCTGTTCCCCACCCCTGGAATTGACAGTGAATCAAATCTGAATCTATCCCCATCTTTCTCTGCACACTGGAATTCACAATAAGACATGAATAAACCCCCATATGTTCCACAGTTTCTTGGTCCTATCACCTCCTTGATGTAAATGAAGACTTTCTGTTCCCTGATAAAGCAGCTTCCCCTGTGATTGGTGACTGTTTGTTTCATCTCTCACACCTCAGATAACTTGAGGCCTGGGGGTGAGGAAGCTAACTCCTTTCTCTCTGTTGTCTTTCCCTACTCCAAAAATCCTAGCATTTTTGAAGCCCATCATTAGACTTCATTACCCAGAAGAACTTGGCATAGAGGAAAGTGTTGACTTTACTTACATATTTTATTATTTTTTTTGTTTGTTTTTTAGAGCAGTAGAGGAAACTCATGGTCAAGGTCATAGACCCTGGAATCAGATTGCCTAGGTTGGATTCAGTCTCTGCCATTTACTAGTTATGACAGTAAAAAAGATTAATTAATACTTTGGGACCCAGGTTATTCATCTTTAGAATGAGGATAGGGTAGAGGTGAAGATTAAATGAGGTAATACACGTGAAGTACACTGAATGGTGTTTGGTATATTTTAAGTGCCATGTAAGTGTCTGTAATTATTTTGTTGTTATTAACTGACTGATAACTTGAATGTCTGGCTTACTTCTTCCTCTTCTCCTCTCTGTCCGATATCATTCTTGGCAAATTCAGCATTCATGAAGGTGGAATCTCTATGACTCTGGCCCTTTAGCTCTTTGGCCTAGTAGCTCTGACCATTTCTTCCTCCACCCACCTCTGCCACCTACTCACATAGTCATGCCCTAGGATTTGTCATCTCCAGCAATTGCATCATCTTCAAAATCTTGATTTCAGTACATTCCACTTGCATACAGTACTCTTCTGTCCTAGTAGCTTATTCATTCTGGCATCTTCCCTCTGGAGACTGACATCATTATCTCAAATCCACTCACCCTTCTACAGCTTTGTCTGTATGTATGTTTCCCTTCTCATCTTCACTTCTCTCACCTTCCAGCTTATAATTTATGACCCATCATTAAGATCAGTGCCTTGAAAAACCACTTATCTTTCTTTCCTTTCTCTCCTTTTGCCATTCTTGACTAGATAAATACTGGATAAATCCAAACAATCACTTAGTCTGAGCTTGCTCCTGAGAAGTTGAAATATCACAATATTACTCGCAGGACTCACTTTGCACGTGCACTTGGTTACCAGATAATCTAACTCAGATATCAGTTAATCTAACATTTCTATAGCAGATTTACTTTTCCATTTTCTGAGATAATCATTGCATATCTTCTCTCTCCTTAAGTCTCCAGGACCTCTCCCCGTGAGCTGATGTTTTATTTTCATACTTTACTGAAAAATTAGATGAAATAGACATTATCTTCAATTCCCTCCACTGATTCTATGCCCCTAGCTCCATCTGTACATTCCTTCCCATGATAATTGAAGATCTGTCTCTACTCCTCTCTAAGACAAGCCAGTTCTTGCTCTTTGGATCTCATTCTTCTAACACTTTAAAATACCTCATTCTTACAACTATCCCCCTTTTCCCCAGTACTCTCAACATTTTTCTCTCTATGGGATCAATTTCATCAGCACTCAAACATGTTTTAGTATCCTTGCTCTTACCAGAGAAATAAGGACCTTGACTTGAGCCCAGGTCACCATGCTGGACGTCTTCTCTTGGCTCCTCTGGATCCACTCTGACCTTTCTCCACCTTGGACACTGCATCAATAGTTTCCATGCACTCAGGTTTAAGGTTGAATTTGCTAAATAAGCACCTCTGCAGGAGATTGGAGGAAGAGAGGAGAATAGCATCAGAGTATTTACTCCCCTAGAAACTGCACTCAAAGCACAGAGTTACAATGCCATCTCTTAAGGTTGCCCGTGCCCTGCACATATCTTCATACACAGTACTTTAATGAATAAACCTTCCCAGAATTATCTTAATTTGACTGTGCCTTCTAACTTTTACTAGAATCCTGCCTGGTAAGGTCATCTTCTAGCTATAGCTCAATTTCTCTGCTATAACAATCTCTTGGTTTTTCTCATATTTTTCTGGCTGCTCCTTCTCAATGCCCATACTGGCTCTTCCCAAATTGAATAGATGTCTATATGTCAAAGTATCCCAAGGCTTTGTCCTAATCCCTTTCTTTTCTCTGTCCCCTTTTACCTTATGATCTCATGTAGTTCACAGCTTGAGATACCTTCTATATGTACTGGTGACTTTCAGATTTACATCTCCAGCAAAAACTCATATTCTAAGTTAAATACATTCATGTAACTACCCAGTAGATATCTTCACTTGGAATCTAAAGGGCATAGCACATTTCACATGGCCACAATAATGACAATGATCCCAACCCCTGAAGTCTTCCAAAGGAATCTCCCTCTCCACAGACTTCTCTGCCTAATTTGAGTACCACAATACACCCTGCTTCCCAGGCAAAAAACCTAAAAACCTTGATTTGTCTCATTTCTTATAACCCCCATTCAATCCATCAATAAATCTTATCAATTATGTCTCCAATAGATCCCAAATCCAACCACTTTTCACCATCTCACTGCTGTGACAGTCCAAGACACTGTCTCTCCTTGCCTGAGCTCCTGAAATAGCTTCATATCTGGATTGCCTGAACTCACTTTTAATAGTCCAGTCTTTACTTGCAGTCAGAGTAATTTTTCTAAAGTGTAAGCTATCCCCCTCCTTTAAATCTGCCAGAGCTCTCACTGTTCCCAGAATAAAATCCAGACTTATGATCATGATCTGTATGACCTGACATGACTTGATCTCGACTGCTGACTTCGATGTCCTCACTCTCCCTTCTGTCCCTGCTCATTCACCATTGTCCATAAACACTGAACTTTCTTTTGTCCCTTGAACATTTCAAACTCATTCCTATCCCTGGGCTTTGCTCATGATATTGTCTACTTGGAATAGCTCCCCTCATTTCTGCCTGGCTCACTTCTTCTCTGAACTAAAATAGTATCCTCTTCCTGGTTACTCTCAGAAATATCACCCTATATTATCCTCTCAATTACATTTATCATTGCTTAAAATTATTTAATTTATTTATCTCTGTATATGTTCATTATCTATCTCTCCTCATAGCTGAGAAGATAGTTGCTCCACAATATCCCACCTTTAGAGTTGTGCATGGCACATGATATGTGCTTAATAAATATTCGTGGAATAAATAGACGAATGAAAAACACAAAAATGAATTAAAATCGTGGTAAGTACTGTGAATTAAGCAAAAGGTGTCATGGAAGCTATAACAGTGGGGACTTGCATAAGACTAGGTAGTCACTGAAGGACTTTCTGAAGAAGTGACATTCAAGCTGAGACCTGAAAGGTGAGTTAGAGTAAGTGCAATGCGGGGGAAGAACTGTCCAGTCCAGGGAAGCAGCATGTGTAGGCGATCTGAGGCCATGAAGAACTTGGCGCATTAGAGAAATGAAGGAGGCCGGTATGGATTGAGTGGAGAGCATGGCATGAGATGAGTTTGAAGGCCAGTAGAAGTCACTTATAGAAATGTGGTAAATGCTGATGTACAGTCATGCACAAAGGAGGCAATGCCTGGGGAAGGTAAGCTGCTGGAGCTGGAGGAATGGAATTCAAGAAAGTCTTTACAGAAGCAGCAATATTGAGGCTGAGAAGTCACCAGAACGATGGGAATGGAGAAGTGAGAGGAGTACAGCAGGGAGGCACACGCAAGGGCAGACAAGTCTACAACAAGCTGCATATTCTGGGAACCACAGGTATGGTGTATCAAGAAAGGCACAGCTAAGAGGAACACTCAGGTGACTGTCTTGCTTGTCTTTATATCTCTAGCCCACTAGGCAGTTAATCAATATTGGTTCATTGAATAAGGAAAAAAGGAAATACAGGAGACAAAACTGGAGAACTAGGTAGAAACCAAGCCACAAGCATCCTTCTGTCCTTACTAAGGGTATGAAATTTTATTCAGTAAAAATAAAACATAATAAAAAGTCTTATGATAGAACTGACATGATGAGATGGAAAACCCAGTCAATCTCGTATTTTCTCAGAGTTTTAAAGAGGGGCCCACTTATTGATTAATTTAGTAAGAAGTTTATCATTCATCTACTTGATTCAATGCTGCACACACTCACAATTTGCTCAATATAATTTTATTGTGAATCTTGAGCCTTGTGGTAATTTTACAGAATACATTAGGTTCTTTATTCTAGGATTGGGATGTGGAGTTCAATTCTAAGCAAAGTTTTCTATTGGGACAATTGCAAATTTAAAACGATTAGCTTTAAATAGAGCATTGTTCCTTATCATGGATTATTTTGGTTCTTAAATGTCTGTCAAAGTAATAATAGGAGATTTGAGCTATTTTAAATATTTCAAAAGTCCAACACATTTATCAATGATTAGGTTGCACATACTAATTAAATTTCAAGGTTCTTTAGTATTAGCTAAAATTACACTAATTTCAATGTGTGGTCACGCTGATGAGCATGAATGACAGTCTTAAGTGATGATAGCCTCTTTGCTGAGCAGTGTCCCTGTGTAAAGATCCACAACTCTCCAATCATCTTTGGAGGACCTGAGATCAATTTGCATGAAATAGTATTCATTAGACATTTCTGGGAAAGAACTCATCCTAAGGAAAAGTTCAGTCAAGTAGCTCAAGTTCAGGCAAATGGCAATGAAGGACTGTTGAAGGGAAGGTAGGATTTATAACACAAAACTATCTGGGTGGTCTTAGACCTTAGTCACTGAGAGCCAGGGCTTTGGAATGTTACATATCTTCACTTGAATCCTAGCTTACCAATTCTTTCTGGGTAACTTTGGACATTGGCCCAATCCTGTAGAGCCTCAGTTTTCTCATTTGTGAGGTGGGAATCATCATGGGTACTATGTAAGTTTGTCTTAGGGAGGGGGGCTATGCATGAAAACTATTGCTCTAAGTTCTCCATAAAGAAAAAAGTGGCTATGTTCTGTCCTACTCTGTCTAGGCCTTCTCAGGCCTTCAACCATTGCCCATGCCCACAGCCCAGTCATCATCATCCACTTAGTTGCAATGTGACTCCACGCATGTCCTGGCCAATTCAGTAACCTCTACACAATGCAGCAAGATGGCACTGGCAGTATGGCACCTAGATCCTGGGTGTTGGAGCCAGGCAACATGGCTTGCTAAAGGCAATGTACAGTAGGCAGGATTTGAAGACAACTGCTAATAACCTATACCCTTTTATTATCCCCTCCTGTTAAGTGTGAAATGACCTGTTAATATGATGATATGTGGCAAAAGGGATTTTATAGAGGTAATTGGGGGCCCTAATCAGTTGAGTGCACTGAAAGGGAGATTATGCAGGTGGGCCTGACCCAATTACATGAGCTCTTTAAATCTGGATCTACAGATTAGAGACAAATGAAGTCAGAGACTCAAAGCATAAGAGATATTCAACATGATAGAGACTCTCCACTGCTGGCTAAGACAGAGGGAGCCATGTGGCAACAAATAGAGTGTATTTTAGTGGCCAAGAATGGCAGCTTCAGATGGCAGCCAGCAAGGAAATGGGAGCCTCTGTCCTACAGCAACAAGGAACTGAGTTCTGCCAACAAACTAAATGAGCTGGGGAGAGGATCCCTCGTTCCAGATGAGATGAGCTTGAGTTTGGTAAACATTATGATTTCGAGCTTGTGAGTCCCTAAACACAGAGCCTAGCTAGGCCATGCTCAGACTGCTGACTCATGTAAACTGTAAACTAACAAATAGGTGTAATTTTAAACTGCTAACTTTGTGTGAGTCTGTCTTAGAGCAATAAAACACAAGTACAGAATAATTGCCTACATGGAGTTTCTGGGTAGTTAGGAGCATGAGAGAATCTCTCTGGGGCTTTCTGGCACCTGGAAGGCCTTCCCTATGGACTGGCAGAATACTTCCTGTTCGAGCAAGTCTCTCCAAAGCAATGGGGATCATGAAAAACTGAACTCATTGACAATCCCCCAATCTGCTTAGTTGTGTTAGACTTTGTTAAATATGCATTTATTATGCATATCAAGTATATATCAGTCATGCAGCAGACAGATACAAAACTTACACTGGGTAACAGAGGAGAGTTTTATAAATGGACTCTATGCAAAGGTTTGGAGACATACACATGGGAGTGTTCAGTACCCCAAAGGTTAGCAATAGCAGTGAACTGTCAGTACCCCTAGGGAAAAATCTCCTGTTTTCTAGATCTCTTTCCCAGCTGACTTACTTTGATGGTATATGATTCCCAACAGCTTTCTGAGTAAGGCTGTCTGATAGACAACAGTTTTGGGAAACTTGAGTGTCTAAAAATGTCTTTGTTATCTCCTCACACATTGGACTAAGGGTATAGGATTCTAGGTTGGAAACCATTTTTGCTCAGGTGTTTGAAAATATTATTCCATTGTCTTCTAGTTTTTGATGTTGCTATTAAGCCCAATGTCATTGTAACCTTTCATGCTTTAAAGGCAATTTTTTATTCTATTGCATCGCTTAGTATCTTTTTATTCTTGGAGTTTTAAATTTTGTCATGATGCCCCATGATGTGGATCTTTCTTCTTTCATGACGTAGGAAACTTGTTAAATCCCTTTAGTCTAGAAACCCATATATGTTGGTTCTGTGCATATTTTTTAAAAATTCCTAGATAATTTCCTCCCATCTAATCTGTCATTTTTTTTTCCTGGAACTAATATTTGTTAGATATTAGACCCCCAGAGGATTGTCTAATTTTCTTACCTTTCTCCAGTATTGTCTATCTCATCAACTTTTATTTTTTCAAATTTCTGAAGAGTTCTTCAACGCAGTATTCCAATTATCCTCCCTTTTTCTTGACACTTTAATATTTGCTTTCACAACAATTCCAAGGATATTTTTATTTTGTAAATGCTTACCTTGTTCTCTGTTTTATATATTCAAGATTTTCCTCAATTATTTTACGATTTTTGGCACTCCACTAATAACTAGAATGGAGCACTGGAAAGTTAATTAGAGGTGCTGTGTATGTGACTGAGGCTGTCAACTGGTTGACCTCACCATAGAGTGATGAGAAGAGGATCTGCCATTTTATTGTGATAGTATCTGCATGTTTGTTTTCCTCCTGAGACGGATAGTCTCCATGGAGAAGAATTCTCCAGTGTCACAGTTGGAGAATAGAGACCTGAATGACAGTGTCAGGGAAAAATCATAAATAGAACTTTTCAAAATGTATATTTTGACTTAATTTTACATTACAAAAATGTAATTAAAATTACATTTTTGATATATCTTCTTGTATCCACCCTCAGATAGTCCTAGTGTCTCCATGTTCTCTGGTCTTCTGTAATAGAGCCTCTGTAGATAGTAAGTGTTGGGGAAGGAGTTATTTGGCTATTAGGACTAGACAGTGAATCTGTGGTTCTAACTCTTCCTTACACATATTGTCAATCAACCCTCTCATTTTTCTCCCCTTTCAAATACACTGGATGCCAATGAGCCATTATCTTTTCTGGGTCTTCTGATGTTAACTAGATTTTGACATCCCTAATATGGACTTAGTTTTCAGCTTGCTCTGCTCTCATCAGTTGGCTACCTCTATCCTTTTGTTTCCCATAGTTAACAATTTAGTTGACATCTCACAACTGATGTCATTACCTTTCCAATCCTCTTTGTTCTTGTAAGTTTATATCATTTCTTCATTCCTTTACAATCATTTTATTGGTTTGCATAAAAGAACGGAGTAAAAGCATAGATTCAAGCCGCCATGTCTAACTGGGCATTTTCTGTGCTACTATTCTTAAGAGAATTATCTCACTCAATCCTCACTGCAGCTCTAGGAGCTAGATACTGTTATTGTCACTTTCTTAAAGGTAAAGAAACACAGATATTAGGCCTATTGCCAGCATCACTCAGCAGGTAGGCGAAGGGGCTGGGATTTAACCTGGGTTCTTTTGACTTTATTCAGGAACTGCATTTTTTATCTTTTGGCAACATATCCTTTTAAACATCTACTATTTGAATTTGTAGGAGTCTTATTTTCCTGGAGTTACGTTTGTGTTCCATATTTCTGCCACATTCTTTAATGGAACCTTATTTACATTTCAGTGATTTGCTATCTTTTCCTTGGCTATAGATCATACTGCTTATTAATTTGACACATGTTCAAACTATCTGAGATGAATATTTATATATATTTTATGCATATTTACTCCCGGGAGGTACCCTTTCCTGGAGTCTATGCCTGGCATCTATATCTTCAACTAAGAAGAAATTGTATTTAAGGACATGTGCGTGGAGAGTGTCACTGGATTTGGAGTCAGCAGGCTCTCATTTTAGTCCTGCATCTACCAGCTGCTTGCTGCATGGTATTAGAAATTCATACAAACTCTGAGTTTTAGCTTTCTTGTCTGAACAGTGGATTAATTATTCCCATCCTTCTTGCCGTTACAGGATAGCCAAAAACAGATTTTAAAAACAAAGAGAATATTCTGTAATTCTACGACAGTCTTCATTAAGCTGTCATTCATTTAGTCATCCAAATTTTGACCACATCCACGTATCACTTTCACTGTTATTTAGTATTTAGTAAATATACTTTTATTAAGTCATTTTACTTCTTTTTTGCTTAAATACATTTATTTATAAAGGGAAATTAATGGAAAGAAAAAAAAAACACAGGAGCAAACTATAGAAACGATCATGGCCTAAGAGAGAAAGCATTGCTCATGAATGTGTTCAGGAAGAGCAGACAGGAATGGATCTTGGGCTTGGGGACCAGTTTTTCATTGTGTTGGCTCAAGACATTGGCATGAAATGAGTGGAATGAGTAAGGGAGAGGAAGATCCAAGGCAGCAGGTTGACTCACTGAAAGAAGTGAACTGCAATCTGAGAAGGAAGGTTGGAGTAGAACGGGATGGCGGCTTTTGATTGAATGGTAGGGTGGGGCACTGAAGCTAGAAAGAGGCCGTGACTGAAAAACTAGAGCCAGGGGTTTCGAGAAACATTTAGTTTAAGGACATCACATAAGGGTCAAAGCTGAAAAATTGGGAGAGCTTGAAGAGATATAAAGCTGCTTTGGGGATGAGGGGATGCTTGGAAAGTTAGGGATGATTAATAGGATTTAGGAAATGGAAACTGCCATGTAGATGGAGTCATGGTGTTACTGCAGCGGAGTAAGCCAGCAATTTGGAAGTGACAGATCTTTCAGGAAACATGGTAATGGAATATGTGTCTTCCTCATTTTAAGTTTTATAGCATTTCTTCCTGGGATTACACTCTGAGAGCAGGAATGCCCATCAGCAAGGGATAAGAAAAGTCAAGATATAAGTCTTGGGTGAAATAGTCAATATATCCCACCTAAAATTATTTTGCATATTGTATAATAGTACATGTATATATACCATATTTGGGGAAACTCTGCTTTAAAGCATTCTACAAATACATGGAATTACTTACAATTAGCTCTTGGAACAAACTTTATTATCCTTACAATTCTCCTCCATTCTTCCCTGGTAACTATATCCTGGTGTCTAGGAACTAAAAATGATCCCATGGGCACAGTTGGCTTTGTGTTTATATGGTATCTGGGGAGCCGCTGGAGGATTGGGCGTGGTAAAATTATAAACTTATTGAAGTTCAAACTTAGAACACCTTTTAACATCTGGCAAATATAAACCATCTCCTATTTTAATTTTTGTTTTTGGGCCTTTCTCAAAAAACTAAAAGTTCTTGCTCTAACAATCTTGGCTTAGATAGGAGACGGTCTGAAGTAAATGCGGTAGAAACAGTTACATCATAAACTATTCCAAGACCTGTCCTAAAATGGGAAATCTAGGAGATGGCTCGGTGCTCCATCTTGCTGGATTCCCACACTGGAAAGCCAAGGACAAAGGAGGATTAAGTATTCCACGCATTATCTTGGGATTGGGGTTTCATGCTTGGGAGGCCGGCGCCTGAAGTTTGCCTAAGAACAGACAGACAGCAGCAGCTCAAAGCCTGATCTATACAACTTTATCTAGAGCAGGGTCATTTGAAAGGATAGTGGTCATTGCTAATTTTGAGCATTTGCATAAACAGGAGGAAACAATAAGGAAATTGTTTAAGAAGGAAAAAAAAAATCCTATAGCCCTCCCCTCCATTTCTCCCTCCCTTCCTTCCTTTCCTGCAAATGACTGCTTGTTTAATACCAAACTAACCATTGTGCTTTTGAGAATCCATGATTACTGCTTGGGCTGGAAGGTAGTAAGATTTTGAGGCTAGAGGGGAGGTCAGAAGTCATCTAATTTAGTCCTCTTACTTTGAAATAAGAAACTTACAGCCCAGTGAAGTGAAATGATGATCCCAAGGTCACCCAATTGGTTAGTAGCAGAATCAGGCCTAGGTCAGTATTCCCTGCCTCCATCTGTTGTAAATCCTCTTGGACAGGCTTTGTGGCATGCTACCAGCAAAGCTTATTGGAAAGCATTTAAGAACGTTAGAGCGTCTGCAGATGTGATTTTACAGGTTATTTATTTGTTTTACTGCAGATCATGACTTCCCCTCCATCCCTCTTCTTGTTTCAGGGCCAGATTCTGCCCTTTGATGTTCTTTGTGGCATTCTTGTTGTCTTTGGCCCGAATCTGAAGCAGGGCTTGACCCAAAGCTACTGGTGCCTTTGTTTGCTCCCAGAGGACTTCCCCTCCTCCCAGGAGACTCAGAAAAATCAGTTGTCTTAGAAATACTTTCTACACAAGATGCATCCTGCTGTGTCTGTGTCATTGAATCTTTGAGTTGGAAGAGACCTCTGAGGTCATCAGTCCAACCCCTGACCCGGTTCAGGCATGTCTTCCAAAAATTCCCTGGCATATGGTCACATAGTCTTGTGGCTGGAAGGTACCTCAGAGACCAAAGAATATCTTGATTTCTTTTTGTAGGTAAAGAAGCTTAGATTCAAAGGTGAAATGATTCATCTCCATGCAGGTGGCAGAGCTAAAATTGTAATTCATGTTTCTGACCCTGAGTCTGTAGCACCGTCCACTGTTCCATCCAACTTCTAATTATTCTTCTAACAATTGTCCAGTGAATTATCCCTGTATTTATTTGTTAATCATAATTAATTTGCTAAGCCGCCCTTATTTTACCCTGTACTAATAGTTAAGGAAAATAGGCATTTAACTAGATAAAAAGACCACACAAGAATGGTCTTCATTCCCTAAAACAATCGGGGGTTTTTTTTTAAGGTTCTTTTGGGTTTTTTTGTTTGTTTGTTTGTTTTGTTTGTTTGTTTTTTGAGATGGAGTCTCGCTCTGTCGCCCAGGCTGGAGTGCAGTGGCACAATCTCGGCTCACTGCAACCTCCACCTCCCGGGTTCAAGCAATTCTTCTGCCTCAGCCTCCCGAGTAGCTGGGACTACAGGCACACACCACCACGCCTGGCTAATTTTTCTTTTTTTAGTAAGACAGGGTTTCACCATCTTGGCCAGGCTGGTCTCAAACTCCTGACCTCATGGTCCACCTGCCTCAGCCTCCCCAAGTGATGGGATTACAGGTGTGAGCCACCGTGCCCGGCCATTTTGGGTTTTTTTAATGCTGCTGTAACAAGTTATGAAAAATTTGGTTTAAGCCAAGACATATTTATGGTCTTAGTTCTGGAGGTCAGATGACTGATGTTGCTGGGCTAAACTCAGGCTGCTGGCAGAGTTGTTTTCCTTTTGGAGGCTCTAGGGAGAATCTGTTTCCTTGCCTTTTTCAGCTTCCAGAGACTGCAACATTCCTGCTCATGGTGTGGCACCTGCCTCCATCTTCAAAGTACATTACTCTAACTCTGCTTCCATCATTTCTGACTCTCTCTCGCCTACTTCTTTGCTTTATAAGGCCCTTCTGATTACATTTGGCCCATCTTAATAATCCAGAAAAATCCCCCTATTTCATGATCCCTAATATAATCATATCTGTAAAATCCGTTTTGCCATGTAAGCTGACACATTCACAGGTTCTTGGAATTTGGACCTGGATGACTTTGGAGGAGCATTATTCTGCCTACCACAGCGACTGTTGACAAAGCAGTCCAGCGCTGTCACTGACATATTAAGATATAAAGTCGTTGCAGAAAACAGATGCTTGAACCAAGTTGTGAGGGATGTGAAGCGTTCACTAGCCAGGGCAGATAAAATAGAGAATGATGAGTAGAAAGAAGAGCATGTTCAGAGCTGCCCAGATATGAGAGTGAGCACATGGCACTTTTGGGGAATGCTGAGTACTCAGGATGACTAGGAAAGACTATTATCCTATTAAAAATGCATTCTTAAAGTCTCAACAAGTTTCACACATAATGCAGTTAGGATAAGAGATGCAAAGAGATATCCACCTAACTCAAGGTAATATTGTAAATGGCACATTCATAAGGATTGAAAGAGGAGGAGTATAATGAGAGAGGGAGGTTTGTATCTTAAGTCTGCTGTTGAGGGACAAGAATAATCAGAAAGGGTCAAGTGGTGTAAACTGCCCAAAATAGGAAGTCTGGAGAGGCCTCGAGGGTAAGAAATATTTATTTTTAAAAAAGAAGAGTGCGACAGCACACATAATCTTTTGCGGGGAGGTGGGGGCTTAACTATGTGATATCACATATGGGAAACATTCATTGTTGTCAATCAAATGCTAGAAGCTGCTGAATTTAGGTCCAATGGTGACTCTCAAACTTCATCTCTGCACAGTAGCTTATTTAAAAATTTACTTGGGGTTGTCTTTGGCTATACTTCATCATCATGATCTGTTCCAAGTTTACAGAAGAGAGAATAAACAAATTTAAAAAATATATTTTTTCAATTTGGAGGTTTTCCCTCATACTTTTTTTGCACCTTCTTCAACTTTCTTTCTAGCAAGTACATATCCAAATGAATGAATGGTAATAAATATAAAAATACAGATTTTATGCTAGGTCTTGAGATGTGAAGAACTGCAATATGTATTAGAGTCCTATTTCTGACTATACTATGAATAGATGGGCCCATAGTTCATTGGGTCCCACAAAGAACATCATATTCCCACATGCTCTATTACCACAATTTGGATGGCAATTACATTTTTATCAGCAAGCAGTTATTGACACGAATTATGTCTCAGGTTGTCTTATAAGCTCAAGGGATAGAGGAACATATAAAATATTGCATTCTCAATGGATAGTTTTATATCTTAGACCTAGGACCTAGAGATGACCTAGGCAATACTAATTTTTTCGGCACCCTCCAATTCACTCCCAAGTAATTTACTTGCATCCTTTAGCTCCTTGAATCCTCTTTACCCAAATTTTGTACAAAAGGAACAAGGAAGAGTAGCAAGCTCATGGCAGGAGCTCAATCAATGGGTTTGGAACAAATAATGAGGACATTAAAGTAAAAATTTGGAGGTAAATTGCCTGTGCTCACAGAGCTATTAATTGGCAGTGCTGAACTTGAACCCATATCTATCCATTTTCAAAGCTCTTTCTATTTGCACACCAAAAAGCTGCTGATGACTGATAAAAATAATGACTAATATTTATTAAACTTTTGCTATATGTCAGACACTATTCTAACTGTTTCATATGCATTAACTCAATGCTTCATTTGAATTAAAAAACTTACAAAAACTTCACTGAAAGAAAATCTCTTGTGATAGATGTTGTTGGTATCCCCACTTTTCATGTCAAGTAACAAAGACTGAAAAGTTATGGAATTTTCTTAGCATTATCAACTATGAAAACTATATAGAGAAAATTGAACACAGGCACACTTATTCAAGGACCTATCTTATTATCTAGAGTGAAGCTGGTTTACAGAACAAAGACTATAGAGGATTTAGGAGAGTGAGGACACAGTCAGCTAGAGGTATGGAGAATGATGACTGAAGAAAATTTCAGATAAAGGTATATTAATAGACACAACCTACCTAAATTCTCTCTTCTGGTAGTTTAAAGTCATGGTAAGTAGAGTCTTAGATAACTTGTGGTATATCTCAGGCCCACTGTAGAGTCTGAGGGTACATCAATTAGACTCACACTTACAGTGGTTCTCCTTGTATCTGTTTTATATTTTAGTCTTCTCTATATGGTTTAATTTGAATAATGGTTTTATAGTACTAAAAGTCAGAAAAGTCACTCTCCTACTTATAATATCTGGGTGTAGTCATCAAAGCTTCCTCTAATGTGTCTGCTGGTGGGGAATTAATTACACAGTGATATGGCTTATTTTAGTTTCTGATATATCTATATATTAGATAGATCTTTGCTTTATAATCCAAACTTGATCTGCCTGTAAGCACGTATTTCAAAAGCAAATAAAATCTTTTGATGGCCTAGAATTTGGTCTGTCTTGGTAAATTTGCCATGCACATTGAAAAGAATGTGTATTCTACTGTTGCTGGGTGGATTGCTCTGTAAGGGTCGATTGGGTCAACTTTGCTGATGGTGTTGTTTAGCTTTTCTGTATGTTTATTGACTTTCTTAATATTTGTTCTATCAATTACTGAGAGACAAGTGTTGAGGACTTCAACTTTAGTTGTAGATTTGTCTATTTCTCCTTTCAGTTCTATCAGTTTTTATTTCACATATTTGAAAGCTCTATTGTTAGGTGATTAAACATTTAGGATTGTTATGTCTTCTTGGGGAAGAAACCCCTTTATGTAATTCCCCTCTTTATCCCTGGCAATGTTCTCTATTTCGAAGCCTACTTAGTCTGATGCAGTATTGTTACTTAAATTTTTAAAATTAGTCTGTGAATGTTATATCTTTTCTCATGCTTCTACTTTAAACCTTAGTATGTCTTTCTATCTGAAGACATGGAAAACATAACATTGCATCTTGCTTTTTTATCCAGTCTGATAATCTCCATCTTTTAATACACCTATGTGTGTTTTGATTATGGTTACTCTAATTATATGATATACTTTGATTAATATCTGCTATTTTGCTAGCTATTTTCTATTTGCTCCATCTTTATTTTTTTCTTACTTTCCACTTTCTTTCAAATTGAGTATTAAGAATCCCATGGTATCTCCACTTTGGATTATGTACTTATATCTCTTTTTAAAAATGCTTTCAGTGGTAGCCGTAGGGTTTATAGTATGCATCTTTGGCTAATCAACATCTATATCTTCAAATACGAACAGGGCTGGCTCACATCTATAATCCCAGCTCTTTGGGAGGCTGAAATAGGAGGATTTTTTGAGGCCAGCAATTTCAGACCAGCCTGTGCAACACAATGAGAACTCATCTCTAAAAGTAACTAACTAAATAAAAATTAGCCAGGTGTGGTGGCACATGCCTCCAGTCCCAGCTACTTGGGAGGCTGAGGTGGGAGGATTACTTGAGCCTAGGAGTTCAAGGCTGCAGTGAGCTATGATCATGCCACTGCACTCTCCGAGTGAGCAACAGATGAGATTCTGTTTCAAATAAAAAGAAAAAGAAATAAAATGATACCACTTCAGGTGTAGTTTAAGTACCTTAAACGAGAGTGACTCCCGCTCCCTTCCTCCCAACATTTGTGCTACTGTCAGTCATTTTACTTTTATACATGCTATACAAAGAATATACATATTGCTATTATTTTACTGTAGATTTTTGAATAACCTTTTTGAATAATTAAAAATAATTTTTAAAGGTTTTATATGTACTTTTTGATATGCCATTTTTAGGAGTTTCCATTTCTTTTCATAGACCCAAATTTCTGTCTGGTTAATTCCTTCTGCCCAGAGAACTTCCTTTGTGCTGCAGGCATGCTGGCAATAAATTCTGTCAGTTCTTGTTTGACTAAAAATGTTTTATGATTCCTTCATTAGAAAATTTTTCTTTTCACCATGGATAGAATTTTTACTTTACAGTATTTTTTTTCTTCCTCTCGAGACTTTAAAGATGTTACTCCATTATCTTCTGGCTTGTATAGCTTCTGACAAAAGTCTTTGTTTTTATTGACATAATATGTCTTTTTTTTTTAGCTTTGCTGCCTTAAAGATTTTATTTCTGCCTTTGTTCTACAGCAGTTCAAATATAATATATATAGTGGTGTGTGTGTGTGTGTGTGTGTGTGTGCGCGCGTATGTGTGTGTGTTTATCCTGTTTCATATTCTCTGGGCTTTCTGGATATGTGATTTAATGTCTTTCATTAATTTTAGAAAATTTTCAGCCATTATCTCTTCAAAGATTTCTTTTGTCCTATTCTGTCTCTTCTCTGGAATTCCAAAGACATGTACTGAATGTTAAATAGTTTGATATTTTGAATAGCTCTTGGATGACCTATTATTTTTTCCACTACTCTTGCTGTTTGCATGTTGTATTTCAGATTGTATAATTTCTAATTACCTACCTTCAAGTTCTCTAATTTTTTTTTCAGTTGCATCAAATCTAGTGATGAGCCCATCAAAGGCATGCTTCATCTCTGTTACAGTTTTATTCATTTCTAACATTTGCAATTAATTCTTTCTTAAAATTTTGATCTCTCTGCTAATTCACCTGATCATGCAATTTATGTATCTTTTTCACTAGAGTCTTTAATATCTTAATCAGCTGTTTTAAATTCCCTGACGTTTTCAACATCTATTTCATTTCTGAGTCTGGTTCCATTGATCGCGTTGTCCCTTGACAATATGTTTTATTTCTTTGTGTCTTATTTTTTGTATACCTCATAATATTTTTATATGACAAGACTGATATATGTAATTTTTATGAATCAATTGGGTATACTGTGAATTTTGCCAGGATTTTGGGGGAAGATAGTCTTTGGTTTGAGTCATTTAAGTCAGAAATTAAGCTCAGTTTGGGATTTATTACTGATATGCTTATGGTATTTGGCCATTCTTGCATTGCTGTAAAGAAATACCTGAGGTTGGGGAATTTATTTTATAAAAAGAAGTTTAATTGGCTCACTGTTCTGCAGGTTTTATAGGAAGCAACTTGCTGGTGTCTGTTTCTGGTGAGGTCACAGGAAGCATACAATTATGGCAGATGATGACAGGCAGCCAATATGTCACATAGTGAGAGTGAGCAAGAGAAAGAGTGGAGGGCGATACCACACTCTTTTAAACAACCAGATCTCATGTGAACTCACTCATTATGAAGGGAATGGCACTAAGCCATTCATGAGGGATCTGCTCCCATGATGATTCAGGAACCTCCCACCAGATTCCACCTCCAAAACTGAGGATTAGATTTCAACATTAGATTTGGAGGGGACAAACATCCAAACCATATCATTCTCCCTCTGGCCCCCAAATCTCATGTACTTCTCACATGGCAAAATACAATCATCTTTTCCCAAGGTCCCCCAAAGTCTTAGCTCTTTCCAACATCAAGTCCTAAGTCTCATCTGAGACATATCCTTCCACCTATGAGCCTGTAAAATCAAAATAAATTATTTACTTCCAAGATACAATGGAGATACAGGCACTGATTAAACATTTCCATTTTAAAAGGGAGTCAAATTGGCCGAAATAAAGGGGCTACAGGCTCCACACAAGTCTGAAATCCAGCAGGGCTGTCATTAAATCTTAAAGTTTCAAGATAATCGCCTTTGATTCTTTGCCCTGAATGAGGGGTGGGCTCCTAAGGCCTTGGGCAGCCCCACTCCTGTGGCTTCCCTGGGCGAAGCCCGTGTTGCTGCTTTCATGGGTTGTAGTTGAATGCCTGTGGCTTTTCCAGGCTCAGGATGTAAGCTGCTAGTGTATCTACCATTTTAGGGGCTGTAAGGTAGAGGCCCCATTCCCACAGCTTCACTAAGCAGTTGTCTCAGTGAGGACTTGTGTGGAGGCTCCAATCCCACATCTTTCCTTGGCACTACCCTAGCAGAGGCTCTCTGTGGGGGCTCTGCTCCTGTACAGGCTTCTGCCTGGCCACCCATGCTTTCTCATGTATCCTCTGAAATCTAGGTAGAAGTTGCCAAGCCTCTTTTACTTTTGTGTGCTAAATACCTGCAGGTTTAATACAACATGGAAGCCACCAAGGCTTACAGAATGTGCTTTCCAGAGCTGTGACCTGAACTGTACCTGGGGCCTTTTGAGTGAGGCTGGAACTGGAGTGGCCTGGATGCAGAGAGCAGTGTCCTAAGGCTGTGCAGGTCAGTGGGGACCTGGGTCTGGCCCATGAAATCATTCTTTCCTCCTTGGTCTCTGAGCCTGTGATGAGAGGGGTTGCCTTGAAGATCTCCAAAATGCCTTTCAGGCCTTTCCTTATTGTCTTGGCTATTAGCATTTGGCTCCCTTTTAATCATGCTGATCTCTCCAGCAAGTGGGCACTCTGCCGCCTGCTTAGATTCTTCCCCTGAAAATGAGCTTTCCTTTTCTACTACATTGCAAAGCTACATATTTTCCAAAGTTTTATACTTGGCTTTCTTTTTAAATATAAATCCCACCTTTAAGTCATTTTTTTTTGCTCCTGCATCTGAGTATAAGCTGTTAGAAGCAGTCGGGTCACATCTTAAATGTTTTGCTGCTTAGAAATTTCTTCTCCCACATATCCTAAGTCATCACTCTTAAGTTCAGGCTTCCAAATATCTCTACAGCATAAACACAATGCAGCCAAATTCTTTGCTAAGGCATAACAAGGGTGACCTTTCCCCCAGTTCTCAATAAGTTCCTCATTTCCATCTGAGACCTCATCAGCCTGGACCTCACTGTCCATATCACTTTCAGCATTTTGGTCTCAATCATTTAACTAGCCTCTAAGAAGTTTCAAACATTTCCTCATCTTCCTACTTTCTTCTGCATTCTTCAAACTCTTCTTATCTCAGTCCTATTACCCAGTTCCAAAGTTGGTCCTACATTTTCAGGTATCTTTATAGCAATGCCCCACTCCTCAGTACCAATTTTCTGTATTAGACCATTCTTACATTACTGTAAAGAATACCTGAGGCTGGGTTATTTTTTTTTTGGTGGTGGGCGCCTGTAATCTCAGCTACTCAGGAGGCTGAGGCAGGAGAAATGCTTGAAGCCAGGAAGCAGAGGTTTCAGTGAGTCGAGATCGTACCACTGTACTCCAGTCTGAGCAACCAAGTGAGACTCTGTCTCAAAAAAAAAAAAGAAAAAAAATGTTTAATTGACTCATGATTCTTCAGGCTTTACAGAAAGCATGATGCTGACATCTGCTTCTGGTGAAGCCTCAGGGAGCTTACAGTTATGGCAGAAGGTGACAGGGAGCCAGCATGTCACATGACAAGAGCAGGACCAAGAGAGAGAGGGAGGAGGTGCCACACCCTTTTAAACAACCAGATCTTGTGTGAACTCACTCATCACCAAGGGGACAGTGCTAAGCCATGTATGAGGGATCCGTCCTCATGATTCAAACATCTCCTACATGCCTCACCTCCAACACTGGGGATTACATTTCCAAAAGATATTTAGAGGGGAGAAATATCCAAACTATATAACTTACCTTTCCTGCACAATAAGATTTAAGTTCTAGAGGTAACTTGTGTTTAGACTGGAGACTCATGTGCAAGATGATGTTCCTCAGGATTTGCTCCACTATCAGGTTTAGGTCTTTTCTTTTCTCTGATGCTATAAGATGATTTTTTCACATGCTCTTGTCCTCTCATAGCAAGAACCTGCTGCTGACTGAGGAGAGGAGCAGAGTGTTTTCTGTTGTTTGGATTGAGGCTCAGTTTCAGATAGGCATTGTGTTCCTGAATACCCTGATAGTGGTGCCTTCTCCATGATACTGCCCTTTCCTAAACTGCAAGAGAGCTGTTTATCTGAGCTTAGCATGTATTGTTGCCTTTCTTTCAGAGATAGAGAGTCTATGTTTATTTCTTCTCTCCAGATGCAGTGGATCTTCACCACTGTCCCAAGGCCAACATTGTTTATTGTCTTTTTCTTACAAGCTTAAGCTATGTGCGCTATAGAAGAGGTAGGGTGAAGAATCTATGGCTTTATTCCAATGCTACACAGGCTGCTATTTTTCTCTTTGAAATATGAGCCATGAGTAAATTTTTCTTGGATTCTCACCCTGCCTCCAATCATTCTTGTGAACACCTGATGAAATTTGTAGTCTATTGAGAAGAGCCAGTGAATAGTGTGAACTCCCATTTCTCTGTGGCTTGCAGGGATTCCATAATCTTATCTTAACCCATACTCAGCCTTTACCAATTTTTAAAACATTAGTTGAATTATCATCAACAGCTTATATGGTTACTTGTGGCGTCTATCCTAAGAAAACATGTGTTCATGTCCTGGCTCTTCCTGAAGGCATTTTTCTTTTTTTTTTCTTTTTTTTTTATTATACTTTAAGTTTTAGGGTACATGTGCACATTGTGCAGGTTAGTTACATATGTATACATGTGCCATGCTGCTGTGCTGCACCCACTAACTCATCATCTAGCATTAGGTATATCTCCCAATGCTATCCCTCCCCCCTCCCCCCACCCCACAACAGTCCCCAGAGTGTGATATTCCCCTTCATGTGTCCATGTGATCTCATTGTTCAGTTCCCACCTATGAGTGAGAATATGCAGTGTTTGGTTTTTTGTTCTTGCGATAGTTTACTGAGAATGATGATTTCCAATTTCATCCATGTCCCTACAAAGGACATGAACTCATCATTTTTTATGGCTGCATAGTATTCCATGGTGTATATGTGCCACATTTTCTTAATCCAGTCTATCATTGTTGGACATTTGGGTTGGTTCCAAGTCTTTGCTATTGTGAATAATGCCGCAATAAACATACGTGTGCATGTGTCTTTATAGCAGCATGATTTATAGTCCTTTGGGTATATACCCAGTAATGGGATGGCTGGGTCAAATGGTATTTCTAGTTCTAGATCCCTGAGGAATCGCCACACTGACTTCCACAATGGTTGAATTAGTTTACAGTCCCACCAACAGTGTAAAAGTGTTCCTATTTCTCCACATCCTCTCCAGCACCTGTTGTTTCCTCACTTTTTAATGATTGCCATTCTAACTGGTGTGAGATGGTATCTCATTGTGGTTTTGATTTGCATTTCTCTGATGGCCAGTGATGATAAGCATTTTTTCATGTTTTTTGGCTGCATAAATGTCTTCTTTTGAGAAGTGTCTGTTCATGTCCTTCGCCCACTTTTTGATGGAGTTGTTTGTTTTTTTCTTGTAAATTTGTTTGAGTTCATTGTAGATTCTGGATATTAGCCCTTTGTCAGATGAGTAGGTTGTGAAAATTTTCTCCCATTTTGTAGGTTGCCTGTTCACTCTGATGGTAGTTTCTTTTGCTGTGCAGAAGCTCTTTAGTTTAATTAGATCCCATTTGTCAATTTTGTCTTTTGTTGCCATTGCTTTTGGTGTTTTGGACATGAAGTCCTTGCCCACGCCTATGTCCTTAATGGTAATGCCTAGGTTTTCTTCTAGGGTTTTTATGGTTTTAGGTCTAACGTTTAAATCTTTAATCCATCTTGAATTGATTTTTGTATAAGGTGTAAGGAAGGGATCCAGTTTCAGCTTTCTACATATGGTTAGCCAGTTTTCCCAGCACCATTTATTAAATAGGGAATCCTTTCCCCATTGCTTGTTTTTCTCAGGTTTGTCAAAGATCAGATAGTTGTAGATATGCCGCGTTATTTCTGATGGCTCTGTTCTGTTCCATTGATCTATATCTCTGTTTTGGTACCAGCACCATGCTGTTTTGGTTACTGTAGCCTTGTAGTATAGTTTGAAGTCAGGTAGTGTGATGCCTCCAGCTTTGTTCTTTTGGCTTAGGATTGACTTGGCGATGCGGGCTCTTTTTTGGTTCCATATGAACTTTAAAGTAGTTTTTTCCAATTCTGTGAGGAAAATCATTGGTAGCTTTATGGGGATGGCATTGAATCTGTAAATTACCTTGGGCAGTATGGCCATTTTCACGATATTGATTCTTCCTACCCATGAGCATGGAATGTTCTTCCATTTGTTTTATCCTCTTTTATTTCCTTGAGCAGTGGTTTGTAGTTCTCCTTGAAGAAGTCCTTCACATCCCTTGTAAGTTAGATTCCTAGGTATTTTATTCTCTTTGAAGCAATTGTGAATGGGAGTTCACTCATGATTTGGCTCTCTGTTTGTCTGTTGTTGGTGTATAAGAATGCTTGTGATTTTTGTACATTGATTTTGTATCCTGAGACTTTGCTGAAGTTGCTTATCAGCTTAAGGAGATTTTGGGCTGAGACAATGGGGTTTTCTAGATATACAATCATGTCGTCTGCAAACAGGGACAATTTGACTTCCTCGTTTCCTAATTGAATACCCTTTATTTCCTTCTCCTGCCTAATTGCCCTGGCCAGAACTTCCAACACTATGTTGAATAGGAGTGGTGAGAGAGGGCATCCCTGTCTTGTGCCAGTTTTCAAAGGTAATGCTTCCCGTTTTTGCCCATTTAGTATGATATTGGCTGTGGGTCTGTCATAGATAGCTCTTATTATTTTGAAATACGTCCCATCAATACCTAATTTATTTATTTTTTTTTAAAGGATTATACACCATGACCAAGTAGAATTTATTCCTAGAATGCAAGGATGGTTCAACATATGAGAATTAATTAACATAATATTAACATAATTAATTAACATTAATTATTTAACATTAACATTAACAGAATGAAGGAGAAAACCCACATGATCATCTTAATTGATGCAGAAAAAAGCATTTTACAAAATGTAATACCCTTTCATGATAAAAATGTACAACAAACCAGAAATAAAAAAACCACCTCCATGTAAAAACTATATATGAAAAACCCACAGCTAACATAATACTCAGTTTGCCTTTTCATGGGACTAGTTTTGAATGAAGTTTTAAAACAAATAAGATTTTCCCAATATTGTTCTATTCCAATTGCATTCTGTTGGTCAAAGCTCATCAAACATATAAACCTGATCCAAAGGGAGGGAGCTGAAAATTTACATGACAAAGGATGTGGATACAGGGGCTATAAAAGGTTGTGGGAATTTGGCAATATATCACAGCCATCTTCATGTTTGTAATGGATATTTTTTTTCAGGCCACACATCATATATTCAGCCTATTTTCACCAATTGTATTCCAATTTCTTTTTGGTGAACTATTTCTTCCCCAATGTATGCACTCTTGGTAAATTAAGCTATTTTGTGCTCCTATGTAATCTAAGCTAGGGGTGGCAGAGCAGGACCAGAACTAGGTTAAGGCAAGTGAAGTTCTTAGGGTGCAAAATTTAAGTAGCACACGTATTTATATAACATTGAGTGTATTAATCTTTTTTTTTTATTAAATTTATTTTTTTATTGATAATTCTTGGGTGTTTCTCACAGAGGGGGATTTGGCAGGGTCATGGGACAATAGTGGAGGGAAGGTCAGCAGATAAACAAGTGAACAAAGGTCTCTGGTTTTCCTAGGCAGAGGACCCTGCGGCCTTCCGCAGTGTTTGTGTCCCTGATTACTTGAGATTAGGGATTGGTGATGACTCTTAACGAGCATGCTGCCTTCAAGCATCTGTTTAACAAAGCACATCTTGCACCGCCCTTAATCCATTTAACCCTGAGTGGACACAGCACATGTTTCAGAGAGCACCGGGTTGGGGGTAAGGTCACAGATCAACAGGATCCCAAGGCAGAGGAATTTTTCTTAGTGCAGAACAAAATGAAAAGTCTCCCATGTCTACTTCTTTCTACACAGACACGGCAACCATCCGATTTCTCAATCTTTTCCCCACCTTTCCCGCCTTTCTATTCCACAAAGCCGCCATTGTCATCCTGGCCCGTTCTCAATGAGCTGTTGGGCACACCTCCCAGACGGGGTGGTGGCCGGGCAGAGGGGCTCCTCACTTCCCAGTAGGGGCGGCTGGGCAGAGGCGCCCCTCACCTCCCGGACGGGCGGCTGGCGGGCGGGGGACTGACCCCCCAACCTCCCTCCCGGACGGGGCGGCTGGCGGGCAGAGGGGCTCCTCACTTCCCAGTAGGAGCGGCCGGGCAGAGGCGCCCCTCACCTCCCGGACGGGGCGGCTGGCCGGGCGGGGGGGCTGACCCCCCCCCACCTCCCTCCCGGACGGGGCAGCTGGCCAGGCAGGGGGGCTGACCCCCCCCCACCTCCCTCCTGGACGGGGCAGCTGGCCGGGCAGAGGGGCTCCTCACTTCCCAGTAGGGGCGGCCGGGTAGAGGCGCCCCTCACCTCCCGGACGGGGTGGCTGGCCGGGCGGGGGACTGACTCCCCCACACCTCCCTCCCGGACGGGGCGGCTGGCCGGGCGGGGGGCCGAACCCCCCACCTCCCTCCCGGACGGGGCGGCTGGCCGGGCGGGGGGCCGACCCCCCCACTTCCCTCCCGGACGGGGCGGCTGGCCGGGCGGGGGGCCGACCCCCCCACTTCCCTCCCGGACGGGGCGGCTGGCCGGGCGGGGGGCCGACCCCCCCACCTCCCTCCTGGACGGGGCGGCTGGCCGGGCAGAGGGGCTCCTCACTTCCCAGTAGGGGCGGCCGGGCAGAGGCGCCCCTCACCTCCCAGACGGGGCAGCTGGCCAGGCGGAGGGCTGACCCCCCCACCTCCCTCCCGGACGGGGTGGCTGGCCGGGCGGGGGGCTGACCCCCCACCTTCCTCCCGGATGGCACGGCTGGCCAGGCGGGGGGCTGACCCCCCCACCTCCCTCCCGGACGGGGCGGCTGGCCGGGCAGGGGGCTGACCCCCCCACCTTCCTCCCAGACGGCACGGCTGGCCAGGCGGGGGGCTGACCCCCCCCACCTCCCTCCCGGACAGGGTGGCTGCCGGGCGGAGACGCTCCTCACTTCCCAGATGGGGTGGCTGCCGGTTGGAGAGGCTCGTCACTTCTCAGACGGGGCAGCTGCCGGGCGGAGGGGCTCCTCACTTCTCAGACGGGGCGGCCGGGCAGAGACGCTCCTCACCTCCCAGATGGGGTCTCGGCCGGGCAGAGGCGCTCCTCACGTCCCAGATGGGGCGGCGGGGCAGAGGCGCTCCCCACATCTCAGATGATGGGCGGCCAGGCAGAGACGCTCCTCACTTCCTAGATGTGATGGCGGCCGGGAAGAGGCGCTCCTCACTTCCTAGATGGGATGGCGGCCGGGCGGAGACGCTCCTCACTTTCCAGACTGGGCAGCCAGGCAGAGGGGCTCCTCACATCCCAGACGATGGGCGGCCAGGCAGAGACACTCCTCACTTCCCAGACGGGGTGGCGGCCGGGCAGAGGCTGCAATCTCGGCACTTTGGGAGGCCAAGGCAGGCGGCTGCTCCCTGCCCTCGGGCCCCGCGGGGCCCTTCCGCTCCTCCCAGCCGCTGCCTCCCGGGCGGCGCTCGCCGGCGCGGCGGCAAAGACTGAGACAGCTCCGCTGCCCGCTGAACTCCATCCTCCCGGCGGTCGGGCGGCGGCGGCTGCGGTCGGTCGCGGCAGCGGCTCCGCTTCATATCTGCAGCTGGGGCCCGCGGGCGTCAGCGCCGCGACTGTCCCGGCTCCGCACTGCCCCGGGCCGCAGCGCAGCGGCGCCAACCACCACCCGCGGCCACCATGGCCGGCAATTTTTTTTTTTTTTTTTTTTTTTTTTTTTTTTTTTTTTAAAGCTAGGGCCTCACTTTGTCACCCAGGCTGGAGTCCAGTGGCACGATCATGGCTCACTATAACCTTAAACTCCTGAATTCAAGTCATCCTCCCGCCCCGGCCTCCCAAATAGCTGGGGCCACAGACACATACCCACCACACCAAGCTAATTTTTTTTTTAAGAGACCCAATACCTAATTTATTAAGAGTTTTTAGCATGAAGGGTTGTTGAATTTTGTCAAAGGCCTATTCTGCATCTATTGAGATAATCATGTGGTTTTTGTCTTTGGCTCTGTTTATATGCTGGATTACATTTATTGATTTGCATATATTGAACCAGCCTTGCATCCCAGGGATGAAGCCCACTTGATCATGGTGGATAAGCATTTTGATGTGCTGCTGGATTCGTTTGGCCAGTATTTTATTGAGGATTTTTGCATCAATGTTCATCAAGGATATTGGTCTAAAATTCTCTTTTTTGGTTGTGTCTCTGCCCAGCTTTGGTATCAGAAAGATGCTGGCCTCATAAAATGAGTTAGGGAGGATTCCCTCTTTTTCTATTGATTGGAATAGTTTCAGAAGGAATGGTACCAGTTCCTCCTTGTACCTCTGGTAGAATTCGGCTGTGAATCCATCTGGTCCTGGACTCTTTTTGGTGGGTAAACTATTGATTATTGCCACAATTTCAGCTCCTGTTATTGGTCTATTCAGAGATTCAACTTCTTCCTGGTTTAGTCTTGGGAGAGTGTATGTGTCAAGGAATTTATCCATTTCTTCTAGATTTTCTAGTTTATTTGTGTAGAGGTGTTTGTAGTATTCTCTGATGGTAGTTTGTATTTCTGTGGGATCAGTGGTGATATCCCCTTTATCACTTTTTATTGCGTCTATTTGATTCTTCTCTCTTTTTTTCTTTATTAATTTTGCTAGTGGTCTATCAATTTTGTTGATCCTTTCAAAAAACCAGCTCCTGGATTCATTAATTTTTTGAAGGGTTTTTTGTGTCTCTATTTCCTTCAGTTCTACTCGGATTTTAGTTATTTCTTGCCTTCTGCTAGCTTTTGAATGTGTTTGCTCTTGCTTTTCTAGTTCTTTTAATTGTGATGTTAGGGTGTCAATTTTGGATCTTTCCTGCTTTCTCTTGTGGGCATTTAGTGCTATAAATTTCCCTCTACACACTGCTTTGAATGCATCCCAGAGATTGTGGTATGTTGTGTCTTCGTTCTTGTTGGTTTCAAAGAACATCTTTATTTCTGCCTTCATTTCGTTATGTATCCAGTAGTCATTCAGGAGCAGGTTGTTCAGTTTCCATGTAGCTGAGCGGTTTTGAGTGAGATTCTTAATTCTGAGTTCTAGTTTGATTGCACTGTGGTCTGAGAGACAGTTTGTTATAATTTCTGTTCTTTTACATTTGCTGAGGAGAGCTTTACTTCCAAGTATGTGGTCCATTTTGGAACAGGTGTGGTGTGGTGCTGAAAAAAATGTATATTCTGTTGATTTGGGGTGGAGAGTTCTGTAGATGTCTATTAGGTCCGCTTGGTGCAGAGCTGAGTTCAATTCCTGGGTATCCTTGTTGACTTTCTGTCTCATTGATCTGTCTAATGTTGACAGTGGGGTGTTAAAGTCTCCCATTATTAATGTGTGGGAGTCTAAGTCTCTTTGTAGGTCACTCAGGACTTGCTTTATGAATCTGGGTGCTCCTGTATTGGGTGCATATATATTTAGGATAGTTAGCTCTTCTTGTTGAATTGATCCCTTTACCATTATGTAATGGCTTTCTTTGTCTCTTTTGATCTTTGTTGGTTTAAAGTCTGTTTTATCAGAGACTAGGATTGCAACCCCTGCCTTTTTTTGTTTTCCATTTGCTTGGTAGATCTTCCCCCATCCTTTTATTTTGAGCCTATGTGTGTCTCTGCACGTGAGATGGGTTTCCTGAATACAGCACACTGATGGGTCTTGACTCTTTATCCAATTTGCCAGTCTGTGTCTTTTAATTGGAGCATTTAGTCCATTTACATTTAAAGTTAATATTGTTATGTGTGAATTTGATCCTGTCATTATGATGTTAGCTGGTGATTTTGCTCGTTAGTTGATGCAGTTTCTTCCTAGTCTTGATGGTCTTTACATTTTGGCATGATTTTGCAGTGGCTGGTACCGGTTGTTCCTTTCCATGTTTAGCGCTTCCTTCAGGAGCTCTTTTAGACCAGGCCTGGTGGTGACAAAATCTCTCAGCATTTGCCTGTCTGTAAAGGATTTTATTTCTCCTTCACTTATGAAGCTTAGTTTGGCTGGATATGAAATTCTGGGTTGAAAATTCTTTTCTTTAAGAATGTTGAATATTGGCCCCCACTCTCTTCTGGCTTGTAGGGTTTCTGCCGAGAGATCTGCTGTTAGTCTGATGGGCTTCCCTTTGAGGGTAACCTGACCTTTCTCTCTGGCTGCCCTTAACATTTTTTCCTTCATTTCAACTTTGGTGAATCTGACAATTATGTGTCTTGGAGTTGCTCTTCTCGAGTAGTATCCTTGTGGTGTTCTCTGTATTTCCTGAATCTGAACGTTGGCCTGCCTTGCTAGATTGGGGAAGTTCTCCTGGATAATATCCTGCAGAGTGTTTTCCAACTGGGTTCCATTCTCCCCATCACTTTCAGGTACACCAATCAGATGTAGATTTGGTCTTTTCACATAGTCCCATATTTCTTGGAGGCTTTGCTCATTTCTTTTTATTCTTTTTTCTCTAAAGTTCCCTTCTTGCTTCATTTCATTCATTTCATCTTCCATTGCTGATACCCTTTCTTCAAGTTGATCACATCGGCTCCTGAGGCTTCTGCATTCTTCACGTAGTTCTCAAGCCTTGGTTTTCAGCTCCATCAGCTCCTTTAAGCACTTCTGTGTATTGGTTATTCTAGTTATACATTCTTCTAAATTTTTTTCAAAGTTTTCAACTTCTTTGCCTTTGGTTTGAATGTCCTCCCATAGCTCAGAGTAATTTGATTGTCTGAAGCCTTCTTCTCTCAGCTCGTCAAAGTCATTCTCCATCCAGCTTTGTTCCGTTGCTGGTGAGGAACTGCGTTCCTTTGGAGGAGGAGGGGTGCTCTGCGTTTTAGAGTTTCCCATTTTTCTGTTCTGTTTTTTCCCCATCTTTGTGGTTTTATCTACTTTTGGTCTTTGATGATGGTGATGTACAGATGGGTTTTCGGTGTGGATGTCCTTTCTGTTTGTTAGTTTTCCTTCTAACAGACAGGACCCTCAGCTGCAGGTCTGTTGGAATACCCTGCAGTGTGAGGTGTCAGTGTGCCCCTGCTGGGGGGTGCCTCCCAGTTAGGCTGCTCGGGGTTCAGGGGTCAGGGACCCACTTGAGGAGGCAGTCTGCCCGTTCTCAGATCTCCAGCTGCGTGCTGGGAGAACCACTGCTCTCTTCAAAGCTGTCAGACAGGGACATTTAAGTCTGCAGAGGTTACTGCTGTCTTTTTGTTTGTCTGTGCCCTGCCCCCAGAGGTGGAGCCTACAGAGGCAGGCAGGCCTCCTTGAGCTGTGGTGGGCTCCACCCAGTTCGAGCTTCCCGGCTGGCTGCTTTGTTTACCTAAGCAAGCCTGGGCAATGGCGGGCGCCCCTCCCCCAGCCTCGCTGCTGCCTTGCAGTTTGATCTCAGACTGCTGTGCTAGCAATCAGCAAGACTCCGTGGGCGTAGGACCCTCCGAGCCAGGTGCGGGATATAATCTCGTGGTGCGCCGTTTTTTAAGCTGGTCCGAGAAGCGCAATATTCAGGTGGGAGTGACCCGATTTTCCAGGTGCGTCCATCACCCCTTTCTTTGACTCGGAAAGGGAACTCCCTGACCCCTTGCACTTCCCAAGTGAGGCAATGCCTCACCTTGCTTTGGCTTGCGCACGGTGCGCACACCCACTGACCTGTGCCCACTGTCTGGCACTCCCTAGTGAGATGAACCCGGTACCTCCGATGGAAATGCAGAAATCACCCATTTTCCGCGTCGCTCACGCTGGGAGCTGTAGACCGGAGCTGTTCCTATTTGGCCATCTTGGCTCCTCCCCGGCATTTTTCTTACTTTTTATTTAGGACCAGTTTGTTGTCTTGCGACCTCAGTTCTCTGATTAGTTTAAATAAATAAATAAATAAATAAAAATAAAGAGCTGTGAATCTGCAGATTCTTTAGCATTATTTTCTAGTACTTCTAGGAGTGCTACTCTTTCCTGCTTTCTATATCCTAAGTAGAAGCCAAAAGTCTTTCACATTTTTTTTTCCTATTTATTGAGGTATAATTGATAAACAAATATTGTATATATTTAAGGTGCATAGCTTGATGTCTTGATACACATATACATTTTGAAATAAACACTATAATCAAGGTGATTAATATATCCACCATTTCATCAACATGAGATAACTATTTACCATTTTCTGTTCTCTCTTTTTTTTTCTGGTGGTAAAAACAGTTATCTATCCTCTTAGCAATTTGCACAGCATTCTTTGTGATGGAGTCACAGACACTAAATGGAAGGTTTCCATTGAGCTTTCTTTCTATCATTCAAGGAATTTAATTTAATAAACGCTTCTGGCCACGTAAGACCCCCCAGATCTTGCCTTCAGGCAGCTCATAGTCTGCTGGGAGGAACAAATACAGCAACAGATAATTTTTGAATAGCAAGTAAGTGCTAAAATAAAGGTAATCTATGCTAACAAATAAAGGGGATAAACGGATCACTGCTTGGGTAAAAAACACTTAGATTTTATAGGGGAGATGACACTTGCATTAGTTCTCAAAACAAAAATATTTTACCAGCATAGAAAGCAGGGTAGAACCTTCTAAAAAGAAGAAACATCATATTTTGAGTAGTGGATTTAGCATAATTTGTCTGAACAAATTTATATGGGTAGAACAATATTATGCTCCACTTACAGACCCTGTTGTTAACAGTTTGGTGTAAGGACATTCAAACTTTTCCCCCGGCATATATATTTATTTATTTGTGTAAAATGAAATAATATAGTGTATTCTGAAAGATCTGATAACTGCTTAATAATCAATGATGCTGAATAATTCACATTTTCTCTTGTTTTAACATTTCACTTATTTTTATTTATTTTGCTTTTGTAAATGATTGTTATAAATGTCTTTTAGGTGCAGTACATATTTTTTTCATTGCTTTTGGATTATTTTATTGCATGTATTTATATAAGGGAGTTTCTGAATTAAAGACTACTGACATTTCCAAGACTTTGGTACATGCTACCAAATTGCTTTTCAAAGTGGTACCTCCAATATTTGCCTTCTCAGTAGTTTATGAAAGTGCCCATCTCATCACATACTCACAGGAATACTGTATTCGCATTAAAAAAAACTTGGCTAATTTGGTAGCTAAAAATGGCATTTTATTAACATTTAGAAGTTTGTATTATTTGAATATAAGTAGGTCTCATAACTTGAAATATTTCTATTAACCATTTTGCTTCCTCTTTTGTAAATCCTCCTTTTATGCCCTTTGCCCATTTATATATTGGAAAATCTGGTTTTTCGTCTCTCTTTGAGAGTTGTAGATGATTGTATTATATTTATTGGCTCTAAATATTAGGAAATCTTCCTTTTAAAACCTAGAGCAGGAGCGCCTAAATCTGACTGCTCAAAAATGCCTTTGGAGCTCTAAAAATTTATACATTCTTGGGCCCGACCTGATTCAGTAGTTCTAGTGCAAAGCTCAGGAATCTGCATAAAACTTTCAGAGAATTCTGATATGTTAGCTCAGTTGAGGAACCTCTACTCTTGTCTCCCATAGTCCAGTTACCCTGTTTTGTTGTCATATTTAGCCTTGTAGGGTGTGCGCTTCACCTGACAGTAAGCTGGTGAAGGCTGTGTTGCAGAGGATGAGCCTGGAGAACACTGGCTTTTCAGTTGGCTGATGTTTAAATTCCAACTTTGGTGCTTGCTAGGAGGTGGGACTAGGGCATCTTGGCTGTTTCATTTTCCTCATCTTTAAATGGGGAGAATAATATTTTCTATAATTACCACTTTACTACTAAATCAAGGCTACCAGTTACTAAATTTTTGTAATGGTTCTAGGATAAGATAGTAAGGGTCTGAAAGAGAAGGAAAGAACAGAGCCATTAGATGAAAGAATGGAAAGGTTATGCTGTCCTCTCCTCACTTTTATTGAATGCTGACTGTCGTAGGTCTTATGAGTAGCGGTAACACTATATTATCTCATTTATTCTTTATATCAGCCCTGAGACAGGTTCTATGCCCATTTCCAATGAAGAAACTGACATAACAGGGAGAATGAAGTTATCATTTACCAATACAAGGAAGACTCTAGAAAAATCAGGTTTGGGGATGAAGATCAGAAGCTCCATTTTGTGCATGTTAAGTTTGAGATATATGTTCATCATCAAATGGAGATATTAAAGAAGACAGTTGCATTACGACTGTAGAGTTTAAGGGAGAGATCCGGGCTAAAAGTATAAATTTGGAAGTCATCAGCACATTGGTGTTAGTAAATACAATGGGAAGAATGAACTCTCGGCACAAGCACCAGGTGAGTACAGGCGGAAAAGAGGAGTGGGGCCAAGACCTGAGCTGTGGTCTTGGTGCTGAGAGATTAGGAAGACTGGGAGCAACTGGCAAAGAAGATTGATAAGAATTGGTGAGTGAGGAAGGAGGAAATTTAGGAGAGGGTGGCATCTTGGAAGCCAAGTGAAGAAAGAATACCTACTTGATAAGTATTTTGAAATGAATTAATGATGTATCTAGGCAAAATCCAAATTCAGATCTCTTTGACCCAGGAGACTATACATTCTTTTTTTCTATTATTATTTTTTGAGACAGAATTTCACTCTTGTTGCCCAAGCTGGAGTGCAACGGTGCAATCTCAGTTCACTGCAACGTCTGCCTCCCAGGTTCAAGTGATTCCCCTGCCTCAGCCTCCCAAGTTGCTGGGATTACAGGTGCTACGGGCACGTGCCACCACGCCCAGCTAATTTTTTGTATTTTTAGTAGAAACAGGGTTTCATCATGTTAGCCAGGCTAATCTCAAACTCCTGACCTCAGGTGATCTACCTGCCTCGGCCTCCCAAAGTGCTGGGATTACAGGTGTGAGCCACCATGCCCAGGCTATATCTACTATTTATTGTCCCAGGGGCTGACAAACTGTTTTTTAGAAGATACAGTTAATTAATATTGTAGACTTTGTGAGCCAACAGGCAAAATTGAGGCTATCACTCAGTGCTTGTATAAGCATTTAAAATGTATTCACTAGACTAGCCTAAAAAAATAAAATAAAATAAAATGTAACCACTTCAAAATTTAAAAATTATTCTTAGCTCAAGAGCCATAAAACAAAACAAAACAAAAAACCAGGCTGCTGGCCCATGGCCGCAGTTTGCCTCCCTCTTCCCTACATATTATTCACTTTGATTCTGGAAATATTTATTACTAAAATGATAATACTCAAGCATCACCATCTTAATCAGCTATCTCAGTCTCACATAAAATTCCACAATAACCCAAATGGACTTATTTCACCAGTAGCATAATTTAACGTTTTTTCTTATATAAAGGTGGCCTGTATCTAATCCAGCAATTTTATTTCTCCCAAGACACTATTTCTTGTTCCATTTTGCTTAGCTACATAGTTGGCAAAGAAATGGAGCATGGAAGCAAGCACAGAATTTGCATGAGTGTATTTGTCATAGGCTGTGGCCCCTAAAGTGAGTTTCTAACCTGAGAGTGTGACAGAGAGAAAGGGTATTTCCCTCTCTTGTTTTCTTTCTGAATGTCATCCTCAGAAACCTCAACTAAGTCACATTTATTCTCCCCAGGGTCATACCAAAGGGTGTCATTATGATTCATTCCTCCAGCATATGAACTCTGCCCACAGAAGCAGTTTTTAGAAAGATAAAGTTCAAACTTAGTACTATTGACTTCTATTTTTCTTAACTTGATTTCTATCAAAAACCAGTTCAATGACCTAAAGTCATTTACTCTCCTCTTCTGCAGTGCCTTCTGTCTATGCTTTCCACATCCCTCCCCAATCCCCTAAATCTGAAAACTGAGGAATATACTCACACATAGAGCTTCCAAGATCCCTGGGCCATTTTTGTTTCCTCAATGCTACTCTCCCCTAAACTGTTCCACAAGGACAAATAGACTCATTGGGAAAACAGTAACTGCACACATTTCTCATTCACCTCTCAGGACACGTGTATTTGCAGATATTTCCAATCAATCATGAAGTGATTGCTGCTAGAAATTCTCCCAAAGGTCAACCTGCCTTCTTGAAATTGCTTCTATTTAGAAAAACACTTTAATTATCATAACCAATGACCTTTGCTGAGCGATCTCTCTAGACGGAAAGTGATCAAAGGGTGTTAAACTTTGGGCTCAGGTAACAGGACATCCTCCCTACACATCTAATTCAGTCTTGGCTCCTTATGTAGCTGTATTGAATCTGTTCTTGCCCTACAATTGGGAATGAGGTGCTCTTTCTCCCTTCCCTCTTGTGCTGTTGGCTGGGGCTGCCAAATACTGCACAAGCTTCTTCTTTCTTTCAGAAAACCCATCTTTTCTTTCTTTCTGTATCAAGAGTGTTTCTTTTGCCCAGACTCCCTATGGCCAACTCAGATGAAGTTTGCTATTTATCCTGAGGTCTATCTGGCTTCAGTAAAATGCTTTGTAAACTATGAGATTTGTAAATTTGTAATTTTTCTTCCTCAGGACCCAGGACAATGCCTGCCACAAGTTAGATAATCAGTGAATGTGTCTTACATTATGCTAAGGAGATGGCTTATTACTGGTATCTGATTGGCAGATTTGAAAGGGGAAAGTAAAAAGTGAGAAGGCCAATTTATTACCCAGGAAAATCCTGGATAATAGACTATGATCCCCTGTGGGCAGAAAATAAATGTTTGTTGACCCAATAATGATGAGCATGGAGCTGGTGCAGTGGTTGTGGGAATAAAGCAGAAAGAGCTGTCTCTGAGAAATGGAGTGGAGAAAGAAATGTCAAGCAGGGAGCTGACCTGAATGGAGGAAGAAGTCAAAGCAAATTATAGGCTACTAATCTGAAGACTGGCAACCAGAGAGTTTGTTAAAGAGAGAATCATCTGAGAGTCAAGAGATATGGGTTCCATGCTTGCTTCCTTCTCTTCTGTAATACCAGGCAAGCTACTTAATCCTCTTAGCCTCAGCTTCCCCATATTTAAAATAGATGGAACAACACACAGCACAGTTATTGCAAGAATTATTATTTTCTATTAATAACTCCTTTCAGTGCCCAACTCAAGAGCTGACACATGAAAATTCCTAGCAAATAGGCAAACTGTGCTGGGTAAGATCCTTTTGCTGGTAGGAGAAAGGAGCCATCTCCAGGACGGTGAAATCACAAGGCATTTGTAATACTTGCCCTGATGGGACCCAAGGGCTAACAGCATGTACAGAAGAGCATTGTCTTTTCAAATCTGCTTGTAATCCTTGCAGAGACTCATATGTCACTTTAAAGGGTTAACAGGAAACTAGATGTCATCTTGTCAGCCTTCCTGATCTCTTCCAGCTGAAAGTCTTCTAATTCTGCTCTGAGCACCCACCCCACCCCCATCTGTACTTTGCTGGTAGTACATTTCCCTGTCCACCTCAGACCTTGGATATTTAATGCTCTTGGCTTATCTATCTCTCTAGAAGGTAGGCAAGTTGGAAGCAAGAGTCATGGCTGGGTTACCAATAAATCCCACAGAGTCCTGCCAACATGTCTTATGCTGGCAGAAGTTCGTGACATGCTTGTTGAGTAGCTGGGTGGATGGATGGACTGATGGAGGGATAGACGTGCCACTAGACTTGTTCAGTACTAGTCTAGAATCTCAAGGTGTTGGCAGAGAGCCTGCCCCATAGTGGACAATCAACATGCACCGGCTCACTGAATGGGCACAAAGATGTCCCTTCCATTTTGTTCTCACCGATCTCTGGGTCCTAGCACAGACCTGGAACTTAGAAAACTCTTGTACAGTCTTGTTGACTGACTTACTCACTGTATTTCTGAACCACAAGAAACCAACCAGCACAGAAAGAGATGCCAGCAAGATGGTTTCACTTAATGCATTCCTCTCCAAAAGAGATTCCCACCATGGTTAGTATATGCTTTTCCCTGAACCTCCAGTCTCCCATCTGGAGCAGAAGTAGGAAAACCACAGCCCATGGGCCAAATCCAGTCTGCTGCCCCCTGCTTTTGTAAACAAAATTTAACCCGGAACAAGTCTGAAGTGTGATTCTTCAGTTTTATGAGGTGGCCCTATTTCTAATTTTGCTTCACTCGAAGCTGTCATCCAAACATTTCAATTTGACCTTGTTCCACCAACACCCCATTGGCCCTCCAGTGCTCCCACTCTCTCCACATCTCCATGTGGCAGTTTCAAATCTCTGCCCACAGTTCCCTAGCTTCCTACCCCTGCAATAAGAGTCGGACTTTGCTTCGTCTCACTCCCCAAATCCCTGTTGCCTCTGTGACCTTGCCAAATCTCCTCTTTCAGAAATGTACCTCATCCTGCCTCCTTTCACCTGGCTCAAATGTGTCTCCTCCAGGAAACCTTTTTGATGCTGGTATCCCTCTTCTGTGTCCCAATCACCTGCCATGCATTTACCATTGCTACCTGTCTAGTTTGCAGGCAGGGCATGGTGGCAGAAGCTAGCCTTCTTTCGGGACACTCACTGGCCATCCCCACTGCCAAGAACACCTGCCCTTCCGGCTTCTCTTCCCTAGCCCACTCTTATTCCTGAAAGTCTCATTTGAAATGTTACTGCCTCAGAAAAGCCATTCCTGAAGCCCCTGCCTATACTCCAAGGTCAAGGCCTGTGTCTTCACAGCCCTTTTTCAAGGAATTTATTCCAATAAAATTAGATGGCTTATGGTGTGATTATTTATTAATGTCTTCCTACCCATTAAACAGACAGCTTCATCAAGGCAAGCCAGCCATCTGTTCTATAGACCAAGTGTTTCCTCAGACTTGGTCCACACCAGTAGACAGTTTTCTAGTGAATGAATAGAGTTAACGTCACTCTAAATTAAATTAATCAAGTTGGAGCTGGGTGCGGTAGCTCGCGCCTGTAATCCCAGCACTTTGGGAGGCCGAGGCAGGCAGATCACCTGAGGTCAGGAGTTCAAGAGCAGCCTGGCCAACATGGCAAAACTCCATTTATATTAAACATACAAAAATTAGCCAGGCGTGGTGGTGGCAGGTGCCTGTAGTCCCAGCTACTCAGGAGGCTGAGGCAGGAGAATTGCTTGAACCCATGAGGTGGAGGTTGCAGTCAGCCGAGATTGCACCACCGCACTCCACCCTGGGCAACAGAGCAAGACTCTGTCTCAAAATAATAATAATATTAATAATTAATAATAGTAATAATAATAAAGTTGGGAATGGGTCAGTTAACAAAAGACACCAAGATAGAAACCATCGTCTCCACCAGTTAGCGACACAGAGGATGGATGTGTGCATTAGGCTTTTCTCTGAGAATAGGATTTTGTCCTATCCAAGAAAAATGACAAACACCCATGAAGAGGGTTTTATTTTTTCTTGGTGGAAATGAAAGTATTAGTTTTTCTAATCAAGAGTAAGTCATTTGTCCCCACTTCCCCTGCAAACAACAAAAAAGAACCCATGATATTTGTTGAGAACCAGCTTACAGCCTAATCCTGGCCCTGGAAGCATGCCATTCTCTAATAGATACAATTAAGTTAAAAGACTGGGGTTGGTCACATGGTTTCAGACAATGGCCCTATATTTAGGAGTTTTGTCCCAAATATAATCAGATTCCAAAGGCCTGTGAGGATTTATTTATTTATGAAAATAAGGACCCAGTGCCTTCTGAAATAAGCCCTTTTAGTGCAGCAGCCGTGTACACTGGGGCAGATTTACTCTGAAAAATAACAAGGCTTCTCTGACCCAGGAAAGTCACAGCCTGAAATGCTTATTTTTGAAGCAGCATTTATTTTCTGCTGGTTTAGAACATGTTCCCCTTAGGAATAACCTCCTGGCTGCCCCAGAAATGCTGATATGTGGATTGTGTAATGTCAGCTCTCCTGTGCGCCCTATCTGTGCCTCCTTCCTCGCAGCAGGGAGGCGTTCAGCCCGCCCCTGCCCGTTCCCTGCCTTGCTCTTTTCTAAGAACTGGAAATTATTCCTGAGATGAGAGGAATAAAACATACATAGGACATATCCAGTCTATTTCTGAAGCAGAACATGGAGAAAACCTAGCGAAGAGATTACAAAAAAAGATAAAAGAAGTTTTCTTCCTAGTCCTCACTCCCAATCCCTTCCTGCCCAAGTTTATGTCTGCTAAGGGCTCCTCTCATCAGCCCAACTTCCTGGGCTGCTTTCAGGATCAGGAGAGAGAGGAGCTTCATAATATTTCCATGTTTACTTTTTAGGCAAGGATAGGTAAGAAGGGCCCCATTCACAGAAGCACTGCTCAGACAGGATAGCAGATGGCGGCTGGGTGGGAAGGAACGAAACCCTAGAACATTTCTGTCCTCATGATCCTCTTATGTGCCCTTCTGATCAGAACATGACTCCTGATTGATTTTGAGGAAAGTTCCAATACCTCTGGCTGTCCGCATCCTTCCCTTTTCTCACAGAGTGTGCTCAAGTGTGTCTGGTCATATGGTTTCTGATTTACACCCAACTCCTAGTTCCTCTTTCTCAGGTGGAGGCCTTCAAGACCTGGGGAAATGACACATGCCTCCTTCAATGAGCAGTTGTCATCAACCATCAGTTAGCTCTGAGCTGAGTAGCTTAAATGTGTTAGGCTGGGGAAATGGGGGCATTGAGAGAGCAAGGCAGGGCTTTGCCTTCATTCTAACCATACATATATTCTCCAAGCAGCACAGGGCAAGTCAGAAGATGTGGGTCCAAGATCTGGGCAACTTGGGCTTGTGACTTCACTTCTCTATGACTTAGTTTTCCCATCTGTAAAATGGACTAAGCACCTCTCACTTCTTATTTTACCGGTCTGATGTGGGAATCAAATGGGATGATGCGTGCAGAGGCCTTTGTAAACTCTGCCTCTCTCTGTAATGCAAGCTGCTATGGGTAGATGGCAGGCGAGTGGGGTCAACAAGGTTTTCATCTCAACCCTTGCTGCACATGCAGCTCTGGGGAAAAATGATGCCCTGGAATCATCTGCAGAGTTGAGGGTAGGGCCTGTTATGGGGCTTTTTAGTTTTTAAGGCTCCTAAGGTGATGTTGGTGGGCAGTAGGATTTGGAAACTGCTAGTAAACAAAAAAGTTACAGATGTTACGAGAAAGCAGAACTTGTGGATTAGGGTGAGCAGGCAGGAAAAGCCTTGAAGGAAAAGATGGGAATCTGAGAAGTAGAAGGGACCCAGGCCAAGGGGAGATGGTAAAGAGAATGGAGTGAAGACAAGGGAAAATGAGAAAGGGGAATGAAGGATAGAGGGGGAGCTGGTACATCAATTAATCACAAAGTGGGTGGCACCTGGTCTGGCGAAGGCTGCACCTCTTCCACGAAGCCTGGTGACTCCAAATGTCTCTTATTGGAAGCTTCATGTCACCTTGTGCCACCCTGTCTCCCCATTGCCATATTGTTTTATAATTGTTTGTGTGTGTATCTGTCTCCCTCAGTGGATCAGGGGTTCTTTGAGGGCACAAATTATTTCTTTCACCTCAGCATCTAGCAAGGTTCCTGGCATAGACCAAGAACTTAATACATAATGTCTAAATGACAGGTATTGAGCATCTGGTAAGGACTTATCTTAGGTCTGACTCTGCCACTAATTTACTGGGATGTCTACAACCCACTATTTTGCCTCTTTGGGTTTCAAGGCCCCCCCCCACCCGCCACCAACATTGTGAAATGTGAGTTCTCTAGGAATTCAAGTATGTAGGTAGCACTGTGTCTAGAAAAAAATATTCAGTGAGGTATCAGGCTCAAATAATTAGAACACATTAATTTAGGTCAGTGCTTCTCAAGCTTTAATGTGCCTGCTAAGGTACATGGGGACTTTGTGAAAATGCAGATTCTAATTCAGTAGGCCTGGAGTGGGTCTTGAGATGCCGCATTTCACACAGGCTCCCAGATGATGTCAATGTGGCCTGTCAGCAGAGCTCACTTGAGTAGCATGCGTCAATAGTACTTACTTTCAGGTGAGACCAATGCTGCTGGATTTTGACTCTCACTTGGAGTAGCAGGTGGTTAGGCTGCGTTCGTATGATAACAAAATGATCTGCTGAAAATGTCCCACTCCAGACCCTGAAATAATGATTTTTTTTTTTTTAATTCTTGGCAGAGATACTTTGTTGGCTAGAATTATAGGACATAGGTCAACCAAATCTGGGCTCAAATCCTGTTCCCAACGTTTCTTAATTATATGATTTTAGGCTAGTAACCTCAAAATCTTAGCCTCAGTGTCCTATTCTATCAAATGGTATCACAGAACTTATCTCAAGAAGTATAACTCATAGAGCATGATAATTTATATGAGGATGTAGGTAACGCAATTAGCATACGGTGGGTGCTCAGTACATGCTAATTCTCTTCTTACTGACTTAGCAACACAGGAAGTAAAGAGATTTCAGGAACTATAGGTTTGTTCTTTTCACATCGAGAAAGGAAGCTTAAGTAGTATAGGAAATGCAGTACGTTTCACTTCCTTTCTTCAGGGAACATAAAACCCCCAGGTGTATCTTAGAACAGGATCAGTAAGAGAGAAATAGTAAAAGTGAAAAGTTCTCAGAGGGAGCTGACTCACCACTCCTCAGGGAGAGGTAACCACCCTGTGAGGCTTTGTGAGAAAGGTGGTCTGGGCAGCTTGGGGGAAATATGAAGGAAAAGACAAAGATACAGGAACTCTCCGGCTCACAACAAAGGCCTTCTTTCTTCAACACTCCATTTTCAACACTGAACTCTGACTCTTGTTGGACTTATCTTTAGACACATTCTATTTATTTGATTAGGGTAGAGGAATCAGAACAACTTCATATCCTGGCCTTCTGAGAGGTCTGGTATGAGCACAGGTATTGTTATCTGACTTGATCTTTACTGTGGTCCCTTTCAGTAACCTCCATAATAATTTCTTAGGTTCCTAAATAACAAGCTCTAAGGGCCACTCCTGGGGTGATTTTCAGTGACTTCCCATCAGAATAGTTGTAATCAGCCTTTGTCAATCTTCCACTGTCCCTTTTGCACCTGTCTTCCAATTTCCAGGCACCTGTTAGGCCCAAGCTCACAGTAAGCTGTTATAATGACATCTCTTTGGGACCTCAATCAATAGCTCCCTGGTCAGGTGTGTGCATGCTTTGTATTTAGCTCTCCTGTACTCTACATTTGCTAATCCTAGCCAAGCGTTAAGAAAACAATCTGATTACAGATGTAATCCTGTGACCATCTGCTTGATTTATCACTCCCAGAAAGAATTTGCATTTTGAAAAAGGAGCTTCTTAAAGTAAATGAGTCTTTAATTTTGTGGGTTATTACAATAACTGCTCATTTTATATATATTGAGGGAATTTAAAAACATGCAAATGTGCAGGCCTCAAAATTTTGCATTTTAAAGGTCTCCATTAAGCTTTGAGCATCTGTAGTTTAAAAAACTTTCCAGGTGATTCTGATGTACACCCAGAGTTGCAAACTCCTGGCAATTGGTCGATTATGTATGGGACATTAAAACACATTTTTATTTTTTATTTTTGTCTATTCTTGACCTAAACATCCATCAATTATCCATTGCTGTGTAACAACACACCCTAAAACTTCATGGATTAAACAAAAAATAACAATACTTCTCCTGAATCTGTAGGTCGCTTTGGCTCAGCACGCAGCTCTTCTCTGACTAGTAGTATCAACTGAGTCACTCCTTTGGCTGTATCCAGCTGATGTCTGGGCTGGGTTGGAAGATCTGAGAAGACTTCGTTCACATGGACAGTGCCTCATTCTCTTCCATGTGGCTGGTTTGTTTCTTTTCACAGCATGGTTGTCTCAGGTTAATCAGATTTCTTAGATGGTGGCTGGCTTTATGAATGAAAGCAGAAGCTGCCAGACTTCTTAAACGATAAACCTGGAACTGGCATAGCATCACTTCTGCTATATGTTACTCACCAAGCCAAGTCAAAAGTCCACTCCGGGTTTAAGAGAGTAAGAAGCAGACTATAAATTTTGGTGGGCAGAGTATCATGTGCATAGAGGAAAATAATCAATTCATGGCATCTTGTTTGGAGACTATTTACTGTAACGTCTTCCCATCAATTTGCCAAATAATACGAACTTGCAGCATAACACCTTACCTCTGACGAATGTCAATCCTCATGATATAGGAGTTAAGAAGAAATTACTTAGGCAGATAGTGAGGCTACAGGAGTCCTTGGTAAAGTTTTCCTTTTAATGAAAAGCAGCCCCCAAATCATTTTCTTTTCTAACAAAGAGCAGCCTGTATAATTAAGCTGCAGACATCGATAAGCAAGCTGGAAGCTTGCACGGGTGAATGCCACCAGTTGTGCCGATAGGAAAAGGCTACCTGGGACTAGGCATGTTCAAAATAGTGGCTCCATCTTCCCTTCTCTTTGCCAAACCATGTGTACAGTAAGGAGCAGACAATATGGCCCCTGCTAGGCAAAGACATAATAATAAGATTAGGGTGGGGCAACCAGCCTTTCCCTCTGCACTATGTAAACATCACGCCTGGTCGAACCAATCTGTGAGCCTTACGTAAATCAGACATACCTCCTTAAGCCTGCCTATAAATTCTGGTGCAGTCCACCAAGGGGTGTTTTTTTTTTCCCTTTTGGGAGCTCCTCTGTCTCACAAGGGAGAGAGCTGGTCTCCTCCTTTCTCTTTCTTTTGCCTATTAAACCTCTGCTCCTAAACTCACTCCTCTGTGGTCTGTGTCCTTAATCTTCTTGGCACAAGATGATGAACCCTGGGTATTTACCCCAGACAATGATGCTGCTTCACTTACGCCAAACAAAAAAAGCACCGAATGTCCATATGGACCATCTAAGCATTCAAGACGATCAATGAGTCTCTTAAAAAAGATTTGAGGACTCATGGGTTTCCTCCCTCTCTAATATTGCTGTAGATGTGGCTCAATTGATCAGTTCTAACAAGAGGAACCTCAGGCAATCAATCACTCCGCTTACATTTTTTTCAGTTTCCAAAGCCTAAGGGAGTTTTGTGGGAGGAGAGTATAACCAAATGGAACATGGGCCTTGAGCCCAACAGAAACGGTTTAGACTCTTAGATCTGCCAGCTGTGAGAGACCTTTGGTAAGCTGATTCTCTGAGCCTCTGTTTTGGCTTCAGAAAAGTGAACGTGACATCTTCTTTCAGGCTGTTTGTGAAAACTCAGGGTGATGGTGTTCGTAGATGTCACCTGAACTGTTTAGCAAATGTTGCACCTTTTGCTACTAACATCTCTCTTTTGTAAAAGACATAACTGTAGAAGTATTTAAACTTACAGGAAAAAGAAAGCATTTCGCAAACACTTCTGGGACAAAGAGGAGAGAGAGAGAAAGCTTTGTGTATATTTAATGAGTAAAAGCATATAATTTAAAATGTGAAAGTTAATATCTTGAGTGAGTCACCCAAAATGAATTCTCTGATATTGATAAGCATTGAACGTAGTTTAGTTAGTTTTCCAGAACAATGATTCTACCCTCCTTGGAAAATAGCTTCTAGGAAGTTTAGTGAGGAAGCCTTGAGAAGGCGTCAGCACTCTAAGCCAGGTGGGCTGTAGAGTTACAATCTGAAGCAACCGGTAGAGAGAAAAAAAGAAGAATGGATTACAAAAGATGGGCAAGGTGCCTGGAATTTCACACCTACATCATCTCCTTTGTGGTAAAGGGGAAATCCCAGGATCCATAGCTACCCCTGATATACTAGTATATCCTTGACCTATTGGAGCAAAACTATAGAGAACAATGACTGCATTATTTCACAAGACACCCTTTGATCCAGTTTAGAACACTAGTTTTCCATTCTTCTGTCTAGAATGATGCTATTATATTTCTAACTGAGATTCTTTCAAATCCATAACCTGGTAGTTAATAGGAAAGAAGAATCTCAATGATCTGGGGCCCCTAAACAGAAATGAAGAAGCCTTTTCCCAATCCTGAGATTTTATTCTTGGGACTAAGAGATAGTTAGCTTAAGGATTGGAAGGTAGATAAGTAAAATAGGTTATTGTCTACTGTGTGGTGGCTACTATGCTGGGTACCTCACAATATTTTTCTCATTATATATTTTTACAACTCTACATGCAGGCATTATTACTTCTATTTTATGGATGGAGAAACTGAGACTTAGAGAGTTGGTCAATCGGGTAAGGAAAAAATTCAAAACCTAAAGCATCTAATCAGTGCCTTATTATGTAACAGCAAGATGAACAATTCAGAAATGCAAGATAAAACAGTTTCACCTGTCTCAGAATATGATTGAAAAACTTGACAGATATTTCCAAAAGATATACTTAATTTGAGTAATTTAAATAAGCTTGCTTTTGTATATGTAAGGAACCACACAGAGAGGATATTAACTCTTCTCTTACATCTAAGTAACAATTTTTAAAATGCAGTATTTGATCACAATAAAAAAATAACTAAAAACTACCCTGGGCCAAGAGCAGTGGCTCACACCTGTAATCTCAGCACTCTGGGAGCATGCCTGTAATCTCAGCATTTTTAGGGAGCCCAAAGTGGGAGAATTACTTGAGGCCAGGAGTTTGAAACCAGCCTGGGAAACACAGTGAGACCCCCATCTCTCCAAAAACTTTAAAAGTTAGCCAGGTATGGTGGCATGCATCTGTAGTCCTAGTTACTTGGGAGGTTGAGGTGGGAGGATCACATAAGCCCAGGAGTTTGAGACTACAGTGAGCTATGATTGCACCACTGCACTCCAGCCCAGGTGACAGAGCAAGACCCTGTCTCAAAAAATAATAATGATTTTTCCCCAAATACAGATTTTTTAAGTTGCCCTTTTCTGACTATAATTCAGTAAATTTAGGAATCTAGGGCTATAGTTCATATGCCCAACAAATAGAAAAGCAAAGTAAATAGAATTTTACAAGTTTAACTACTGGGAAAGTATGAATATGGAATGTTCTTTAATATAAGCCTGAGAGCCAAGAAAAAAATAAAAATAGAAATGAAATCCTATCTAGGAATCAGTGGAAAGACGATTACTTATTGTCAAAACCTATTAGAAATAATCTATTATTATAGAAAAATGTGTAGCCTAAATGCCTTTGTTATTTTATCATTGAAAATAAATAATTTTTGTTAAGAATCTAGGGAAAAATACAAAGTAAATCATGAGGGAATACATGGGAATTGATAATGCAAAAGATGAAATTTGTGATATAGAAAACAACACAGTAAAAGGATAAAGGGGAGAAAAAGCTGGTTCTTTGAAAAGACCAATGAACAAAATTAACTTTGGCAAGCATGCTGCAGGAAAAACCAGGGTTCAATTCACTTGCTCCAGGGCACATAGGAGAACATCCGTTATTGATTGATTGATTGATGACAGTTTTATTCTGTCACCTAGGCTGGAGTGCAGTGGTGTGATCTCAGCTCACTGCAACCTCCGCCTCCCAGGTTTATTCTTGTGCCTCAGCCTCCCGAGTAGCTGGGATTACAGGTGGGTGCCACCAAGACCGGCTAATTTTTGTATTATTAGTAGAGACAGTGTTTTGCCATGTTGGCCAGGCTGGTCTCGAACTCCTGACCTCAAGTGATCTGTCTGCCTTGGCCTCCCAAAGTGCTGGGATTACAGGTGTGAGCCACTGCCTTAAATCTGTCATTTAAACCCTGCCCATCTGTACCCAGAGCCCTGTCTAATACATCATATGCATACTATGACAGAAATAAAAAATATTAGAGCATTAATAAACTGACTTGAAGATAGTCAGTAAAGGTTTCTCAACATATCCAAGATGCACGGGCAATAAAGAGCTGGAAAGACTTGTATTCTTCCTCCTTTCCCTTTTGTGGTCACAAGTGGTTGATTCCTGGTTCACACTGAGGATTCATGTGTGAGCTATGGCTAGGTCATTATGACATTTTTGCATTTCAGAACATTTCTGTAAGTTTTCCATCAATCCCAAGTATAAAAGATTCAGAGAAAGATGAGGAGACTGAAACTAAGAGGAGCAAAATGACCGGTCCAAGAGAAGAAACCAGAATTGGACCCAAGGGGCTTTATTGAACTTGGTTTATGTATCAGACATATAGAAAACCTTCTATAGTCCACGGGGTATTTTTTTGTCGTTATTATCCTCGTTCTTCCCAACAATGATGCTAAGGCACAGAGACGTTCAGCCACCTGCCCAGGGTCACACAGCCAGTGATCTGCCTGACTCCGCAGCCCATGCTTGCAAACACTCTACTGAAGCATTTCCTAATACCTGCTGGAGCATTTGGGCCCTCCTGATGGGCTCCCCTCCACCTCTCTGCCTCCCACGATGTGCCCTCACATTTCCTTGCTGGACCCAAGAGCTGTGAAACACATTAGGAACTAATAGTCTAGGAGGGGCATGGGCTTGTGGAAAGAAAACACCACAGTCCCCTTCCTCAGCTGTACTGTTCTTTCCTTCAGCTGATATTTCTCAGGTTATATAAATGGAATGTTATACAAATGTTTCCGCCATGAGTTTCCTTTCAAAAGATGAATAAAAGAATGAGGCATTTTGTTTTCCTTTGTTCCCTGGTAGCACCTATGTTAAGAATTTGTGCTTAAAACATGACTCACTAATTCTTGGAGCAGAGCACAAGGAAGTATACAGACCTAATAGCTCTGTGAGATGTAGGCTTGAGCTTGTGTGGGAAAGAATCCATTGGAACCACGTAGATGAAGTTTCATTCAAAAACAATCCTCCCCGCCCTTACCCCTTCCCCAACAGCTCCCAACATGACTGCGTTGTTTAAGTAGCCGATTGCTCTCTTGTATGACTGTCAAATATTTCAGGCAAGTGATATCTAGTTCTTCTATAAGTGGGTGCATGCTGAATTGTTAAGGTTTATAATTATTAACTGAATCATTGCTTTGTTGTTCGATAGGCAGTCTAGATTTTGGAATGGTTATTTACAGAACGAAGGCAGGAGGGAAGCGGTTTAAATACAGCGCAGGGTAAATAAGTTGAAAAGTACCTAATTTTTGTGGATTTAAGTACAATAAGCTTTCAACTAAACTCACTGCATTTTAATTCCTTCAGTCTATGTATGTTATGGGCAGAAAATAGCTTCTCTGTTGGAATGGTGCGATCCAATTCTCAGTGCACAGAAAGACATTTTTGGAACCTGCTTTCTAGAAAGTGACCTATGTGGGCAATCCCTGCTTCAGCACCCCCTTCAGCTCCAGTAATTTGATTGCCCAGAATATTCTCATTATAATTCACTGGCACATGGGAACTGCACAAATAGCAGTGAGTCAGCGTGCTGGCTATTGGGGATCCACAAGCAGGATACTCAGGTGCTCAGGATATTTTCTTTGGAAGGATCCCTTCTAAAGAATGTCTTGTCTTTGCAAGAGACAATGAGGAATGGGAAGTCACTCTGGGTGTGACTATTTATCCCTCTTCTTTCATATTCATTGCTCAATTCCTTCAAAAACCTAAGTCCTGGAGCAAAGAGGCATTTAGGGAGTCAGCTAGAAGGACTCTCCAGAGGCTGATAAAATTTCTCCCAGTAGCCTCTGCTATCTATTCATCAGATCCCAAAGCTGTCAGAGAAAATCTGGTATTTTCTCCTGCTAACTGTTGCATAGACTGGCAATCAGGCTTACCACCAAGTTTTCCTTTATTATCAAAATGATATTTCTCCTAGATAACTTAGTGCTCTTTTCTCTGATTTAGGACTCAACAATACCAACCTCACCAACATCAGTAGGGCTACCTCTATCATCAGTATCATCACCACCACCCTCAGTAACATTCCCAACAAAAACTACCATCGTGGCTCCTAACCTGCACCACTTCCACAGCCACTGCCATCATCGCTACTTCCTTTAATTCAGCAGTTATTTACTGAGCAGTTATTTACTCAGTTATGCACTGAAGATAACCAAGCACTGTGCTAGTGAAACCAGCCCAATTGCTCCGTAGAAATAATGTGTATGGGTTTTTTGAATAAATATAGAAATTGACTCTCCTGATCTTAAAATTTGAAGCTTCTATTTGCCCCATCTGAAATCTCTTCTCAGGAAACTGACCCTCAGGCAATGGACTGAAACTCACCAGATCACCACATCCAGATAATGAGAGCTCACACCCCTCATTCATCATGACTGCTTCCTTATCACTCCCGAACTCCTTCCTGCTTGTAGCTACGTTCCTTCTCTGCTATATAAACCCCCAATTTTAGTCAGGCAGGTTTGAGACTCATCTCCTGTCTCCTTCGCTGCAGCACCCAGATAAAGCCTTCTTACCTGGCACCTCTCATTGTCTCAGGGCCTAGCTCTCCAAGCAGCAAGCAACAGGACCAAGACCAAACCCCTGGCATTTTGGTAACATTAGGCCCTAAGAATATCAAGAAGATAATACCAGGATTTTTGCCTTGAAGGACAATACTATAGGAACTTAGAAACGTATATAAATGGCAATTATAAAAATGTGGAGAGGTATATGCCATAGGAGGTATATAAATAAGTGATCCGCCCACCTCAGCCTCCCAAAGTGCTGGGATTACAGGCATGAGCCACCTCGCCTGGCCACATTTCCACTCTGATCATCTTCCTCTTCCTCTCTCTTTCTTTCTTTTTCTTTTCTTCTTCTCCTCCTTTTCCTCCTCCTCCTTCATTGGGCTGACTGTGTCTAATGTTAAAATAAATGGATAATGTAACCTTGGCCTTCTTTCAAATATGACAAAGTTGTTCTTTATTTTAATATGTAAAACTTTATAATCAGTTGCAAATTACAAACACCAGACAGAATTTGTCTAAACAGAAAAACTGAGTACGCTTAATAATCCCCTATTTTTTTTTTTTTTTTCAGGGATCAGGGGGAATGTGAGAAAAAAACGGGGGGGGGGGGAGATAGAAATAATCTTCATTGCAAAATACAATTTTAAAAGTTTTATCATGAAGAATAAGCAATGCTAATTTTCTTTTACGTTTTAAGAAATGGGCTTTTAGAAGCAGGGTCATTTGAAGGCAGACAGTTTCTCTGTTCGGGGAACATTCATACTTGCTCCTGGACTTCTAACGTGATATCATCATTTCCTCATATTACCACCATTGCAATAATGTTCTTTTGCCCACACCTTGCCAACTGTACACATTCAACTATAATAAGATACATAAAAGGATCATACGCTTGAAATATTCCTTAAACCTGTCTAGCACCATCAAACTGCAATGATAGATTCTTGTCCAAAAGTCTTTTAAATTCAGGTAGAAGAGAGAGGTAAGATTATCTTATGATTTTTCTGGTGAACCTAGCCCTACTTTGATAAAGAGTGTTCTAGTTATCTATTGCTATATTCAAATTATTTTTAAAACTCAGTGACTTAAAAAGTAACCATTTCAAGATATCTCTATTGTGTGCATAAACATTTTAAGATGGATCTAGAATTCATTCCTTTTTCCTTTTCACCTTAACTACAGTGGCCACAGATGCTCTACTGTGTGCCTCTAGAATTTAGGCAGAGCTTGGCTGCTTTCTTCTTGTGTTCCAAGGAACATCAAGCAAGGTAACTCGGTGGTACTCAGCTTGCATTCAGTGGTACTCAGCTGGCAGGTGGGCTGATCTGAGGGTTCCAAGGTGGCTTCACTCACACATCTGATGCCTTTTTCATAATGGATAGCACAGCTGAAGGCTGGTCAAGCATTTATTTCATCTTGTATCTACTCTGCATGTCTGGCGTGGACTTTTTGACAGCATGAATTCCAGTGGCTGGGATTCGAAAGTGTTCCAAGAAAAATCATTTCATTCCAAGAAACCCAGAACAAAGAGAACATATATTCTAAGAAACCCAGGAAGAAGCTTTAAGGCTTCTGGTAACCTAGTCTTGGAAATCCCAGAATGTCACTTCGGCTGCATTCTGTTGATCAATTATGTCCCCAAGACCAACCCGGGTTTAAAAAAAAAAGGTTCAGACTCTTTTTTTGGGAGGTTACGTGTGGTAATTTAATACATTTATATAATTTGTAAAGATCAAATCAGTATACTTAGGATGTCCATCACCTTAAATATGTGTGCTTTCTTTGTGCTAGATATACAGACTGCCCCTCTTGATGAAAGAAATAGCAAGGGATCTGTGGCCATCTTTAATATATTATAGAAGGAATAGCAAGAACAAAGTTGAGAAATGCAGAAAAAAATATGCATTCTTGTCAGAGAACTGAGTCATAAAGTTGGGATGGATTATCAAGTTCATGGGAGTTAAATCTAGAAAAGAAAAGAAGAGGCATAGGAGACAAGATTGAGAACTCTGTACTTAAAGAAGTGGGAAATGGGAGAACTGATAAAAGGATATGAGTGATCAGAGAAGATGTGGGTATTGGTGAGGGGGTTGCTGAATGGTGGGGATGGGGAATGGGTTGGAGGTAGGATACACTGTAAGTAAGTAGAAAAGCCCACTGAAGCAGAGGCAACTGGAAAAGTCTTGGGGAGAGTTTGCCCAGGTCCAAACCATATGTTGCTGAGGTAAGAAAGGAACAGATAGAGAATTTCCAAGATGTATATATCATTATCATCTATAGTGTTGTTGTTCATTATGAGACAGTCTCCTAGTGGCATGCAGAGTGTAGGAGGATAGGTGGTAAATGAATGAAACTGACTTACAATGGCTTGCAAATATTAATAACAGGGAATGTATTGGCTCATGTAAATTAAAAGTCCAATGTTGCATCCAACTTTAAACATTTGATTCAGTTGAATAATGCCACTAGGATTATCTCTTGTCTCTGACTTCTCTGTGTGGTGACATTATTCCTTAGCTATTTCTTCTAATGTTGACAAAATATCTGAAATAAGTATAAACCTCACATCTTCACACCATCAAATCCTGTGTAAAAGAGTATTCTTCTCTCTCTTAGAAACTCTAGCAGATGATTCTTTGTGTTTAATTGGCTAAGATTGGGTTTTAGAATTCAGTTCAGTGTAACTTTTCTCTCCCATCAGTTGCTCTATGCCCTAAGTTTTACAGGGGCAGGCATCAGTGTGGGTTTACCAGAGCTGCCTATGACAAGAAGAGTATGTCCCTCTAATTCTGGGACTCAGTATTAGGAGGCCTGTGGCATATTTTATTTTCTGAAGATGGTTCAAACAATACCACCCATCTCACAGACTCTTTGGAACCTTATCATTCTTCCATCAAGTAATGGAGTCTCTTTCTCAACTTCCACTGGCTGAGGGCAAAAAAGAAAAAGAAAAAGAATAATAAATAAATAAATGTAGTCTGTTTTCCCTAACCTTGAATCTAGGCAGTACAGTATGTGACTATTTTGATCTACAGAGTATGGCAAAAGTGATAATATTGTTACTTCCAAGACTAGGGCATAAAAATGGTATGCACTTCCTCCTTATTCTCTTGGAATGTTTGCTCTTGTAATCTCACTCCAGGTTGCAAGAAAGCTCAAGTAGCCTATGGAGAGGATGCAAGGCTTCCAGCTGATGCCCTCAGCCAGGCTCAGTAGCAGCCAGAACTAGCCTACCAACGAACCTGCTGATCATGTGCATAAGCCACCTTGAACGTCGATCCTCCTGCCTGGTGGAGCCATCCCAGCTGATGCCACATGAAGCAGACACAAGCTGTCCCTACTAAGCTCTGCTCAAGTTGGATATTCATGAGTGAAATAAATGACTGTTACTAAGTAATTAATTTTTGGGTGGCTGTTATGTAGCAGTAGATAATTGGAACAAAGCTTATTGACATAATACATCTATATCACATCCTCCAATCCATTTTTTTAAGTAATAAAGTTGATGTTTGTTTTGATTTTCAGTTACAGCTTTACATATTTTGTCTTAATTAGTCAATTTTTTCCAAACTCAAAATGGGTTTTTGTAAGAGTAGTAGTAGGGTCCTAGAATAATGGCAATTCTCTTTCACTGGAGAAAGTTTTGTAGAGAAGACAAAAGAATTTTTACAAGTACTCCACTGGTGAAAACTCATAAACCTTGAAGGTATTTTTAAATTCATCATGCATTTATCAATTTATAAATGAATTCATCATTCATTGGTCCATTCATCCATCCCTCCATCCATTTCTAGATCCTCTCATAAGAGGAAATCTAGGAATAAGCCTGATCAGTGAAAGTTTCATGGGAAAGAGGAAGGAGGAAGAAATTATTTTATTTTTAGAGTTTTGGGAGTTAGTGGTTATGGACTTGCACTGGAGAAGATGGGTGAGAAAGTTCAAGGTTTCTAAAATGGGAAAGTAGGCCTGGAGAAAATGTTGCAACCAAGATTATAAGGCCAATTACCAGGTCTGATTACCAGAAAATAATTTTTAAGGCAGGAATATTAGGCCATATCAGTACCTGAAAGAGTGATCGAGGCTAATTTGTTCATTCATGTAACAACAATTTATTATGTGCTACTAAGTACCATCACTATATTATAAACTGAGGGTTCAGTAGTGGATAAGAGAAACTAATTCCCTGGCCTAATGAAGATTTCATTCAACGGGGAAAACAAGAAACATATATGTAAATTAGCAAAAGTTAATAATATCATTCAAAGAGTGCTAAGAGCTCTGAAAATAGTAAAGCAGGGTGACTGATAAAACAGGACTAAGCAGGTAACAGTAAGAGGTGATCAGGGAAAAAACCTCTGAAGAAAACATATTTGATCTGGAATCCAAATGGCAAGTAGAATGAAGAAGGTAAATAATTCATACAAGAGCATATCTCTTCCATAGCAAGTGCAAAGACCCTGGGCAAATGCCATAGTTGAGCTAGCACCCACCACTGGCTTCAAGTGATGGGTGAGTGATACAGACTCAAGGAAAGGGCCAAAAGGGCAGACAAAACCAGTTCAATTTGTCACTTATTCATCCACCCATTGATCCATCTACTGATCCATTTATCCATCCATCCATCCATCCATCCATCCATCCATCCATCCATCTATTCAACATACATGTTGGGTGCCCTTTACATACCAGGACCTGTACTGGGCATGGGAACTGCAGAGATGAAAAGATGAACAATCTCTGTACTTGAGGGACTCATCTCACTCTGTGAGATGAACTGGCATGTGACTGAAAACTCACTATATTGGTAACGAGACTAAAACACAGAGCTTAATGATTTAACCTGATACCACCCAAGTGGTTAGCGGTTAGTGGCAGGGCTTCAGAATTTTATTTTCCTTCCCTACAGGGAAAACCATTATGTGTGACCTACTTTTTCAAACTCTCTTCCTCAGTGGGGCAACAATTAGAGTTTATCTATTGCTAGTGCTTACCATTTTAGGCTCCTTTAATTAGAGTGTTTTAAATTAGTGTTATTTTAATTTTGCTTATCTCCTGAGACATTATAGAGGATAAATAGCAAATGAAATAATGTACATGAAAACACATTGTAACCCATAAACCATCATACAGATGTGTGTTATATACAGTTTTATATTTGAGGATATAGCTTTATGCATTAGTACTGCTTCCTCCTCAGGGATGTCTCCAAAAGAATTCAGAGTAAAACAGACTTGTGGATTGATGCTTTAAAGACATTTTGTATTTTCTTTAAAAATAAAATTGACTCACAGTAGGTGCTTAATAAATATTTGTTCAAAGAATGCATAAGATGCAATATTCAGAGACATAGATTCAGTGTAGTAGGCATCAGTGTGGCTACTTGGCTACTTACTGTGCAAAAGATGTCAATTTGTGAGTGCAAATTCATCTTAAGGAAATTCTCTGATTTAATTTAAGCATTGGTAGAGAGATTTACTATTATCCTCCTTGGAAATGAAAAGCATATAGCTCAGGGAAGGAAGATCACATTTTTAGGAGAACTATCTGGGGGCAGATTACCCAAAGTGTTAATTATTATAATTACTATTGTTAAGTTGGTTTTAAAGTCCTATATGATGTAATATCATGTTCTCTTTTTGTTTCTCCAGCTGAGCTGATGATCTTTTAAATAAAAAACTACAACCACCTGTCTTAATCTAGAGACTACTCAGTGGTTGATTTTTCAGGATTGGAGCCAGGCTGTCTGGGTTCAATTACAGGCTCTTAGACTTTGAATTTGTTTCTTAACTGCTCTGTCCCTAAATTTTCTTTCTTTTTTTCTTTATTATTATTTCTTTTTTGGTAAAACAGGATTTATAAGTAGTATATGCCTCATAAAATTGCTGGAAGAATTAAATGAATTAATTTATGTAGTGTACTTAGAAGAGCATTTATGTTAGCTAGTATGTGTCTACTTACTTTGACCTCCCATTGGATTGTAAAAGCTGGAGAACAAGGGCTCTGTCTTATTTTGCTGATGTTTTCTTCAGTGCTGGGACTAGGGTGAGGTGAGCGAAGCACCTGACTGGCTGCAAAATTCAGTGAGAGTGTAGGGGAAGCAAAAAACATAAACAACCAAGATAAATAATATTTTAGTGCAGTGCTTTTAAAAATCAAAATTAGTGGCCGGGCGTGGTGGCTTATGCCTGTAATCCCAGCACTTTGGGAAGCCCAGGTGGGCAGATCACAAGGTCAGGAGATCGAGACCATCCTGGCTAACACGGTGAAACCCCGTCTCTACTAAAAATACAAAAATTAGCTGGGCGTGGTGGCGGGCGCCTGCAGTCCCAGCTACTCAGGAGGCTGAGGCAGGAGAATGGGCCTGAACCCGGGAGGTGGAGCTTGCAGTGAGCCCAGATGGCACCACTGCACTCCAGCCTGGGTGACAGAGCAAGACTCCGTCTCAAAAAAAGAAAAAAAAAAAATCGAAATTAGTGCAAACATTCCATTGTGAACATAATATTTTAAATAAGACTGGATTTGTATTAATCATTATGTAAGACCATTTCATTTGGTCAAGAGAAATTGTTAAACATAGCAATTTCCCCAGATGAAAATGAGATAAGCAAGAAGCTGATTTTGAATATGTTGGTGAGTTTTCTCATCAACAAAACAGGAAATTAAAATTAAAATAAGTTTATTTTGGGTATAAATAAAATATTTAATCTTAAAATAATGTATTGAATTTTAGTACACCTACTTTTAGACTTCAATATTCTTCAATGATTTTAGTGTTCTTAAAAAAGTTACAAACATATTAATACGCCACATGAATGGCCAATAAATATATGAAAAATACTCAATTTCTCTCATCATGAGGGAAAAGCAATAAAACCACAATGAGATATTACTTCAAACCTGTTAGAACAGCTGCTATTAAAAAGACAAATCATGAAAAGTGTTGGTGAGGAGGTGGAGAAAGAAACGCTTGTACACTGCTGGGGAGAATGTAAATTAGCATAGAAATTTTGGAAAATGGGAGTTTCCCAAAAAAAAATACTAAAAATAAAATGACCACATAATCCACAATCCCATTTATGGGTGTATATTCAAAAGAATTGAAATCAATATTCAAAAGAATTGAAATCAGTATGTCAAAGACATATCTGCACTCCCATGTTAATTTCAACATTTTTCACACCAGCCAAGTTATGGAAGCAATCTAATCTATCAACAAATTAATGGATTTTTAAAAATATAGTATACATATACAATGGTATACTATACAGTCTTTAAAAATAAGGAAGTTCTAATATTTGTGACAGCATGGATGGAACTGGAGGACATTATGCTAAGGGAAATAAGCCAGGCACAGGAACACAAATATTATATGCTCTCACTTATATGTGGAATCTGAAAAAGTCAGTCTCCTAGAAACAGAGAATAGACTGGTGGTTACCAGAGGCTGGGTCAAAGGGGAAAGGATGGGGAAAAGGAAGATGTTGTTAATTGAAGGGTACAAAGTTTTATTTATTGGAGAAATAAATATTATTTCTTGGAGAAAAGATTTTAATACTCTATTGCACTGCATGATGACCGCAGTTAATAACAATATATTGTATGTTTCAAAATTACTAAAAAAGATTTTTAACATTCTCACAACCAAAAATGATAAATTATTGAGGTGATGGATATGTTGATTTAGTTAAATCTTTTGATAATGTATACATAGATCAAAACATCACATTGTATCCCATAAATATACATGATTTATAAATTAAAAATAAAATAAAATTAAATCTTTATATTAAAACATATATAGGCCAGGCACGGTGGCTAGTGCCTGTAATCCCAGCCCTTTGGGAGGCCAAGTTGGGCGGATCACAAGGTCAGCAGTTTGAGACCAGCCTGCTCAACATAGTGAAACCCCGTCTCCATTAAAAATACAAAAAAATTAGTCGTGGTGGTTGGTGCGTGTAATCCCAGCTACTCGGGAGGCTGAGGCAGGAGAATCGCTTGAACCCAGGAGGCGGAGGTGGCAGTGAACCTAGATCATGCCACTGCACTCCAGCCTGAGCGACAAGAGGGAAACTCCATCTCAAAAAAAAAAAAAAAATGTACATAGGGGCACATGTTTTTTCTTGATCCTCATATTCCAACATTGTTTGGCATTACTCTGATATTCCTGGATCCTTGTACAGATTCTAGTGCATACAGGGTGTTCAATTCATATTTGTGAAAAGACTTGTGAGCTCTATGAGGACAGGGCAATAATATGTCTGTCTTTTGAATCTCCTCTCTTCAGTATCTAGTACAGTAGAGAATGTACTAGTACAGTAGAAAATATACTCCTAATACCCAGAAGAGGATAAACACATGTTAGCTGAATGTTTGTTGAATGAAAAAATTACCTTAACTCCAGCTTAATTTAAACGTTAATTCATATCATGCTATTGAATTTTGTTGTATACTGAGATGTTCACTGTGGATTACAGAAGTCTGCTTTATGAAGTCCTAACCATTGACGTGGGCATTCTAATCCTTCTCTTCCACTTGAGATACCGTAAAGAGACTGAGAACAAGAGTTAGCAAGGAGGAAATGCCCCACATAAATCTCTGTGTCTTTCGCTGGCAAAATTACTAAACTAATAGCTTCCAAAAGTTTCTCACCACGATTTTTATGAGCTATTTTTTAGATTGAGGCTACAGTGCAGCCATCACTGCACTCTCCCTGGGCAACAGAGCCTGGGTGACAGAGCAGACCCTGTCTCAAAAAAAAAAAAAAAAAAAAGATATATTTTGTATATTATGATATGGTACATACATACACATATGTATATTTACATATGATTAAAACAAAAGTGTCATCAAATACTAGTATTATGTAATATGCATTCTATACTTAAATTTTTCAACAAATTATTAAAAATGCATTTGTGATGACTTCAAAGTAGCTTAATGAACTACAAAGGCTATGTCCCACAGTTTGCAAAACATTTCACTAGACTAAGTTTTTTAGAGCAAACCATTTTATCTCTGTTTATGCACCTAATATGGCCATTGGTTCAGGGAAGGTGTTTAATGAGTCATTTAGGCTGTAGGCTTTGATGCAAAGGATAGGCCACTAGTTTGAGTCCTAGCTTTGTTGCTAACCAGCTGTATAAATTTGGGCAAATGAGTTAACTGCCATGAGTCTCTTTCTCTCCGTTTCCAATAATAATGATGACAATAACAATAATCATAACGAAAATTGGTTGAAGGGTTACAATGCACCTGCATCATTGGGATGATTGAAACTTGACACAGGTGCTGTGGGGACCAAATGGGATCAACGTATAAAGCACCTGCCATGAATGAGAAACTTAGTCATTGTTGAGGCAATTTTCCCCTTCACGGGTCTTCTAAGCCATGGCTTTCTACTGGGAATCAGAAGCATGTTGCTTGCTCCTTTGGGTATTTGGCACGCGTTGAACTGGGAAGAGCCCAGTGCTTTGAAGAGCACTGTGAGAGTGCACCACAACCCGCATTCTCAAATACCCATCTTCTAGCCTTCCTCCTGGCCCATTTGCAACTCTTTGGTCTGCTTTTGTGGTAGTTGAGTCCAGCTGGCCTCCATCCACATTCCAGTCTTTCTGAGAACAGTGGCAGCATTGTTGATGTCTGAGACCCACAGGACAAAGAGCTCATGTCCTCAGGCTACCTGTGGCATTTCTGTCCCAGGACATTGTACTGTTCTCCTCATTGGTCTCACCAACACAGGGGACCAGAGAGGAGAGAGGGCTGGGCCAAATGCACTATGAATGTAAACCACAGGGGACAGATGAATTGTTTGAATGTCTATTCTGATTGGGTTGTCTATAAAGGAAGAAGCATTTATGCTTGTTTTTAACAAGGTTCTCGCCTTTCCCAGCTGCACTGGCTCACCTTGTTCACATTGACTCAATAATGTCACAGTCTTAGCATCTGAGAAGTCATCCATTGCTCGGGAAAAAAACTTGCAATAATATCAGTTCTAATACCAATGCCTTCTAAACGTATCTATCACCCTACAACTGTACATAATTACCATTTATCGAAAATATACCATATTTTATTTGCTTGACATAGACCATTTCAAATCTTTGTAAGAACAAAGTGTAAAGTGAATTAACATGCCTAGTTTGCAAATTTAAATATATATATATATATATATATATATATATATATATATATATATATATATATACATTTGTTAAGAAAAGTTGAATGTCCTTCAAATCATCCAGCTCATATTTATGGAATTTGAATCAGAGCTTAAGTCTGTCTGATTCTGGAGCCAAGTTCTATTGTCTTCCTACAGCACCTGTTCACAAACAGGTGATGTTTGATTATTAATGTTCTCATTAATAATCATAGTTCACATTAAATTTACTGAATGTCTTCTGTCTGGCTCTGTTGTAAACACTTCACATGTACTACTGGTATCACTTATTGCCTACAACTCTATGAGAAAGGCATCTTATTATCCCATTTTTTCAGATGATCACACCGAGGTACAGCTACACTTGGCAAGACTGGGTGTTGCTGTAAGTACAGGATCTGGATTTGAATCCAGGCAGTCTCTGTCATTGACCACTAACCTGTGTTTTTTCATGTTCCCTCTTTTTTTGGATCTCATACTACCTGTGAAAGACAGCAAACATTATCAGTGCTTTACAAGTGAGGGCACTGAAGGAATTTACTTGCTCCATATTACAGAGCTTCTAAGTGGAAGAGGGATTGAATCTGGGTCTCTTGGCTCCTGGTTCAGTGCTTGCTTCATTAAATCAGAATATGTCATTGAAGACGCTCCTTACCTGCCCTGTGCTTGGCACCTGGGTATGCTGAGAAGGTGCATAACATCGATGAGCTTTAGGACTTGGATGGGTCACATAGCTTGGGTTCAAATGGAATCTTCCTCTCCTGCTGGTGTGCTTTGCTAGTTCCTTTCACTCGGCTGTTACAGCCTGGCTCCCTGCACTGCCTTGGCCTTCAGCATGTGCCTGGTTCTTCCTCCTGCCTCCTTGCTGCCCATCAGGGCTCCTTGGGGACTTCCTATATTCAAGGTATCTTTTCAGTATAGCAATACTTTGTCATCTGACTTTCTTTTGGCTAATTGGAGATCTTGTCTCTAATTAAATTGCTGGCCATAGCCTAGTAGGAAAAAATTGGGAATATCTCAACCAGCACTTTTCAAAATATCCACTCTCCACTTTCTGCATACAATGCATGAAAGACACAAGAGAATGCCTGCCTATATCCTCTTGTATGTATCTTATGGCCCTTCCAAATAGAATAACATGTGGCTAGATTCATAATAAACACCAACAGAGGCAAGAAAAGAAGGGGAGGTAAGTAAACTTTACTGCATGCCACTTGTGTGATGGGAATTTTCATGTATACTATCTCTTTATTCAAACAACTCTTTGAGATAGGAACAATTATGCTTACCCTCCTCATGTTTAAAGGGGAGAAAACTAAAGCTCAGAAATAGAAGTAAATTCAGCTAGAACTGGTAGAACAGGGACCCATATCTAAGACTACATCACTTTAAAAACCAATGCTTTCATCATAAAATTGCTGTTCCTCATAGTTCAATATGTTAAGGGTATTTACCATATATGTGTGTATCACAAAAGCACTTCTTTCTTAAGTTTTAATTGAAATGATTTTTCTACCCTTTGAGTTTGCATAAAGCTCATAGAGTTATTTTTCCTAATTATATTACACATACTTGTTCACAGAATGACTGTACTTCTTATTTTGGCAACAGTCTCAATTTCTGATAATTTCATTCTTTTCAAATATGTATACCTAAAATTGATCAATTTGCATTGCACCATAGAACATTAATTTAAAGAAATTCATAAATTAACAAAATCCCCTGTTGAATTGTTCAGATTGGTATTGGATTTGGAAACAAGTTGCACACAGCTATATACATGAGCATGCATATATTAAATGCTGTGATTCTATCACATGTCTGCATGTAACTAAGCAATAATTGCAAAGTCCATCTGTTTTAAATGATGTCAAATGGTATTCAGCACACTAATCATTAAGAAGTGACAAGATGTGAAATGTGCTTTGTGTTTCCAAAGTAAGTAAAGGGCTGTTTTGAACTTAATATATGGTGCATGCACTACCTTCTCTTCTAGTTTCTTTATAATCAATGGAGAAAATCTAACACGTAAAGCTTTGGCTCCGTGCACACTTTTCCTTCCCCATATTCCGTATTCCATCTCAGTTCTGCTCACACTATCCAGGACCTCCCTCCACAAATATTTTCTCAGGTTTGCCTCAGATAACCTCATTGCTGACTCAGATTTTTGGATACGTACATTATATATTAAGAATGAACCTCTTGTTCCAAGACCTTTAAGCCCTATATTTAAAAGAATAAGTAAATAACAGCCATTTAGAATGAGTCTTTTAAATTACAAAAGGAATTCTCACTGGTTTTCTAGTTCTGATCATCTAAACTGAAAGTGACATCCACGATATCATCCAGAATCCTGTGAAAAGTCTGATTTCAAGAGTGAATACCTATAAGTATCTATTATATGCCAGGTAGTATGTTCTAAGCTGTGCAGTTCCATTTTACCTATGGAGGCAACAAAGATCGTATGCTTTCTATATGTATTGCATCATACTAGGTGCTATGGAGTATTAGAAAACTATAGAAAAATATTATTTCATCTGAAAAAACTTTTCAGTTAGTTACTTGAGGGAGAAGAGATTTAACATAGATTAAAAAGTGATCGTCAACTACTGGGAACTTCTTCCAGAAGGGAAATCTAAATTGGCTCTTCATAGACAGAAGGTTGGAGAGGAAACTCAAAGGTAAGTTGAATGTGGCTGGTGTGAAAGAGAATGGCCAGCTGAAACACAAGGCCACTGAGAACTGTTGAGAGATGGTTTTACATAGATTTTATGACACCAGGATCTTCTCAGACCAGAATGGGTTAGTGGAAATAGTACAGGCTTTAGAAACAAACCAGTTTAAACCATTGCTCTGCTACTCAATATCTAATAACAGCATCAGGTAAATTATTTAACCTCTTTAAACCTGAAGTGCCTCATTTGTAAAATGGAGATAATAAGATTGTCTACCCCACCTTATTATTGTAAGAGATTAAATGACACAATCTGTTACAAATTGGTATGTCAATTTGTCTGCTCATAATTGTCAGATTATTTTGGCAAACAATGGCTGTGACAATAACAGGCAGGTGGGGTTGTGAATTTGCTCCCCAACAATCTTACTTGAGGAAGGGATTTTTTGATGAGAGCAAGTCTCAGAAAGAATTCTGCCACTTGTACAAACATTTATTATCAAATACATCCCAAATAGTCATGCAGCCTATTCCCAGAAACTTGGTGATTTCTCCCTCTCTATCCTTTTAGTTGTTTCAATAAGCACCTTGCATGCAATCCTTACTCTGAGGTGCACACAGGTTCAGGAAATTATCCAGTAAGATAAGATGGGCCGGGCACGGTAGCTCACGCCTGTAATCCCAGCACTTTGGGAGGCTGAGGTGGGAGGATCACGAGGTCAGGAGTTCGAGACCAGCCTGGCCAATATGGTGAAACCCCGTCTCTACTAAAAATACAAAAAAATTAGCCGGGCATGGTGGCGGGCATCTGTAGTCCCAGCTACTCGAGAGGCTGAGGTGAGAGAATGGCGTGAACCCGGGAGGTGGACTTTGCAGTGAGTTGAGATCATGTCACTGCACTCCAGCCTAGGGGACAGAGCGAGACTCCATCTCAAAAAATAAAAAATAAAAAAAAATAAGATGACAGAGACCTCCATTAACTAGAGGAGAAAGATGATCAAATAGAATTCTAGACCTAGTTATGCCAAAGATGTTAGGCTACTGGGCTTGTCAATGTCATCTGCTTTATTCATGAAAGAGTAGACTTGTCTTATAATGTTTCTTGTCAACTACACATCTTGAATATCATTTATTTCACCAAGGAATTATTTCTGGCATCCTTATGCTAATCAGCAAACCCTCTGATGTAGACATGGATAGTGCTACTAAGCACTTGCACTGTTATATCTAGAGTGTGGACTCCTGGATGCACCCCTACAAATATGAACTAATCATACTATGCTGTGATTTCCTGATCTCTGTTTCTGCCCCAAAATATGAGCTCCAGGAAGGCTTTTAAAATGTGTTTTATATACCACTGCATTCAAAATACAAAAAGCAATGCCAGTCACATAATTGGTGCTCAATAAATATTAGGCAAGTGAATGAACAAATTAGTAAATGAAGAAATGTATCACCCTCAGGGTTTAAATTAAGGCTAATATAATGCATTTATATGCATGTATTACTAATATATATTAGAGTAAGTTACAAGTAATATAGCATGTAAAGCATCTGACACATTGTATACATTGCTTTTCCCTCCTAATACAAACTCATTAAGTATCTCATTCTTCTCTGCAACTTCTAAAACAGAGGCTTGAACAAATTAGATATCAGTTATATTAAATTAGGATAAATGCATAGTTTTATGCATTCATTTTCCTCATAAGTAAATTGGAGATAATACTTCCCATTCTATCTACCTTATTGGACTGTTGTGATATTCAGAACACAATGAATGTGACAAAAATGTATAAAGTGCTATAACATAAGACAATATTGCAAAATATAAACCGTGAAATATGTACATCAGAACTATCTGAATTACTTTGAAAATATTGAGTCCCGGGACTCTCCTCAAGGTTTTCTAATTCATAGCGTGGCAAAGATACCTGAAAATTTGCCTTTTAATAAAATCTCCAGATAATTCTTTTTCACTTTTTAAATTTTTAAAATATTTTTATGTTCCTTTTTTTGGTCCCTGGGTGCTTCATAAACTTTTTTTTTTTTTTTTTTGAGACAGAGTCTTGCTCTGTCACCCAGGCTAGTGTGCAATGGCGCAATCACGGCTCACTGCAACCTCTGCCCCCAGGGTTCTAGGGATTCTCCTATCTCAGCCTCCCAAGTAGCTGAGATTAGAGGCGCCCACCACCACACCTGGCTAATTTTTTTGTATTTTTAGTAGAGACAGGATTTTGCCATGTTGTCCAGGCTGATGTTGAACTCCTGACCTCAGGTGATCCACCTGCCTCGGCCTCCCAAAGTGCTAGGATTACAGGCATGAGCCACCACACCCAGCCACATAATTTTTTAAATTGTCCTAAGAGATAAAAAGGGAGATGGTAGTGGTGTTTGCAGTGAGGATGATGACAAGGTGAACCACAACAATGACTGGAAGAGGAGCTCCATGAGACAAAGGAAAGACAATGACTTTTTGCTTGCCATTGTAACCTTGGCACCTGTTCTATAATCAGTGATCAATATATGGCTTTTGAATGATTTGATGGTGATGATGCTGTCTTTGAAACTCTCTTTGTGACACCCAACACAGTGAAGGTGACTTGTTCTTTGAGACAACAGATGCAGGTCAAGCATGTGAATTTCTGTCTGTGTCTTGCCAAAAGGAAGAGGATTTCCTTCTTGTGTTTTCTTCCTCTTCCATTTGAACAATGTCCACAAACTAGGAGAAGGTATATAAACACATAGATTGTGTTTGCACACCCAGCTCTGGGTTGATAGTGGCCACATTTCCTGCCTTATGAAACTGTCAGAATCTCTGTTGTCAAAGTTCTCTTTGTTCCCCAAGTACAATTCATTAACCTTCCCCAGAGCTGAGAAGGATGCCCAGGGGCCTCGCCCTATATTGTTGGCCTTTGGCTGTCTCCTTCCAATCACTTCCCACAGTAGTTCAGAAAAGGCAAGGAGGAGTTCCTTGGATATTGTGCATAAGGTTGATGGCTTGAAGAGGTGGCTAATTGCCTGAAGACAGGCTTGATTATTTTTACCAACACAAAAAGAGATCAAGTGATCCAGGAAGCTCTTATCCTGGCTTATAACATAGGCAGGAAACAGTTACAAGATTGTTGATTGTTACAAAAAAATGATCCCCCCACCATCTCAACACACACACATATGCATATATGTTACTGTGTGTCAACTTCCAGTGTGGAGCAGCTGGGAGTTCCTTGGGCTTGGCTTTGGGTAAGTGTTCCAACTCATTACCCAAATGAAAGGCCCGTGAAGCCACCTGCTCTCTTGTGTTAAGCCTTCCCCAGAAGACAGCATTGGACTAGAGGGCAGAGGGGTGACTGGGAACAAAAGGGATAAATTCTGGGTCCTGAAGGGGCAATGGACCTCTTGATTGTTATTACCACCTGCCATCCCCACTGTTTTCCTGTTAGATCAACTTCTTTCCATATCTCTATCTAGGCAAACTGGCAAGTCAATATGGTTCAAATGAGAGAAGAAAGCATACAAAACGCCACCCAAATTGAAGTCCTCACCATTTGATTGTCTATAATTTTCCAGGCTTTCCTGCAATGAGTTGTTAGCAGGACCCTGGCCTTATCTTTTAGGGAGTTTGGTAATCTCGGCTCAATCTCACGATTGATGGAAATCCAAAGTTCTTCCTTGCTTTTTATTTATTTCTGGGGGCTATACCGTCTCATGATTACCTCCTGCCTGAATCTTCTCTCTGTATTATCCTAAATCAAAGTGGTTCTAAAAATAAGCTTCAATGAAAGTTTCCATAAAAAACACACTCATGTTGAGATCATATAAATTTAGAACTAATTATTGAAGATTAGAAAGTCCCAGGGAAGTTCATATTACAGAATTTGTTGCACTTTGCCATTCATCTCCTCTTTTCTGCTCTTAGCCAGTCTCTGCTGCCCTTTACCTCACCCCAGGACTGAGCCTGGTGGCACCAAACTTCTTTCCCTAGAATATACAGAAACAACCCAGCTTTCCACAGGCCCTGCCACCTTGCAATCCTGTGGATGTTCAGAGCAGAAAAACTCTAGTGTGAGTACCTCCTTGGAAGGCTGCTTTGGTCATCAATTATAACATTATCTTCATTGTTATTTCTTTGCTTTCTAACCCTTATAACAATACTGAACGTAAGGTGAAGAAACATGACCAGAGAGGTGGAGCTAGCTGTCCCAGGTCATGTTACTGATAAGTGGTGGAACTGGGATTTAAATTTATGTTTCTCTGATTCTGAAGCCCATGTTCTTTCTATTCTGCCATATCACATGCAGGCACAAGGTTGGGGAGAAAGCCGGAGAGATGATGAGAAAAGCTTTATTGAAGGTAAAATCTACAGTTCCCATTAATGGCAGGACCCAAAACTGTTGATAATATGTCCTGCAATGCAAGCTGATCTCTGTAAGGAGGAGACATCTGCCTAAGACAGCTCTGTCCCTCCCTCTATGCCTTAGTCTCTTATTGCTGTAGCCAATAACCACAAACTTAGTGGCTTAAAATAACAAAAGTTTATTATCTCACAGTTCAGAAGGCCAGACTCCCAAGATGGATTTTACTGGGTTAAGATGTTGTTTAAAAATTGGTATGTTTCTTAAAATAAAAAAGAATTACACTTAGTCTAATATATATATATATATATATACACACACACACACACATATATATACACACACATATATATATATACATGTTGAGAATAATATTATTTTTTCGTTTAATTATCAATTGCCATCATATTCCACAAACATTTATTGAACATTGACTACACATCGATCACTGTGTTTAGCACAAAGGTACTAAGATAAGAAGACATTACCTCTGTCCTCAAGAATCTCATAAACTAGCATCAAAAATTTTATTACAAGAATATGAACAAAGTGCTATGGCCAGGTGAAGTGGCTCATACCTGTAATCCCAGCACTTTGAGAGGCCGAGGCAGGCAGGTCACCTGAGGTTGGGAGTTCAAGACCAGCCTGACCAACATGGAGAAAACCCGTCTCTACTAAAAATACAAAATTAGCCAGGCATGGTGGCACATGCTTGTAATCCCAGCTACTCGGGAGGCTGAGGCAGGATAATCGCTTGAATCTGGGAGGCAGAGGTTGTGGTGAGCTGAGATCGCACCATTGCACTCCAGCCAGGGCAACAAGAGCGAAGCTCTGTCTCAAAAATACAAAACAAAACAAAAAAACACCTTTTAATAGAGCTGTGTGTGAATGCCGGGTATATGAGCGTATAACAGTGCTGTGTGTTTGCAATTTTGGCACTGGCTGCCTTTCTCTATTACACTTTCATGTAGCAATTGTTCATTCATTGCCAGCCACTTGTACTGGCTCTGGAGATAAAATAGTGAGCAAAATAAACAAGGTCCTTGCCTTCATGTTTCTTACTTTCAAATCAGAGCATAGTAGCAAACCAGAAAGCAAATAAGAAAGATAATCACGGACCAGCACTATGAAGCGCCTCTGAGAGGTGGACAACAATAGACTCAGTGATTAGGGGAAGTTTCTCTTTATTTCAATTAAGCAGAAGCCTAAAGGATGACAAAATTTAAGAAGTCTTTTCTAGGGACTTTGCTGAAGAGGGTATTTGGGGATGACAGTAATCTTCCTGCAGAGGGTCATAAGAATGAACCCAGCCATCCTCTGGGACCACAAAATTCCCTGAGTTGTGCTTCCCTTTCTGGGACAGATAAAAAGCAAAATAATAATCACATGCTGTTACTATCTACTCTCCTAGCCTCTGATGAGCCAGGGAAATGATGTACAACTTTGGATCATTAACAGTGTACTCATTTTCTACTGCTGCATAATAATAAATAACCACAAGCATAGTGGTTTAAAGCAACAGCCATTTATTATCTCGTAGTTCTGTAGGTCAGGAGTCCAGGCAGATCTACCCAGTTTCTCTGCTTACTGTGCCACAAGGACGAAATCAAGGTATCACCTGGGATGTGGTCTCCTCTCGAGCTAAGAGTCCCTTGTAGCTCTCATAGCTGTTGGAAGAATTCAGTTCCTTGAAGCTGTAGGAATGAGGTTCCCATTTTGTGGCTCCCTGCAAGCCAGGGACTATTCTCAGTTTCTGGAGACTACTTCAGTTCCTTGCCATGCAGCTTCCTCTTAAGTGCAGCTTCTCACATTTCAAATCTATCTAACTCCAGGAAGGGCCCAGTCCCTTATAAAGCTCACTGATTATGTCAAGCCCACCTTGATAATCACTCTTTAGGTTAACACAAAGTCAACTGATTAGTAACCTAACTATGAGAGTAATAACCCATCACATGAAAGATTCTACCTGTGTTCATGGGGAAGAGGTTATAAAGGCTCTGAACAAGAGGGACAGGGATTTTGGGGACATCTTAGAATTCTGCCCACCACAACCAGTGAATATCCAGGCTGACCTGGGAGACCAGCCTCACATTTATCTGGCTGGTGAGATCAGGTTTCTCTGTATTAGCTTTCCTCGAGGTGAAGCCATTCATGGCACAAACTGCCTAATTATGTCAGTTTCACTAGACTTATATGTTAATAAAGACTAATGTTGAGTGTTTACCATATGCCAGAAATCATCTTAAGAGTTTTAAACCAATCTAATCTTTACAACAGTCCTTTAAAACACTATACATATTTTCATTTTACAGTTGAGAAAACTAAGGAAGTCATCCGAAAAAAAAGATGAGTAATTTGTCAGAAGTCACACATATTCAGGAGCAGGTTGGAATTCAAACAGTTTCCTCTCAGCATGCTGTCATGTGATAGTAGATCCCTCAGTTTCCCTCTCTGGGTCTAAGAAAAGCTGCATGACCTCAAATTTTACTAAAACCCACCCAAGCTGGCATTTCTAATAAACCATGACTCTGGTAACTAGTTAATAATGCTTTCACTGACCTAAGATAGTCCAAACAAAATGAAAAGGTTTGAGTAACTAAATTGCTCACTCTCTATATGGGGGAAAGGTAACTTCCTCAGATTCTTGTGAACGAATCATTATATTTTTGTGTACCAATTCCCAGTCTCTTAAGTGTTTCTCAAATACTTCAGTGACTATGCCACAAACCATAAATGAAGTTTTTAAAACTCTCCTTTACTCAAAATTTTCAGATGAAATAAAAAATAATATAAAAAGGGTTCATATGGGTCACCAAGAACAATACAAAATAATTATTTTTTAATTATTTATCTTTAACCAAAATTTCATAATTGTTTCTCCTTTTAACCAGAATTTATGAGTTATTGTTTAGTAGATGGTGTCCAGGTGGAGGGTGTCCAGGTTCCTAGCACCTTGAACAAAGAATTGGACAAAATGCATAAACAAAGCAAGGAAAGAATGAAGCAATAAAAGCAGAGATTGAAAAGGGAAACACACTCCACAGGGTAGGAGTGGCCCAAGCAAGAGGCTCAAGGGCCCAATTACAGAGTTTTCTGAGGTTTAAATACTCTCTAGAGGTGTCCCATTGATGTCCTATTGGTTACTTTGTGTACCCCCTATGTAAATGAAGTAGTGGCCCATAATCAGTCTGATTGGTTGAGGTAGGGAACCAATCAGAGCCCGAAGCAAAGTTACAAAGTTACACCATATGCAAACGTCTGATTGGTCGTGAAAAACGACCAATCAGAGGCTAACCTGAAGTTACAAAGTTATACTCCTATACAAAGGAAGACTTGGCCCGCAGCCAGCCTGATTGGTTGTGGGAAGGGACCAATCAGAGGTACTTTTAGTTTTTCATCTGTCGCACAGAAAACTGGGGGTTGCAAAGGGAGTAGCCTCTGGTTCTTTTGTTACTTGGGCATGGAAAGTTGAGGTTTTCCTTTTGCTTTAGTTCTAGGAAGTAAGTTTGAATCAGCCTGAGGTTGCCTGCCTTCAGAACTTATTCTGCCTCATTATTACATGTACGACTTCCATTCCATCAACCAGAAGGATAAAAACATTTTTGTATTGAGTACCAAGCTTTTAATCAGACACATTTCTATAAAACACTTCTTAAACTTTGGAAAGGGGTCATGTAATGACTGATCTTTAGATAAGAGACACAATAAAAAAATGCTCTTTGAAATTTTAGTTTAAAATCTGTTCATCTAACTACTGAAATGTTTTTCTTTTTTATTCACTGGAAAAAAAGAATGAAGGCAATGTGGTTTGTGGATTTAGCACCTCTCTGAAGATAACTTTATTTAAACTGAGAATAAATGACTCGTTTATTGATTATATATTCATACACATTTTCTACTTTCCCTTCTCTTTGACCAGTTATGTAAATTTGGTTAGTCTTCTGACCTCTGTGGATCATGATGTTTTACAAGTTGACCATCGCAAAACGGTCTACCATGTGCCTTTTATATTGTGTCCCAAATTTTGATCTGTCTGTTGAATTTCTTTTATTTTGTCATAAGAATATACCCTGCGACACTGATGTCTGCCAGAGAGAAAGCTGAGGTTACAGGGTAATGCATCACAGTGTAAAGCTGTGTACAGTTGAAATAACAGGTAAAATGAATGGCATAATATAAAACCAGCCCCTCCCTAGGAAAAGTGTATTTTTAATAGAACATACCAGAAATTTCTGTGGCAAGTTTAGAAGTTTATAAGCATGGTCAAAGTAGCAAACAGTACTTTAATGCAGTTTTTAAGCATGATCAACTATCTATAGGACAATAACTGTTAATACTTTTTATAGACATTGTGGAACATGCTTACACTACATAAGTGACTATATTGTAATTACTGATGGCTTATTTCATGTTATTTTGAATCCTGCATAATTGGGATTTCTCTAGATAAAAGCTTCCTAATTTTTAAACTGCAACCCTTCATCCTGTCCAATTTTCTGAAATCTGCTTTTTTTAAAAAATATACTTGTACCCATGTTTGTATTCCTTCACGTGTATTGCCAATATTTTAATATTCACTTTGAATCATGGTTTGGCCATTTGTAAAATAAAAGAATTAAACTAGATAGTAAAGTTCATCTGCGCCACATTTTAGAAATTGAAAGTACATTGTGGGTGAGACTCTTAAGTTTCTTACCATCACTTTAACTGGGAGAACCTGGTTTTATCTATGTCTTATCATGGGGTTTTGGATTCTTTAAAAATGCTTTCATTTGCAACTAACAGAAAATCCCACTCAAACTGGGTGAAGCATAAAAGATAATCTATGTATTTACTTAACTAAGAAGGCCAGAGGCAACTAGCTTAGGAAACAGCTTGATCCAGCAGGTTAACTATATTTACATTAGAGGCTCATTTCTTTATATTTCTCATGGATCTGCCTTCTGTGCTAGCTTTGGCCTCAGGCTAGAACTGCTAATGGTAGCAGCCATGGCTCCTGGCAGTTCCAGCCTTCACATCTTCATCATCTCAACCAGTGAAGCTGTTCTAGTCCAGTAGTTCCAGGCAATTCTTTGAGGATCAATCTGGTTGAATCAGCAGAGATCACTTGCCTACCCTAAAGCAATCATGGTTCCAGAGAAATACAACCTGATGCATGGCTTAAACCAATTACTGACCCAAATTAGAGCTGGTGGTTGGGGTCAATCCTACATACTATATGTGAAAAGGGTAGTTTCTCAAATAAAATTTAGGTATATTTTATCAAAGAGACAAAATACCAAGGAATACATGCCTACCTATGGTACATTGAAAATATTGTCTGAAAAAAGATTTTCATTACTAAAGACAAGTTTGGAAGCTCTAGAGAAGACCATCCCTAAGCTTTTCCAATTCTACTTTTCTGATTCAGTGCTTGCATCTGAAAATAGGTCTGCAAGTCCCAAATATAGGATTAGCTGCTGAAACCCACTTGATTGTCATGGTGATGGGAATGGCATCAGCTAATCTCCCAGCAGGCAATCAATAAATGCATACAGGTACCTTCTCTGTATAAGGGCATAATGAAGAGAGTCTGGTTGGAGAGTCAGGTGAGCTACCTTTAAGAAGTATTGCAAATTCAGTATCTTCTTTCAAGGCCCCATGTCTTTTCTTGACGTTGTTCCTTTAATCTGAAAAGCTTTCTTCTCCTTCATCCTCAAAGCCAAGTTCAGAAGTCATCCCCTGTGATAGACCACCATCCATCATCTAGAATTACAACTTCTTTTTAAAGTTCCTAGTATAATACCAAGATCAGCCCTTAACACTGATAGTGTCTTTGGTCTTCCGCTTTCCCACTGGGACAAATTTTTAACCCTCAATTTCTACATTTGTAAAATGGGGATAATAATGCTTCTTTAGAGTGACTGTAAGAATACATGAGTAAAAGCACTGGAAATGCTTCATAAATATTTGGCATTCTAACTATCTCACACATGCAAATTCTATCCCTATAAGAAGGTTAAAATGAAATAAGTTTGTAACATGAGCAAGGGTGAGGTCTTGACTCAGCATTTGAACCAGACACATACATAACTGTTCCTGAAGAAACAAATTCCTGAATACTTCCATATGCCACAGTTGAGCCATGGCACTGATCACTAACCACCTGGGATTAACACTGCCTTGCAGATAGATTCCAGCATTCCCAGGCCTGTTCAGTGCCTGCCACACATCTGCATTTCTCATGTGGAGTATTTTCTTTGAAATATGGGTTCCCACTGAGAGGAAAAACATCTTCCCTTTGTTGGATGTGCAGAAGCAGGATTTGGATGGCTGTCCCCTAAGGATATACTAGAAGGATCCTTGCATTGGTGACAACATTATGGCAACGTTAGATGTTACTGTTATTCCAGGGCCCTAAATGAGTAGGTTTTTCTTTTCCTTTTCTTATCTTTTAAAAAAATCTCTTATTTTTCCAGACTTTAGGGAGTTACTTAATCCTAGTTCTTCAGTTTTCTCACCTGTATAGGGAAAATAAATTCTGGTCTCCATTTTATTTCCCCATTAAGAGATGATAACACATGAGGTAATAGAAGATTTGTGTTTTGAAATACTTGGAAGCAAAATTGAAAATAAGTCTATGGTTTTACCTTAGCATATGCATAATTCATATGCCTAAGCAGCACATATATTCCAAATATAGTTGAACCTTTCTCTGTAAAACACCCAACCCTCCTAGGGATCACATTAAATCATTTCAGGCTTCTTTGACTAGGATCACAATTTGACACAGTAAAAAATGAAAAATGAAAACAAATGTAAAATGAGAAAAAAGTAAACAACGAAAAATAAGAACAAAACATCTTTTTCTTTGCTTTTTTCCACTTTTTACATTCAAGGCAGAAGCTGCTGATTTGAAGAATGTTTATGTAAAATTTTGAATGCTGCCTCTCATAGTCTCCTGTGGTGGATCCCCTCCAACTACAGAACATTCAGCAGTTTTGGTTCCCTGATGATACAAGTCCCGACTTGTTGACTGAGAGGCCTTATTTGGACCTGTTTCAGAACAGATTGCTTCTTCCTATCTCCCAACATGGTACCCAAGTAGAAACAAAGGAAAATGACTGTGCTTATAGGCAGTTTTACGAATGAGATTTAAAGTTGATGAACTCTCTCTTTTCCTGCTTGGTTGAGAATGCCAGGATGCTAAGCTCGCAAAGCCTTGCTTCTTAGGAATGAGCCCTATTTGGGTCCCTTCTGCTTAAACAAGGAAGAAAAGGTTAGAACCAAGATGTAAAGAGGGCAGGGTTTAAATCATTCCTTTGGTTTTTTTTTTTTTTTTTTTTTTTTCTAGCTGCATGACCAAGCATGGCTGTATCTCAGTATTTTCTCATTTGTGGGAAGGGGATAATCATATAGAACTGCTGGGTGTCTGTGTGAAATTCCAATAATATTATTATTTAAAAGTGTGTGTTTACAGTAGGCACTCAATAATCATTGGCTTCTGTCCTTGTTTGCTTCCCTATTCTGGGTTTATTCTCTTGATGGGAAAGGAAATGATCAATCACAGTTAAGTGAATAGGAGCCTGACTCTAATATAATTTTATAAGTGCAGAGCCAATGCTAGATGAAATTGAGGAGGCATTGACGTTGTTTTTGAACTGACCACATCATTCCTCTTTTCTATGTGCTCCTGGTGGTGTCTATTCTGCTCTTTCCCTGGGGCACCTAGACCTTTTGTGTCCTTTTTCTTCCACTTAACATCTTTGTCTCCAGAAAATATGCAAGAAACTCATTCCAAACTAAGGTGTGAAAGACTGGTAAGGTTTCATATATATGTGTATATACATATGGATAAAAATGTAATTCAAATTAATGAACTATTTACTATGGAATATTGACCGCAACCAGGTCAATGTTTGATTTCCCCATTCGCATATCTTATTTATTCAGCAAATGTGCACAGAGCTCCTTCTCAGTGCCAGGCTGAGGGGGGTGGAATACATGAGTGAGACGTGGCCACTGTCCTCAAGGGTCTCCCAGTCTTATGGGGCACAGCTGTATAAATATAAATAATAATAGTAAAAATAGAGCACTTAGTATGTGGCAGGGACTATTCTATGTGCTTTACATATATTAATTCATTTACTGTTTGCCACAGCCCTATGAGTTGGTTACTATGATAACTTATGGTTTAGAGTAAAGAAACTCTAACCAGAAAGGTTAAATGTCCTACTTAAGGTTAGACAGCTAGTTAATGTGGTTTAGTTCCCGAGTTATTGCTTATTACCTCTATGCCTTACTGTCTCACTATACACAAGACAGTGTGATACTGACTTCTAGGAGTCTATTGTTAGGAAGTAATCTTTGATGCAGACAAAGACTACAGATAATAAATTTGATAAAGCAAAGGGAAGAGGAAAAATTGTAAAATCAATCAGTAGTAGAATGCTCAAATTAATTGTGATACATCTATATGAGGAAATATTCATAACAATTAAAAGAAATAAGGCTATCACTCCAAACTTCAGTGAAAAAGAAAGTATAAAATATGGTTTATATGGATTAGTTGAATTTTTTAAAAGTATGTATAATATATAAATATCTCTGTATTTTTAAAGTGTTTGTTGGCCAGGCGCAGTGGCTCACACCTATAATTCCAGCATTTTGGGAGGCCGAGGTGGGCAGATCATGAGGTCAGGAAATAAAGACCATCCTGGCCAACATGGTGAAACCCCGTCTCTACTAAAAATATAAAAATTAGCTGGGCATGGTGGCGTGTGCCTGTAATCCCAGCTACTCAGGAGGCTGAGGCAGGAGAATCACTTGAACCAGGGAGTCAGAAGTTACAGTGAGTTGAGATCGTGCCACTGCACTCCAGCCTGGGCAACAGAGTGAGACTTCACCTCAAAAAAAAAAAAAAAAAGTGTTTGTTGTACAGTAGGCACTTAATAATTATTGGCTTTTTTCCTTGTCAGATTAATATCAACACATATACAACACACTCTCTGCCCTGGAGGAGTGTCTAGTTTAGGGAGAAGCTAGATATTTTTATAATTGAGCTTCAGGCAACATTAGAGGGCTGTTTACAGGACAGTGGTGACCAAGGGATTCAGGCTTTGCTGGGAGCGGTGGGGATGGATCAAGGAAACATTCACAGAGTAAGACAGCCTTGCTGTTTCCATCTGGAACTTCTTCAAAGGACAAACTGATTTTCTCTGTTTATGTTTGTCTCTCTAAGAAGGAACCAGGGAATGTCAAAGAACATCTGTCCTTTTCTAAACCTCCAGTGACCTTGCAGCAAGTCTCTTTTGACTCCTACTTCCATGATGCCAGCTGAGAGGTCCAATCTGTTTTAAACCTTTCTCAGTGTCCACTGAGATGTGTCATTTGAATCCAGGGGCTCCTCTAGTCTCTGGGATGGTAAGAGAGCTGAAGCTCAAATCCTGGCTGCTGACCTGAAACTTTGTGTAGCTGGGATGCTCTCCAGAGTTGCTGCTGGGTGTCTGACCCTCTCATGCAAGACACCCTGCAACTAGTGCCTGCCAATGAGTGAGAAAGAGTCAGCACTGCCGTTGACTGCATGTTGACTGTGCACCAGGCATTGTCCCTGCATTTTTCTCCTCTCTTTATAATAATTATATGATGTTGGTTTTATTATCTACAGTTTGAAGGTGGAAAAGGTCTAACTCAGCACAGGTGATGGTCGTGCCAGCTGAGGTCTTATGGACATTTATCACTAGAGTGCCTAATTTCATTCTTGGCGCATAGAGGGGACTCAGTAGTTGTATTTTTGATTCTCACTGATTCTAAGTGGCAGGTTTGAGACTGGAATCTAGGTGTACACAATCCCCAAAACTCTTCTTTTTCTGCTGTGGCAAGCTGCTCCTCAGCCTGGATTCTCACCTGCCACAATGTTCTTTTTGAGGGTATTTTTCCTCCCTGGAAGCTCTTACTTTATAAGAAAAGATAGGTTCATCCACTCCGGCCACCTCTGTAACGATCAGTAATTCGTGGTGGTTTCTAGATCAAAGAGTTCGGGAGCGTGCCTGGGTGGAGTGTGGGAACCCTCTGGATGTTTGCTGGAACGCTGCTCCACACTGTGTACCTGGGAGGGTAATCTTTCATCCTTTCTGAGCCTTCCTTAGAAGCCTATCAAACAACTCCATGCCTTTTCCTTGTCCCTTTTATCGCCCTCGGGAGCAAAGTTGGGACTTGTGCAACTGCAGGGCTCTTTTCTGTGGGAACAATAATCTCATTTCAATATGTGTGGGTGGGTAGATTATACGTTATGGGCTTGGAGCTCATTTGTAGGACTAGGGAGGGACTGGGTTAAATAGTTGTATGATTAACAAGCTGCTGTGTTTTTATGGTCTGGAAAGAAAAGGTTTCGGCAAGGATTATCAGTTCAGATTGGGAATGATTCACCCAAAAGTATTCAATAGTTTGGGTGGTAGGTGTGGGGTGTGGCAAAGAACTTACCCCCCTACCTCCAGGAAAAGAATAGTATGTAATATACTTGGAAAAGTTTAATCTCTCTTTTTTAAAAAGTCCTTTCTTTCCTTAGGGAAAACTCTCTAAAATTATGGAGAGAATTTGTCATATAATAAATATTGCTTTGTGTTCTATCTGGGCATGGTATTAGCAATATATGTTAGATGAAGCAGGGATTTGGGAGTCAGTTGTCAATATCGGTGATTTTGAGCAGTCAGATCATTGCTTTGGATTCTACTTATCTTGCTCTAAGGGCATGTTTTACCAGATAATCTTTCAGGTTTCTTACAGGTGCATTCGTTCACTGAGTGCTTATTGAACACATCTTACAACTGAACAAACTGATGCTGATGTTGGGCTCTAGGGTCTATCAACATGGCCCTTGTTCCCTGCCTGAATTCAGAACCAATTAAGAGAAAGACACTGAAGTGAGACAGATGGGGATCAGAATATCACCACCACTATAGATAAACACTATTGTGGGTTTACGGCTAAAGGAAACAGCAGTAATGGCTTTCTTAACATCAAATCTCAGAATAAAACAAATGTATTTGTCCAATCTCAAGCATTGTTGGGTCATTACAGGGTTTCCCCACCCTTGTATTGATGGGGGAATTCTTCTCCAGCAAAGCTTGAAGCAAGAAGGAGAAGAGCGCAATCTATGCTCTCTACTCTCAGGTACATTTTCAAAGAATGAAAGAAAGGGAGAGGCTGTACCAACAAGCTTAAATCCTTCTTCCAAAGGCACCCAGTAGCTAAGTCACTCTTTCTCTCAATAGAAGGTAAGTGGAGAGAGGCCTTAGGGTTTAGAGTAAATTCCTCCTGATATGGTTTGGATTTGTGTCCCTACCCAAATCTCATGTCATACTGTAATCCCCAGTGCTGGAGGAGGGGCCTGGTAGGAGGTGATTGGATCATCAGGGTGGATTTTCCTCTTGCTGTTATCATGACAGCGAGTGAGTTCTCAGGAGATCTGGTTATTTAAAAATGTGTAGAACCTCCCCCTTTGCCCTCTTCCTCCTGCTCCCACCATGTAGGACATGTTTTGCTTCCCCTTTGCTTACTGCCATGATTGTAAATTTCCTGAGGCCTCCCCAGCCATGCTTCCTGTATAGCCTGCAGAGCTGTGAACCAATTAAACCACTTTTCTTTATAAAATTCCTGATCTCAGGTAGTTCTTTATAGCAATTCAAGAATGGACTAATATACCTCCTTATGAAAACCAGAAAAGATAGAGATAACTGTTGTGGTATAGCCAGTAGAGACTCTCCCAACAGCCATTGCTTACCTATACTTCTCAGCCTCCCTATTGTTAGACTGAAGCCATGTGAATAAAGCAGGCCAGTGGACTTGAGTGGAAGTAATGCATGCGAGCTGATTAATTACAACCCTCCTCTGTCCCTCTTAGTCTCTGCCTTGGTGACCCTGGAGGTCGTATGTTCTAGATGGCATGACTATAAGAAAAGGGAGGATGTCCGACCTGAAATGGACTTTAAGTGGCAAATCCATCTGTGGTTCGAAGCAGCTCTTTTCTCTTCAGCAAGAATATCCTTGTCTGGTTCCAGATCTTAGGGCTGTAGCTATGAGTTTTCATCCTTGCAATGCAGCTGACATTGCCACTCTCACCAACTTTCTCTTGGCCCACAAACAATTTAAGTTGGGTTTTTCATGGCTTATAATGAAAGTTAATTGATATAGAGGCTAAAATTCACATTAAAAAAAAGAAAGATACCAATGGACCATGTGTCGACTATTTTGCTGATCTAAAGCTTCTTCACTGTTTTCTCCAAAAATCTGAGTTGTTTACAGTGGTTCTAATAATTGCCTGAGGAAAAAGCTCATGTTTAAATCATTTTACCTTTCTTAGAGGAAAACATTTATTGAGAATAAAGGAAAACTGCTTCTATTTAATCAAAACGTTTTACTCAAGATACAAAATGGGAAAAGCTGTAATATTGCAAAAAAGGAACATAAAAGTCATTTAAAACCAGGCAGTATAAAAACTCATAATTATATTAACAGAATGAAGAATAAAAAGCATTTGATCATCTCATGAGATGCAGAAAAAGCATTCGAGAAAATTCTACATTCTTTCATGATAAAAATTCTCACCAAATTAGGTATAGAAGAAATGTACCATAACAGAATAAAGGTCATATATTAGAAGCCAACAGCTAACATTATACTCAATGGTGAAAAGTTGAAACCTTTTTCCCTAAGATCTGGAACCAGACAAGGATGCCCACTCTTGCCACTTCTAATTAGTGTAATATGGGAAGGCGTTACCAGAGCAATTAGGCAAAAATAAATACATAAACAAATAACTAAAAATAAAAGCCATCCAAATAGTAAAAGTGAAATTGTCGATGTTTGCTGATGACATAATCTTATACATATAAAACCCTATAGACATTACCAAAAAGACTATTAGAACTAATAAATGAATACAGTAAAGTTGCAGGATACAAAAATCTCACACAAAAATTGCTGGCAATAGCATTTCTTTTTTTTTTTTCTTTTTTTCTTTTTTTTGAGATGGAGTCTCGCTCTGTTGCCCAGGCTGGAGTGCAGTGGTGCGATCTCGGCTCACCACAACCTCCGCCTCCTGGGTTCAAGAGATTCTCCTGCCTCAGCCTCCCAAGAAGGTGGGACTACAGGCACACACCCCCATGCCCAACTAATTTTTGTATTTTTAGTAGAGATGGGGATTCGCTATGCTGGCCAGGCTGGTCTCAAGCTCCTGACCTCGTGATCTGCCTGCCTCGGCCTCCCAAAGTGTTGGATTACAGGCATGAGCCACCGTGCCCCACCAAAAATTGACAGCATTTCTATACACTAACAATGAACTATCTGAAAAAGAAATGAACAATCTTATTTACAATAGCTACAAAAATATAGAAATACTTAGAAATAAATTTAACCAAGGAGGTGAAAGGCCTGTACCCCCAAAGCTATATATTGAAAAAAAAATTAAAGAAGAAAAAAATAAATGAAAATATAGCTCATGTTTATGGATTGGAAAAATTCATAATATTAAAATGCCCATATTACCCAAATTAGTCTATAGCATCAATGTAATCTTTATCAAAATCCCAACATCTTTTTTCATAGAAATATAAAAAACAATTCTAAAATTCATATGGAACCTCAAAATACTCTGAATAGCCAAGGCAATATTGAGCAAAAAGTAAAAAGCTGGAGATATCACACTACCTGACTTCAAATTATACTACAAAACTGTAGTAATTAAAACAGCATGGTATTGGCAGAAAAAATGGACATGTCAACCAACAGAACAGAGATCCCATAAATGGACCCATGCAGATACGGTTAACCAATTTTAAACAAAGGTACCAAAAATATGCAATGGAAAGAGAAAAATCTCTTCAATAAATGTTCTTGGGAAATGGTATTGGGAAAACTGGATTTCCACATGCAGAAGAATAAAATTGGATCCTTATCTCACAACATGTACAAAAATCAACTCATAAGCATCACAGATTTTAATGTAATACCAGAAACTCTGAAACCTCTAGAAGAAAAACTATATGACATTAATCTGGGCAATGATTTTTTTGGACTAGACTTCAAAAGTTCAGGCAACAACAACAAAAATGGACAAATGGGATTAGATAAAATTAAAAATCTGCACGAAAAGAAAACAAAATAAAACAAAAAACAAAGCAATTACCAGTGTATAGAGACAACCTATGGACTGGGAGAAAAAATTTGCAAGCCATACCTCTGATAAGAGATTAATGTATCCAAAATATATAAGGAGTTCAAAAAACTCAATAGCAAGAAAAAAATTTTAAATGGGTAAGGGACGTGAATAGATATTTCTTAACAAAAGATATACAAATGGTGAACAGACATATGAAAAAATGCTCAGCATGACTAATTATTAGAGAAATGCAAATTAAAACCACAATGAGATATCATCTGTCAGAAAGGCTTTTATCAAAAAGGCAGAAGATAACAAGTGTTGACAGAGACGTGGATAAAAGGAAACCTTTGCACGCTTTTGATGGGAATGCCAATTAGTACAGCCATTATAAAAACCAGTATGGAGGTTTCCCAAAAAAACAAAAAAACAGAATTACCACATGATCCAGCAATCCCTTTTCTGGGTCTTTACCCAAAAGATTTGAAATGTTTGTTATAGAGATGTCTGCACTCTGATGTTCACTGCAGCATTATTCACGATAGGCAAGGTATGGAATCCACCTAAGCATTCATCAACATATGAATGGATAAAGCAGATGTGATATAAACCCACAATGACATACTATTCAGTCTTTAAAAAGAAGGAAATTCTGTTACTTGCAATAACATAGATGGACTTGGAGAACATTATGCTAAGTAAAATAAGTCAGGCATGGGAAGAAATACTGCACGTTCTCACTTATAATGTGGAATTTACAACAATCAAACTCATAGAAATAGAAAACAGAACGGCGATTACAGAGGCTAGGGTGGGGGGAATGGGGAGATGATCAAATGGTATAAAATGACAGGAGGAATACATTCTTTCCCGTTTTAGAATTCTATTGCATGTTGTGGTAAACATAATTAATAATAAATCATTGTACATTTCAAGATGGCTAAGAGAGTAAATTTCAAATGTTCTCACCATAGAAAAGTATTTGAGGTGATGAATATGTTAACTAGCTTGATTGTATTCATAAACTATAACATTACTTTATAATTTGTTTCATTCATTCTTTCTTTCTTTCTTTCTTGAGACAGGGTCTCTTTCTCTCTGTCATCCAGGCTGGAGTGCAGTGGCAAAATCTCAGCTCACTGCAACCGCCACCCCCTGTGGTCAAGTGATCCTCCCACCTCAGCCTCCTGGGTAGCTGGGATCACAGGTGTGCACCACCAGGCCCAGTATTTTCAGTAGAGACAAGGTTTTGCCATGTTGCCCAGGCTGGTCTTGAATTCCTGAGCTCAAGTGATCTGCCCACCTTGGCCTCCTAAAGTGCTGAGATTACAGGCATAAGCCACCATGCCTGGCCAACATCACCTTTTACTTCTTACATTTATATAAATTGTCAATTTACAATTAAAAAACAGCAATAAAAATCTAGTTGAAAGTTCTTTACTCAGTAGAAACTTATATAAATGTTAACTGCTTGACTCTTTAAGTAAACTTAGTTTAGTTAACATGCATAGCTGTTTTCTGTCACTCCCTGGACAATGCATTTTTCTTGGGGTGTAGTTCTAATTCTAGCTGTCCCAAAGGAGATGAAACACTTCAAAACTGGTAAGTAGGTCAAGTTTGCCTTAGGTGGTCCTCAGATTCCTGTCAATACCATTTCATTCTTTCCTCATTTTGGGAGAAGGGAAGGAGGGAAGGAAGTAAGGAAGGAAGGAAGGAAGGAAATAATCAAATGCATTATTAAAATCTGATTGTCATTGCAAACTTATGAGGTAAATGTTTTCGCTTTGAGTCTATAAATGGAAACTGAGGCTCAGAAAGAGTGATCATTATGACTAATCTTTATTCAGTGTTTTGTGTATCATAGGTACTTTTCTAAGCACCTGATATGAATTAGTCCATTTAATTCTCACAACAACCCCATGAAGTAAACAACATTATTCTCACTTCATGGAGGAGAAAACAGGCACCCCAGGAGATAACTTATTCAAGCTTACACAACTTGTGTCAGAGCCAGGATTAAAACCTAAATGGTCTTGCTCGCAAGTCTATACCGGTAACTATTAAGCTGGCTTGCCCCTATGGGCCAAGGGACCTGTGCAGGTTGATTTATTCGTGGTTTCAAAGCTTATTAGTATTTGTTATGGTCATGTTTCTTTAACGTAGACAGCATAACTCAATGCAGCTATTTTCAGCAGAAAGAGTTCTATTAAAGGTGGTAGATAGCTACCACAACGATAAAATGGCTTTTATGATATACAGACTAAAATTTCAGGAAAGATTCCCAGAGCCACACCTTGGAACTAATACACCCAGAGGGCAGCTGCCCCTACCATAATCAGGATGCTGTGAGCCAGGAGCTGCCACCCCAACTGGAGACTATAGAACCAGGCTACAGCTGCATTAGTCTACAACAGCTGAATAAATTCTTTGCATCCTGCCTCCCTTTCCATTAATATCATTGACCCCTCAAAATGTATCTCCCAGAACTTGTCTGATGAGCAGGGCCTGTGTCACCTGTCGGCCCTGATGTAAAAAGGGAAAATGGATTCTATGTTGGAATGGAGAGACTTACACTGTAGGGAACTACCACAATGTGGAGAGGGTGTTCACATAGGCTAAATGGCAGATGCCCATCACAGTTGCAGAACTGAAATTTGAGCCCAGATCTAGCCAACTCCAGGGTCCCTGCTCTATCCAATGCTGCTTTCTAAGTCCTTTGTCCCAGAGGACCCAGGGCTCACCAGGGTTAGGATCTCCAGATAGATGGTACCTCACATATGGTATTCAGGATTCCAAAAGGGATAGCTGCTTCTAGACCCATGCTCACTATCTAGAAGGGCATGTCACACCCAAATGCTGGGCACTATTTCTTCCTGAAGAACTGAAATGGATTCTTAAGGTGGAAACCTGAAGATGCTCTTGCCCACTCTCTCTGAAGCATAGAGCTGACCCCAAAACTCAGTAACTTGTTTTCTCTGCTCTTGAGCTTCTCATTTTCTTTTAAACTGAGAGCTTCTTGAAGGAAAAGCTTGTATTTTCTATATTTCCAGCTCCTAGGACTGGGCCAGGTACATTAAAGTGCTCAAATAAATTTCTTCTAAGTGGAGGAGAAGAGGGATGTATAGGTGGTGGAAGGGTTCCCATGATTCTAAGTGGCTTCCCTGGGAGGGACATGTTTAGTCAGATTTAGGAGATAGTTTATGGAAAGATAGGGAGCAAAATATAACTCAGGATACCATGTCTCACTCCAAAATCAGCCATAAGCCTCCCACTGCCATATCTACTTAACACTCCACAGTCAGCCTCAGACCCTCTCCCCACCATTTCACACTTCATCATAAACACAAATCCTCCTCCATACAACCAATTCACATTCCACATCAAGCAAAAATTGTCCCTCCTTACAATCACTACATATTCTGCAGTAAATCCAATCGTCTGACCCAACAGGCATTTTACAGTCCACAGCAAACTACAATCTTACCCTTCTCAGACCTCCTCACCTCCCGTGGGAAGCCCTAACCTCCTCCCCCACAGTAATTCACCTTTCCACAGGAGGCCCAACGCTTCACACCCCATAGTAAAATTCTCACGCCTACAGCCACTTCACACTTGCTAGCAATCCTCCATGATCCCTGCCCACACCACCTCATGTTCCAAGAAGAACCCGGTCCTCCCTCCAACAACTGCTTCACACATCACACTAAACCTGAATCCTCCCTCACCAGAAACCCTGACCTTCTAAAGTAAACCCTACCCTCCCACCACAAAGCCCCTTACTGCTCTACAGCAATCTCCAATCCCCCACCCAATAACCATGTCAAGCTCCACAGGAAAGGCCTCCCACCTCCACTGCACTTCACACTCCATGGAAGGTATCAGTTCTTCCCCCACAACCACCTGCTTCACGCCCATGGAAAGCTTCAGTCGTCTCTCCACAAAACCAGGTTATATTTGAAATCAAGTACTACTCATCCCTCTCATCAACCACTTCACACGCCACAATACACCCCAATTCACCAAGCCTCAGATGCCTTACACTCCACAGGACAGCTGCAGCTCTTTTACCTTCGCGTTAATCACCAATCTTTCTACTCTACACATGCTGCAGACGCCACAGGAATCCTCAAACCTCCTCTCCCACACGGCTTCATGCCCCACAATAAACTGCAGTCCCCCTATCCTCACACCCGCTTCTCACTCCACAGGACCCCCATCCTCAAGCCCACTTCACACTCCCCAGTCATTTTCAATCCTTCCTCCCCAAAATGCTTGACTCCACAGTGAACGCTCTCCCCTCTCCCAGCCCTTCTGCAGTTCATGTGAATCCCCAAACCTTCCTCTCTACAAACAGTTCACATTCCCAGGTAAACCCCAGGGTAAATTCTCATTCTGTAAGCTAACATCCACTTTTAACCCCTTAGTTATTTGCAGTTCTTCCATCCCTAAAGCCACTCCACAATAAACCCCTATCCATGCTCCCTAAATGACTACACTCCACAGCAAATCCTAATCCTCTCGTGCCCACAGCCCAATCACATGCCAGAGTAACACCGATCCTCAAATACGACACATCCTTCACACACCGTGATAAACTCCAATCCTCCGACCAACAGCCACTTCTTACTCCTTCGTAATCCCTAGTAATATCTCCTACAACCACTTCACACAGTGATTCCAATGCTCCCTCCCTATATACATCTCATTCCACACTAAATCCTTGTTCTCTCTCCACATAACCACTTCACATGCCACGAGAAGCCCCATTCCTTCAATTTCCCTAAATTCTCCAAAGGATTTTGATAATTGAACAAATATTTTATAATAACATCGTGGAGAGATGTTAATAAAATTTAAGTCTACCATCCCAAGGGCCTGTTCTAAGGATTTACAGTGAAAGAAGTGTCACCTTTTCTGCATAAGGATATACTTTGCCACGCTATTCATACTGCTGAAAACTGGATGAATGTAAGTATGCACTTAAAAATAATGTCTAAATAATGTGTTATAGCTGTAGCAAATGTAGTGTGTAAACATGGACTCTTTTCATACTATATTCAGAGAATAAAACAATAAATTTAGAAATGGTAACTACACTGATTAAAGCTCAAATGTCATGTGTGTTTGTGGTCACAGGGAGAAAGGACATAGGCAGATGGAAGCAGTATTTTTAGGAGGTGTTGAAATTATGAATGAGTTATACATGTATATATTTGTATATAGTGCCTTGGCACTGCTTGTGTAATATGAAATAGACTTTTCTGAGAAAAGCCAGTGGACTCCTTCAGTCCTCCTTTATTTAGAATCCATTCCCTCACTGAGAACTTGGGAGTACCAGGTACATTGCATAATATGCATCATCTTCCTGGATCTTCCCAGCAACCCTGGAAGGTAAGTCCCATTAGAGGCTTAGAAAGGTTGAGTAAGCTATATGACCCAAGTCTAATGCAGGCTAGATCGTGACTTTAAATTTTGTGTCCCAAATTTATCTCTTTTACTTTCATCAGATTTTGATGTTTTCATCTGAGATAGACAAAGGAGATGACAGGCAATTGCCTGCCAGTCTCTCTAGCTCTGAGTGAAATAAAGCAGTCTTGCTTGCTCTGTGCATTTTCCTGTCTGTGAAGCCAATGGTTTTGCCTGTCTTATTCACTACTATAGTCCGAGGGCCTATCATAGAAGGTGTTCAAGAAATATTTTTTAGTAGATCTTTTTGCCTTTGGAATGAAATCCCTCTCCTTACGAATACATCTTCTTCCTAAACTCCATCCTCTCTGCTTGGCTACATGGTCAACAGTCTATGAAATAGCTGAAAGAGTTAGAGAGGTGTCTGTAGATGAGGTAAAATATTAGCTGTGTAAGTATTTAGAAGACTCTGAAGTGCTCTTTAAAAATATAAAGTAGGTGGGGCATGGTGGCTCACATCTGTAATCCCAGCACTTTGGGAGGCCAAGATGAGAGGACTGCTTGAGCCCAGGAGTTCAAGGCCAGCCTTGGCAATATAGCGAGACTCCCATCTCTACAAAAAAAAAAAAAAAATCTTTTAAAGTTAGCCAGAGATGGTGGCATGTGCCAGTAGTCCCAGAACTCAGGAGGAATGCGGAGGGAGAAACACTTAAAGCCCAAGAGTTTGAGGCTACAGTGAGCTGTGATTGTACCACTGCACTCCAGTCTGGGCAGCAGAGCAAGCAAGACCCTATCTCACAAAAAAAGAGAAAAGAATAAAAAAAGTAAGGCATGATTTTATTTTCTTCAGGCCAAATAAAAGCATGTGTAGAAAACTGAGTTCACTGTCTTTCCGGAAGAATGTGTCTACCAACTAATTTATTGAGGATCAATTTTGTTAAAGAGATTTCTGATGCTGTTTTATTTAACCTAACACCTTCAGGTGTAATTTGTACTGCACTGATACTCTGCAAGAAGAGTATCAGTAACTTTTTCAAGTAGTAAATGACAGAAGCCTATTTCAAACAGGTTTTGGGGAAAAGGGGAAATATAATTGCCAATTAAAGATATGCTGGATTCCAGTGCATCAGGCTTTCAGAACCCTCCCCCCACCCCTGCCCCTCTCTGTCTCTCTCTCTCTCTCTCTCTGTGCAAGAAACAGAGTAAAAGTGAATTTAATAATGGCCATTAGTAAAGGTAAATAGGTTCATATCCTCTGTTTAAGGGTATAATCTATGCTAGAAAGATTTTTAAAGTGGTAAAATAATTTTAACTTTTAAATTAAAATTTTAATTTCAATTTTTAAAATAAATTTCTAAACAGGAAATATTCTCTAATAGTGTTGGTTACATGAGCCATTTGCAGTAGGAGCTTTGCAATATTTTGACATATGTGACATCCAACACTCAGGACAGTCCTGAATTAGAGACCTCAGTAATTGCTGGTAACAGACAGGATTTATTTTTGTAAATAACCCAATTTTAGTAACCCTTGAAGAATTCTCATAATAGGTTAACACCAAGAAGTGCAAAAACTCAAGTCCATGGAACTGAAAATCACTTGCACATAAGAAGCAAAGGGACAGCTTGAATATCTGAACAAATGCACAGACCATCACTCCTCCTTCATATCACACTTTGAGAACTAAAGCAAAGGTACTGTGGAGTTGAGAGCAGTGAGGTCATGAGCAATTCCCAATATTTTTAAAAGCCCAAGGAAATAACTCATTAATTTGTTAATACTGGTTTGTGTTTGTTTTTGCTTTTGTTTTTGTTTTGAGACAGTCTCGCTTTGTCAACTAGGCTGGAGTATAGTGGTATGATCCCCGCTCCCTGCAGCCTCTGCCTTCCAGGTTCAAGTGATTCTCCTGCCTCACCCTCCCAAGAAGCTGGCATTACAGGCCTGTGCCACCACACCCGGCTAATTTTTATATTTTTAATAGAGACAGGGTTTCACCATGTTGGCGAGGCTGGTCTCGAACTCCTGACTCCACGTGATCCACCCACCTCATTCTCCCAAAATGCTGGGATTACAGGGGTGAGCCACCACACCCAGCTTAATTTGTTAATACTTTATAAACTATCTAAAATGTTAAATAAACTGTGCTTCAAGTTGGATTTACTTTCTGATTCCTGTTGATCAGCAGTTTTTATTTGTGACTTGTATATCTTTGATCAATAGAAAACTGATACAAGGAATTAAGGACTCACGAAAACGGTGATCATTTATTTTTGGATCAGATTCTTTCCAAACATCGGATCCTTGGACAAAAGCAACAAAAGAGACATTCCTTGTACTAAAAAGGCTGGATACCAGTACTTCCATCAGACTCCCTATTTTAATAGCAAGCCTGGTGAGGGAGTTCCTTCTGAAGGCTCACACTGGGTGAGTCCAGTGCCCAACCAGCCCATAAGCACAGCAAGGGCGGGCTTCATGTCTTCTTCACTGTTTATATTTCCCTCAGTTCCTCTTTATTGAATAGTGGTGAATTAACATCTTTTGATTTAGTCTATTGTCCCTGATAGCATTTTATTTCCAACCGTGCAATTGCTGATGCTTCTGTTTTCTTTTTGCTTTTTCCCCTGCAGCTTAACTAACATTGACTACTGTGTTAGGATTAGTCATTGCTGACTGTGCCAGCCTGCAGCCTCATAATCAGAGCCTTGTCACCAAGCATGGCTGCCTCAGTGACTGGAATGGAAATGAAAATAAAGCAAGTGTTATTTTCCTCATCCTGAAGCAACAGAGAACTGCATCAGGCTTACCAACATGAACGTGGGTAAGAAGGAGTTTTGAAGTCCAGCAAAGATTTTATAGCTAGTGAGGCTGGCTGGAAGCAGGGTCGATCTGGTCTGATGTGTTGCAAGATGTGAACTTATTAAGGCATCACAGAGGCAACTCCCAGCGGGGGTGGAGGAGAGCAGCAGGGATGGAAAGGAAGAAGACTCTCAAGATAGGATGCTCCAAAGGATGATTGGAAGAGAAGGGTGATGTCTGGAAGCGATAAGCCTCAGATGTTTGTTTGCACCTTACTGGAAAGCCATGTAAATTAATGGAAACTTCCTGGCAAAATAGCTTGACTTGTAGCAACTTCACAACCATAACAATCCAGAGGTGAGGTTTGCCCGCACCCTATTCATTTCAATCCCGAAGGCAATTTTCCCCTTGGCCAGAGAGAAGCTCAAGAACAAAAAACCAAACACCGCATGTTCTCACTCATAGGTGGGAATTGAACAATGAGAACACATGGACACAGGAAGGGGAACATCACACTCTGGGGACTGTTGTGGGGTGGGGGGAGGGGGGAGGGATAGCATTAGGAGATATACCTAATGTTAAATGACAAGTTAATGGGTGCAGCACACCAGCATGGCACATGTATACATATGTAACTAACCTGCACATTATGCACATGTACCCTAAAACTTAAAGTATAATAATAATAAAATAAAAAAAGAAAATTAAAAAATAAAAATTAAAAAATAAAATAAGATCATTTCTTAAAAAAAAAATACTGTGAATGAAAGCAAGAAAGGTGGCATCAGTGAGATGCCATGAAGAGAGTCAGGGTTGGCATAAGTTGTCTCACAGTGCCTTCATGTAGCACTCCCAGATTTCAATTCAAGCCAAGCCACCTCTGTCAGGACATTCACCAGGAGCCCCAGAAGTGTCATATTTACTAAGACCAAGTCAGCAAGCAGTGATGCAGGGTCACCCATGTGCTCACCATGGTGCTTGGCATTTTTTTTTTTTTTCGAGACAGGGTCTTGCTTGTTGCCCTGGCTGGAGTGCAGTGGCGTGATCTTGGCTCACTGCAACCTCTGCCTCCTGGGTTCAAGCAATTCTCCTGCCTCAGCCTCCCGAGTACCTGAGACTATAGACGCACGCCACCACACCTGGCTAATTTTTGTATTCTTAGCAGAGACGGGGAGCGGGGGTGGGTTTCACCATGTTGGCCAGGCCAGTCTCGAACTCTTGACCTCGTGATCTGCCCACCTCAGCCTCCCAAAGTGCTGGGATTACAGGCAGGAGCCACCACACCCAGCTGAAAAATGCCTGGCTGGCATTCTTATACTAATTCAGGAAGCAATCAGCCATTCAATAAATCCTGAGAGCCAGCTGTATGCAGGGACTATACTGGATCCATGCAGATAAGCTAAAGAGCAAAGCCCCAGGTCCTGTTCTCAAGAGGCTCCTAATTTGGGAGAGAGAGAGAGATATGCAAAGAGAGTTGCACTCCAGCATGGTGACTCAGCTTGTGAGCCCCTCACCTAGCCCTGGAGGATAAAGAGAGAAGAAAGACTGCCTCAGGGTTAAGCAGCAAGGAGGGAGGAGAAGGAAAGCTAGCTGAGCAAAATACAGTGGGCCCTCCTTATCTGTGGGTTCCACATTCACGAATTCAACCAGCCACAGTCAAAATATTTGAGGGAAAAATGGTGGTTGCATTTGTACTGAATACGCACAGACATCCTTTTCTTGTCATTTTTCTCTAAACAATACAGTTAACAACTATTAACACAGCATTTACATTGTGTTAGGTATTATAAATAATCAAGAGATGATTTGAAGTATACGGGAGGATGTGCATAGGTTATATGCAAACACTGCACCATGTTATATAAGAGACTTAAGCATCTGTGAATTTTGGTATTCATGGGGGAGTTCTGGCACCAATCCCCCACAGATACCGAGGGATGACTATGCATACCTAGGGGAGAGACCCTACATGCAGGGTTTGTTTGGTGCTGCTGGCAGATAGAAAAAAAGGGAGGAGTCAGGGCCTTTCAGTTTTCTATTCTGGTTGAAGGGCTTGGGACTGATGAGGACTAAAAGTGGCTAAGAAAGTTGCAGCCTCCATAAGGAGATAAATGAGATGATGATGATGATGATGATGATGAGTGTGTGTGTGTGTGTGTGTGTAGCTAATAACACGAGCTTTGGATCCAGGCAACTCTAGGTATGACTCCCCATTCCTTTCCTTCCTGTGTAATCTTGAGCAAGTCACTGACTTCTCTGAGCCACCACTTTTTCATTTGTAAAATGGGTATAAAAATATCAAGCTTGGGCTGGTTGCAGTGGCTCATGCCTGTAATCCCAATGCTTTGTGAAACTGAGAAGGGAGGATTGCTTGAGGGCAAGAGTTCAAGAGTTCAAGACCAGCCTGGTCGAGAGATAGAGAGAGAGAGAGAGAGAAAAGGAGTAGATTAGGGGCTCTAGGCAGAGGCAATAGGATGACAGAAATAATAAAAGCTCCAATGATTGAGCTGCTTCTTGCTGCATAAATTATCCGTTTAATTCTCACAGCAACTACGCACACTTGATATTCTTGTACCCATTTTACAGATAAAGAAACAGTGGTTCTGAAAATCAGTGACTTACTCAAGGTTATACAGTAAGAAGAAAAAGTGGTGCGTCATATTTAGAGTTGCCTGGGTCTAAAGCTTGTGTTTTCAGCTACTCAGACACCTGTCACCTGCATGAGGGTAGGAACCCCAGGTGAGCTGGAAACTCCTCCACCAGGAACAGCCAGCCTGGGTGGAGCACAGTGAAGATGCAAATGTGTGGGGTGAATTTCTTGAGCACCCGCAATGTCAGATTGGAGTTCAGCAAGATTCTGATAGAACAGGAAGTGCTGTTGAGGGCAGTGAGCAGGGCCATGTGAAATGGTTAGAGGCAGGCTTTGAAACAGATGGCACAGGTTCAAATCTCAGCTTTCCCACTCATCAGATGTGTGATGCTACGGAGAGAAAGTATGGAGGAGAAAAGTTGAAGCAACCTGCACAGAACACAACCCACATCATGTTTATTTCTCTGGTTCCTGAGAAGAAAGGGTCATTAACCAATGAACCTCAGAGAATTCGTGTTAGGAAGTGAACCTTAGCATATACAAAACTTGCCATTCGGACAATCAGGGAACAGGGAGCAAAGAACTCGGATGAACTGGGCTGGCAAGCCCTTTACTAAGATTAGAAAAGAAGAGCGAGGGGAAACACCATCGTCACCACCTTGATGATGCAGCTGGTAGCACAAATACACTATGAAACAAACCTGTGTGTTGTCTTAATTTGCAGTGATTTTCAGAGCACCACCGAGATAGTTCTCATCAAAATTTAGGTTCAAAAGCTATAAAATAGCTGCTGGGTGGCAGATTACACAGGCTCTAGAATAAAAAGGTGAGAATTTGCCACCCAGCTTCTACCATGAGCTCACAATGATGTGTCTCAAGGTACACTACACCTCTGAACTAGTTTCCTGGGTAAAATGGAGCAACAGTAACCAACTTATCACTGGTTCAAAAGTTACATTAAATAGAGTATGGGAAGATACCTTGCAACTTGTAATGGGATACAAAGAATAATTATCAATATTACGATAATGACCTTAGCACAACAGTCCTGTATATAGGGTTCTTTCCACATACCTAGTCATCAACCACACACAGGAAATAGAGACATCAATGACTGGACATAACTAGAAATGCTTTTCTCTAAGTACAGAGTCAGAGAAATTTGATTTCTGGGAGTCAAAGTGTTGTCTGGGATGAGCAACATCAACACCAACGTCATCTGGGAACTTTTTTAAAAATGCAAATTTTGGGGCCGCATCCTTGAACCACTAAATCAGAAACCCCAGGGGTTGGAATCAATGTCCGTTTTAATAATGATGACCACTGACCTAGGGAAAATGATCACCTGGCAAGAGACATGACCAAGTGACTTTACATGTAGATCAAAAACATTCCCAACAGGAGGAAAATGGACTCTTTCTGATGAACTCAAATTAAATGATCAAAAAAAAAAAAAAAAACCTGGAAGTTACTGGCACATGATCAACATGGAATGACACATGGGTTTGTTATAATTTTATCTTTTTCCCCTGTAGTGGGCCCTATAGTGCCACCTCAAAATTCATATCCACTCAGAGCCTGGGAATGTGACCTTATTCAGAAATATGGTCTTTGCAGGTCAGGCGCGATGGCTTATGCCTATAATCCCAGCACTTTGGGAAGCTGAGGCGGGCGGATCACCTGAGGTCAGGAGTTCAAGAACAGCCTGGCCAACATGGCAAAACCCCGTCTCTACTAAAAATACAAAAATTAGCTTGGTGTGTTGGCACACGCCTGACATCCCAGCTACTTGGGAGGCTGAGGCAGGACAATCGCTTGAACCCAGGAGACAGAGCTTGCAGTGGGCCAAGATTGCGCACTGCACTCCAGCCTAGGTGACAGAGCGAGACATCGTCCAAAAAAAGAAATATGGTCTTTGCAGATGTAATCAGTTTAAGATGAAGTTATATTGGGATAGGTTGGGCCGTAAATCCAATGCCTAGTGTCCTTAAAAGGGGAGGAAAATTTGAAGACTCAGAGACATAGGGAAGAATGTTATGTGAAGATAGCGGCAGAGATTGGAGTGATGCATCTATAAGCCAAGGAAATCAAAGGATTGCGGGCACCTCCAGAAGCTAGGAGAGAAACAGGGAACAGGCTCTGCCTGAGAGCTCTCTAAAGGAACTGACTCTGCTGACACCTTGATTTCAGACTTCGAGCCTCCTGAACTGTGAGAGGATGAATGTGATAAGTCATGACTTTGTGGTCCTTTGTTATGCCACCCCTGCAAAACTAACACACTCCTTTTTTAAAAAGCAAACATTTCCCAACATAGTGAAACCTTGTCTCTACTAAAAATACAAAAAAAAAAAAAAAAAAAAATTAGCTGGGCATGGTGGCACGCACCTGTAATCCCAGCTATTCAGGAGGCTGAGGCAGGAGAATCACTTCAACACAGGAGGTGGAAGTTGCAGTGAGCCGAGATCGGGCCACTGCACTCCAGCCTGGCAACAGAGCAAGACTCCATCTCTAATAAATAAATAAATAAAATAAATAAATAAATAAATAAATAAATAAATAAAATAAAAAAGGAAACATTTCCCAATATTTAATTTTCTGGAACCACTCCAATTACCCCCAATTTTTCAGACTCTTGATAGTCCTTCTCTTCTGAGTGTAGACTCTTTCCTTAGGCCATATTGTACTTGATTATGGCTCAAGTTTGTATTTTCAGCCCAGATCCCTTCTCTGAGGTCATAGATACTCAGATTTAGGTAATTAAGCAGCCCCTGAAGAGGTGGTATAGAATAATGAATAAGTCTTGGGTTTTGGAACGGAGTTTTTTCCAATACTCTGAAGGCTACATGAGAGAAGAAACTGACATTTTCCTCACTATTATATTCTAGTATTCAGGTTTACGAGGCCCTGAAAAGGTATTTGTATAATGAATGAAGAAAGCAAAAACATTGGCTAGAATGAGGAGGGGGCTCATGCTTAATTGTTTATAGTAACACTATTTCTTCCTTGCTTTCCATACTGCCATTGGCAGGAGGGAGAAGAGAATGCCTCAGAGCCCTGGGTGCTCCAAGAAAGACCCCACACCCTATCTCCCCTGACATTCACAATCTCACCACTGGTGTCTTGCAGAAGATCCTCCCTTGATCTCCACGTCCGTAAAATACTACAAAAGCCCCAGACACCCAGCTCATCCTTTAGCTCCCATATACTTCCCCAATACTGCTCTGTATACCACCTAATCTGACCCCATCTTCACCTCTTTCTAATTCCCTCACCCTCCCTTGTACAATTCCAGATCAGTCATCAGCAAAATCCCTTATAACCTGTGCCACTTCTTTATAAATCCCTTTTTGCCTTTTTGCTCTAATGGAAACTCAGATACTCCTGGGATCCCTGCCTCCTCATAAAGTCCTTCTAATTTGTCACTTTTTTTTTCTTCTGCTTCTTTCTATCACTAGCCTGGAGGTTGACTAGGTGTCCTCTTATTTCCTCATTCCAGCCTCCAGATGCTTCTCCCTGCCTGCTCTCTGAAAACTCGCTTTGAAGTTTATGTCATCCATCTATACCTTCAGTTGCCCCTGTTTATTGCAGGCATCTACAAACCCATGATTCAGAGAATTCCCCCTTATTCTTTGAAGTTTTTAACTCCTGACCTGTTCTCATAATCATAATCATACTGTTCATATCATAAACTGGTGACTTCACTAGCAGTCAAGATAATCTTTCCAGTAACTTGACCTTAACTCTCTTACCTCTTCTCTCTTCTTTTTAGGTCTTGGCATTAAAATCACTGCCACTCCCTGTAATCTCGGTTTCAAGTATTTCACTTTATTAACCACCACACTCCATCTTTCCAACTCACTCATTCCAGGACCTTGAATCCAAAAAAATGTGACTGCACAGTGACCTATAGTGTCTGGATCTTGTTTCCTATTTCACTGAGAGAAGAGAAGGGAGCAGAAGGCAATTTTCTCCCAATCCCTGCACCACGTCTACCTTGCCTGTATCTGCCCTATATACTCACCTCTCTCTCAGTGTGAATTAACAATCCATGTTTGTGTGCAAGGCCGGTCTCTGCATTTTTGTACCAGAACCCATTCCCTCTTACCAACTCAAGGATGGTGCCTCAGAAAGCACTCTTTATCTCCCATACCAATATTTTTATTTGCAAATGAAGTCTGTGTGTAATTCCTCCCATCTTCAAAACTCCTTTCCTTGATACCACATTTCCCTGCTCCCCTTCTTAGCAAAACTTCTCTAAAGAGATGCTTTTTCTCATTATCTCTTAAATCTTTTTCCCTTTCTCTCTGGAACTCACTCTGCTTAGGCTTATATTCTTCCCTCTTTATAAAAATGTGTCTTGCTAATGTCTCCAAAAGCCTGCATGTTGCAGATCTCATTCCTATTTTTAAGTGACCTAGTGGCAACATTGGACCTAGTGACAGCTCCCTCTGCATTGAAAATATTTTCTTATTTCTTCCAGGATACCATTCTGATATTCCCTACAGGCTGCTCCATCTCAGTCACTTCTACTGTTTGCTTCTCAACTTCCCAAACAATACACTTTGGTATACTCTAGGATTCAGTTCTTAAACATCACCTTTCTTTGTCTATACTCACTCCCATATAGTCTTACAGCCTTGATACCATCTATACACTGATGACTCCCAAATTCATTGCCAAATCTGTGAATGCAACAGAGCTGCATATACAACTACTCATTTGACGTCTGCACTTGAATGTCTTTAAAAGTTTGCCCAAAACAAACTCCCAGTTTCCTTCCTCCCCAACTTGCTCCTTCTGCTGTCTTGACCTCAAAAAATAGCAACTCCATCCTTCAATTGGAACAAAAGTGCCTAACTCCTCCTTTTGCTCACATTTCACATCTAATACATTCCCAAATCCTACTGGTTCTGTATTCAAAATCTGTCTAGGGTCCATCCACCACTCACCACCTGGAATGCCACCCTGGTCCATGTTACCATCATCTCTGTGTTTTTTTTTTGTTTTTTTTTTTTTTTTTTTTCTTTTTGACAGCCTGATACCTGGTCTCTCTGCTTCTGCCTTTGGCTCACTTATGGTTTACTTCTAACACAGCAGCTAAGCGATGACTTTGTTGTGTACATCCTATAAACACCACACCCAACTCCTTCAGTTCTTTTCCTTTCACTCATGATAAAAGTCTAAATTCTTAAAATGGCCAGCTCCCACTATGTCTCCAATTTTACCTGCAGGCTCTCCTCCCTGTTGTGGTCCATCCATATTGGCCTTTTTTGCTACAAGTCCACAAGCCTTGCCTCAGGAGCTTTGTGCTTGATTCCTCTACTTGGAACATGTTTCTCTCAGGTGCCCTTCACTTCCTTCAGGCCATTGTTGAAATGCAACTGTCTCAAGATGCCTGCCTTCGCCTTATTTTAAACAGCATCCTCCTTCACAGAGGGCCTTCATTCCTTTTTACCTGCTTTACTTATTCCCATAACAATTCTCATCACTTAGTATATACTATATTTTGATCTACTTATTTTATTTAATGCCTGTGTTCTCCCATCAGGGCAAGGGACATTTGTCTGCTTTGCTCCCAATTGTATTATTAATGTTTTGGAAAATGCATGGCACTTACTATTTGCTGAGTCACTGAATGAATGAATCTACGTATTACTTTTTCGCTGTTGTGGATTGGGATATGTATGAGAAGAGACAGAAGATCTCATTCAAAATAGGAGATGCTTTATCACTCTCTCTACCACTCACTTGTGCACTGGCTCTGTCTTAGACACTTACCTAACCCTCTGTTTCCAACAGAACAATGAGCGATCTTAGAAATTAAGGGATTCCATGTCACAGTCTCCACATTCTTTTCTGTCTGTCACTTACATTGTCCTTTTTGCTTTTGGGGTGGGGATGGGTGTGTGTCACTTTTATCTCAGAATGTTCAGTCATTTTAAGACTTAATTTGGGGTTTAGTGTTCCAAACACTAGTCATTGGTCCATTTTGATTTTCTCTTTTCCCCTCCCCTCCTCTCCCCTCCCTTTTCCTCCCCTCCCCTCTCCTTTTTTTTTTTCTATTCCTCCTGTTCTGTGCAGGAAACGTGCAAGGGGAGAAGAAAAGACACATACACAATGCCTTTAGGGATAAACAACCTTTATCCCATGTAAATGGCGATGCAGATATAATAAGCAAATGATATAATAAACAAATCAATATAATAAGCAAGTTGATATAATAAGCAAATAATATAATAAGCAAATTGCAATGAAAAGGGAAGATATATATATATATATATATATATATATTTATACTCACCAGACTATGAAGGATTCACCACCAGACTAGGAAGCAACAACCTGGGCTCCAGAGTTGGCCACTCATCTGTGCACAGACGAGGAGCAGTCTCCTGAAGCTTTGGCGCAGTCTGGGACCCTAGCTCTTTTTGTAACGAGTTATTCGGTGTGAGGCCCAGTCATGAGGGCCCTTTGGCTCAAGGAACACAAAAAGGTCAACTTGTTTTTTGTGATTGTCTATTGCTTTTCAATAACTAACGTATAGGAATAGATTGAAATAGGGATTTCTCTGAAACAGTGCTGGATGAACGCCTCAAGGGGCACACACAACCTGTTCTGGGACTTGGTGACCATTGTTTGTGTCGATGTTCAATTGAGTTCAAATTTAATATTTAACTTTTCCTCCACACCTCACCATCTCACCCCTCCCCTTCCTTCTCCTCTCCCTCGCTTCCCTCCTCTCCTCTCCCCTCCCTTCCCTTCCTTCCCCTCCTTTCTCTTTCTTTTTTCTTCCCTTCCCTTTTTCTCTTCTTTTCTCTCTTTAATTTTTTCTCTTTTTGTGACTGGATTAGAGCTCTAATAACAGAAAGTTAACTGTCCTCTGTTATTAGAATTTAGGTGGTACAGAAAATAAGAGAAAGGGAAGAAATCCTATTAAGCCTTTAGAAAATCTTCACTCAAATCACATCATTCTCACCACTCTGGTTCCTGAATTCTTTGTTTATTATTTGGCATGTCAAATTTCTTTGTAAGTTTAACAGGAATTAAGCATTTAAAAGTGTGGTTTTTTTTTCATGGTGAATCAAACTTCCAGATCTATCATTGAGAGAATAGTATCATAAATCCCCATGTAGACAGAACCTTTAGTTCCCGAAGTCCTTGTCCCTTTTCTTTCTGCCCCTATAAAATTAATGACCATTTTTTCCTTTGTTTACGAGAAGAACCAGTCTGAACACAGAGACTCTGTTGCTTTGAGTTCTGGAATACTGTTCTAAGAATACAGTAAGACAATGGTATGAAGGCAAATGCTTTTGATGTACAGATGGCTGGTTTTGTTGACAGAGAAAAAAACAAAACAAACAAAAAATGTCTTGTGACTTCCATTGAGGCAGAACTTGAAGGCACTTACAGAGCAGATTATAGAAATTGTGAGAACTGACTGATGCAGGGAAGTTCTCACAGAAGGAAAACGATGGCTCAGAGAGTCACCAGAGTGCTTGGGAGGAGTCTGAGTGTTAAAGATAAAAGAATAGAATGACTATTCAAGATGTACAACATGACCATCCAAGTTCCAGCTCACCCCTTGGTGTAAAATGTCAAGCTGGAGGGTACAGAAACCTAATCTCATTTAGGAGAAAGTAAGTAAAACAGAACTGGAATCCTTGAATCCTCAGAAAAAGCCTAGGGAGTCTGCAAGCCCCTCAAAGAAGTTCCATAGTCATCATGGAATTACAATCCATTGTAGTGAGCAAGTCATAGGGAAGCCAAGACATGGCTCAGGCTATCTCTCACATGTCACTACCAACTAGAGAGAGAGCCACAGTGCATTATTGCCACTGGCCCTCAGGGGACATGGAAATCCTGAGCTTGGAGGAAGCCGGGAGTCAACATGAGGGCACATTCAGAATGTGGACTTCAAGACTGGAGGCCACAGAAACATCTGAGGTCATTATAGAGGAAGACAATAAGAGCATCGACATCCTTGACATCCAGACCCAATAAAATCGTCAACATGCTGAGGAAGTCCACAGCAGAAGACAGCATGGGAACCAGACAATGCTCCCCTGACACCGCAGGGCCACACAGTCTTCTTTCTCAGGTGTCCTCTTGAGATGTCGAAGAAGGGTATAGGAGAAACCCTGAAAAACAAGCATGCTTCTAAAATAGCCTGAGGTTGCCCGAAAGAGACTGCTTTAAACCACGGCCTCACCCAGTAGCCTGAAAACTCTTTAAGGACCAGTGCTGGGGTTTACCCAGTTTTGTGTCCCAAGCAGCTATCACAAACAAAGGTACTGAAAAGTATCTCAGTAGAAGACCACTGAGTGATGAATAAACAGTCTAAATAAAAGCATCAAGGTTTACAGCAACTGACTAGAAGGAAAGGACTGAACTCACAGAGGAAATAATAAAAGGAGAAAGTCAGATGATGCCTCTCCTTTGGTTCGAAAACAAATTGTACAAAAATAGGGCTCTCAGTCCTGTTCCAAATTACTTACTGTGAGTGAGAAACCAAATTCAATTTAATGCAGTAAGAATGACCTGCAACTACAAAAGGAAGAAGAGGTAGAGGAGGAAAAACAAGCAATTTGGTTCTGTTTTACTCAGAGGATGTAGATGACTCTGGGTACCACATAAAGAAAGAACATTGACAACCTGTGTACACACAGTAAAGTGTATTGATCTCATTAGAGGAGCAGTTGAATAATTAAATCTGGAAAGACCTGGAGAATTGATGAAGAAATTGATAAATGTCTTTGGATATAAAATAGTTGTCATATAGGAGAAGCCACAGATTTGTTTTAGTCTGCTCCAGGGAGCAAGAAAAAGAGCAGAGATGGGGAATTGCTAGAAGGAAGATTTCAGTGTATAGAAGGAAGAGCATAGGAACAGGATGCCTGAAAAAGAAATTGCACAAATATAGAGGTGAGAGCCCTATTCCAAAGCACTTACTGTAAAAGGAAACAAAAGTCAATTTAACGTAATAATATTGAGCTCCCCATCACTGGAAGTGTCTTGGCAGGTGCCGAAGGCCTGTTTGTGGGAGGTTTGAAAGAGGAGATTTAACATGGGTAGGAGATAAGTACAAGACCTGAAAGTCTCTTTCAAAATTGGCAATTAATGGGCTATCTCTCTCTTAGATGTTCATTCAGGCAAAACCAAGGTGAAGAACACCTGCTGGTATACTTTGCCAGAGAGGTGCCAGGATGCAAGGAAGGACACAGTGGTAGAAACATAAGCGTCCATGGAGGATTAACTGCAATCCCGCATGCCTCCCCGTGTGTTTGCAGCATGACTTTGTAGCTCCTCCCATGAAGAGACAGGATCTTTTTCCCTGCCTTTCAAATTTGGGCTGGCCACGTGACTTACTTCAGCCAATGTAATGTCATACAAATGATTCTGTGTCCGTTTGGGGCCTAGACATCATACCACTGCCACTGCCATGAAAACAAGCCTAGGCTAGCCACTTGGAGGGTGAGAGACCAGCTGGAGAAAAGTCCACTTATTTCAATTCTGAACATCCTAGATTTGCCAGTTGTCAGCTAACCTCCGAACATGTGAGTGAGTCCAAACAGCAGCAGCGGCCTACCCAACTGAGGGCTGATTGCAGATGCATGAATAAACCCAGCTAAGACCAGAAAAAACTTCCCAGCTGACCTGTAGACTTGTGAGCAATATAAATGCTTATTATTTTCAGCATTAAATTTTGGAGTGATTTGTTACACAGCGATTACTAACTAATATATCTTTGGAGACAGGGAGACTTGCACCTCACTATTGTGTCAACTTCAGCAAGCCTCTTTAGCCTCTCGGCTTTGGTTACTTTTTCTGTAAAATGTGGACAACTTAATGGGACCCATTTCTTGGGAGGATTCAATGCATGATTTATATTAAGTCATTTTCACAGTGCCCAATACATAGTTAACACTCAACAAATTTTGTCCATTATTAGTATTTTTATGAGTGAGCTGGAGAAAATTACCACTGGGGAAGTAAAATCATCATGGTGGAATAAATTTCATACGACATTGCTTTCTTTCACACATCAAAAAGGTAAAATAGTTATATTCTGTATCTTTTTTTGATTGATGTGTTTATTTTGAGAGAAATCACTTCCTTTACACTTCTGTCTCCTGGGCACATGTCCAAACCAACACAAAGAACTTTAGATGATGACACACTCTCACCTCCTATTGAACATATGTGGCAGCCATGTATGTTCCTGACTTTAGGTTATCTTGGGAAGGCTCTTTCTCTGCCTGGATGATGGTGGGTGTCAAAATTTAAAACTAGTCAGAGCCAAGGAAATGACATCCTCCTGTAATGTTGAGGTCTTCCCAGGCAAAGGAAGCACTCAAAAAGGTCTTTTTATAAGAATAGGTTACAACAAAAGAGGAAGCTAACCCTCGTACCTTCAAATAACCTTTAAAAAATATTCCCTCCCCAGATAACTTTTTATATTATCTCCTTTCACAAATTTCAGAATCCAAGGCATGAACATACATCTCTTTTTCTGCAAGAATGACTCTGTCACAAGTCAAACAAGTAATAATTCAACTTAGCCTTAGAAGGGACTGCATGGTCTAAATGTAGGTCCTGCAATCCAATTACCTATTTTATTTTTGAATCTCCCCAAATCCATTTTTCTACTCATTATTGAAAACTTCTACTGCTGAGAAACTTGCTACTTCATGGAACAGCCTATCTCATTGCTTTTTACCTGTAAGACAAGGATTCAAGCACAATTAGTTTCTTTGGGAGGTTATTCCATAATATAAGATAGGGATATGGAGAAGTGACACAGAGAATGGAAGAAAATCAATACAGGATATGCACATATATGTTTTGAGACAGGGTCTTTCTCTGTTTCCCAGGCTGGAGTACAGTGGCACAATCACAGCTCACTACAGCCTCTACTTCCTAGTCTCAAGTGATCCTCTCACCTTAGCCACCCAAGTAGCTGAGACTGCAGACATGCACCACCATGCCTGGCTATTTAAATTTTTTTTTTTTGTAGAAACAAGATCTCACTGTGTTGCCCAGTCTGTTCTTGAACTCCTGAGCTCAAGTGATCCTTCTGCCTCAGCCTCGCAAAGTGCTAGGGGTACAGGCATGAGCCACCACTCCCGGCCACAATATGGGATATATTTTGATTACATTTTCAGCTTCAGATAAATGAAGCTTAATTCTGTTAGAGAACTTTAAGGACGATATTCCTAGCATATATATCTCAGAATTACCTAACCTAAGGGGTAAGGGAGCCGGGGTATTTATGTACCAGATTGCACAATTATTTATTGAATTTGCTATTGAAAGGAGTTAACTTCCATGCAAGTGGCAGGCCAGAATTGCTGTTCTGCCTTTTGTACAGGCAGAGTTAACTTCAGCCTTGTGGCAAAGGAGCATAGTGCTGGAAGTTGGCAGTCAGGCTTCGGTGCAGACACTGTAAGAGTGGAGGAGATAAGAGTTCCAACAATGTGCACTGCAGGTATGAAAATCTCTTTCCCACAGAAGGCATCTGCCATTTCAGCCATCCCAACCTCTTTCCTTCTCCTTTGGTTCACCCCTCCTTTGGAGAATCTCCCTTTTCCTCGTCTCTGTTCACATAATTTAGAAGGAGGTGATTTTAGCTCCTTTTAGCTGAACTTCTAGCTTGAAAGTTAGTACATTCCTCGGTTCTGGACAATAATTGTAAAGTGTCTAATATTCACAGTGCTTGGTTCAGAAGTGGGTATGTGATCAAAGCCAACTTACTCAGATGCAATCCTGAGATTTTTCTAGAGCAATTAGGAAAGGGTAACTATTCTCTCTGTTGGGACTGCTAAAATGATAGGCTGTGAGCCCAAATGTTCTTGTGGCCATCATTGTCATGTGATCAAGCAATCCCACTTCTGTGTATTTATCCAAAAAAATTGAAATCAGAATACTGAAGAAAGATATTAGCACTTCCATGTTTATTGCAGCACTGTTCACAAAAGCCAAGATGTGGAAACACACTAAATGTTCATTGACAGATGAATGGATTAAGAAAATACAGTAGCTGGGTGTGGTGGCTCATGCCAATATTCCTAGCACTTTGGGAGCCTGAGGTGAATTGCTTGAGCCCAGGAGTTTGAGACCAGCCTCGTGAGCAAAGCATGCTGAAACCCGTTGTCTCTACAAATAAATAAATAAATAAATAAAGAGGGGCGCATGCCTCTGCCTGTAGTTCCAGCTACCCAGGAGGCTGAGGTGGGAGGATCACCTGAGCCAAGACAGGTTGAGTCTGAGGTTATGAACCATGGTTGTGGCACTTCAGTAAAGTCTGGGTGACAGAGTGAGACCCTGTAAGAAAGCAAGAAAAGCAAGAAAACAAGAAAGCGAGAAAGCAGGAAAGCAAGCAAGCAAGAAAGAAAGAAAGAAAGAGAAAGAAAGCAAGAAAGAAAAAAAGGAAAATATGGTCTCTACACACAATAGAATACTATGCAGCCTTAAAACATAAGGAAATCCTACAATATAGATAACATAGATGAACCTTGAGGACACTATGCTAAGTGAAATGAGCCAGTCACAGAAAGACAAATACTGCATGATTCCATTTTTATGAGATACCTAAAATAGTTAAATTTATAAAGTCAAAAACTGGAATTATAGATGGTCAGGAGCTAAAGGGAAGGAGGAAATGAGAAGTTACTCATCAATTGGTATAAAGTTACAATTAAGCAAGATGAATGAACTCTAGATATCAGCTCTATGACACTGTACCTATAGTCAACAGTGACTATACACTTCAAAATTGCTGAAGGCTGATCTCATGTTAAATGATCTTATTACAATAAAGTTGAAAAAGTGACAATAAAATAGCGAAAAATAAACATAGAAGGTAACATAATACAAACAAAATAAAAATCAAGGTTTTAAATTCTGAAAAACCTGGATTTAAAATGTGGCTCAGGCATTTACTAGCTCTGTGGACTAGAGTAAGGTATTAAAACACTGTAAGCCTTATTTTTCTCATCCATAGAATGGAGAGGAAGAGTGCCTGTTCTGCATAGTTCTGGATTTTTGAATGGTAAATGGCCAGTGAATTTGGTGGTATCTAAAGAAAAAAAATAGCAGAATTAAAGATAAGAAAAAAAGAATGTTTTATTGAGGTATGATTTGCACACATTTAATGTACACATGTGATAAGTTCAGATATGTGCATACACTCATGAGACCATGGTCACAGTCCAAGACCAAGGTACTAAACGTACCCATCACCTCTAAAAAGTCCCTTTTGGGCCGGGCGCAGTGGCTCACGCCTGTCATCCCAGCACTTTGGGAGGCCGAGACGGGTGGATCACGAGGTCAGGAGATCGAGACCATCCTGGCTAACACGGTGAAACCCCGTCTCTACTAAAAATACAAAAAATTAGCCGGGCGTGTTGGCGGGCGCCTGTAGTCCCAGCTACTCGGGAGGCTGAGGCAGGAGAATGGCGTGAACCCGGGAGGCGGAGCTTGCAGCGAGCGGAAATCGCACCACTACACTCCAGGCTGGGGGACAGAACGAGACCCCATCTCAAAAAAAAAAAGAAGTCCCTTTTGTTCCTTTGTGTTTCTTTCGTAGTTAGAACACTTAACATAAGATCTATCCTCCTAAACGTGTTTTAAAGTACACAATACCTATTGCTAAGTACTGTACATTGTACAGTAGATCACTAGAACTGACCCATCTTACCTAACTCTTTATACCGATTGATCAACAACTCCCCATGCAGGTCTGGCATAGAGTAACATACAGTAATAACCCCATAAAGGGAGCTACAATTGCATGTCTTCCCTGAGATTTCTCTTCTCTAGGGTGAACCCCTTTGCCATTTCTAGATATACATTGTTTATATTTTTCAGTATAATCTCACCATAACTGTGACAATGAGGTACGATATTGGAAACTACAGGTATCAGGACTAATAAGGAATGTGTGATGGCTGAATGGTTATATGGCATAAATTGTGATTCCTACTTATATCATTGGCCACTCTTATCTGAGTATAGTCATAATTAAAAACACATATGTTTAAAATCTTGACTGGCATGCATAGTAGTGGCTTATTCCACTGAGAAAAGTGGTTTTCCTTTTTCTTAAAGTGGAGGCTGCCACTAGATAAACAATCCCATTAAGAGATGAGTGACTTTTTGGAGTGGCCAGCGCCCAAGAGCTCTCCCTCCCTAACCATAGGGCATACTTGAAAAATGTGCCTGATGCCTTGGTGGAGTTCCATGCAAAACAGAGGCTTACAAAAGTTACATGACCTAGACAAAGTCACAGAGTGAACAGGTGGAGTTATGAAGCTCAAGGGCTGACCATTCTCATTGCAAAGCAGGTCCAGTTTCCAATTGTAAAATCCATAGTACTTTCTGGGCCAGAGAGTGCATTTGGAGAGACATGCATTCTATCCTTAAACCATCACTAAAATGTTGCTTGCAATTTTTTACTCTGATTAGTAATTTGTAGTCATGGACTTCTCATTGTCATACCTATGGTTGAGTTTTTTGAGAAACAGAGTCTCAGATGGAGACTTGCATGCAGAAAGTTCACTGGATAGTGTCTTCAGGAACAACACTTATAAGAGAGATAGGGCCTCAGAGAAATGCAAATCAAAACCACAGTGACATAGCATCTCACACCGGTTAGAATGGTGATCATTAAAAAGTCAGGAAATAACAGGTGCTGGAGAGGATGTGGAGAAATAGGAACACTTTTACACGTTGGTGGGACTGTAAACTAGTTCAACCACTGTGGAAGTCAGTGTGGTGATTCCTCAAGGATCTAGAGCTAGAAATACCATTTGACCCAGCCATCCCATTACTGGGTATATACCCAAAGGATTATAAATCATGCTGCTATAAAGACACATGCACACATATGTTTATTGTGGCACTATTCACAATAGCAAAGACTGGAACCAACCCAAATGTCCATCAGTGATAGACTGGATTAAGAAAATGTGGCACATATACACCATGGAATACTATGCAGCCATAAAAAAGGATGAGTTCACGTCCTTTCTAGGAACATGGATGAAGCTGGAAACCATCATTCTCAGCAAACTATTGCAAGGACAAAAAACCAAACACCACATGTTCTCACTCATAGGTGAGAATTAAACAATGAGAACACTTGGACATAGGAAGGGGAACATCACACACTGGGGCCTGTCGTGGGGTGGGGGGAGGGGGAGGGATAGCATTAGAAGATATACCTAATGTAAATGACAAGTTAATGGGTGCAGCACACCAACATGGCACATGTATGCATATGTAACAAACCTGCACATTGTGCACATGTACCCTAGAACTTAAATAATAATAAAAAAAAAAAAAAGAGAGAGAGAGTGAGGGAAACAGGATTGGGCAGAGGGAGAAGTTGAACTGTGAGGCAGCTGCAATTGATGACTAGCCCATTCCACAGGGAGCTCTAGCACTAGGGTGGCCCCGCAGAGTTTTCCTGAACTGGGACAAAGAGCACATCTACACTGACTAACGTTAGATCAGACTGACCCTGGGAAGGGAGTGTAACTGTGGGCAAACTCGTGGTCTCCAAAAGAGGGCAATGCAATTAGCATTCAACACTCCCATCAACTGATTAAATTAGTGCCTTCGCTCTGAAGCGGGTTCTAAATGACACACCAGAGCATTTTCAGGTCCCTGTTCAAGGAAATTTAAAAATGCATTTGACACTTGGATAATTCAAACAAAAAAAAAGTCTGAAAGTATGAAACCAGTGCTATTCCCTAGAAGTAAGGAAAGGAATATGATGGCATGGAAATTATTTGAGATTAGAAGTTAGACAGACATGGGATTCCATTCAGAATACTCCAGAACTGGAATTGTATTCCAAAATGAATACAATTTCTCTTGGTATGGTCTTGGAACAATTCTAAATTACTTAGCTTCTCTGAGCACAAGGTTTTCAATTATAAAATGATGATGTTAGTAATAATACCACCTTCACGGCATATTTGGAAAAACATAATGAGAAAATTCACTTGAAGTACCAAGCACAGTGCCTGGCATATTGAAGGCACTTGATAACTAGTAGTTTTCTGTCACCTAAACAACAGTGAATGGCTTGTATGTATGTCATTCTTTATTCAAATTTTGTAGAGTAGAATGTACCAAATGTTTAAAGAATTCATAACTGGTTGAATGAAGAAAAATACAGGCAAGTAATAGGAAGAGAAGTGCTGAGATGGAAGCAAACATAGTGTGTGTTGTGAGTGCAGACCTGAGATCTTGCAGAATAGTCCAAGGACTAAGGGAGAAGTAAGGATCGGACCTATGTCCTGAACCAGAAAGAGAGGTGAGTGTGTTGTTGGAGCCATGAGGGAGAAAATTCAGGGAGGGGCCTCTTAGGTTCCAAAGCACAAAGACAACAGAAAGCATAGCATGTGTGGGCATCTGTAGGTGGTTCAGTACAGTTGCAGCATAATACGGGCAAAGAGTAGGCAGCTAAGGGAACACTGCATTTCAATACGTTTGGTATTGGCAGCTCCTAAGCCATCACTGTGGCTTGGGATCACTTGTTTTAAATTCACTAAGAAGTATTAAAGAACGCAGGTGGTGGAAAGAGTTCACAGCCTGTTTAAATAGAGTCTACCTGGGGCTGAAAACCAGTTGGCATGGAGCTCACTTGTTCCATCTTGTTAACAGCACTGGATTTCAGGTTTAATGGCTTTAGGCTGGTTTAGTACAGCCTTGCTAAGGAGACCATGTTTCCTTTGGATGATTGGAGAAGTCACCCTTTCACAATGCATGGTGAAATAAAGTCAAACTTCAGATGAGAATTTTGAGTTCATTGCAAGCCCAGTATGCTCACAGCGTAGTTAGCAGGAGCAGTCTCACAGAGGGGGTTGGGTCTACCCTAAAAAGTTCTTCCCTGAGGCCAGATTCCATCCTTCACTTACCCAGCTCTGGCTGATTGGCTAGGGAGAAAAGTGCCCCATGGCCTGTCTATGACATGATTTCCACTGTAAACTTTGTTTTTATTCTCTGTGAAAGAGTACTTTATGCCCTGAACTTTATGAATGTTAAAAAAAAAAAAACAACCAAAACATTCATTTTCAGATGAAATTTTTCAAGCTTGGACTCAACCCAAGAGGATTTTAAAGAATTGGCAATTGGAAGTAAAATGTTCCAGGAGGCTTTTAGAAATGCAGTGTTAACCAAAAAATAATTAAAATTTCAGAGTGCCTGGTTTGTAGGCTTCAATGAGGGTGGTAGGTTTACTTGTACACACACCTAATTCTGGTCCACTTCCACATTTCCACATTCTAGGCTTATACAAAACTTTATTTTTTCCAGAATTTCTTAATTAGCTTCATTTTTATCATATTTTCACTGTGAAGTAGAGTCAAGAGATAAAGAAATTGACACACAGGCAAGTAACAAGACACATTGCCCAACATGGCCAATATTTAGTGGGAAAAGCATAGTCAGTGGACACGAGACATGGCTGGGGCTCATAGGTACTGCTGCTGTTGACTAGATGAATACCTGTGTCTTGATTACTTATGAATTCTTTGGCTTGACTTGCTCATCTGTAAAATGGGATAGTAATAGTACACAGAATGATGTGTGAATCAAACAATCATGATTTAATCACCACTTAAATGGTGGTAGAAATATTTATTTGTAAATTACAGTGTCATTTAAATGTTAAATAGTATTTAAATGCAATTAAACATCTAGTTAGGAATATAAATGCAAATTCAACCCATCTTCTGAGTCTTGAGTAGGCATTAGTGTTTCGAATGAATCATTATTATTAGCCATCATCAGTTTATCAGGGAATTGGTAGGTTGAATACATCTTTCAAGTTCTACGAAGATTTTAAGATCCATTCCAGAATCCCCTATGAACTTCTCAGTCACTTTTGCCCCTTGTCGAGTGGGATGGAACAATATCCATGTGGAATGTTCAGTTTTTTCTTACACTAACTCCCTCTGCTTCCTGTAGAATGGCCTCTTATGCAACTTGGAGTGACATTGTTTAACGCTCATGAACTGCATAGTTATTAGTTAGAGAATACAACTATAGAAAGACATCCAAGCCCTCGAGGACTCTGTGTTCTCAAAGACATCAAAAGCAACACACACCTACTACTCTAAACATCTGCCAAATCATATCTACTTTAAAAACTGTAACAAGTATAAAATCCACCAAAAATCAAAACGATGGCTAACCATGCACATACAAAAAAATAAAATTCCCAGATGTACCATATCAAGGAACCCAGCACATATACATAATGAACTTCCTATTTCCTATAAATAGACTCTAGCTCTTTATCACTGTATGTCTCTAATACAAGGATTTTAAAGAGGAAACAATGAAATTTGTATGTCTGTTTCCTGTATTCTCCAGTAGACTATAGAAACTGGGGGTATCTTATTCATTCCTATACCCCCAAAATACATGGATAGGGTGGAGAAATGCACTTAGTAAGCCCCTATTCAGTGCCAAGTGCTATACCAGATTCTTTACATTGATTTTCTCCATTCATTCTTTGAAATAATCCTTAAATGGTAGGTATTACCATCATACTTGTTGATAGATAGGGAAATAGGCTGCTGATGAGAAAAGTACCTTGCTCAAGGTCACATATGTAGTAAATGGTAGAACCACAATTCATGTTTGAATCTGTTTCCTATTATACTCTTTTGCCTTTCATATGTTAATAGTACAGTATTTAGTATATAATATGTATTTATGCCTGATAAATAGTATGTGCTCACAATATGTTAAATTGTCGTATTACTATCCCTAAAATAATGCTTGTATAAGATATAACATCCTGAATACAAACAGGTCTAAATACAGAATTCCGTAGAATTAATTCTTACTTAGGTACTAGGTCTTAGATATTGATAGTAATAGTCATGCACCACCTATCCATTCTGGTAGGGCCAAATGTAGCATAGTCATAAATTAAGCTGTAATAAGGGCTTTACATAAATTGATTTATTTAGCCTTTTGAGATAGACACTACTGTTATTTCCATTACTCTAATTTTACAAATTAGGAAAATGGGGCACAGAAAGTTTGTCAAAGCAGAGATGAGAGTCCACCTCAGAACTCGGGGAGCTCTAGTTTCCTTATGTGTCTGTCTCTCAAACTTGACTGCACTTTAGAATAACCTGCAAATTTTCTGTACTCTGGAAAGCCTGGACCTGACTACCGGAGATTCCTATTCAGTTGATCGGGGGTGAGGTAATGGCATTCATGTATTTTGCAAGATATCCATGTGATTCCACCGTACAGCCAGGGGCTGGGAAGCCCTGCACTAGAGTAGACCTCCTCTGAATTCTGCTGTGCAGAAGGCTTGTTCTCTGTGCGAGTCAGAACTGAGTGTATATATATTAATAACCCCACTCTTCTCATTGACTTCTACAAACCAGGCTTTCTGAAGTTTTCATATAAATTGCATTTACAAGACTACTAATAAGAGTGATGGAACCCATCATTTGGCATGGAAACTATACGTGGTTTAGATGTTAGGCACAGTGCTAGGAGCGTTGTGTGACTTATTTCAGTTAACCCTCAGAGCAGCCCTATGAGTAGGTAGTTTTGCTTTAGGTTGGGTGTGTCAAATAGGTTTCATCTTTCATCTCCAGTAATCACCCTCCCAACCTGGTTGATTACTGGAGCTCACAGCCTTGCCACTCACAGTGTGGTCTGTGGGCATCACCTGGAAGCTTGTTAGGAATGCAAAACCTCAGTTTCCCTGCCAACATTCCCCTAATCAAAATATCAAATCTGCATTTCAACAAGGTGATTCCAATACACATTAAAGTTTGAGAACCGCTGGTCTAGAGCCATTTCTTGAGCAGATTCTGTGTTCCCACTGGAACAGATGTCAGCAGGAAAATGTGCTCTGGTAAATGTTCTGTGTCTGCCTGGGCAGAGGATGGACTCGTGCCTTGGGAATCAGGCATTTATCAATTTGGCTTCATATACAGGCACAGAGGACACTATAGAGAACACATAATGCATTCTCAATTTAGGCACTGGCCCTCCCTTACTAAACACTTGCTGATGTTCTTTACCAGCATGGGTAAGGGATCCATCTCATTTTGGTCCTGTTATTTTCAGCAGGTCCAGCACTTCTCTTGACTTGCATTGTCCATACTGGCTAGGTGTGTCTAGCTCTCTATGCTTGGGTTACCAATTAAAACCTTCTTGTCTTTGCTTGTTACAGAATGGCAGCAAGATGCTGCAGCTTAGGTGACCAACCAACCTGGTTTACCTACAATGGGGGTGGTTTCTGGAGATGTGGGAGAAGGCCTGGACAGTCTTGGAGAAATCAGAATGGTTGGTCATCTTAATTGCAGCCCTTGTCTCTCTCATACACATTGAGTCTGTGTTTGCTGTTTCTTGTAGGGCTACTTGTTTCTCTATTAGATCTATATCCTCTGCTTTCCAGCAGTAAGCAATTATTCCCAGCCTTTTTTACAATCAAGAAATATTACTTCCAATGTGTAGTCCACATTAAAAATAAACACCCTATATCATAGAAAAATGAATCTATACCTCCTGTAGACTACCTTTAAATGTCTCCTTTTCTCATCCTACTTCCTTCATCAACAAGAACACAGGGAGTATTTGTTAATTACTTTTTGGCAGACACTATGTTGTTGAGAACGGCTGGTATAAGAATGTTATAATTACAGTTTGAGTGACTTTTAATAATTTGTAATCAATATTAATTAGGATTGGCCGGGGGTGGTGGCTCATGCCTGTAATCCTAGCACTTTGGGAGGCCAAGGCAGGCAGATCACGAGGTCAGGAATTCAAGACCAGCCTGACCAATATGGTGAAACCCCATCTCTACTAAAAATACAAAAATTAGCTGGATGTTGTGGCACACACCTGTAATCCCAGCTACTCAGGAGGCTAAGCTGGGAGAATTGCTTGAACCGGGAGGTGGAGGTTGCAGTGAACCGAGATCGTGCCACTGCACTCCAGCCTGGGCAACAGAGTGAGACTCCATCTCTCTCTCTCTCTCTCTCTCTCTCTCTCCATCTATAATATATAGATATATATATATATATTAGGATAAAAGACCTATTTTTAGGCTCTATCCCAGGACCACCAGTTTTCAAGTCCAAGTGACAGGATTTTTTATGCCAGAAGCTGATTTATCTTGGTACATTATTTAACTTCCTTTGATTCTCAACTGTTGAGATATAAGGTTACCTTTCTGTCTTTGTAACTTCCAGATCTTCATAAAAGGAAATCGCAAAATTAAAATTTCAACCATAAAGGTGAAAGAATTGTGTAAAATAAGCTCTGAAGTTTCCTTAAAATCTAACATTTTATATTGTAGATGACCAGTAGGTTTTAGATTATTGCACTGGATATTAACATTTTAATTCTTCCAATTTGTTGGATACTTAGCCGAACAATTTATATTGAAAATAACAAGAGATTTTAAAATCATGTATATCTGACTTACCCTTTGGCTTGGAGAAACAGACACAGGTCAATTATAGATTATTCATTTGTTATTTTAATTAAATTATATGGACTGTGGCTTGCTAATGCTCAAGACAGAAAATGAAAGTGTTTTCTGCCCTTTTCCCTACACTAAGGGATTATTGAGATAATGACCTAATAGTCTGGGTTGTGTATATGTCAGAAAAACTTCATTTTATTAATAAGTGATACTACAGATACTGCCCATTTATTATATTGATAGCAGCTGTGGATATGAGAAGAGTGGACCTATATATGTCCATATATAGGTATAACCAATATATATGTATAACATATATATGTCCATATATATGTATAACCAAACCACAGGTGTTTTTTTGGAAGTCATATTATACAGGGAGTTGACAGAGGTGTGAGCTGGACTTTAAGAAGCTGCACATAAGATGCTAGTATGATCAAGCTGGAATGGACTTAGACAATTTGAAACAACTTTTCTCAGTTTTCAGATGAGGAAACTGACGGGTACCAAGCTTAAATGACTTGACGAAGCTCATAGAAGATTAGCAGGTAGTAGAATAATGACTGCTGACTCCTAATTCAGTGGATCTTCCCTGGCCACCGTTTTGTATTGAGCTGCAATGCTTCCTTGACTGTTCTCCATGCCAGATTCTTATCAATGATCTTTCACCTAAGAAACAGCAAAGATTCTGGCAAGCACACGATCTAGAGATACATCTTATTGCGATTTTTCACAAAAATCAAAAGAAGAAAGAAGGCTTAGCTGGTGTTTAATTATTGTTATTTTTTTCAATAGGGAAATCTGTACACAATGATTTATCTCCAGTGATTTGCCATTGATCAATTTTTTTCTCATTTCATTTTCTATTTTTTTGTTTTTTGTTTTTCTTTATTTTTTATTTTTTTCTCCTTTTTCTTTTTTTAAATTTTCTGTTTATCACAAATGATCATGTAATTATATGTTAATACTATGTAACCCCAGTGTTTTCAACTGTTTGTGATTCAATGTTACCCAGTTTTCTTTTCTTAATTTTAAATAAATTTGAAAAATTATCTTAGAGTGTTTTGAGCCTGTGTTGGTACATTTAGTTCTAGTTCATTGTGGTAAATCCACTTCAGTTTCTAAGTTTCCACCCTTTAGTAAAGACATATTTCTAAATTTGGTTTATATCCTCAGTTACAAAAGATTCTAACTGCTAGTTTTGTGACAGCAATCACACATACCATCAAGGGATGGGGCAGGCAGTTTTGGAATGTGCTGATGCTAGCATTTTTATAAGCCTATGGCTTTTATAGTCTAAATTGTTCTTATTTCTATTAATGCTTCAATTTTTGACAAACACACAACCATAGAAACAAATAATAAATTTGTTTTTTGGGAATTATCCAGGATTCTTGGTTAAGTGGGGAATTTAGGCTTTGACAGCATAAAGGATCACGGATAAGTATTTTTCACGGTGGCTCTAATTATAATGCTGAGCATGTGGCAGGCACAGAAATATTTACTCATTGACTGAATATAGCACATCGTAATGTTGATTTTTTTCCAACATAATTTTAGAGCTAGGCATATTGTATTCTATTACACTAGACTATATATCATTCTTAAATAGAACCAGCCTTGCTAGATAACACATGTTGGAGGAGAGGCCCTTCTTCTTAGCCCTCAGTGTTTCCATCTATGGGGAAGAAGTTCCACCATACTAACATTACTATCGTCTCTCCACCTGCTCACTCACTTCTCCCCAAGGGAGGGGTGTTCGATATGGTTTCTGAGCTTGGAAAGAAAACTCAGGCATGTGTAACATGGTTCCTTCAGTCCCATGACCCACTGTCCACAAATGGGCTGCTCACAGAGTGCATGCCTTCACCCTTGTTCCTGGCCATGCAGGAAATTGTATGAAACAGTCCTAGCTGAAGCCTGAGATTTTCCTGCATTGCCTAGTCCTGGTGGGTATCTGTCTACTCCTGGAGTTTGGATTGGAAAGTCCACATGCCTGAAGGTATAAACCTATTCTACAAAGGGGTGTTTTCTAGAATGAAGGTAATATTTTTATCTTACATTTGCAGAAAGAGACAGAACAATGTTATAGGTGAGTGCATGGACAATGACCTCAAACAGCTAAGATTCAAACCCCTGCGTTGAATGATTGAATTGAAATGATTCAATGAGCTAATGTACATAAAGCATCCAGAATGTTGCCTGGCACAAGGTAAATGCTCTACAAATGTCTGATATTAATGTTAGCCTTTTGTTTCCCCGTTCAGTTGGTTCAGAACGTAGACATTATGTACTGGCTCTGCCTCACACCTCAATAACAGAGATTTCTTAAAGAATAACTTATAAACTCTTTTCAACTTCAAATCACTCCGTGATTAGGCTTATCTTATACCTTACTAGTTCTTAGCACCAGAATTATTTTTCCAATTGTAGAACTAATCATGTTTCTCTGAAATTCTTAATTCGTGCAGACCTCTCAGTGGGGCTTCAAACTCTCACAGTCAGACCTCAGCATACGTTTCCAGCCTTGTCTTCCTTACACACTGTGCTTTGGCACGAGTCTACCATTGCTCACGGTTCCTGAATCACATGCAGTCTTCACACCATGCAGCTTTGCTCTTTCTGCTTTGAGGGCTTTCCCCCTGCTCTGCTTGATAGATCAGAGCCCACCCTTCATGGCCCAGCTCACAGGCCTACTCCTTTGTGAAACCTTTTCTTCTTACTCCCCATTCATGGAGGCCTCATCTGTTGTGAAAGCAAAAGAACATCTCATTGCTGCTGTAACCCTTACTCACTTGAATTTTATGAAAATTACGTGAACTCTGAGCTTCTGAAGGTCTTGGCCAGAGGGTCAGGTTCTCTTTACTTTTGTATACTCATCTCACCCAGCCCCTAACACAGTGACTTGCTCTTCAATGATTACCCAAGTATGAGTCCATCAAGGAATTCTATCAGAGTCTTTTCCAAAATACCAACCAAACACATCTACCTCTTTCCATCTCCATCTGATCACCATTATCTCTGACTGGGTCTACTGTGGAAGCCTCCTAAATTTTCTCCCTGCCTCTGTGCTGGCCCTAATTTGGGTTATTCCCTAAATGGCCATTGGAATAATGGAGTTAAGATATAAACCAAATTAGGTTACCTCCCCACATAATACTGAAACCTCAATTTTGATCTTTCTGCACCTGCCCCTCTTTCACATCTCATATTTTATAATCCCCCATCTGCACCCTCACTCACTGAACTCTACTGACACTTCTCTCCTTTTCTCCTTTTGGTTTCTCAGACAGCCCAAACTTTTCTCAACCTCAGTCTCCTGCACACTCTTTTCCTTCTCCATGAAATGCTTAAGTCTTAACTTTTTTTTTTTTTTTTGACAGGGTCTTGCTCTGTCTCCCAGGCTGGAGTGCAATGGCATGATCAAAGTTCACTGCAGCCTTGACCTCCTGGGTTCAACCAATCCTCCTTCCTCAGCCTCTCACGTTGGTGGGACCACAGGCATGCACCACCATGCCCAGCTAATTTTAATTATTTTTTTTTAGAGACAGGGTGTCACCATCTTGCCCAGGTTTGTCTAGAATTTCTGTGCTAAAGTGATCTTCTCACCTTGGCCTCCCAAAGTGCTGGGATTACAGGCCATGAGCCATGATCTAGGCCATGACTAGATATTGTTGTCCTTTAAGTTTCAGATTACAAACCTCCTCCTAAGACACCCCGGCCCTCAGTCTAAGTTGAACACCCCCTCTGCGTAATTCATTATACTGTGTAGTTGTAACCCTCAGAGCCTCATTGTTTTTTTCACTGCATTCATAAGGATTGGTAACAATCTTTCTTCAGTGTGGGTTTTCCAATGGTATTATCTGTTTTCTCCACTAGGCTAAAACTCCATGATGGCAGGAATGAAGCCCATCTTGTTATCACTGTGTCCTGAGAAATGAGCACAAACAGGATGCATGAGAGAACTGTGCTCAGTAAAAAACAGTTCACAGATAGACTCTGAGGTCTTAAAAATTCTCCAAGCAGAAACAGGACCCAGAGAGTACCTGGTTAAAGTCCTTCATTTTACAAAGGGGAAAATCAAGATCCAGGACTTGTAATGAGTTCTCCTAATGCCCCAAGTCAGTGTCTGCCCAAAGGTCTCTGGTTTTTAGGGTATCCTTCATTATCAAGTTCTCTTGCTTTAGGCTTCTGGAAACTAGCCAATAACTGTAGATTATTAATAAAGTAATATAACAGGAAAATCAAATGCTTCCTACACAACCTTTCACTGAGAAATGAAAGCAAAGCCTAAGGAAATGCCATCTGACTAATTTCTAACCAATGCAAATCTTCTCTCTTAGTCACCCCTAACAAAAATGTCAATGTTCTATAAGCACAGTGAGAGGTGCCAAGGCCCAAGGCAGCTTTTTAGATCTGCTCTGCCTCACAGAAGGGTCTAGGATCTACTGCACAGTGGAGTGGCTCAGAGTTGCACTTGTTTATTGGGCAAATAGAGAAAATCCAGAACCTTCAACAAACACCCTCTTTCTTCTATGCCGTGGAGGGTTTTCTACCATTATCTGTGGCATATTTGTTAATTGGTTGCCTTTATTCATGTTCCTGCTTCTTTTCCTCTTCAAGCCTCAATGTTGTCATCTCTAAAATAGAGTGATTGATATTGGCAGTCTTTTTAGCCTTGGCATTCTTTGACCAGGATTCTCCAAACAGAAACAAGATCTAGAGAGTACCTGGTCCTGTTTCTGCTGTACAGTTAGTTCTCAACTTCAAAGGATAAATATGATTTGCTGAGCACATTACTTAGGATCTACCATGCATGGGAAATTAGATAATCATTTCAGCTCCTAATTGCATCCTCTATTGTCCTGAGCAAGTATAAGATGCTGGTGAATCCTGGAGCTAACACTTAGGTTTTCTGTTCCTTAGGACTGTATTGTCTGCTAGACCATTTATTCAAAGTGGGAGGATGATGTTCTAAAAGCCAATGATAAAGCTCATGGCAATGCAGGGTATATCTGATGGCATGGAATGCTTTAGGATGGCCAAGATTGCCCATCAAATGCCAAGTCACCGAAGGTACTCATTTATTCTAAAAATATCCACTAAGCAACCCTTTCTAATATGTGTTGTTCTAGGTTCTGGGAAATAAGAAATCATTAGAAAAAGATTTCTGCCTTCTAGAAGTACACAGTCTAATGGTGAGATAGGCAGGTAAGCTATTACAACACAGTGAGATATGCACACGAGTAAAGCTGTTTTTCTTTGGTGTGCTCACAGTAAAGGGTATAACTAACTCCATCTGTGGGCTTCAGAAAGGGCTTCCCAGAGGAGGATATTTGAACTAGCTCTTGAAGGATGAGAAAGAGTTTGCTTCATAGAGATAAAGGAGAGGATAACAGCAGGTAGCAAAGCAGCAGTACACAAAGGTACTGAGTCCAGGCCTGGTCTCCTTTGGAAATGGAGGAGGAGTATAAGAGAATTTTGTGGTAACATCAGTAAGGAAAAAGATGAAGGAGGGAGAGTAGAAATGAGGCTGGATGGGCGGTTTTGGAGGCCAACTGAGGAGGGTCTTACATGCTATGTTAACAGGCCTAGACTTCATTCTATATGCAAACAGGGAGATCCGGACTAATGAGGGGTATGTGTGTGTCCTTGTATGTGCATGTGCACGAAGGTGACATAATCAGGTATGACTTTTAGATGATACTTGGTGACAAAGGAAGGGTGGAGAATGTAAACTAGAGAAGCCTGGGATAATATGGCTGCTTGGGAATGGTGAGAATTCTGGCAGCTGCATTGCTGATGAGTAAAGTGGAGGGAAGCTTTGGAAAAGTGTTTAGGGCCAATCAGTAGAAGGTCATACATTCATACTAAAGGGTTTGTTTCAATAAGTATAGCTAAAGAATCCCACTCATAGCTTTTTTTCCTGTGGTTTACATGACAGTTATTAATGGCTCTCCTACTAGGAGCCTGACATCATGGTGAGCATCGAGAAAGGAATAACCTAAGCTGAAGACACGCCTTTTCAGGAGGCCAAGTTCCACGTTCTGTGCATGCTTTTGGCGAAAGTCAGGTAAAGCCTCCAGAAATGCATGGTCTATTCTCTCGGACCATATGGCTGTGGGCAAACTCTGGCTTCTTGGAGCCTCCATTAGCCACCTAGGGAAAGGTAATTGGCTTTATGTTTGGCTCCATCACTGCTGGCGACAAGCTCCACTGCATTCTCAAGCAGTAGATGAAATACAACTGTGCTCCTGAATGCAGCAAAGGAAAGAGAACCCAACTGGACCAGTGTGAAATTGGGACCTTTGGAGGCAAGAATGCACATATTTATAAATGAATAAACATAATTTTTCTCTCTTCTTCCCATTGGCAGCATATCTGAAGGCCCTGACTCAACAGTAGTGGGTCTTAATGCTTGTGCTTGTCCACCCTTCTCGGCAGTGATTGATTTCATTGTTGGCTTGTTTTCATGACTTGAATGTGCGATCTTCAGAGGGCCTAATTCCTTGCAAGTTCCATTTGAGGGTGGAAGAGCTAGAACAAGCTATAACCAGTAGACAACTCCGTGACTCAGGAGCTTAAGCATGTGACTAATTAGTAAGAAAAAATGTGGTGAAGATTTGTAGTTAATAAGAAGGAAAGAAGAATCACTGGGGCTAGAATTATGCAAGCTTTTGTTTCCTTTTGGGACTATATCAGAACTATGAGAGAAGAAAGGCTACCTTTTACCTTTGAGGAATTTTCAAAGCCTTTTTTTTTTTTTTTGGTTGGTTTGTGACTGACAAAGGGCACAATTTCAACACCTCAGAAAAATGCCTCATCATTTCCTCTTGTGAAATCTGGGTGCTTCTGAATGAATCCATGTTAGGAATGTGTACTTCCATCCATTAAAGTCAATGTCCAGTCTCATTTTGGGCCAGAGGCTGTTACTAAGTTGTAGTACTGGTGAGAAAAGGACAGAGCATTTACCTTCCCTGGGTATCCTGTGACCTACATGTGTCCTTGCAAGGCAGGGAAATGTTACTAATTAAGAGCATAGCCTTTCGTCAGATGGGTTCAGATCCTAACACATCCTCTTTCTGGTTACAGGACAGTCCTCTCTGAGCCTCAGTTTTCTCATCTCTAAGATGAGGCTAATTATACCTACTTCCCAGGGGGGTACTAAGGATAAAGTAACAACACAAGAAAATTTTTTATCCTTGATTTTCTTAGCTGGAAAATTAGGCTAGAAAGACCTCCATCCTTGGGGTATTTAAAATAAAAGGACAAACATATGATGAGTCTAAGTGATCAATACATTGTGGCTTTTGTACTTACTATTCTGAAACATGGGTGTGGCCTAGATACTTTCCAAAATTCTGCCCTCTCCACCTAGCAAAATGACAACCAGACTTACAGATATGCCAACAAGCTAGTGTTTAATAATGGTGTTTGATGATAAATGGCATTTCTTTTCGACATTTGTCTCTTTTTAAAACTTGGTGCTCTTAAATGCATCATTGGATAAGTGATGACTGTTCCCATTCGCAAGAAGAGACCTGGAATCTAAGCATGAAGGACCTGTCCTGATGTTGAGAAGTGTGGATCACATTTATTTGTAAACTTAGCTTCTTGCTCGTCTCATGGTTGCTTTTTTTTCTTTTTCCTTTTTCTTTTTTTTTTTTTTTTTTTTTTTTTTTTTTTTGAGAGGGAGTCTCACTCTGTCACCCAGGCTGGAGTGCAGTGGTGTGATCCCGGCTCACTGCAACCTCCACCTCCCGGTTTCAAGCAATTCTCCTGCTTCAGCCTCCCCAGAAGCTGGGATTACAGGCACGTGCCACCATACCCGGCTAACTTTTTTTTTTTTTTTTTTTTTTTTTTGGGATTTTTAGTAGAGATGGGGTTTTGCCATATTGGTCAGGCTGGTCTCGAACTCCTGACTTCGTGGTCCGCCCACCCGCCTCAGCTTCCCAAAGTATTAGGATTACTGGCGTGAGCTACCGCGCCTGGCCTTATGGTTTTTCTCATTTTTTCTTCCCTTCCTCCCTCGATTCCTTTGTTCCTTTTACTCTACCATGCCTACTGTAAAGAATAAACAATAGATTGGATCTACTCTCAAGATGCAGGATAGAGAAAACCATCATTTATTAAATGGCATCTACACCGCAGGCTTTGTACCAGGCACACACTCCACTGTTCCCAGTTATCCCTTACTGCACCCCTAGAGGTATATGTTTTCCCAGAAAAGATAAACAAGTTGCCCAAAGTCACATATCACATAGCTAGCAAGCGAACATGGGGCTGAAATAAAACACTGCCCAATTCCAAAATCCATATACTTGTTTCTTCATGTTTCCCTATGAAAATGGCAAAGGTGAGGAGTGTGTGGTGTGTGTGCGTGTGCGCGTGCATGTGCGTGTGTGTTTGCACATGGAAAATTCCAAATATCACAACTTCTCTATAGACACTAGACTCATTCTTTGGCTATGGCTGTGTCCGTTATCCCAAACTCTATCTTTACCCCAGTTTTTACACTTGCAAAAGTAGAGAAACTTTAAGGTCCACCAGCTTTTACTAACCTCCCTCTTGCTCTGATAGCTGTGTAATAATTTTTGTATCCTTCCCAGTGGGTTCCCAGTCTTTTCATCTGCTAGGACCATCTGGTAACTCATCACCAAACATGGTGCCTGACAGCATCACTGGTGCCCTGCAAATGTCCACCTGATAAATGAGTGAATTAATGAATGAATAAGAAAATGAAGGATACTGGCTGCCCCTGGCCAACTATATCTTGGCTTTGGCTTGTCATTCTAGATTTGTGATACTGGCTTCTAGCAGAAGCTTAAAGCCTCTTTTTTGTTCTTTTGTTCCTCTAATGTACTCCCCCTGCCCCTCCACCAAGATGGGAAGGAGGGCTGATCTGAGCATTCAGGTTTCAGAATGCTAATTGGATAGCAGCCAATTAGAAGTAGATCCGTAAGGATTTAATTAGACTTTCTGGGTAGATTTGGATATTGCTTTCAAAATGAAAAGGCCCCAAATCCAGGTTCCCCTGGATTATAATAGTTTTATGGCTCTGCCCTGCTTTAATTTGAGGCTAGTTGGCAATACCCTGTCCAGGAAAAAGGAATCTTCCATGTAGTCCTGTCTGTTCTACTGAGGTCTACATTTGGGTTTTAGCAAACAATTCAGCTAATATATATTATTTTTCTTTGTTCTCAAGGATTTAATGGCAAGATGCCATTATAGACAAGAACAGGATTCAGACACTTTCGTGTTATGTGTTCTTGTCCAAATACTGTGTCACTCTGCACTGGCATCCCAATCCCACCAACACCTTTAGCAGGAACTTCCTGTTTCAATAACATTTCTCAATACTCTACCTGATTGCTTAGAATCCATGAGACAGCCATATTCTCCATGTCTAGGTCCCTATCTTATTTTTGTTGAGATGGTGTTAAGACTTTATTTGTGAGGCTTCTGGGGAAGAGGAGTAAGGTATTGATCCCACTGACTGGATAATTTGGGTCTCAAAATGGATAATAAATAAGCATTACATATTTTGACCACTTCCTTGGAGGAGAACTTCTTGGAATGTGCACCATGTCCGCTGCACTTTTTTTGCACAGATATCTAAGTTGGAGAAACATACTACTAGATAAATCAATTTGTTCTCTTAGTACTCATGATATGGTTCCTGGGAACTTCTGATTCACCAAATTAATCTTGGCCAGGTACATACCTGGCAGGAATCCAAAAATTCCCCAAGTCTCCTTGAAGTTCAGGATCATCATTCTTAATAAATACACCGAGGGAAAAACCATGGAGAGTTTGTCCCAGATGCTGTGAATCTGGCCCGGGGTACATGAAGAAGTCCTTAATTGCAGTCATTTACATGGTAGATTCTCTATAATCATTTAATTTGCTATAGGTCTATGATTTTTAGTCCTTCTTCTCTAAATGATTGAACATGTATAATTCCCATTTCAATCATATTACCTGGATGAACAAAAGTAACGCTAGACTCATTCATGCATTCTGGTTGCCAAGGAAAAGGAAAAAAAAAACAAAACAATCAACAGGATGTTTAAACTGTCTTAGGGCAACTTCAGGCCATAGTCACTGGTGTTCTTGCAGACTATGAGATATTTTACATTCTGATAAGGGATAAAAATTCGTGCCTCACATGGCTCCCATCACACTAAGATCTTGCAACAATAACACTACTGATTCAGACATTAATCTTAAGTATCCAGGGAGCCCTAAAACATTGTATCCCACTAGCAAGGACCATGGTAATTGCCACGTAAATCCCCTCCATTATGTGGCCCTTATTATGACCAGCCAGCCAAGGCTTGCCTTTAAATCATACCAATTGAACCGAGCCTTGTAGAAACACTATCACCTACGCATACCTCTGCTTCTTTTCATTAACCTGCTATCCTCTTTACAAATGGGATTCTTCACCCACTCCCTTCTTCTAGATTAGCAATGCCCTGTTAAGTAAACGAACACGAAATTCAAAGGGAAACAGGAGCAATCATCATTACCAGCTGCCGTGTTAAGCATTGCGAAAACGCTCACGATTCACAGAAAAATCCATGCTGTTCTTTGAAGGCATTCAAGCCTTAATAGCTAGCTGGATGAATGTTTAACTTCTAGGCCAGGCACTACTCTGTCCCAACAATAAGCCCTGTACATTGGGAAAGGTGCCGAGACATGAACTTTGGTCTTCTCTGCAATCCATCTGGAGCATTCACTGACAACATCGACTTTGAAGTTGCACTGACCTGGCCAGCCCTGCCACTTACCAGGTTGGGTAAGTTATTCATTTCTTTATTAATTCATTCATTCATTCAATTTATGGGTATTTTGTGTCATACACTTGCTAGGCACAACATATATATATATGTGTGTGTATATATATGTGTGTGTGTGTGTGTGTGTATATATATATATACACACACACATATATAAAATCAGTAAAGTAATGAGAACTCAGAAAAAGAGCAATTTAACCAGAATTGGAAGGTCAAGGAGGGCCGCCTGGAGGAAACAATATCTAAGCTAAAACATGGAGACTGAGGAGTATGAGGCCAAATTTTCTCTTCTGTGAAATGGGCATGATGCTCTCTTGAAAAGCAGTAGTGATGTTAAGTCAGATGATTTTCTTAAAATGGACAATGGCTTTGGACTCCGATTTGGCATTTGACAAATATTATTAAAGTTTTTGTCTGGTTATAAAATTTATGTTTTTCATTGTGTATATTTTTATGACCTTTTCTAATTGTAAAGAAAAAAATTTTTTTAAAACACTCATATCTCATGTCCTAAAGATCTTTACTTTCTGTTAACACTTTAACACATATACTTTCAAACATCATGGTTTCTTTGTATACTTACATTTTGGGGGTTATCCTTTTTATTTATTTTGGACCCTTACTCTTTACAGTTATTTGTGCATCTTAAATTTCTTCCCCCATCATCAGTAACTGTAAATATTGTTTTCAATGGCTATGTGTTACATCATATGGATTTATTATAATTTAGTTAAACATTCACCTATTTCTAGTAATTAAGACTGTTTTCAATTTGTAGCCATTATAAATCCAATTTTTCATTATTATAAATCATGCTTAAATGAACATCTTTGTGCCTATTTTCGATTATTTCCTTAGGCTAGCTTCCCAAAATTGGAATGACTGGGTCATAGCATATGAATATTTTTGAGGTTCTGCAGTCATATTGCCAAATTGTCTTCCAAAGGGGTTATAACAATTTACATTCTGACTGGGAGTGAATGAGTGGGCCTGTCTCCTCGTATGCTGCTAGCTAAATTGAAGTTACTATTAGGGTTATTCTTATTACCATGTGCCATTCAGTCCTCAGGGACATATCAGGTTTTAAAAATTCAACTTAGATTCTTTTTTTCTTCTTCTGAATTTAAAAGCAGGACTGGTATATTATAGCTACTTGGAAAACAGAGAAAAAAGAAAAACCAAAGCATGAATAACCTCACTGATCAAAATTAACCACTCAATATTTTGATATATTTATAAAATAGAGTTTTTTTAATGTTTTATGTTTAATGTTATATGTTTTAAAATTTGCATGTCTGCATGTCATTAACATTCTTTTTAAAATGTCATTATAAACAATTGCCTACATAACCGTTGGTCCGATAGATCAATTTCACTTTTTTCTCCCCAGCTACAGGGATGTTAGGAATTAAACATCTGTATCAAACTGTTTAGACTAGGATTTCTCAACCTTGGCACATTTTGGCTTGGGTAATTCTTTATAGCGAGGGCACTGTTCTGTGCATTGTTGGACGTTTAGAAACATCTCAGACTTCTATTCATTAGATGCCAATAGCACCCTCCCACCAACCCCCAAAATTGTGACAGTCAAACATATTTTCAAGCATTATCAAATGCCCCCTGGGAGACAAACTCACCCCAGGTAGATAGCCAGTGTCCTAGACCTACCACCTCGCACTGCTTGAGTTGAACTTAAACAACCCTGGCAATGGCACACTGCAACCAGCTGACATGGCACATTTAAATTTTGGACAGCTCCATTCAAAAAGTTCCTCCTTACACGGATCTGAATCTTTTCTGAACTTCTTAGTCACTATTACTACTGTCACTTATATGAACTACTCAGTCATATATTGCATTAAATATATGTACATATATATATATATACACACAGAAAAATTTAGTCTTTTGCACCTGTCTTTTAAAGACTAAAAGACTGCTAACACCTCCAAGTTAAAGAGCCTCTATTTTTTTCCCCATTAACCAGACATGCCTTAAAGTTCCCCTCCCAGCTTGGTTGCTATCTACTGAATATGTGTGTCTCTTTTTGTCCACTACCTTCTTTGTCTGTATGGCATCAAGAACTGAATGATTACTTCAAGTATGAGCTAAGTAGAGCAGAACAGAGCAAAGTGAGGTTTTTCCACTTCCATTTCACTCTACAGACTATGAACCTTATGAAATTGCCTTTATTCAACATTTTCCATCTACCAAAATGGAAATTTTATGTTGTAAAACCTAATATATTTCTACGCATTCAAACACCAAATTTAGTTTTTTGAAGACTATATCACATCAGTGAGTCATATTCATTTCATATTCTTACTATCAACTAGACTCTAAGACTTTGTTCACATCTCCCCCAGTGTTGGCTTGTCTGATTAATCTGAGAGTCATGGGGCACATTACTAATGACCTTGTGCTCCATGGAAACTAGATAGAAAATTATAGAAATATCGAGTGAATAAGTGGGAGAGGACCCACAGAACCATTTGTTTTCACATCTTCCTTTCATAGATGGGGGAAGGGAGAGGTCAAATACTTGCCCAAGTTTCACAGCTAGTTACTTCTAGTAAGACTCTCTATTAGAAGCCTGATTTTCAGACTGCTGATCTGTCCAAGGACATCAAGAGAAACAATGGGATAGACTAAGAAAAAAAAATGTGTACACACACGTGTATATCCTGTTAGTGCAGATAGACAGCGAGACAGAGCAAGGAAATACAGATTGAATAGCAGTGACATCTGCAAAGACAGAGAATGAATGAAAACTTCAGACAATTAGCTAACACAGTTATGATGACAGTAGTCAAAGTCAATAAGATATATTTGACTGACTGAATCTGAATGGAAAAAGGAATAGGTCAGTTGCATACTGCTATATCTAAGTGTTTGGGTTTTCCCTTTCAATACTGCCACTTTAAATTGATCTCATTAATTGACTGCGGGGGTTTTGGAAAGACACAAGTTATTGCTACTCCAGATCTCTGAGTAAATTAATCCCAGTCACATGAGCCTCATTTATTTCCCCTTCTCTTCTACTTCTCCTTTTGTCTTTCTCAAGCTGGTCAAAGCTCTATTCCACTAAAAACAGAGAATAATTTCTAAAGTAAGTATTTAATAAATTGAACCAAAAAGTCAGCACCAGCAGCAAATTTAGAAAATAATACCAATAATTTTTCCTATTTTGATTATTTTCAGTTTCCCAAGCCCCCATTGAGCTTGATAAATGGACAATATAAATAAACAATGTGTATATTTCACAAGACACTTGTGATTACCCAGGCACACTTATCTCTACCTCTCTGCAGCCTTTTCCCTGTCAACTCATAAACTTTGTATTTGCTTTGTGACTCAGCATACCTGCGACAATAACTATATGGCTCTTTACAGATATCAACAGGATGTTTGATTTAGGTTAGCCATGAATAAATACTGATATCACTAATCCTAAAAATCACAAGTATGATAAAAATAAATATTCTGACCTTGCGGTGAGTGAGTAATTAGACATGAATTACCTTTGTCTTTTTGATAATGATGCAAAGCAGAATGGCAGAGTGAGGGGACATCCTGTATTTATGTGCTTCCACTACAATGGGTAATTAAGTGCAGTTGAATAGTTTAAGGTCAAGCTGTGGTCCCTGCCCTTGATTTGCTGCTTTTGATAGTACAGCTGAAACTGAAAGGGTAAACAGCAATGCCCTCCAATGGTGAGGAGGTTTAGGAGCATGGATAGGTTTTAGAGTCAGTGAGAAAAACTGGGCTCAAATCTCGGCTCTAACTAGCCCAGTTGGTTGTCTTAAATGAAAATAAGATGAATTGTGAACATGGAATAAAAGGCAAGAGACACACACAGTAGAAATTAATATTATTGCTTTTTTATAGTGAGATTTCTGATTCCATTTAAAGTAAATGGTTCCTGTTTAAAGGGTTATGCACCTTTTTAAAAATGTGGCAGAGACTATGGTGCTTTTCAGAGGAAAAACACAGACACCCATACACCCCACATACACACACACACACACACCCCAACATGAACATACCCACATATGAGATTCCAGAATCTTGTTAGAACTTGGGCAAATTTATTTACCGTAGGGCTCCATGAAACCTAGATAAAAAACTCTTCATGAAAGATGTGTTGGAGGTAAAAATGCCCTTTGTACTGTCTAACACTGTACCTAGAGGAAAAAGCTTTAGATTCACTTTCTCTTATCACATGTTTCAATATTTCCAAGTCCTTTCCCAATTAAAAACTGAGGCTGAGAAAAATCAAACAACTTGCTCAAGTTCAGGATCAGCTTCACGGGTGTCTGCTCTGTGGGTTTGCACAGGTCCTGCGTGTACTTAAAAGGACCTGTGCTTGGTTCAATTTTCTGCAGTCATGGACTCAAAATTTTGAACGGTGGGTGCTACATTTTCATTTTGCACTGCGTTTTACAAATTGTGGAGGTCATCCTGCCTATGGCCATGCATCTTATGAGTTTAAAAACAGAGATTCAATCTCCCCCACAGCGTACCCTTGCCTCTTTCCCTTTTCAATTTTCCTCCATCACCCTCATTCTCAGTTCATATAATACAAATTCAGTATAAATTGTATACATGTATTGCTTGAATGTCTTCTGTCAGTAGAATGTCAACTTCATGAGGGCAAGGATTTGATTTCACTGTATCCCACACCTAATATATTGTCTAGCACATGATCGGTCCTCCATAAATATGTGTTGAATAAATGAATGAATTCAATCCAGGCACACTCAACACTGACTTGTTAACCTTAACCCTCTCAACCACTGCCCTATAGTTCCTTAATATGACATCACACTGCACACTGAGATAATTCAGAATTCTCTGGGGTCAACCAATAGACATGATTCCCCTAAAATAAGAATCTGTGGTTTTGATTGGAGAAAAAATAGGAGACACTTTTATTAAAATGAAAGCTTAATTTTTGCTGTCACACTAGATTATTGGAATAATAATGAGAAGGAAAAAAATCTACAACTTCTTAAATACCTACTCTGTACTAGGAGTAAAACGTACCCCTAGTAAAACATAGCAGGGGTACGTGTTAGTACTGGGCACTAAAACATACTTATCTCATTGATTAACTTGTCCTTCAACACTCTAGATAGATATGCTTTCATATCTCCATCTTATACAAAAGAAAACTGAGGCTCAGAGGAGATCACTCCCTCACCCAAGCTCCCTCAGCCAACAAGTGGTGAATATGTGAACCAGCCATCAGCAGTGACGATGATTATTAATTATAACTAAAACACATCAATCTTAATAAGATGCAAAACTCATATTTTCCCAAAAATAAAAGAGTATTTCTCATATATAGTGATATTCAGGTTTAGAAACCAGTTTTCCCACCATCTGCTGGTTGCTTTTTTGCAGGATTTTTTTTCTTTGGCGATATTATAGGGAAAGGAGTAAAGAGGTAAACTAAAGCCAGTCACTCATTTCCTCCCATGCTTATTGACTTAGGATTTATGGTGCCAGGTTCTGTGCTAGCGGCTTGTGGGGGATACAGAAGTGAATCAGACACTATCTTGTCCTCAAGGATGTCCCTGCTTCCTGTTAGCAACACAGCATTTAGTCATTCCATAAACATCCTCTTAGCACCTACTCTGTGCCTGGCATAGAGCTTAGTGATAAATGAAACATCACCCTTGTCCTCAGGGGGCTCCCAGTCTGGGAGTGGGGAGCCCCTGGCTTCCAAGTAATAGAAAGATCAATATGCAGAAGCTACATTGTAAGTTGCATGAGAATGGCAGGGTCTGTCTTGCTCCAGTTATATTCCCAGTGCCTAGCACAGGTAGTGGCATATACTAGTTGCCCAATAAATATTTGTTAGAAGACTGATATGCCCCAGTGGGTGGACATTTGAAAGACAGGTAGTATCAGAGTAGTGATTTTGAGCCTTTACTGATAAAAACTATAGAAAAGGAATGAGTATTTGAGGAAGAAGGGATCATCATGAACAAAAGACTAGACAGGGTGAACTGTGTGTTGGAATAGTTCAGTTTAGCTGGTTATGGGTTACCCATGCAGTCGGGGGGTGGGCTGTGGGGTGTGGAGGAAGGAAGCAGTGTAACTTTGGGCAGGGCAGGTTGTGAAGGTTTGTGTGCCTGGCTAGTGAACGATAAAAGGTAGAAGTGAATTATCTAGAACCAGGATCACAAATGAAAGACCTTATAGGCCTAATCTAATCAATAGACTTATCTTTTTTTCCTGGAACATTGTTGAAAGTGTTTGCATTTGACTCTCTGTACCACACACCTCACTATTCCCTATTGCTCATAGGGTCTTTTCACATACTCCTGTGAACTGCCTGCCTTAGTGAAAGAAATTAACAAAGAATGGCCAAATGGAGACTCTTAAATAGGCAAAGCTCTATGAAACTCATTTTGAGAAAATACAACAATAAAGAGTTTGTGCTGGGTGTGGTGGCTCACACCTGTAATCTCAGCACTTTGGGAGGCTGAAGAGGGAGGATTGCTTGAGCCCAGGAGTTCCAGACAAGCCTGGGTAACTTGGTGAGACCCCATCTCTACAAAAATATAAACAATTAGCAGGACTTGGTGGTACAAGCCTTTAGTCCCGGATACTTGGGAGGCTGAGGCAAGAGGATTGCTTGAGCCTGAGAGATCAAGGTTGCAGTGAGCTGTAATGACACCACTGCACTCCAGCTTGGACAACAGAGTGAAACCCTGTCTCAAAAAAAGAGAGTTTGGGGTTGAAGTGGGAGAAGCAAAAAGCAAAAAAAGGGTTAATTTGAAATTGACATTTGGGACCTATTGTAGGGAGAGAAACAGGAAGTCAGGGGATTTGTATTCCATCCAGATGTGAGGTGGACAGGAAGAGGGAAGGAACGTTCAGAAAGATAATAGGTTTCATTCTCTGCCCTCTGTCTGGGGCCATGGGTGGGGTTTGGGGGAGTTGAGTGAGGAGGGTCATCTGGCCTACTGAGTAAAGGATGAGGAGGCTTAGTGACCTGAGCATCATATTTGCTCAATTCCTCACTTGCCTGAGACATCCTTGTTCTTATCAAATAAGCAATGCTTTACAAAGTCTAATATTCTGTGTTGGTCTGGTTAGGGAGAAATGAGCAATTTCATCCACAGCTCTGGGAGTAAATGGGTGAAGCCTTTTGAGATAAAGAATTAGCAGTTTTTTCCTAAGAGTATTTTTTTTTTTTTAATTCAACATCCCAAAATATACCCTATGGAAATTACCCGAAATGAAGACAAAAATCTAAGGTATACTGATGTTTATCACAATACGCAAAATAGTAAGAAAACTGGAAAGCATCTAAATGTCAATGGTCATGCAAATATTGCTTCATTCATAAAATGAGATAATAAACAACCATTTTGTGCAAAATACTACATAAAGATTATTCAATAATCCAAGAAAGTATTTATAATACAATATGAAGTGAAAAGAACAGTATACACAGTTGGATATCTGATGTGATAAACATAGGAAAAAAATTCTCAATTCTATATGCCAGGTGCTGGCAAACTATGGCCCACAGGCCAAATCTGTCCTGCCACCTGTTTTTGTAAATAATTGGAACATGGCCACACTCATTCTTTATGTATTGTTTATGGTTGTTTTTGCATTACAGCAGCAGAATTGAATATGTGCAATGGATACCCTAGGTCCTCAAAGTCCAAAATATCTGCCATCTAGCTCTTTAGAGAAAAAGTTTGCTGACTGTGCTCTGTGCCAATTTTGTAAATGCAGAATGATATTTTTGAAAAAGCGTTGTTATATTTATCTTTTATTTTCTTAATGGGTATGTATTATTTTTATATTGCATAAGAAAAGGCTATTTAAAAATATCTGGCTGCAAACGAAAACAAAACGCCCAGTATGATTTTGTTCAGTTTTGAGTTCAGGTATGCAAAGTGGGGCCGTTGTGCTTACGTTGCTCTGAGATTTAGGAAATCCCAAAGCTAAGCCCCAGGGGTGATGATCTGCCACACATTTATAGTAAACTCTTCAAAAGTGGGTGTGGGAAGGAACTCTGTGTTTTCCACAGCTATAGACTTGGCTACAATGCAGATTTTATGTTCATGCTGGTTAGTTGAGGCGGCATGTGTGATACAGAAAGAGAATTATCCTCTGCTGTCAGAGACCTGCAGCCTGGTCCCTGGAGCTGACCTTTGGACCAGAAGAGGATGCCTGAACACCTTTGGGCCTTAGTTGTCCGGTTCCAAAACTGACATCATAACCCATCACCTGCTACTAGTCAGACACTGACTCAGATGTCCTCTTGACCTTCTTTCCAGCTCCTAACTCTGGAATTCCATGATTCATCAATAACATCTGATCAGATTTCAGCAGCGAGGGTCTTGCTCACTTGCCATTCAGAATTAATGAAATGCAGTGATGCAGCCAACACGAACAAAAGGAGAGCCCCTCTCTCCCTTAGGAAACTCACGCAGATCACATGACCCTACCTGGTGATCTGTGAGAACTATATCCCCATGTGAGATGGTACCTACCATTTCCTCCCTCTCCCCCAACCCTTATTTCCTCCAGTGCCTTTGTTTTTTTGTGTGGTAAATGCCTTGTAATGTGCACCATTCTATGTACTGTTTGAAGAAATCTGATATCTGTGGGAAGGAAACAAAACTCTATTTGCTATGCTTCAGTCACCAAAAAAAGGTACTAAAATAGCTAAAAATGTCAGTTCACAAGTAGAAATATTCAAATAGATATTTTTCTTTTAGATCATAGTTCTGGTTTCTGTTTTCAATGGGGATTTCATGGGGGAAAATATTTCACCTTGAGAGCTGGACATTTTAAGACACAAAATGTGAGGACGCCCACATATCTCTTCATTGTTGTCATAATTTCCCAGCTAGGTTCAGAATGCAAAGGTGATTTTTTGAACGTGTCATGTGCAGGTTATTCCTTTCTAAGTACAGGATGTAGTGAGTAAGAAAGCTGATTCTAACTAACCTTCTTAGAGAGAAGGAAAAAGAAAGCTAATAACTCTTCTATTTGACTGTTTAAATTTTCCTTTTCTAGATAAATATGTTCTGATAGGTGATTTTCTTGTCCACAGCTCTGTATGGCTAAGCGTTTTCTCCTAAAATCCCTTGAAAACTGTGAGAAGACCATAAGAAGATCATATCTTTAATTCTATTTCACAAGTCACACAATATTCCAATCAAATACAGATGGTTGAGAAAAGTCATCCATCTTCCCTCCCCACCCTCCCACAGCCCCTCAACCACTGCCCTGAAACTTATATGCTGTTATCCGCAGCTCCATCTGGAGCATCACAGCTACTGTCAACCCTGACGCTCTTTCTGAAAAAACACCGGATGGACATCAGAACTATTTCTTTAAGGATGTTACTGAGCCACACAGGAAAACTTGCCTTATGATTTTGAATGCACGGATCTGATTTGACTAAACATGATAACTAGAGAATCACCCAATCTACTCCCATTTTCAACTCTAAATCATCAGAGTGTCTCAAATCCAAAGCACACACAGACCAGCCTGGCCAACACGGTGAAACTCCACCCCTACTAAAAGTATAAAAATTATCCAGGTGTGGTGGCGGGCGCCTGTAATCCAAGCTACTTGGGAGTCTGGAGGCAGGAGAATCCCTTGAACCTGGGAGATGGAGGTTGCAGTGAGCAGAGATCACACCACCGCACTCTAGCCTGGGCCACAAATCAACAACAACAACAACAACAAAAAACAAAGCGCACACAGAGACTGAGGTCCTCTTTGGCATTGAGAAGATGGCTATGCAAGTCCCAACTAGCAAGTGCAAACTTCCCAGCTTCACTTCTGCCAGTGTCCCTTCACCCCTTCTCAACCCCACTGGGAGGCAGGAGGGTGCTTGACAATAACAGCCTTGGCATCACTCTGCCAGGGTGTAATAGGAACTGTTACAATTCTGAGATTCTGTGTAAGCACTGGCCTTTCTGCCTAGAATGCCTTCTCCTCTCTTTTTTAACTGCATGCTCCTATTTATCTTTCAAAGCCCGGAAAAAATAACACTGCACACGGGAAATGCTCCCTTCCTACTGCAGTCATTTAGATGACTCTATGCCATTCCATTCATTTCTCTTTCCTACCACAGAAGTGCTTTGAGATTTTGGAGTCAGACTGCTTGAACTTGAATCCTGGCCCTCTCATCAGAGACTTGACTTATTTTAGGCAAGTTATATAACCAATTTTACCTCAGTTCCTTACCCATAAAATGGGTCTAATGAGAGTACCTACCACACAGAATTTTGATGAAAACTGAATGAGATGAAGGCCTTTAAGGCAGTGGTCCCCAACCCTGGGGACACAGACAGGTACCATTTTGTGGCCTGTTAGGAACTGGGCCACACAGCAGGAGGTGAGCAGTGGGTGAGTGAGATCAGCGTTATTTACAGCTGCTCCCCATTGCTCACCTTACTGCCTGAGCTCCACCTCCTGTCAGATCAGCAGTGGCATTAAATTCTCATAGCAGCACAAACCCTGTCATGAACTGCACATGCGAGGGATCTAGGTTGTGCGCTCCTTATGAGAATCTAATGCCTAATGACCTGTCACCGTCTCCCATCACCCCTAGATGGGAGTGTCTAGTTGCAGGAAACAAGCTCAGGGCTTCCACTGATTCTACATTATGGTGAGTTGTATAATTATTTCATTATATAATACAATGTAATAATAATAGAAACACAGTGCACAACAAATGTAATGTGCTTGAATCATCCCCAAACCATCCCAGTCCACGGTCTTCCACATTTTGTCTTTTCACAAAATTGTCTTCCACAAAACTGGTCCCTGGTGCCAAAAAGGCTTGGGACCACTGCTTTAAAGCCTTTGCATAGTGCTTAGAATTGAGGGGGAAAAAAAAAACAAAAACAATGTAGCTAGTTGCTACAATCACTATATTGGTGAGTTTCAAAAGGAAAAGAATTCTGTCCCATTTATGCTTGAGCCTTGAGTTGCTAACCAAGCCTGACACAAAATTACTGTTGAAGGGATGTGTGAGTCCTAATTGAAATGAGGCCTCTTAAGGGAATTGTGGACCAAACCCCAAGCAGGCAGAAAGCCGTATCTTAATTATTGCAAGTATTTCAGGCAAGGTGTGGATGGCCATTTGAATTCAAGCAGACTAGGACCTGGGATGAGAAAGAAGGTGTGTACGTGACTTGATCTTTGAACTTTAGCTCACCATCTGGAAGAAGGCTGAGTATTCTCTGCACTCACATAGTAGCTAATGCCTACTCCCCAGCCACCCACAATTCTTTCTGTAGGAAGGCTCGCTAGAATACTTTGTGATATTGGATATTAGTTCCATATTCTACTGTGTATCTTAGTTCAACCAAATTGTAATCATCTGATATTTATTTCTTTTAATATAAATATAAGTATATTAAGTCTTGGCATGCTTGCTCAGTCTCTCTCTCTCTCCCATTCCTCCCCGCTCCCCTCTCTCTTTCCCAACAGGCTTGGAAAGCAGGCATCACCATGCCTATTTAACAGTTGGGGTCCCTTGGCCACCAGGTGCTGGAGTAGGAATCTGAGCCCGGACATGCCTGATCTGTAAATTTTGTGTTTTCCCCACTGTGCTGGGCAGATCACAGCTATCAGCGCCAAATTCATAGAAGGGGCGCCCCCTGTGGTCAATTGAGGGATTTGTGTTTGAGGTAGATCTCAAGAAGGAATGGGTGGGGAACTTAGCCTAGGACAGAGCAGAAAGGAGCCCTCACTCCCCAAGCACCAACGGCCTCAGTCCTTCCTGCTGACTCCAGCCTCTAGCTCTCACCCAGACTATCTGCATCCTTCTCTCCACCACGCTCCTTTGGAACCTGCGTAAAACACAGATTAAAGGAATTCCGCCTTACTTCCCTTTCCGCATTATGACCAAATGGTTTTACACTATCATTGAACAGTTTAGTACAAAACATGCCACCTTTTAATCTATTCATTCATTTAACAAATACTTTGGAGTGTTTACCATGTGCCAAGTGCTGTTCTAATAGACATAAGCTGTGAGGTTATGCTTATCTGATTCTCACAGCAACAGCTTTCGAGATATGAATTGGTATACTCATTTGACAGATGAGGAAATTGAATTCATGTAGTGAGAAAGGAAGAGCTGCAATTCAGGGTTACTGGTTTCTCCTGCACTAAGCACTGAGCCACACTAGAAGAGAAGGCATGAGGAAGACAAAAGTGAGAAGGTACGAGAGAAGATATTAAGTAGAGGTCTATTAGTTCCTCTTAAAACTATTTATGAAAGAGGCGGATGGGGTAGTGGATGGGAAAGACAGATGGATTCATGTTCTTCACTCCAGGTTTCCCCCCATTCCCTTCCCTTTTAAATGCCTGCTCATTTTTTGGCTACCTTTCAAGCTCTAGGAAATACTCTGGAATTCCAGGCTGGGAGGGGTTTCCTTTGCAGATCTGGCTATTGTAACTTTACAAGAAATTGCTCAATACTTCCTCTCACCAGTTACAAACCACGGTTTTCTGAATGAACTTTATGTTCATTAAACAGTTAACCCTTCAGCTTTCTGACTCACATTTTTCATGTTATTAATCAGCTCTTAGAGTAAGGTAAAATCTAGAACAGACTTTATATACACCCTCCCTCCCACACACATATACATACATAATACAAACACAGACCACACATGTCCACATCCTTATGCGCAAACACTAAGAAACACACGCATACACAAACATACATGTACACAAAATTAAATACATAGCTATGGCACTTTCACTATACATGTAAACACCCTTACACACATACAAATGTACATGCGCGTGTGCGCACACACATATGGAATTAGCTTTTTCTCTTTGTGGGAGGAGGGAAATGAAAAGACCCAAAACATTCAGATTCCCAAATGGACACGTAAGAACCCCGTCATGGAAATAGGTCTGGGTTTTTTTCTCTTTTGAGGGAAGCAGGGCGTTTCTGGTTACTGTCGCCATTGCCATTGTGCCCCTGCTTACCATCCCCCTGCACCGCCCCCCCGGCCCCCGCCCGCCACTGCTAGGGTTTACAGGTCATCCCTGGATTAAATAAGTGATATTGTGTTTTTTTTTCTTTGACACAAAGTAAAATTATAATTAATATTGAATAAAGTAAAAATGAACTCCTGAGTTCCAGTCCCTTATGTAACACACCTGGTTTGTGGCAGGCACTCAGGAAATATTAGTTGCATGAACGAAGGCTGCATTTTCATTAGAACAACATGCAGTTCAACCCCTTCATGTTTCAATGAGGGTTCAGATACCCAGAGGGCTATGCTATCATCCTGGAGCCCACTCTGCTAACAATTAGCAGAACGGAAGCCTTAATTTCCAGATTCTAGTGAACTTGATGAGTCAAGACTATTGCAATTGGAAATCTGTTCTCCTCTGCTGCTGCATTCCCTGCTTAATACTCAAGCCAGAAACCAGGAAGGTATGTGCCACAAAGTAAAGTGGGATTCAGGACAATTATCCATCAAGACTTTGTTACAGATATCCAAAGCAGGCAATTCAAGACCCAGCTTGACTTTACTGTCTCCATTGTGGTGGTTAATGGAGACAAATTCAATTCAAATATGTGCACGTGGATTTCTTTGTTTCTCTGAGGTTTGACTTATCTGCCAAAAGAGAGAAACACAGAAAGAGGGGAGAAACAGGAGAGGGGAAAGAGAGAGGAGAGAGAAACCAAGGAAATGTGACATATAATAATTTTTTAAAGAATATTTTTTCATTTTTTTATTGAGGTATAAAATACATGTAGTAAGGTATGTCAATAACTCAAATCTTATGTGATTTTTTTATGTACATGTATACCTGTGTACACCTGTGTAACCACTACCTAAGTCAAGATAGAGAACATTTTAATCATCTTAAAAGATTTCCTGTGTCTCTTCCCACCAATACCTGCTGATGAGCCCACTCTCCTTACAGCTATCAGCAGAGTTGTTTTACCTGTCCTTGAACTTAATATAAATGTAATTATACTGTATATGCTCTTTTGTGTCTGATTTCTTTCACCCAACGTACTTGTTGGTTTAGTCCATGTTGTGTATATCAGCAGTTTGTTTTTGTTAAGTAGCAGTGTTCCATTGTATAAATGGACCATATTTTATCCTTCATGTTAATGAACATTTGAATTGTTTTCATGTTCTTGTTATGAATCAACATGGTTATGAATAGTTTGGTTATGAAGAGTTTTACACATGTTTTTAGTCTATTTTGTTTCTCTTAAATATATACTTAGTCACGGGATTACTGGTCATATAGTATAGGCAGGCAGATGTTCAGCTTTAATTGACACAACCAACTGTTTTTGAAAGGGGTTGAGGCAATTCACACACAATAAATAACAATATATAAAAGTTCCAATTACTCCCAATATTTAACAATATTTGATTGTATTAGTCTTTTTAAAATTTTAGCCATGCTGATGAGTATGTATTGGTAACTCAGAGTAGTTCAATTTGCATTTTCTTAATGAGCAATCCGTGTGAAGTGCCTCATCAAAGTTTGTGTGTGTGTGTGTGTGCTTTTATCATGTGTATATGATACATATACACATGATACATACATATGATATGTATATGATACAGATACACATGATACATACATATGATATGTATATTATACATATACACATGATACATACATATGATGTGCATGGTACATATACACATGATACATACATATGATGTGCATGGTACATATACACATGATACATACATATGATGTGCATGGTACATATACACATGATACATACATATGATGTGCATGGTACATATACACATGATACATACATATGATGTGCATGGTACATATACACATGATACATACATATGATGTGCATGGTCCATATACACATGATACATACATATCATGTGCATGGTCCATATACACATGATACATACATATCATGTGCATGGTCCATATACACATGATACATACATATCATGTGCATGGTCCATATACACATGATACATACATATCATGTGCATGGTCCATATACACATGATACATACATATCATGTGCATGGTCCATATACACATGATACATACATATCATGTGCATGGTCCATATACACATGATACATACATATCATGTGCATGGTCCATATACACATGATACATACATATCATGTGCATGGTCCATATACACATGATACATACATATCATGTGCATGGTCCATATACACATGATACATACATATCATGTGCATGGTCCATATACACATGATACATACATATCATGTGCATGGTCCATATACACATGATACATACATATCATGTGCATGGTCCATATACATATGATACATACATATCATGTGCATGGTCCATATACATATGATACATACATATCATGTGCATGGTCCATATACATATGATACATACATATCATGTGCATGGTCCATATACATATGATACATATAATGTATACATAATATGTATATATTAATAACACATTTTTGTTATTAATTGGTAAGAGTTCTTAATGTATTCTGGGTATGAGTACTTTCTCAGATAGAAACATATACATATATTATGATAAAATTATTATTCCAGGCTGTGGCTTGCCTTTTCACTTCTTGTGTCCTGTTTAAGAAATATCTGCTATCCCAAGGTAAGATACTATACTTTTTTTAACATGTTATTTTGTTTTACCTTTCACATTTGGTGTATACTACATTTGTAATTAATTTGTCCATATTATATGACATATAGCCAAGATTTATTTTTTACCATACAGATACTCAATATTGCCATTTACGTAGAACATCGTTCTCTTCCTACTCAATTGCCTTGGCACCTTTGTAATAAATCAGATGATCGTGTATGTGTAGTTCAGTTTCTGGACTCTGTCTTCTGTTTCTTTAGTCTATTTGCCTATTCTTGTACCAATATGCACTGTGTTAATAATCGTAGCTTTGTAGTAGGTCTCGAAATCTGACAGTGTAATTCTTTTAGTTTCTTTCTTCTGCAAATTTTCTTTAGCTGTTTTACGTCCTTTGCATTTGTATATAAACTTCAGAATCAGCTTGTCTATTCCAAAAACAACAACAACAAATGAAAGTTTCAGAAACTTTAACTGAAATTGTATTGAATCTGTAGACAATTTTGGAGTAAATTGCATCTTAGCAATGTAGAGTCTTTCGAACCATAACCATGGTAAGTCTCTCCATTTGCTTAAATCTTCTTTAATTTATTTCAACAATGGCTTCCAATTTCCAGCGGGAGCTCTTGGAAACTACAATTTACATGAACTTCTAATTTGATATTTTTCGGTGTCATTATAAACATTGTTGTTTTAAAAGTTGTCTTCAATTTTTTGTTGTCAGGCACAGAAATACAATTATTGATAACATTTATATATAAACTGTATCCAGTGATCTTGCTAGATTCACTGATGAGTCTGATGTTGTAGATTCTTTGGGATTTTCTCCGTACATAATCATATCCTTTCTGAATAAGATAGTTTTACTTCTTCATTTTTAATATCTATGCCTTTTATTTATTTTTCTTTTGAACTTTTTGCTGACTTCATTATTCACTCTCATGTTTTTCTCTTTCATTAGACTATGACTCCTCGATGGTAGCAATTTGTAGTAATCAAATTTTTGTATTTTATTTTAGCATCTGGCATCTTTCTTGACATATGTAGCAGTTGCTTTTTGACAGCTTGCTTCTTCAGTGAATGAATAAATTAATAAAGAGAAATGTGATGTTCAGTGATCCATTTTGCAGGTAAGAAAACTGAGGCAGACAGAGGATGTTAGCAAGCAAGAGGCCTTGGCCTACAATTTAGATCACTGGACTCTTACTCCAGATGCAATCTGCAGAACCCACATACTTTTAATTAGTCCCTTTGTCTATGTTCTGCCACTGTCACTTCTAAGGAAGGTGTGTCATCCCAAATGGGGTAGTATCTTATTGGTAGACCTAAATCTGCTGTGTTCGCCATCTCACCTACATGAGTATCTATGTGTAGCATTCTGCATATTCATCTTTTCCACCTTCTGGAGGTTTTGTCTTTTTATAGGCAGCATGTGAATAACAATGGGGCCAAACTGGGGACCAGAAGGGGCCATTTTCTAGTTCTGAACATAGATAAGCATCACTAACTTTTCCCTCCTGGCAGTAATGGCCTCAAAAGTTCCAACTTAGGAGAAAAAGGCAAAACCGTCTGCCAAAGTGTGTGAAAAGTTAGAGCAAACCTTGGTTTTACCAAGAACCTGTGTCCCTCTTATGGAAATTCACACTTTCACACTTTTAGACAAATATTAAATGTGTGACATTCTATTACGTACAGTGCCTGGCACATCTAGACACGCAGCACACTTTAGCCCCCTTCTTTCTTCTTCTAACTCCAAGTTCTAAACTAGAAAAAGCCCCACTTGAGTCTGAGATTTGCTTTTTGAACTAGTTTATTTCAGATTGTAATCATGCTATCTAGGGTTGTGACAGTGTTTGCTATTTCTAGGGCACTTTGACCTGATTCTTTTTGCACAGGAAACTTGTTCTACCCTTTTGCCCACTTCACTGAAGTGAGGACTGAGACAGAGAAGGATTAAGTCACTTTTTATTTAACAAATATTTGTTCCACATTCCTCAGCATTTATTAAATACTGGTGCATAATGATGGAATAAATTTTATACCGTAAGGATAAACCAGTATTCTGGACTAAGCCAACGTGGGAGACCCTAGGAGGCCTGTTTGAGAAAGTGACATTTAAATTGAGACTTGGCGGTGGCTGTGGCTACATATCTAGTAAGTGGCTGGGTTGGGATTTGAACTCATGCCTGCTTAGCTCTAAAGATGATGCTTTTGGCTTTGTACTCTGCTCTCTCTCTAGACAAACTCTGGTCCAAAATCGTTAAAGCTAACATTTATCCCTGCCCAACTGGAATTGTCATGTTATGACAAATGGCTCTGTGGTCTCAGATGCCCAGCAGACCCATTAGTGGAATTCTATGTGCTACAGACCTGGGCAAAATGCCAGAGCCTTATACACCCATCACATTTCGTCTGGCAAAGGTCTTCAACAAAGAGAAGTAATTACAGCAATGAAAAGCAACAGGTCCAGCAACACCATAAGAACAAAATAATTAATTTCCCTAAAATAGAAGAAACCATTTATAGAGTAAGAGCCGATACAATCAATAATTGGAAGAAATAGAAGAGGCTTTAGTATTCTAGCCTTCTTTATTTGTAGATGTAAATGTCGAGCCTCAGAGAAGTTATATATCTAATTAGTGTCACTCAGGTAGATAACAACAGAATTAGGATTAGAACTTAATTCTTATGACTCCCAGAGCAGGGAAAAGACAGGATGAAGTCCCAAAACATTGCGTGTGAACTCACATCTGACTCTGAATTGAGAGTCTGCTATTTACTCCCTATGTGACCAGAATCCTTCAGAGCCCATGAGATTCCCTGTCATAGAGTAGATTTTGATCCACACTAGGCATTTTTACCTCTTGCTCTTTGAGTTGGTGCCCCATGTTTACTCAGAAATATTCCAAAGGTGTTACATCTATTGGTTTTACATGTTGAGCACAGATCATTATAAGACAAATTGAAATGAAAACATCAACAAGTCTCATTCATTGTCTAACTTACGCTGAGCAATATTTAATAACTAGAATATCAAGAGAGTCCAAAGTGTTTGCCCATCCCCTCAAGACCAATGTAATGGAATTTTACTCTTATCACCTGCTCAGGGTAGTGGCAATTCAGGATACAGAGGACAGAAATAAAGAATCATGACACACAATCCACAGAATTCACAGATGCCAAACATCTACCCTTCTCTGTCACCACACATTGGACTCACATGGTGGAAATAGGCAACACAAGCAGAGAGGTGGCTTAACCTTTCATAATTTTTCAACGACCTATGGGAAGAGAGTTTTCTTGGTTCAAATCCCAGCTTAGCCACACAGAGTGTGGTAATATTGGGCAAGTCAACCAAGCTCTCTGTGCTTCAGTTTCCTCATTATTAAAATGGGGGAAATAATAGTGCCTGCATCAGAGGGTTGTTGTGAGAACTAAACGAAATAATTTATCTGAGCTTTAGAACCCACACCATATTAGTTAAAAATTCATGCATTTTCTTTTATTATATTTCTCTACCTTAGACTGCAAACTCTAAGAGGAAAGGCCGGACTGTTATATTCATAAAGCATTACAGGAACAGTAATTAGAACTAGGAGCTTTTCAATGGCCTGCCTGAAATCTGAAAAATAGGTATATTATTTGAAATTTTGAAAAAATCAAATAATTAAAAATTAATAGATGTTAATAAAATATCTGTAATATGTAATATCAAGGTCAACTCAACTCTTAATTGTTTATATAAAATATAGTGAAGTTTAAATTGCAAAATCTTACAGAAAATGTGCTATTAAAACTCAAAAGTATAATTCTTTCTAATATGTATATATATGTATATAGTTTTATTTTAAGTTCAGGGGCACATGTGCAAGTTTGTTACCTAGGGAAACTCACGTCACAGGACTTTGTTATACAGATACTTTCATCACCCAGGTATTAAGCCTAGTGCTCATTAGTTATTTTTCCTGATCCTCTCCCTCCTCCCAACCTCCACCCTCAGGTAGGCCTCAGTATCTCTTGTTCCCCTCTATGTGTTCATGAGTTCTTATCATTTAGCTCCCACTTACAAGTGAGAACATGTGGCATTTGGTTTTCTGTTCCTGCCTTAGTTTGCTAAGGAAAGCACTGTGGCAATTTCTCAAAGGACTAAAAACGGAATTACCATTCAACCCAGCAATCCCATTACTAGTTACGTACTCAAATATTTTTAAGGCAAAACAAAGCTGCAACCAGAACACCTGGACTCCCTGAAACCCCTTCCACTGATGTTGTTGTTGTTGTTTCTTTTTCCCCAGCTTCTCAGGCCAAAATACTGGATCATCTTGGGCACTGTTCTCTCCTGCCCACCCTTTCCCATATGCAGAGTGTTGTCACTTCTCTCTGCTTCCACTGCTAACTCCCTGGTCCAAGCCGCTGCACCACTTTTCGTGATTATTGCCACAGTCTCCTCACTGGTTCCCTGCCCCCACTCTTGCTCTGAACTATCCAGTTAAAACCTGAATTAGATCATCTCATCCTCATCTCAGAGCTTTCTCGTGGCTCCTCTGCCCTCTCAGGAAAAAATCTAAATTCTAGATGACCTAAAAATCCCTTGTCTCTTACTGTTTATCTGACCTCATTTACTACCACCTTTTTCTTTGATCATTCTGTTCCAGCCACACTGGCCTCCTTACCACTCCTCAAATATGCCAAGCACAGCCCCCACCCCCCAGGGCTTTGAACTGGCTGATCCCCCTTCCTGGAATGCCTTACCCCAAATATCAACTTAGCCAACTCCCTCCTCTCCTCCAAGTGTCTGTTTAAACATGGCTTCAGTAGGAGCTGTCTTAACATCCTATTAATATTGTAATTCCTCTCATGACACTTTACACCCCCTTCCCTGATATGCTTTCCATATACCATGCAATATCTGCTGAGATAATATATAATTCACTTATTTTCTTTATTGTCATTTCAAAGAGGGCGGTGTGTTCTGTGTTTTATTTAGTGCCAAAATACTTGCTGATGAAGAGAGTTCCTGCCACATAGTAGGTGCTCAATATGTGCTTGTTGAATAAATGTGTCAATGTTTGATGTACAGACCTTTTATTATGTTTGATTTGCTGCCAGTGCTGCCTCCAAACACAGGAGTGCTTCATGAGATGTTCACAAAAGCTCTTAAAATATTCCACAAAAATCTTAAAATATTTCATGAGTTTTCTTTCCTGTATTTTTATAGCAGCATCTGGAATTTAGCCTGCATAGGACCCTCTGTAAGCTGACCCTGTTTATCTATTCAGCTTTACTTCTCCCCTCTCTCCACTTTGTATTTTATTCTCTACTACTTCCAACTGATTGTAATTTGACCAGACTCCAGACTATCTTATGCCTCTTTGCTTTTGTTTACCTGTTACTTCTCTCTGGAATTCCCTGCCCCTTCTTAATTTTTCTGGCCAATTCTCACTCTCTAGGACTCAGAGGTTTCTCCTCAGGAGACTTCCATGAGTCTCATGTTGAGTTAGGTGACCCCAATCCTCTGTTCTTCATAGTCATTCGCGCATTTATCTAGCTCAGCATTTGCCATACTACATTGAAATTATTTCCTTATGTGCCCATCACTCCCCGTAGATTGCAAACTCCTAGAGAAGGGCTCAACAGTGAGTGCTGAGGCTGCACAGAGGAGGAAGGCAGCACAATGATGGAAGGCTTCCTAAAGAGGTATGTTCCAAGAGCCCCCACTTCCTTTCATGGGAGACTCATGCTGTTACACCTAGACTATCTAGGGATACATCTAATGTAGTCGTGGAAAGAACAGAGGACTTGAGTACTAGACTGACGTGATTTTGAATCCTGGCTCCCTATTGACCAGATGTGTGTCTTGAACAAGTCCCTGAGCCTCAGTGTCTTCATCTGCACAGTGAGGATAATGATACCACACTGCATATATGAGGTATCCGGCACATGTAAATGTCCACTACATGCTGATTTCTTCACCCGCTACTCACCCCTGGGAAAGAAGTAGACTCACCTACTCTTGGTACCCATTCATTCCCCCTCAGTTGGAAGCATGAGGTGTGCAGCTGCCTGACCTGGGGGAAGGGCTGCAAGCAGTAGGTGTTGTCAGATGTGGTGGAGCTTGTTGACTTCCTCCCAGGGGCCCAGCTAACAACCTGCCTCTGTTCCTTGATAGTCAAGTTCAACTTTCACTTCTTAGCACCACAGGAAGTTGACTGAACATTAACTGAAGTCTCTCTCAAACAGGAGACATCTTTGCCAGGTCCCTGTACTTCCTAGCCTCATTCCTGCTCTCCCTAGTGAGCAGGCTGCCCTCCCTTCTCGCCCCAGCACCACTGATAGGCAAGGGTACTCAGAACTACTACCTTGTGGGCCATGTCATGTGCCAGGAGCTGCACCCAGGACTTTAATACAGTAGTTGGCTCCCACTGAATGTTCATTGTTACCCCAGGATAAAAAGGGGACACTGTGATCATTTTCTATTTTGCTGTGATCAGGCTTGGTGAGCTAAAGTCACCTACCTTCCCAGTCTCTACTAATAGAAGTCATGGATCAGTCCTATTGGTTCTTCTGTTACAAGGATTCAGAATTCATAATCATGGAGCTGCATTTACAGGCAGAAGTTTCTTTCATAGTTTTCTAAGTGTTCCTTTTAGCAACAATGGAGAAAATCAAAGAGGGCAAAGGTGAGGGGAGAAAATAACATTTCCCTTTCTGTCCTTTGCTCTTGTAGTCTTTTGCTTTAGTTTCTTTACTATGACTGTGAGGGTGAAACTAGTGATCAGAGTGGTCCAGAATGGGTTTGATGAATCTGATTCTGGTGACACAAGATGAATTGGGTATATGTTTCCCTAAAGATAGAGAGACAATATAACATAGTCTTTACATTAATAGACTCTGGAGCCAATTTTTTTAGGTTCACTCTCTTTCCTTTCATGTGTGTTGATTTTCAACAAACATCTTGCACTCGAATTCCATCTCACTGTTTTATTTTCAAAAAATTTAATTTGAGAAAGTTAGCTGTATTAATTTTTTCTTTTTCTAAAATTCTTTTACTAATTGCAATTATTTCCATTGATGCTATTCCATTGAAACCATTTTAACATGGACTCAATAACTTCATTGTATGTTAATGTTTAATTTTCATTTCTTTACCTTCTTGGTTTTCTAGCTGTGTTTAATGTGGTTGACCACTCATTCTTTGAAGCTCTATTCCTCTGGCTACTACAGTATGACACATTTTGTCTCCTTCTTCAGTCTCTGTCTTCTCCACAGTCTTCTCTTCCTTTTATATACCTTTAAATATTAATGTTTCCCAGAGATATTTTCTTAACTCACTTCTCTACTGATTCTAGGTACTTTTCTTGATCCAACTCTTCTGATTTTACCCATCTCGATGATTCTATAATTTGTATTTTCTGTTTTGATCTCTTTTCAGTCTTCCAGACCTAAATATCCAAATGCCTGATGGATAGTGCTTTCTTTTTTACTACCAAGCCCTCAAAGGCACTATGTTCAAAAGGAATTTGTCATCAGTCTCACGGCACATAAGCTTCCTCTTGTGTTCAATCTGGAGACTTGAGAGTCTTCCTGTTCCCTTCTTCTCCTTATTTTCTCCATAATCAATCACAAAGTCATGTGGATTTTGCTCCTAAATATGTTAACTTCTTTCCTCTCTCACTTTATATCCCTTACATCTAGGTATTTCAGACCCTCAGTCTCTCTCACATAGACTTTGGCAATAACCTTCTAATATCAGTCAACCTGACCAATAGGCCACCAGTGCTTCATGTAGAATCTGGACAATGTAGAGCACTGAGAATGCTCACACTGGTCATATATGTATGAGTTGGTATGACATCTAGGGAAGTTGAAGACTTACATAGCCTTTGGCCCAGCAATATACACCATAATACATTAGAGAAACTCTAGCATGTGTACACAGTGATATACACACAAGAATGTTCACAATGCCATTATTTTAATAGCAAAATTGTGGAAACAACACAAATGTTTATCAATAACAGAATGGATAAGTGAGCCATGGCATAGTCATACAATGAAAAATAATATAATAGTCAAAATGAATGATCTGAAGAGATATCATTATTGGCAATCTTATAAAAGACTGAGTTAAAAATGCAATTTGTGAAAATTTTTAATTATTTGATATTATTTAATGCAAAGTTTTAGAACATGCAAACAACTGTATATATTATTTATGTATATATGCAAATTCAGCAATAGCATTTAATCATGCCTGGGAATGATAAGTATCAAAGTCAGAAAGTGGTTACCCTTGGGAAGAGAGGTATGTATCAGCGGTGGGGCACATAGGATGTTGCAGCCATATCTGTAATGTTTCTTTGCTTTAAAAAATTTGAATCAAGCTTGGCAAAGTGTGACATTTGATTAAGCAGGATAGTGAGTGCATATCTGTTACTTATATTGTTCTTTATAATTTTCTCTATGCTAAAGCATTTTGTAATTTAAAAAACCTGACAGTGTTACTCCCATGCTTAAAATATGCCAGTGGTCAAACCAAATCCAGCAGCACATCAAAAAGCTTATCCACCATGATCAAGTGGGCTTCATCCCTGGGATGCAAGGCTGGTTCAATATAAGCAAATCAATAAATGTAATCCAGCATATAAACAGAACCAAAGACAAAAACCACATGATTATCTCAATAGATGCAGAAAAGGCCTTTGACAAAATTCAACAACTCTTCATGCCAAAAACTCTCAATAAATTAAGTATTGATGGGACGTATCTCAAAATAATAAGAGTTATCTATGAAAAACCCACAGCCAATATCATACTGAATGGGCAAAAACTGGAAGCATTCCCTTTGAAAACTGGCACAAGACAGGGATGCCCTCTCTCACCACTCCTATTCAACATGGTGTTGGAAGTTCTGGCCAGGGCAATTAGGCAGGAGAAGGAAATAAAGGGTATTCAATTAGGAAAAGAGGAAATCAAATTGTCCCTGTTTGCAGATGACATGTATATCTAGAAAACCCCATTGTCTCAGCCCAAAATCTCCTTAAGCTGATAAGCAACTTCAGCAAAGTCTCAGGATATAAAAATCAATGTACAAAAATCAGAAGCATTCTTATACACCAACAACAGACAAACAGAGAGCCAAATCATGAGTGAACTCCCATTCACAATTGCTTCAAAGAGAATAAAATACCTAGGAATCCAACTTACAAGGGACATGAAGGAACTCTTCAAGGAGAACTACAAACCACTGCTCAATGAAATAAAAGAGGATACAAACAAATGGAAGAACATTCCATGCTCATGGGTAGGAAGAATCAATATCGTGAAAATGGCCATACTGCCCAAGGTAATTTATAGATTCAATGCCATCCCCATCAAGCTACCAATGACTTTCTTCACAGAATTGGAAAAAACTGCTTTAAAGTTCATATGGCACCAAAAAAGAGCCCGCATCACCAAGTCAATCCTAAGCCAAAAGAACAAAGCTGGAGGCATCACACTACCTGACTTCAAACTATACTACAAGGCTACAGTAACCCAAACAGCATGGTACTGGTACCAAAACAGAGATATAGATCAATGGAACAGAACAGAGCCCTCAGAAATAACGCCACATATCTACAACTCTCTGATCTTTGACAAACCTGAGAAAAACAAGCAATGGGGAAAGGATTCCCTATTTAATAAATGGTGCTGGGAAAACTGGCTAGCCATATGGAGAAAGCTGAAACTGGATCCCTTCCTTACACCTTATACAAAAATTAATTCAAGATGGATTAAAGACTTAAATGTTAGACCTAAAACCATAAAAACCCTAGAAGAAAACCTAGGCATTACCATTCAGGACATAGGCATGGGCAAGGACTTCATGTCTAAAACACCAAAAGCAATGGCAACAAAAGACAAAATTGACAAAGGGGATCTAATTAAACTGAAGAGCTTCTGCACAGCAAAAGAAACTACCATCAGAGTGAACAGGCAACCTACAAAATGGGAGAAAATTTTCACAACCTACTCATCTGACAAAGGGCTAATATCCAGAATCTACAATGAACTCAAACAAATTTACAAGAAAAAAACAAACAACCCCATCAAAAAGTGGGCAAAGGACATGAACAGACACTTCTCAAAAGAAGACATTTATGCAGCCAAAAAACACATGAAAAAATGCTCATCATCACTGGCCATCAGAGAAATGCAAATCAAAACCACAATGAGATACCATCTCACACCAGTTAGAATGGCAATCATTAAAAAGTCAGGAAACAACAGGTGCTCGAGAGGATGTGGAGAAATAGGAACACTTTTACACTGTTAGTGGGACTGTAAACTAGTTCAACCATTGTGGAAGTCAGTGTGGCGATTCCTCAGGGATCTAGAACTAGAAATACCATTTGACCCAGCCATCCCATTACTGGGTATATACCCAAAGGACTATAAATCATGCTGCTATAAAGACACATGCATACGTATGTTTATTGTGGCACTATTCACAATAGCAAAGACTTGGAACCAAGCCAAATGTCCAACAATGATAGACTGGATTAAGAGAATGTGGCACATATACACCATGGAATACTATGCAGCCATAAAAAATGATGAGTTCATGTCCTTTGTAGGGACATGGATGAAATTGGAAATCATCATTCTCAGTAAACTATCGCAAGGACAAAAACCAAACACCGCATGTTCTCACTCATAGGTGGGAACTGAACAATGAAAACACATGGACACAGGAAGGGGAACATCACACTCTGGGGACTGTTGTGGGGTGGGGGGAGGGGGGAGGGATAGCATTAGGAGATATACCTAATGCTAAATGATGAGTTAATGGGTGCAGCACACCAGCATGGCACACGTATACATATGTAACTAACCTGCACATTGTGCACATGTACCCTAAAACTTAAAGTATAATAATAATTAAAAAAACCAATAGTTTATGAAACCCCCCCCAAAAAAAATATATGCCAGTGGCCTCCAGTTGCCCACCAGGTAGCATCCACATTCTTTAATGGAAAGCCCTTCCTTGCTTCGAACTTGCCAACTGGGATTGGACATTTGTAGTTGCATTTCTAAGAACTGTTCCCTTTTGTCAATGGAGCCTGATTTCCACTTGGATATCTGGGTGATTTAGGGAAACTGACCTCAAAACCCAATTCTACATTTCGACCATGTGACCTTGGCTTAATCAATTCACGCATCTTTTTCCCTCACCTCAGGGGATGATCATATGAACTAAGCCAGTTGCAATAGAGTAAACCTCATGTTCCTAATGAGAAATCCAGAACAAAATGCTTTATTTTTCTTCAATTTTTTATTAGGTCATCTCCTGAATCAATTAAAAAAAAAACCAACAGTGACAACAAAACTAAAAAATATGAAGAAGCTGAAACATGAAAGCTCTGCCAACTGCAATATGTAGCTGCTAAGGTTGCTGTATTTATTGGAATCAAGCAAGTGTTCCAGTAAAGAGCACAGAAGATGTGTCTGGGAGCCTTTATGTGTAGGTCTGCAAGTGGTGGATATCACTACTACTCACACGCCATTGGCTAGAACTGAGTTGCATGGATACACCTAATTGTAAAAGAGGCTGGGAAATAGAGACTATTGTGCCCAGAAAGAAGAGAAAATTCATTTATGGAAGAGGTAGCTAGTCTCTCACAGCCATGAAAAGAGAAGTGTTTAGCTAATTGAAGTGAATAGCAGCCATCTTGGGTCCCTAAGGCAAGTTAGACTAATATTGAAGTGGAAACCATGAGGAAAGCAGTGATACTGAAAGTAACCGCATCTTTGAGAACATGCATTCATTTCCTACAACATGAATTTATTGAGGACCTACCTTAATACAGGCAGCGTGCTAGACACCAAGAGAACTGATGTCCTCTTCCTTCCTGCCTGCCTGGAGCCTGTATTCTGGAGGGGACAGAGCTAGCAGATCAGACCTAACTGGAAATCTGCTGTGCCAGTATATATTTCAGTGATGTGAGCCAATATATCCCCTTGATTGCTCAAAGTAGTTTGGTCGATATATTTTGTTGCTTTAAATTGAACACATTCTTATGTACAGCCTCTGTCTCCTCATCTCCAACCAAGCAAAATAGCTTGTTCTCTTTATGCAGGGACACATGACATTTCCCACGTGGCTTTGTGCATATCTCCACCTCAATTTAAAATGCCTTCCAATCCCTGCTCAAAGTCAAACAGCTTAATAATGGTAGACATAGAATTTGACTTATTCTAATAATAGGTCTTTTAAACAATGCCTTCTTCTCTTCATTCTTTCCTTCTTAGAGTGGGTATTCTTTCTGGTGCATCATGTAAAGGAAGGTAACTACATGCATGTAATGATGAGAATATTTATATGTATTTATGATTATCACAAAAAAACAAAGATTCTACCATTCAAGAGGAACATTTATTTTATTTTTTTATTTGAGAAAAGTATAATTTTATTTATTTATTTATTTGTGCAAATTTATGGGGTACTTGAGAAAATGTGTTACATGTATATAATGTGTAGTGATCCAATCAGGATACTAAGGGTGTCCATCACCTGAGTGTATTACATTTTTGTTAAGTATAATCATCCTACTCCAGGAGAACATTTTAAAAACTGTTCTGTAGAGATACTACTCAAATTAAGTTCTCAGTCCTGAAACATCAGATCAGCTAGGAATCTGACAAAAATGCAAGTTCTCAGATGACAGATGAGACCACTTCAATCAGAATTTCTGGAGTGGAGCCCACACATTTGTATTTTTGCAACCTTTCCAATGATACTTATGTACATGCTCAAGCTTGAAAACCACTTTCCTAGGACATTAGTTCCTCGACAAGATTTGTGAGTAACCTTGTTTCATGAAAAAGTGTTTAGGAGATACTGATTCAATAAAAACTAATCAGGCTTTTATTGTTTGCAGGGCTTTCAAAACTTGCAATAGGCCACTGTGCATTGTTAATTTCTAAGAGGAAGATGCTTATGTCCTCAATGAATATCTTCCCACCATGAAGTACTCTTCTTCCCCCACTTTTTAAAACAATTACTAACACCTGGCAGAAGTAGGCAGACAGCTTACAGCTTAGAAAAAGTTGGCCTAAGATAATGGCTAATTTTCATACATTATTTATTTGTCATCATGCTTATCTTTCTCTCTCTAAATTGTATATTTCATCTCTGTGATCACAGATTGAGCCTCATATTTCATATCTGCCCCTGGCCTAATGGTTGTTTACAGAATGAGCTCAATGAATATTGTTAAGTGAGTAGGATTTAATTTATTTGATAAATAGATAACCTTAAGTTTTAAACGGTGGATTTCACATGAGGACATTTACTTACTATTGTTGAGCTGTAATTAATTTTTAATACTGTTTAGGTACTCATAATAAAGAACAGGATATTTGGAGAAGGAAGACAGTATCATTCCTGGTTCTTAGTCTTACCAGCTTATTGATCATGAGTATATAACCTCTCTGTGGCTCAGTGCCTTTCTCTGTAAAATGGGAACACAGTGATGTTCACCTCACAGGATTGATTTGTAAAAGGGCTGGATAAGGTTATGAGAATGTTTTGCAAAGTGATATCGAAAGATTAATTGCAAACTTCATTTGAATCTTAAATTGTTTGAGATAGGTCATGCTATGAATCAACTATGAAGTGCAGATATTGTCAAGATTCAATATTTCTTTCCCAAGAGCTGAGAGGAGGGGCTGCTTGTTTGTTTGTTTCTTTCTTTTTAGAAACATGCCAGGACAGGCTCATTTTCGGGTTTTCCTCTCACTTGCTCATCTTACTTTTTCTTTAGTTTCTCTATTCATTAGGATACAGTACTGTAAAGCTTTATGGCATTTTTATTTTGTGGGAGATGAATCTGAATAAAGAATTACAGTTAAATCATTGCTAAGTTTGATGAATGAGCACCAAAGAACTCTTCAAGATGTCATTTTTAAAGTTTTGTAAATGATTGGCTTTCAGTGGTTTCCTCTAAGGAATTTTAATTTTGAATAATGCATAGAAAAATGTGCGCACACACAAATCATTCAGTATCCACCTCGAAGGGAAATCAAAGTGCCTGTGAAGTGAAACTTTACCTTTCTATATCACCAGCTTCCTGTTAGAGCAGACTTTTTCTTTGCTCAAAGTCTAAGCATTGAAGAACTTCTTTTTAGTAGGTAGATTTTTGTGTTTTTTTGTTTGTTTTTGAGACGGAGTCTCACTCTGTCGCCCAGGCTGTGGTGCAGTGGCACGATCTCGGCCCACTGCAAGCTCTGCCTCCCGGGTTCACACCATTCTCCTGCCTCAGCCTCCCAAGTAGCTGGGACTACAGGTGCCAGCCACCACGCCTGGCTAATTTTTTTGCATTTTTTAGTAGAGATGGGGTTTCATCGTGTTAGCCAGGATGGTCTTGATCTCCTGACCTCATGATCCACCCGCCTTGGCCTGCCAGAGTGCTGGAATTACAGGCGTGATTTAGTAGGTAGTTTTGAGTAGGGAGTATACATTTAAAATGCTGAAACTCAGTTAAGGAATAATCTAATACTGTATTCAACTGAAACTCAGTTGAGAAATTTCTTTCCAATAATAAAGGAAAATCAACTGCAGTAATGAGGGAGATGATTTTGCTGCTAATTACAACAAATATTTACTACAGACCTGTTATGCACCAGGAACTGTGCTAAATGTTTTATACATATAACTTTATCTTGTGCTCCAACAACTTATTACATAGAAATTGCTATTATTCCCATTTTCTAGATTAATAAATTGGTTTAGAGGGGTCGTATAGGTGAAACAACTCACTCAATATCACAAGCTGTTATGTGGTGAAGTTTGCATGATCAGTACAGGGTTCTGGTCATCCCACTCATTGAGTGGTGCTAGTCAAGATCTGGAAGCTCTTCTGGTCTTAGTTTCTCTAGCCGTGAAGTGACAATGATTAGGTCTAATCATAGAACATGAGAGTACATGTGAAAAAATGCCTTTTTAAAGAGTATGAAAAACTTGAGTTGTAAAATTTTCTTGTGGATAATTTATTATTGCTTTTCTTTTTTAGATAACACTAACAAAGTTGACCTTAGAATTGGAGTGCCTGGGTTAGAACCCTGCTGGTACCACCTGCTTACTGTAAGACTTTGGTCAAGTTATTAACTTTTCTGTTCCTCATTTGTGAAATATTGTGAAAAATAGTCTGTTTGCCTGTCTGAGAACAGTACTGGCACAAAAGTGCTTAATACACTTCACTCATTATTATTAATATTACTATTGTTGCATTTTCCCCTTGAAGGCATGCTTCTGATGTGAGTTCAGGAGAAGACACTGGCAAGGACAGCAAAGAACAGGAGAACACTCTAGCTTCCCTGATAGCATTCAAGGTGCTGTCCAAAGTGAGTTTTCCTCAAGCAGAGAGATGCACTGCCTCTTTTATGCTTTGTTTTTCTTACTTGCCTACTCTATTTACACCTTCTAAGTAAGGACCAATCAGCAAAACCCCAAGAGGGTCACTGTCATGAAAATAATTATGAACTGGCTGAGTGCTTGCAATGTTTATTATTTAGGTTTTTAAGAACAGATAATTAAAGGCCCAAGAGAATTTAGTCTCTCCCAATTGTAAAAGTGGGGTCTTATAGAAACCCACAGAGCGCTTGGGGTTGTACACTTACTTCTAAAAGTTCTCTTAATAAATCACTGCCCTGGTGCACTCCCTGGGGTATTTCATGACCAAGTGAAATCACTTACTGTTTCAAATTTGCATTTTTCCTGAGTTTGCATATTTTTCTTGCATGTGCTTTGTTACCAATGTACCAAGTCCTTATACATTTGGACTGCATTTACCGCAGTTTGGAATGGTTTCTCAGAAATGGGACATTAAAATCCTGGAGTGTGACACTGACACGTGGAAAGAGCTTCCTTTGTAAGCTGCTCAGGCATGCTGAGAATTAGTGTAGAAATGATTTTTTCCTTAATTTTCTTGGATAGCAACCTATGTAGGATCTTATAATTATGTGTAGGAATTCATTAAAGAAACTCTCTCCATTGCTAGAAATCCAAGCTGGTAGTGAGGAGAGAGCTGTGTGATTTGTTGCAGCAGAAGTATTATGGAAATATTTACTAAATATCTTCCATGTGCTGGGCATTGAGTGAAACACTTTCATATCCCTTGTAACATGTGTCTTAGTCTAAGGTAATACTTTAATGTAATTGTAACAAATGGATAAAAGGGGAATTGTCGTCATTTTACAGATGAAACATTAGAGACTGTAGGAAACTAGGCCCAGAACAGTTAAACAGAGTAGACATAACCTCTTACCACTTTATCTGCTACTATGTAACAAATCACCCTAAAATTTAGTGTCTTAAAACAACAAAAACAAACATTTATTATCTCACAGTTTCTGGCACATAGGAAGCACTGCATAAGTGATTGTTATTCTTGCTGATTATGTTTCTGTCATTGACACTGTGTATCACTGAGTTGGGATGTGTATTAGATAGAATCATGGAAGGTAAGGTTATAGAACAATAATTCAGACACGTTCACTATACTAAGTGCTTTACATATATGAAGTCAACTACATTTAATACGTATCAACAATGAGGTTGATATTAGTAGTATTCCCATTTTAGAGATAAAGAAAGAAATTCAGAGAGACACCATGCCTCATATTACTCTATCCAGGGAATAACTGGGAGTGATTCAAGAATATAGAATTAGAAAAATGGTCCTTACCACTGTGCAGAGCAAAGATTGCAGATATGGGAGAGCATGAGACAGACTGGAAGAACACTGTGTTTTGAGATCAGCATGAAAGCTGGTCTAGCAGGAAGTTAAGCATCACTTTGGGAAGTGATGGAAAATAATACTGAAGAATAATATTCTCTTATTGAAAGTTTTAATTTTTCTTTCTTTCTTTTTTCTTTTCTTTTTTTTGAGACAGAGTTTCACTCTTATTGCCCAGGCTGGAGTGGAATGGCGCAATCTTGGCTCACTGCAACCTCCGTCTTTCGGGTTCAAGCAATTCTTCTGCCTCAGCCTCCCCAGTAGCTGGGACTACAGGCATGCACCACCATGCCTGGCTAATTTTGTATTTTTAGGAGAGACGGGGTTTCACCATGTTGGTCAGGCTGGTCTTGAACTCCTGACCTCAGTTGATCCACCGTCTTCAGCCTCCCAAAGTGCTGGGAATACAGGCATGAGCCACCATGCCCAGCCTAATTTTTCTTACATGAGATACGGTTTACCAAAGTCCACCTTCCACTTCTTCCTTCGTGTATATATAGAGATAGCATTTCCTAGCTTCTCTTGCAATTAATTGTGGCCATGAGCTTTGGGCAGTGGAATGTGAATGGAAGTGATGTGGCCACTCCATATGTGTTTCTCTGTGTCCTTTCCCCTTCTAGCTGACTGTGATGGCACCCTCCAGACAGACAGCGATGCCACATGTTCAAGATGGCAGAATCACTATCAGCTTCAATTCCTGAATGACTGCAGAGCAAAATTTCTTACCTGCAACATACACTCTATTTTCAGCCTCCCTGGACTGTTACATAATGATACATAAAAATATTTCTTGTGTTGAGGCATCCCAAATTTGATTTATTTGTCATCACAGTCTATCCTATGAATATATTTCTGATCCAAATAATGCTAGATTCATGAGAGTTTATAGTCCAGAGATTTTTTTTTTTTTTTTGAGACAGAATCTGTCTCCCAGGCTGGGGTGCAGTGGCATAATCTTAGCTCACTGCAACCTCTGCCTCCCGGGCTCAAGTGATCCTCCCTCCTTAGCCTCCATGAGTAGCTGGGACCACAGGTGTGCACCACCACACCCCGCTAATTATTTTGTATTTTTTGCAGAGGGGGGTTTCACCACATTGCCCAAGCTGGTCTCAAACTCCTAGACTTAAGGGATCTGCCTGCCTTGGCCTCCCAAAATGCTGAAATTACACTTGTTAGCCATAGTAATAGTTCCTAGCCATAGTCCGGAGATATTTTAAAAACTTTAGTGTGAGTTATTTCTCTTTGCTATAATTCTCTCATGCATTTTGAAAACCTTTTCTGCCATACAGTGGTTTTTGGGAAGTCCTTTTGGACAGACATATCACAGGATGGAGAAACTAAAAAGAGAGAATGCATTAAAGAAAAAATAGTACTTCGTATTTCAGAAATTACAAAAGGGTGTCATGCCCCACAGCATGGTGGGCAGTCATTTGTAACCCACAGAACATTGAGTTTCTAAAATTTGAGTGTTTTTAACTTACGAAGGCCAACTTTACTGATGAAGTGATTACCCCAAATATGTGAAATCCATATTTCAAGTACAATAGTAGGAAATTGGAAATGGGTAGGTATATTTCTGACTGTCAAAGAGTACAAAGTAAAGAGGGGCCCCTGAAGAGTGACACTACTGGAAAAACAGAAGAAAAAAAAAACTGTTTCTTTTTTTAAAGAGCAGTCAACCTCAAACTTACTACTAATGACTGTATTTCATTTCAGTCTACCCCAGTGGTTTTGTTTCTCATAGACTGTAGAATGTAAGCCTTTTTGGTCATTCTGACAGATTTTCCAGCACAAAGAATATCAGGGGATTAACTGACAAATCATGGGTATTTTTGGCAAGATAGTAGATTAACCCTGGAAATTTTCTCCATCTATGAGAAAAAAAGACATGTGCCACCTGAGGGTTACAAAGACTGTTGGTGGCTGACCTCAGGCTCCTGTCTTTTATTTTATTTTATTTTTTTACCATTTTACCTCTGCCCTGTTTTTTTAAATTATTATTATTTTACTTTAAGTTCTGGGATACATGTGCAGAACTGCGGGTTTGTTACATGTGCCATGGTGGTTTGCTGCACCTATCAACCCGTCATCTAGGTTTTAAGTCCCACATGCATTAGGTATTTGTCGTAATGCTCTCCCTCCCCTTGGGCCCCACCCCTCAACGCGCCCCACCCCTCAACAGGCCCCAGGGTGTGATGTTCCTCTCTGTGTGTCCTTGTGTTCTCACTGTTCAGCTCCCACTTATGAGTGAGAACACACAGTGTTTGGTTTTCTGTTCCTGTGTTAGTTGGCTGAGAATTATGGCTTGCAGCTTCATCCATGTCCCTGTAAAGGACATGAACCCATTATTTTTTGTGGCTGCATAGTATTCCATGGTATATGCCATGTGCCATGTTTGCTTTATCATTGATGGGCATTTGGGTTGGTTCCAAGTCTTTTCTATTGTAATTAGTGCTGCAATAAGCATACGTGTGCATGTGTCTTTATAGTAGAATGATTTATAATCCTTTGGGTATATACCCAGTAATGGGATTGCTGGGTCAAATGGTATTTCTGGTTCTAGATGCTTGAGGAATCATCACACTGTCTTCCACAATGGTTGAACTAATTTACACTCCCACAAACAGTGTAAAAGCGTTCCTATTTCTCCACAGCATCACCAGCATCTGTTGTTTCCTGACTTCTTAATAATTGCCATTCTAACTGGTGTGAGATGGTATCTCATCATGGTTTTGATTTGCATTTTTCTAATGACCAGTGATGATGAGTTTTTTTCATATGTTTGTTGGCCAAATAAATGTCTTCTTTTGAGAAGTATCTGTTCATATCCTTTGCCCATTTATTGATGGGGTTGCTTGATTTTTTTCTTGTAAATTTGTTTTCAGTTCCTTGTAAATTCTAGATATTAGACCTTTGTCAGATGGGTAGACTGCAAAAATTTTCTCCCATTCTATAGGTTGCTTGTTCACTATGGTGATAATTTCTTTTGCTGAACAGAAGCTCTTTAGTTAATTAGATCCCATTTGTCAATTTTGGCTTTTGTTGCCATTGCTTTTGATGCTTTAGTCATGAAGTCTCTGCCCATGCCTGTGTCCTGAATGGTATTGCCTGGGTTTTCTTCTAGGGTTTTTATGGTTTGGGGTTTTACATTCAAGGCTTTAATCCATCTTGAGTTAATTTTTGTATAAGGTATAAGGAAGGGGTTCAGTTTCTGTTTACTGCATATGGCTAGCCAGTTTTCCTAGCACCATTTATTAAATAGAAAGTCCTTTCCCCATTGCTTGTTTTTGTCAGGTTTGTCAAAGGTCAGATGGTTGTAGATGTGTGGTGTTATTTCTGAGGTCTCTGTTTCATTGGTCTATATATCTGTTTTGGTACCAGTACCATGCTGTTTTGGTTACTGTAGCCTTGTAGTATAGTTTGAAGTCAGGTAGTATGATGCCTCCAGCTTTGTTCTTTTTGCTTAGGATTGTCTTGGCTATATGGGCTCTTTTTTGGTTCCAGATGAAATTTAAAGTAGTTTTTTTCTAATGCTGCAAAAAAAGTCAATGTTAGCTTGATGGGAGTAGCATTGAATCTATACATTACTTTGCTCTGCCCCTGTTTATACATACATGACTGATATGGTTTGGCTGTGTCCCTGCCCAAATCTCATCTTGAATTCCCACATGTTGTGGGAGGAACCTGGGGGGAGGCAACTGATCATGGGGCAAGTCTTTGCCATGCTGTTCTTGTGATAGTGAATAAGTCTCATGAGATCTGACGGTTTTAAAAAGAGGAGTTCCCCTGCACAAATTCTCTCTCTTTGCCTGCTGCCATCCATGTAAGGCATGACTTACTCCTCCTTGCCTTCTGCCATGATTGTGGGGCTTCCTCAGCCATGTGAAACTGTAAGTCCAATTAAACATCTTTCTTTTGTAAATTGCCCCGTCTCAGGTATGTCTTTATCAGCAGTGTGAAAATGGACTAATACAATGATACAAGAGTAGTTAGAACAGTATTTATAAATGTGCCAATGTTAATCAACATAGGAGTTAACGATTCCCTGTTTTTCTGTGATTTCTCATGCACCAAAAATATATTAAGATAAAATATACAATTTTCATTCACTATTAAGTGACTAACCTCATATTGCTTTCAAAGGCATTTATTGGCACCTACTATGTGTGAATACACTCAGCTTGCTTATGTGAAAGCTGAATAACAAAGTGGTTATGTAACTTAATGAAGGTCCCACAACTAGGAAGTGGTAGAGTAACTTTCTAAACCACTTTCCTCCCAGTTTAGTTTCACATTCATGTGTTCAGTCAACAAGCACTTATGGAATCCTGATGCTGGGCCCTACTTTATGGTAGACACTGAAGATACAGACTTTGTCCCTGCCCTCATGGAGTTCACAGTTCAGGAGGGAAACCAGATTTAATCAAATAACCACACAAAAATTTGCTCGTAAAATGAAACCAATGCTATAAGGAAAATGAACAGGGTGATTTGAGAGCATATAATAGGATTTTATCATATCTGATGATTCAGAGTAATGTTCTCCTATAGAAGAGATGTGGGAACTGACATCTGAAGTGTCAGTGTTAGTTAGCCAGGTGTGGTATATAAAAGATGACCAGCTTATCCACCAAGAGGTAGAATTGCTTTCCCCATGCATTAAATCTGGACTGGCCTTTGACTTGCAGTGTCCAACAGATAAAGTGGAAGTTTCTGCTCTTGCTCCCTTGGAATATTGTTCTGAGACTGCCAGCTGAAGAAGTCTAGTCTAGTCTAGTTTATTAGTGGATGAGAGGCTGGTAGAAAAGCGAAAAACTGTTGCAGCTGAGTCCCCTGAGTCCAACCAGTTGACAGCCTGCAGCGACTGTGTGAGGCCATCTTAGATTATTCAGCCCCACTACAGATGCCAAATATCTGCAGCTGTAAAAGTGATTCCAGGCAATAACAGAAGAACCATCCTGCTGATCCTAGCCCAAATTGCTGGCCATAGAACCATGAGCTAATAAGACAGCTGTGGTTATAATATATTGAGTTTGGGGTTGGCATGTTACATGGCAGTCAGTTATTGATACCCTGAGAGAAGTATGGAAGCTGGGACTGAATTCTAGGAAGAGGGAAAGATATAGGCAAAGGTCCTGAGGAGGGAAGAATAAACTTTTAGAGAACTGAAAGAAAGATGATGAGATAGAAGACTTCAGAGGGCTAGGCAAGGCCCAAGTCTAAAAGCAGTGTCTTAGAATCTGTCAAAAATCTCATCTTTTTATTGTTGTTTGGAACAAAGTCTTTCTTTATTGCCTAGGCTGCAGTCATGCAGTGGCACAATTAAAGCTCACTTCAGCCTCGACCTCCTGAGCTCAAGCAATCAGCCTCCTGACTAGCTGGGACTACAGGTGTGGATGACTATACCCAGCTATTTTTTTTTTTTTATTTTTTGTAGAAACAGGGTCTTACCATGTTGCTCAGGCTGGTCTCAGACTTCTGGGCTCAAGCAATCCTCCTGCCTCAGCCTCCCAAAGTGTTTGGATTATAGGCATGAGCTAGCATGCTCGGCTGTGAGTTCAATTTTTTTCTTTAAAAGCAAGAGAAAGTCACTGTAGAGATTTTGAGCTCAGAAGTGTCATGAATAGACTTGCACATGTGCATATATTGTTTTTTTTTTTTTTCACCAGGCGCAAACTTATGGTGGAAGGGACCTACATTAAGCACACATAAGTAGAAGCTGGCCAGGCACGGTGGCTCATGCCTGTAATCCCAGCACTTTGGGAGGCCGAGACTGGTGGATCACGAGGTCAGGAGATCGAGACCATCCTGGCTAACATGGTGAAACCCCGTCTCTATCAAAAATACAAAAAAAAATTAGCCAGGTATGGTGGGGGGCGCCTATACTCCCAGCTACTCGGGAGGCTAAGGCAGAAGAACGGCTTGAACCCGGGAGGTGGAGTTTGCAGTGGGCCAAGATCGCGCCACTGCACTCCAGCCTGGGTGACAGAGTGAGAGTCTGTCTCAAAAAAAAAAAAAAAAAAAAAAAAGTAGAGGCTGAGTAGAAGCTGAGTAAATCCTATTTTACTATTTGACTGATTAAATCACGAAGATACCCAGGAGGCAAAACTGAAACAGCTCAGGTGTCTAGGGGAAGTCCAAAGTAGAGGACACTGTGAACCAGCTACCATGACTGACCTCAGTTTGAAACTACTGGGGTAGTCTGTATTATGGCTGAAAAATTCATTCTTTCTACCAAGATTTTCCATTGAAAATTTGCCTTTGACTTATTTAACTTCTAATCAGCTGACCTTCTACCTTTTTTGCATTTGAAGTAGATTTCTTTTAGTAGGCCAGCGGGTAAACAAGGAGAAAACACACAGGGCAAGTCAGATGCATCATTGAACCGAGTTTCTCTCTCTAAACCTGTAAAGTACTAGTGAAAATTCCTACTGTTGAATCAATTACAACTGCAAGCTTAGAATCAGGGTACAGTGCTACTGTTAAGACTTTGGCCCTTGGCCTTAGTGGTTTGTAAGGCTTGTAAAGAAGTAAAGTATCTCTTTATTCCAGTTCTTGAATCCAGTTCATGAATCAAGGGAGATCCTTGGATGTCTGATGGCTGCTATTCTGTTTCTCAAACAATTTGAATTCAGCAAGCCGTCACTGAAGATATGGAGTCACACAGTCAAGTTTAAATCCATGCTATGCTATTTAAAACTTGCATGATCTTGTGCTAATTAATCAATTTTTGCTTCAGTTTCCGAAACGGTAAGGGGCACGGGGATAATACAGTCTGCTTACCGTATGGGTGAAGATGTGGGGGAAGATTAAATACATTGTTCTTACATGAAATGTAAACAGAAAGCTCCTCCACAGTAAGCTGTCAGCTAAAGCTAGTTTACTTTCCACTGCTCTTCAATAACGGAAAGAGTAATTTTTCATTACTGAAGGATAGACGCTGATGGCATTTTTTTGTTTCGTATATTTTATATATGCTTGGATTTTATATTGATCTTTGCTGTAAATTTGCTTAATTTTAAATAGGAAAATTATCTTTCCTTGGCCTATGCTTCAGCCTTTACTCCAGTTCAATGATTTCAACACTGGCTGGAAATTGGAATGTTAACAAAAATATCAATGCCTATTTTCATTCCCAAAGATTCTAGTATAATTGGTCTGAATTGTGGCCTAGGTGTTGGGATTAATTTAATAAAATAATCTTTTGTAAATAATTTTGTGCACAAATTCATTGAACTACAGAGAATTTTTGAGAAGTAAAGGATAGGTATTCCTAGAACACGCTGCTGATCTAGATGGATAACCAACGTTATTTTCACTACACTCTGCCTATAGAATGACATAATAAAACTTTTAAAAAACATTTTTAGTCAATATGGCAACTGAATAGGCTTCAGGTGACCTTATGGGTAAAATAGCTTTGTGGCTCATTAAATGAGCACTCTTAAATATCGCCTGTGGGGAATCCAGCCTGGAACCAAAGTATGCTCCGTGGTGACCAGGGAGTTGTGTTACTCCCCTTTACTTGAGGTAGAAAATAAAAATAGAAGTATTGCATTCAAATTACCAGGGGTTGTGACCCTCTACTATCTCATGTGTGTCATGTATCTCACGTGATGTGGCTTTCGTCACTTGATGTGTATAGGCTTCTCAATTTCACTTAAAAACTAATTCTTCAATTAGGGTATGCTGCCACCAGGTGGCAATGAGGGCCTCACTTGTGGTCGCTATCTTTGAATAATAGTTGTTCATTCATACATTCATTCGTTTTTCATGGCAGCTTGAAAAGGTTGATATGCCTTTTTACTTGCTATCTCTTAAAATTCAAAATGTAAACTTTAATACTAAAACTGAACGTCTATAGCTAATTATAGTTTTAATAATTATAAAGATTATATATACAGGTGTGCAGGAATAGCTGCATATGTATGTGAAACTCTACATGTCTACATGTATGAATGGTTTTAGAGAAATTAAAGATAAAAGTATGTATCTTCTTCACTATCCCTTATTAATTATTAGTCACAGCAAAACCATACATGGTTATTTCTATTCTTCTGTAGCCAAGTTTTGCTGTTAGTATCTTTATGAGTTGAGTACTGTTGTGTAATTTTAGACCAACCTGATGGTTGTTGGTCTGAAATTATGAGATTGAATACTATTGTACTATTGAGCACTATTGTATTATTATCTTTATGAGATTGAGTACTATTGTGTAATTTCAGACCAACTTGATGTTAAAATTCAATCACAGGATTCTCAAACTTTCTAGCAATGCGTAATTCTAATTAAGGAATTATTAATATATTTGCTTTTCCATATCTTGGTAATGAAATGATTTCTATCAACATTAGCTCCTAATAAGTTATCTTTTATTTCTCTCACACTGAAGAACCGAGAGGACAATAACATAGCTTTGTTTTATTATTGTGTTTATTGAGTCCTCATGACCAATTTCTCCTAATCAGAAGAAAGAAACTTTCTCTTGTCCATAGAAGAGGGAAACATCAGGATGATGTAGTCATTAGCTATGTATGACCTGAAAGTTATGTGCAATAATTCTCCTCTATCAGATGAATATGACTTCTATATCGTCTTAAGTTTTAACAGATCAACATAAAGGTTTTAGTAAGAAGCAACTAAGAAATTATTTTAAAAACATACCGTTACCCATAAAGAAAAATTGATAATGTCTTTGTGCTTCCCTGTGCCTTTTTAAAGGAAAAGTCCCAGTAATTCACCCCCTCTTCCAAGTTGATATCACACATGCCTGGAGACATTGTAAGGGGCCACAACAAATTAAATTTTGTGTTATCAAAGAAAGTTCCCATCTTTGGGTTGAGCATGAGACATTTTCACTGCCTCTGAGGTGACTGATTAGAATTCTTACCAACTGACCCACTTTCTGCCAATTGCTGCCTACAAAAACTAATCACACCCTCTCTTTTATAAATGTAAAACAAAGATGTGGGAGGGTCACTTAGCCCAAGGTGTTTACACAGAGCAAAGCTGAGCAACTTTCTAGATAACTTCTGATGCCTATAGAGCCAGAAGTAAGGAGACCTGGGCTCAGAGAGAGAGTGCTGCTGAGATATCATTTCTCCTTCTATCTTAAGCTTCTTTGTATCTTGGAATAGTTTGCCTTGACTTTAAAGAATCTATAAATCTCAGGAATATCTTCAGCTAGGCTGGCCCAGACATATGTCTTTAAGATAGCCTTTTTGATGGCATTTCCATGCAAATTTTAAATCAAGGTTGATAGCATTATCAGACAATAAACACTTGTGGTTTTAATCTTCATGATTTTGACTCTTTGGAAAAGATCTTGATGATCCATGAAATTTTTAAAAAAGTATTATCAAACCTCATCTCTAAAAATGTTGTGGTGGCCACTCCACATGTCTCTGTCCTTTCTTTTTCTACATTCATTTCCCAATCAAATGACATGACTTCAAATGCAAAAAATGTTTATCATTTCCTGAAATTATTACTTAGCTAGTTAATTCTCATATCTTTATTTAACCTTTCTTATGTTTCTGCAATGTTTTCTCAATTATTTTTAATTTCTTCTGAAGCCGGACTTCATATATTGATACTCTGCATCATCATTCCTGATTCAAAGTGAAGTACTCTAAGCCTCCCACAAAGCTTCTGTCCATTCAGTTCATTCATGCGTTCATTAATTTTTCTACTTCATTTATTTATTCATGCAATAAATATTTATTGAGTACGTATTTTGTTTCACTCTTCTTTTTGTTGATACATAATAACTGCATATTTATGAAGTTCGTGTGATATTTTGATGCATGCATATAATATATAATAATCAAATAGGGGTAACTAGGATATCCATCATCTCAAATATTTATCATTTCTTTGTATGGAAAACATTCCAAGTCTTCTCTTCCAGGTATTTTGAAATATACAATAAATTATTATTAACTATAATCACCCTAGTGTGCTATTGAACCATAAAACTTATTTTTTCTAACAGTATTTTTGTAACTAACAAGCCTCTTTATCGCCTCCCCTATCAGCCTTTGGTAAGCACCATTCCACTTTCTACTTCCATGAGATCAGCTTTTTTAGCTCCCATATATGAGTGAGAATGTGCAATATTCATCTTTCTATGCCTGGCTTATTTCACTTAACATAATGTCCCCCAAGCTTACCCATGTTACTGAAAATTACAGGAGTTCATTCTTTTTTATGGCTGCATAATATTCCATTGCCAGGCACTTTTCTTGATGCTGGTATAATAAAAGAGGCATTCTTGCCCTCATGGAGCCCATGTTCTAGTGGATCAAGGAGGCAAAATATATAGGAAACCTAGATAGCACAAGGGAGAATATTAGCAGCTCCAGGTCTATTTGGCAAGGTTAAGCTGTCTGCATGGAACCCTAGCCAGCAATGGCCAAATCAAGAATGGTTTCCTGCGCATGGCTAGTTCCTGCTGTATCTGGTGTCAACACTGAATGGTGGAATGTTGACTGCTCTGAAGGTTTTCCTTGATGCCCTTCAAACTGGCCTGGCCAAAATAATTGGACTCTTCTCTCACTTCCTGTCCCAGATTTTATTTCACCAAGACTAAAGTTTTGCCTTAAATGTTCAAGCTTCACTTGAAAACTTGTTCCCTGATCTGCTCTTTCCAGGTCCCACTGGTAGAGATTGTTCCTGGTCTTTCCTCCCCTAATCCTGGCTAAAATACTGCTTTAAGATGGAATCATTACCATGGCATTTCCATTTCTCTGTTTTTTTTTTCAACAATTTATTTATATACATTAAAATAGAAATGAACTACATGCTGTATATGAAACATTTTCCTGGGAATTGGGGATATAGAAGTAAATGATACTTTTGATCTAACATGATTTACCATGTTTCACATGATATTTCTTACGTAGCAGCTACTCAATCCTCTTTTGTCCTATTTGTCAATATAAAATTGTTTTCAAAAACTTTAAATGTCTTATGAATTTGTCAAGGATTTCCTGTGGCTGTAGATATGCTTTTGTGTGTGGGGTGTGTGTGTGTATGTGTGTGGTATATGTGTGTGTGTATGGGTGTGTGTGTGTATGTGAGTATTGCTGTGTGTATGTGCATGTGTTTGTACATGTGTATATGTGTGTGTGTGGTGTGTGTGTGTGTTTTGCATGTCCTTCTAGGTTGCCAAGCACAACATCATGTGAAAATAAGGAATTTTGAATAAGAAGATATACATGCAATATAAATTATTTCTGTAATGGTATAAATTTTTGTGCTTAATGTTATGGACACTTTTGAAAATGGTAGCTAAATCAATGTTGAGTCACTTTATTTGCACCCGTAAGATATCAGGAATTATGCAGAGTTGATGCATGTGCAAAGGTGTCTGTTATAGTTTGGATGTTTGTCCCCCTAAACCTCATGTTGAAATTGGATCCTAATTTTGAAGATGGGGGCCTAATGGGAGGTGTTCAGGTCATGGGGGCAGATTCCTCATGAATAGATTAATGCCTTCCCTGGAGTGGGAGGAGAAGTGAGTGAGTTCTCACTCATTAGTTTTCAAGTGAACTGGTGGTTAAAAAGAGCCTGGCACCTGCCCCCCTCCCTTTTGCTTCCTCTCTCACCATGTGGTCAGTTCACACCAGCCTTTCCTTGCCTTGTACTGTGAGTGGAAGCAGCCTGAGGGTGTCATCAGAAGCAGATGTTGGTACCAGGCTTCTTATAGTTTGTAGAACTGTGAACCAAAGAAACCTCGTTTCTTTATAAATTATTCAGCTTCAGGTATTCTTTTCTCACAACACAAAATGATCCAGGACAGTACCTAAAAGCTTCAATTTGCCATTTGATTCTTTCTATGAGATGACTAGATTTTTTGGGAGGACAGGTCTATCTATCTGGAAAGAAGCCGTTTGGAATGGAAGCAGTATGAAACAAGCATAATTTTCTTGGTTTAAGCCAACCTTATTATAAGCCCCTGAATCTTACAACTTTATTACATTTCTGCAAATATCCAGAAGCTTATGTATTTATTATTCTTTCAGGCTCTTGAGTTTCTGCTTTCAAGTGACCCTCAGAAATTCCTCCATTCACTGCAGAGGTTCTGTTTCTCCTTGCTTTGTTCTGACTTTACGGCAGAACTAAGCTAATGAGTTAGTTACTATGGGTTATCACTTGGATTTGAAGAACCATCATTTCTAGGCATTGCTGCTCAGAGTGGTAAGTGGACCATTACAAATCAACATTACCTGGAAGCTTGTTAGAATTTAGAATCTTAGGCCCTATCCAAGACCTACTGAATCAGAATACAATTTAACAAGATCCCCAGGTGCAGTATAGTTTGAGAAGGACTGAGAGTCTAGAGGAATGGCAGATGCAAGGCAATAGGAAGGTCCATGCTTAGGGTTGTGGGGAGATACAGGTTCCCACACCTCTTCTCACCTAGATCCTCCATAAGAGCAGAATTTACTGATAAATTGTTTTGATTTTAGGATACTGACTGCAGACCTGGGACTAGGGTAATGTAAGTGAGGCTCACAGGGTGCAACATTTCCAGAAGCACCCACTCGCAGGTGCTGACCCTGCAGGTGTCACAAATCTGAGAATCCATGCCTCTGTAAAATTTTCACCTGAAGGGCCTTGCTCGCCTCACCCTCACCTTGCCCTGTGGAGTGCTCAATTTGACTATTAAATGGGAGCAACAGTTGTTGAAACGTTATCTACCTGTGGGCATCTCTGCTCTCTCCTTCCATTCTTTATGACAAAAGACCCTCTAGAAGTCTCTCTCTCTCTCTCTCTCTGTGTCTCTGTGTGTGTATGTGTTTTCTCTGTGTGTGTGTGTGTGTGTGCGTGCATGTGTGTGTGTCCTTCTACACTTTTGCAACTCTTCTGTGGTTTGATAAGAAAACTGAGAATTGGAGAGCCCCTCTAGTCTATTAGTTGGGCCATTTATGTTCAGTTTACTAAGACTTTGGGGCATCAATCTAGCTCAGAAAACTCCAGACCTTTGTTTATCTTTTCTCCTTCATCTTCAAGCATGAATTTTCCCAGATATCTCATAGAGGGGTTGTTGAGAAACGGGGTAGGATTCAGACATTCCTGCAATCCCAGTTTCTTACTAGAGAGTTCCACATTTAGAGATATTTGGGGTTTCTCTGGTTATTTATGGTGTTAGTTTATTTTCTATATAGTTAATGCTCCCTGGAGCATGGTTTCCACAGCAGAAAACTCTGAGAGGAGGACAGCTGAGTGGCTGGGTTGCCACAATACCACCAGGGCTGGGGTAGGCTCCTGCAACTTTTAAATCTTCACTTTCCTCCTCTATAAAATGAGAATGACACTAATTTCTACTCTGTAGAATGAATGAGAAGATTACATTAACAAATTCATGTGAGTATTTCAAAAAAGACTATGCAAATATTATTAACCTCTTGATTGAGTTTTAAGAAGCATATAGGAAACAATATTTTTTGGATCAAAAAGGCTCAGAAATCTTAAGTGCCATTTCAAAGCCCCACATTCTGTAGGTTCTGGAGTAAGGCTTGGTCTGGAGTGCTCAGCTCGCTTTCTTTCCTTCCCATCACGCTGCCTCTCAGATATGTAGCACAGATAACTCATTGTTTATGTTCTTTTAAATTTGAATGGCATCTCCTCCACCCTCCATTTACTTTTCCTCATTATATCAAGACATCTCTTCAGATTCAGTCCCTTGGAACCTAGTGTCTTCAGTAAAATTATTATTGATTGGCTTCTTGCAGAGTAGGAGGGGAGGCAACCTCTGAAGCAAAGCAGGCTCTTCCTATTTGCATTTCAGGTGGGTCAGCAAAATGTGGCACTACAGTTGTGCCTGCACTGACTGAAATAAAACATGTTGGAAGGCACAGTGCCTCTTTAGAAGAATTGGATCCACATTCAGTTCAAGCCAGGAAACTCTCCATGGACTAACAGTCCCCCTGACCACCCAAGTAAAAACTTCCCTGGGAAAACAAAAATCTACCTTTGAAATGCCTCATGCATAGACACTGCCATTCCCAGCCTCTGCACTGCTCAGCTTCTCCAGCTGCATGGAAGCCCTTGACACTTCAATGGAGACTTCCTCCTACTGTTTCCAATGTTAATCCTCAACAGAGGCCAGAGAGAGCTCATAGGCTCTAATGCCCTGGGATAAAGCATCAAGTGCTCACTCCTACAGGCCCAACTTTGCCACACTTCTGACTTCCAGGATGTTCCCTCAACCCTGTGTCTATCCTCCAGCCCAGAATCTAACCTTGGGCCTCTGAAAATGGGGTATTGACTTGTTCTTCTCAAATGACCTTCATAGGTGGCAGATCACCCTGCCTCACATTTCCAGACCCTTTCGCTACATGTTTTAGGATCCTCATCTCACAGTCAATAAGCTACCCTAATTGTTTGTTCATTCACTCTTCTATTAATATTTTAAGTGTCTTTCATGAGCCAGACTCTGCCATGCATTGGGGACTAATGGAGAACAACACTAGTCTTATGAAGCTGTAGCTTCTTAAAGTTGACAGATGTTCACTTATTGACAACAAATATTTATTAAGCACCCTCTATGTAATAGGGATTTTTTTTTTTTTTTTTTTTTGAGACAGAGTCTCGCTCTGTCGCCAGGCTGGAGTGCAGTGGTGTGATCTTGGCTCACTGCAACCTCCAGCTCCCTGGTTCAAGTGATTCTCCTGCCTCAGCCTCCTGAGTAGCTGGGATTACAGGCACACACCACCACACCCAGCTAATATTTGTATTTTTAGTAGAGACGGGGTTTTACCATGTTGGCCAGGATGGTCTCAATCTCCTGACCTCGTGATCCACCCGCTTTGGCCTCCCAAAGTGCTGGGATTACAGGCCAGAGCCACCACACCTGGCCATAACAGGGATGATTCTTAAAATGAAGGATACAGTAGAGAATGAGGAGATACAGTCCCTGACTTCTACAGCTTACATCGTACTGGGGTAGGTTGGGGAGGTATGCAACAGACACAAAATAATGATGTGCCAGGTGGTAGGATATGACAAGGGGAAAATTAAAGCAGAAAAATGGGAAAAGGAGCAATGAGGGGGATGATTTTAGGCAGGATGATCAGGGATGTTTTCTTTGATAAAGTGACGTTTGAACTGAGACTTGAAGGAAACTGGAAAGAAAGTTGTGTGGATATCTGGGAACAGGATATTCTAAGAAGGAACAGCAAGGATATAAACCTGAAGGTAAGATTATGTTTAAAGTGTTTGAGAAGCAAGAAAGAGAGCAGTGCACTGGAGTGGAGAGAAAAAGGGAAGTGACATCAGACAAGGTATGGGAGCAGAGAGCGGTGGGCAGCTTTGAGTAGAGCCCTGTGTGCCCTGGTGAAGATTTTCAATTTTACTCTGAGTGAGATGATAATATACTAGAAAGTTCTGGACAGAGGAGTCACGTGGTCTGACTTAGGTGTTAAAAGATTTGCTTTGTCTAGCATATGGAGACCAGACTGTATGAGGCCAGCGGGAAGCAGCAATATCATTAGAAAGGCCTCTGTGATGATTTTCCATGTAAGAAGTAGGTGGTTTGGACCAGGCTGCTGACAGCAATGTTGGTTAAGATATTCTGAAGGTTAAGCAGTCACATATACAGAAAGATCAAATTCTGAGTGTAAGAGGAAGAGAGAACTCAAAGATGACTCCAAAGCTTTCATATGAACCTCAGAATGAATGAGGTTGTCCCTTACTGACATGAATCAAAGAATTTCTCAATGGAGGCTAAAATTACAAATCTGGATGAGTGCTAATGTTGAAAGATGCTGGACCCTGTAACTTTCCAATTTCATATCCTCCACTGTCCCTTTTGTTTTCTATTCTCCTGCTAACCACGTCCCCTCTCCCCACAAAGACCTTGCACAGGATGCCTCTTGTTAAGGATTTGGATGTGATCTAAGAATGATTAAAAGCAAGCATTACATTATACAACACAGTGAGATAAATAGATTTATGATTTGGAAGCTCACTTTGTCTATAGGTTGGATAACAGATTTGGGAGGAGTAGTGTAAATGAGGGGAACTAGCTAGGAAATGACTGTAGAGATCAGGAATGAGAAGACAGTGGCTTGGACCAGGGTGTCATCACATTAGATAGGCCAATATTGCAGGGCCATTCTAGAAGCACTAATTTCTATGATCTTCCTTAGTACCTAGTTGTCATATAGGCATGGCGGTAGTTGGTAAATCAGAAAAGGCTGAATTGAGCTGTGGTAGGAGAAAGACAGGAGGCAACAGCAGGTATAGATTAAGTAGAGGAGGAAGTTAAATGTGGTTTTCTGGGTGGGGCCCTCAGGAAGCTATGAGCTATTTCCAGGAAGAGCTGGCACATTTCTTTGATGGCCTAGTGGTTTTTATATTTTTCTGCCTGAAGTTCACCACTTTCTACCCATGTACTCCTCTCCTGTTTTCATGACCCTCCTTATTTCAGGACCACTTGAAACCCTTCATTTCTGCCCAACTTCTGGATGTTCTTCCCTATACTCTATTAGACCTCCAAACAGCTTGAGAAGGAGATATTATTGCACAATGTTTAAGAGCCCTGGCTTCTGAGTTGGACTGGCTTGGATTTGTAGTAGTTCTATTACCTACTAACTACCTAATAGTAGGTAATAGAACTACCTAATAGTAGTTCTATTACCTACTAACTTTGAGGCTTTGGGCTGATTACTTAATTTCTTGGTACCTGATTTTTCATACCTGTAAACTGGTAGAAATTATGATAACATCTACTTCATAGGATGGTTATCATGATTAAAAATGCCAGGGATTTCTTGTTTCTAGTTTGACGTAGAAGCAGCTTGAAGGTCCCCACTCCATCGTAAAAACAAGTAAATATCTGAAGAAATGGTAAAAAAAAAAAAAAAAAAAAAAATCAACACTTCTTCTTAGATACATAAGAGAAGGAAGATCACAAGGGAAACTACTGCCCCCAGAATTGGAGGGACAGATAGGCAGATAAAGAGAATCACAACTTGCTGGAGCAGAAACCTATGGGCTGAAACATCCATTGGAACCAGTGCCAGGGTAGGAAAACCTGAACTATACATTGATTTATTTCTGGAGGCTCAGTGTCAACAAGTCAGAGATAAATCTCCCAGAGGATCCAGAAGTAGGGAGTACCATACTTTTATGGGTTTTACCTCTGGAAGCTCTAATACATTCTTACATTGAATATCTGAGAAAAATTTCCTCACGCTTTGGCAAGAGGAGAAAAAAAGGAAGCATTTTGAAATAGAGCAATGCATTCTTTTTTTTTTAAACAGGGTCTGCCCTCAGGGGAAGCTGTCTAACCAGAGCCTAACCCACTAGGGTTTTATCAGAACCTAACTGACCTGAGGAAAAGAAATACTCAACTCCAGCAAGCTCCAGCCTTCCAAATGGAGGAGGAGAAAACCCAACTCCAGCCCACTTCAGCTATCTTGTCCCACATAAAGGGGAAGTGGAAGAAACCTGAGAAGCAGGCATGAAGTTCACAGTCCAGAGGTACAGACACATCAGAGTTCAGTATCTGATGAATTAGATGCAAAAACCTCAACAAAGTATTAGCAAATTGAATTCAACAATGTATGAAAATTATTACATGCCATGACTAATTGGAATTTATCTCAGGTATACAAGCCACGCTGAACATCTGAAAATCAATTCATGTGATCCATCACATTAGCAGACTCAAGAAAAAAAACCACATTATCATATCAGTAGATGTAGAAAAAAAAAATTAACAAAATCCAGCACCCATTCACAATGAAAATGCCCAGTAAATTAGAAATAGAAGGTAACTTCCTCAAATTGATAAGGAATATCTCTAAAAACCTACAACTAAAATCATACTTAATGGTAGAAAACTAGAAGCCTTCCCAGTAAGAGTAAGAACAAGTCAAAGATGTATGCTCTCACCAATGCTTTTCAACATCATATTGGAAGTCCTAGCTAGTGCAATAAGCAAAAAAAAAAAAAAAGTTATATTAATAAGAACAAAAACTGTGTTTGTTTGCAGATGACATGATTTTCTATGCAAAAAATTCAAAATAATCAACAACAAAAAAATCCTGAAACTAATAAATGATTATAGCAAGATTTCAGGATATGAGATTTATATACAAAGGTCAATTACTTTCATATATACAAGCAATGAACAAGAGGGATTTGAAATTAAAAACGAAACTATTTACATTAGTACCCCCAAAATGAAATCCTTATGTATAAACTTAACAAAATATGTACAAGATACATATGAGAAAAACTACAAAACTCTAATGAAAGAAATCAAAGAAGAACTAAATAAATGGAGAGATATTCAATGCTCATGGATAAGAAGACTCAATATTGTCAAGATGTCAGTTCTTCTCAACTTGATCTATAGATGCAATGCAATCCCAATCAAAATTTCAAAAAATTATTCTGTGGATATCCACAAACTAATGCTAAAGTTTATATGGAGTGGCAAAATACACAGAATAGCCATAATGAAGAAGAATGGAGTTGCAGGACTATTACTACTGAACTTCAAAACTTACTACAAAGACTGCATGATATTAGCAAAAGAATAGGAAAATAGATAGATGGAACAGAATAGATGGCCTAGAAACAGACCTACATAAATACAGTCAACTGATAATCAACAAATGAGCAAAGGCACTACAATGGAGCAAAGATAATCTTTTCAACAAATGGTGCTGGAACAACTGAAAATTCACATGCAATAACTCAATCTAGACATAGACCTTATACCCTTTACAAAAATTAACTTAAAATGAACGTAAACCTAAATTAAAATATAAAAGTATAAAACACCTAGAAGATAACATAAAGAAAACTTAGATGACCTTGGGTATAGTGATAATTTTTTATATGCAACACCAAAGGTACAAACTGTGAAATAAATAATTAACAAACTGGACTTCATTAACATTAATCATGTCTGCCCCATGAAAGGCAATGTCAAGGAATTTGCAGAAAAGCCAGACTGGAAGAAAATATTTGCAAAAGACACACCTGACAAAGAACTATTATTCACAATATGCAAAGAACTCAACAATAATACAACCAGCAATCCTACTTATAAACGGACCTGCAATCTTAATAGACACTGCACCAAAGAAGATATAAGATAGCAAATAAGCATGTGAAATGATGCACCATATCATATGTCTTCAGATAAATACAAATTAAAGCAACAATAAGATACCAGTACACACCTATTAGAATGGCCAAAATGCAGAATACTGACAACACCAATGCCGGCAAGGATGTGGAGCAAGAGAAACTCTCATTTGTTGCTGGTGGGTATTCAAAATGGTACAGCCAGTTTAGAGGGCAGTTTGGCCGTGTCTTATGAAACTAAACATACACTTGCCATACAATCCACCAATCGTGCTCCTTGGTATTTGCCCAAAGGAGTTGAAAAGGTATGTGCACACAAAAACCTGCACATGGATGTTTATAGCAGTTTTAACCATAATTGCCAAAACTTGAAAGCAACCAAAATGTCCTTCAGTAGGTGAATGGATAAATAAACTGTGGTATGGTGGACAATGGAATACTATACAGCACTGAAAAGAAGTGAGCTATAAAGCCTCATGAAAAAGCATGGAGGAACCTTAAATGCATCTTACTAAGTGAAAGTAGCCAATCTGAACAGGAAAAGGCTACATACCGTATGATTCCAACTATGTAACAATTTTTAAAAAGCAAAACTATAGAGACAGTAAAAAAGATTAGGGATTGCTAGTGGTTGGGGAGAGAGAGGGATAAATATGAGGAGCACAGAGGATTTTCATGGCAGTGAAACTATTCTGTATGCTACTATAATAAGGATACATATCATTATCCATTTGTCCAGACCCACAGAATGTACAACAAGAGTGAAACCTAACGTAAACCATGGAATTTGGGTGATAATGATGTGTCAATATAGATTCATTGACTGTAACCAACGCACCCCTCTGGTAGGGGATATTGAGAATGGGGGAGGCTATACGTGAATGGAGGCAGGGGGTATTTTGGAATACTGTAACTTCTGATCAATTTGACTGTGAATCTAAATATTCCCTAAAAGTAAGTTTATTTTTTAAAAACTCCTTGTTACTCAGTGTTAAAAAAAAGAGATAATATCTACTAAGTACATGATGCAAGGCCTGGAAAATAATAATAGCTGACATTATGAAATTCTTAATTTGTATTAAGCTGTAAAGTGCTTCAGGTACATTAACTTGTTTTATCTTTCAAGCTATACTATTAACTCCATCTAATAGATGAGGAAACTGAGGTACAGAGTGCTTTAGTAGCTCACGCAAGGAGACAAGGCTATTTGGTGTTAGAGCCAGGGTTTGAGCTCAGGCAGTCTCTCTCAGTGAGCAGACTGTACAGCCTCTCTCAAGTAGTAAACACTTAACAAAGGCAGCTATCAGTAGCCTCAGTGGGGCGTTTTAAAAAATGGGCATTCTAGGATCTCAGTTAGGGGAGATCCTAGTTACTTAATTATTAATTCTATATTTTTCTTGCATTGTCTTTTAAAAAATTATTGCTGAGTATCTTTTTACAATAACTGAATCCACTTTCTTAGAAACCTAAGGGAGGGCCAGGCACAGTGGCTCACGCCTGTAATCCCAGCACTTTGGGAGGCAGAGGCAGGCGGATCACCTGAGGTCAGAAGTTCAAGACTAGCCTGGCCAATATGGCAAACCCTGTCTCTACTAAAAATACAAAAATTAGCCGGGCATGGTGGTGCATGGCTGTAGTCCCAGCTACTTGGGAGGCTGAGGCAGGAGAATCACTTGAACCCAGGAGGAGGAGGGTGCAATGAGCTGAGATCGTGCCATTGCACTCCAGTCTGGGTGACAGAGAGATACTCCGTCTCAAAAAAAAAAAAAAAAAAAAAAAAAAAAAAAGAGAGAGAGAGAGAGAGAAAAAGGAAACCTAAGGAGAAAGAATAGGTGTTCAAATGTTAAATGAGTAAATGAATGATTGGATTGCCTGCATTCATTGCAGACCCTTAGGAAATGTTTGCTGAGCAAATGAGTATCAGGATTAGGAATGTTTAATAGGATCAGGGAAGCCTCCAATGAAACCTTGTTTAAAAATAGAAGGGACCAGTGTGGTGTTGGTTGTGTTGAGTATGGCAGAAGAGTTAAGTGCTGCTGTGTTATCGTTTCTGTATCAGAGCAGTGACTCTCCCAAGTTTTCCAGCCTTTTGGCAGGTAATATTTTGTGGCTAAAACAGAATACGCAGATCTTAATATTTCTATATTTAAGTGTCATAGGATATGAGCCCCTGGCATGATAAGAGGCAGTGTGTGTGGTGGTTTAGCATGTAGGAGCTCAAGCCCAACTGCCTGATGTTTGAATTCTGATTCCACTACTTTCCAGCCGTGTGGTCTTGGGCAATTGTCTTAACCTTCTGGTGCCTCGATTTCCCCATCTATAAAATGGAGATCAAAATAGGACCTCAGCCATTTGAATGACAGAATAATTGAATGAAATAATACATACAGAGGGTCCAGCAAAGAGGCAATAAATGTTAGTTGTGACAACAGAGTGCCAGTTGTGGGCCATGACAGGTGACCACTTGTGCTAATTTTAAAGTAGAATAACTCAAGAAAAGCACCAGACTTTTAGGTCCCTATGTAGCTAAATCATCTGGCCTGGAACTATAATGACAATTTCCTGAATTTGCTAATGACTTTCAAGCCAATTAAACACATCTCTATATGTCTCAAAGCATTTAATGAAAAAGTCCATCTAATTCTGTTGCATTCTGTATTTCATTTCGTAATTTTGACACAATAATCTGTTTTATGTCCTGGTCTGTTCTGGTCCATTTCATTTGATTTCATTCTGTTTGCATTCCTATAGTGTATTCCACACCATTTCATATTCCATCGCATTCCATTCTACACAATTCCACATCTCCCCGGCCACATCAGCCTGAGAGTAATAAACAGGTAGCAATTGACGCATTTCTTTTGCTCTATCCCCACCTACTTTCTGTGAATACATTCCCCTTAAATTCTTCCTGAATAACTCTGGGTGTCCTGGAAGATCTATGATCTAAACTAATAATCTGGTCTGTTTGGTGATCTGCAACCTATCTCACTCCTGTGCCAACTTGCTGTGGGGGCTCCTCTGGCTTGAGCCCATTATAACAGAGGCAGCTGGTTGGGATAGTGCAAGCACTAAAGTTTAGACGTTCTAAATGGAGCAACAAGACTCCTCCACTAATGCTACCTCTTGCAAATGGAAACAGTTATAGTTTCTTCTTCCTAGTTGCCTCCTTTTCTGGGTAGTAAGGTCTACAGTTGCATTCAGAAATTAGATCATTAAGAAAAATCTATACTGGTGCTCCTTGGAGGTCTGTTCAGGCAACTGACACAGTGACTATAGATTTCACTCACTTGATAACATCAGGACTGAGCAGAGGGTGGGCCTTGTAAGCAGCCAGGGTTTTCAGCACCAAAATGTTGGGGTGTAGGGGGGCTTAGTTGTATTGCTCAACAGTGACACCTGTTGACCCAGATAGAAACATTTTTTTTTTCAGGTGGGGTTGGGGAAGGCTTTAGAACTAAACAAATACAAACAGCAAGAATTCAAACTGACAACAGAGCAAATAACGTATATGAAAGCCATCTGCTCCCATCTGAGTTGGTTTCCTTGCTGCCAGAGTTGAGTTAACTTTAGCCAGGATACAATAAAATGTTAGCAGAATTGATGAGTTCAAGGCTTTGCAGGATATTTAATGAACATTTGGAGACAAGCAATGTACTCTGGTCAGTTGAGGGAAACTGAGGTCCACACATACATACATACATGCTCTGTATGAGCTATTATATAGTAGTGGAGCCTAGACCAGGAATCAATTTGTTGAATCAAAATCTAAAAGACTTTTTACTTCAGTAAAAAGAGTAATGATTCTTACTTAAGTCTCTTTTGCCTATGAAAATGAAATCATGTCTGTATGCCTGCTGCCTCTCTCCCTCCCTCCCTTCCTTTGGTTTTTCCTTCCTTCCTTCCTTTCTTCCTTCTACAAACACATACAAGATAGGTTTGTTGACACCATGAGTCAGGCACTGGACTGGACGTCGATGATGAGCATGACTTGGCCTAGACATGACGAGGTTCATCAAATTTCAGAAAGCCATTCCTGCCCATTATCTGGTATAATCACTGACACAGCTGAGCCCTATACTATAGGCTGTGACATCCCAGAAATGACAAAGATGGTATCTGGCTGAGGGAATGGTAGGTCAGTGAAACCTTCACTGAGGACAGGATTTTTGAATTAGGTCTTAAAATGACAGTAGAAGTTTCCCAGCAGAAGTAAAGAAACTCAATGGCATGGAGGGAAGTGATGGTTTGGAGAATGGTTAATAGCCTTGTGTGCAAAAACCTCTTGTTTATCAAGTAATTCTTTTGAAGATCGCATGGGGGCAGTAAAAAGAGCATAGGCTTTTGAAGAAGTCAGACCTAACCAAAATCCCACTCAGTAGCTATGTAGCTATGGCAAGTTAGTAGACTTCTATGGGCCTGTTTCTCCATCTATTGTGTAGAATTAATATCTACTTCCAAGGACTGATGTGAGGAAAGATGATTTAATGTAATAAGGACATTAATACTGAGCCTACAACATGAAAACTAGCGGAGAAATGGTGCTACCTCCAGATTCCATAGATCTGAGTCCTGTTCTTCAGTCTCCAAAGAGGCACATTGGCTTATCATCGAGTAAATGTCTGCAGGAAAGACCATGCCATGCAATTAGTAGGCTGCCTCAGGCTTGTGAACTTTCATGTAAATGTATTATGTGCACACACACATACACACACACACACACACACACACACACACACCATAAGGTGACCTGAAAGCAGAAAATCTTCCTGTGGAATATCACAGAACTAGATCTGCAAACAGGAGACCCTTTCATAAAAGTTTCCAGATAGCCCATTTGGTACTTTCTATAACACTGAGAATCAGACCAACATTTCCATCTCTCTTTTGGCCTCTCCTTGCCAATCATGGAAGCAAACCTTTTGCCACCTCCATTTTAAATTTAGATTTTGACATCATCTCCTGGCCTAAACGTGGGTCATGGTGGAGGGCCAAGTTCACATGGCTGTTTTCTCCAGCTTCAGCTTTCCTCTAATCTGTGCTCTCCTGACAGTTTCATTCATTCCTTACAGAGTGCTTACCACCTACCCTGCTTTTTTTTTTTTTTCAATTCATGGAAATGAATCAGATCTGTGATGGCGTCATTCAAAAGAGAAAGCTAATTAAAAAGGTCCCCTTTCCTTCCTCTTACAGACCTTGCCATCGTATCCCCTTTTGGAGACACAAGCCAGGAAGGAAGCTCTTCAGTGCAGCTGTGAATAGAGAAATGCTGGCTGAGGTTTTGGAGACACTGGGTGATCATTCCCAGTGAAATTTTTAGATCCCTGGGGACATGAGCTGCTTTGTCTTTTCCAAGGTCAGGATAAACAGAATAACTTCAGGCTTCTCTACCCAGAAAGAACATGTGGCATAAATATCAACTGCAGAATAAATATGATTAATCTGGTACATGGACGAAGATGTTTTCTAGGAGATGCTTATCCTGGGATGAGAGCTTTCATAAGCATTGATATTTACATGACTCTTACCGTGTGTCAGGAACTGTTCTAATTGTTTTACCTATGTCAATTCATTTGATAGTCACAACCACTGAAAGGAGTAAGTACTCTTATTACTTCCATTTTACAGATAGGGAAACTGAGGTATAGAGAAGTCAAGTGACTTGCCCGAGGTTATTAAACTACTTAATGTCAACACCAGGATTTGAACCCAGATCATTTGTTTCTGAAGTACATGCTCACAATCACTGCATTACTGATACACTGTTTTGTCTTTGCATACTTAAGTGGTCATAACTTAGTCTGAAACACTTTGTGAGAGCAGGAAGCAAACTGTCCCCTTATTAGGTGGACCAGTATAGTGATAATACAAAAGTGTATTGCATTTGAATTACTTGCTAATATCTTCTAATTGAGGCAATTTTGAACAGGAATATACATATCTAGCCTCTATTTTTCTAGCTAGAAGTTCTGAAATCCCTGGGCTTAATATTGTATGGCAACAATTGGCTGGAGTTGAGTTGCTGCCACTCTCTTTTAACTGAGCCATGCTCTCTCTAGTTTGCTACAGGCCCCACCACTCCCTATTGCCTCTCCAATACCAGGTCATTTGGCATCTTACTCAGCTCATTTCATGCACATGTGTTCCACAATTGGTAACATAACCCTAAAAGTATTTGAGTTTGTGGCTTCTGCTCTTGTGACAGAAGACTTTTCTCGAATTCCAAGGTCAACATATACCATATTGACTCTGGGCCACATTTTTTAATGTGCTCAAGCTCAGTTTTTCTCCTTAAAAAATGAGGGGTTAAAAATAACACTTCGTAGTTGCCTCATCTGTGGATTGGAAGAATGAATGCCTGTCATTTCTAGAGTTGTAGTAAGGGCCAGTTGGGGCAGTGCCTGTGAATATACGCAATGGGCCATCAAGCAATCTCAGGGCTTCAGGCAATGCTGGGGTTTATAAAGCACTTTATGTTTTAAGTTCACTTTTATTTCTAAAGTCTCATTGACTGCTCTGAAAATCTCTCAAGTAAAGTGGGCACTAAAGGCTTTATACTCTCTCCAATTATACCTTCCATTGTATAGATTTGGAAGCTGGGGTCCAAATGTGTTAAATGACTTGCCTAACATGGTCCATTACTGTAAGTACAGAAACGGAATGAGACCCCAAATCTGCTTCATGGAGGGACACTCTTCTAAGATACTGTGATGCTTCTTCCCAAGTAATTCCGTCTTCAGACTTCAAGGTCTCAATTCGAATGACAATTCAATATAGGACTTTCATAATCTTAAAAGCAACCTGACAGTCATTACAGTGGGCTGTGAGAAATACTAACGCAGAGCCACATACTCTGGGCTTCATGCTAGGTTTTGCCACTCACTATCTTTGTGACATTGGGCCAGTGACTCAACCCATTAAACCTCAGTTTCTTCACTTATACAATAGGGATAATGTCATCTGTTCAGACTACCTTACAAATTTGCTGTGAGACTCCATTGAGATGATGTCAGTGAAAGCATGATGTCACTATACATTAATATCAGAATGTGTATGTCTCTTAGCCTCCTGACTAAAGACTGAGCTTCAGGAGGGTATGTTGTAGACTGTCTTCTCTATTCCAGGTGCTTTTGTACTTCTCACATAAGGATGCGTGAAATGCCTAAACAATAAGACCTTAGCCATCAGGTGGTTCCAGCCAGGGAAGCAGGAGATGGAGCCATGAAATGATTCTTTTTTGGGGATTGCTGTCAAAAAATGAGGAATGATACTCGAGTTGAGGTCTGTTTGCTTTCTACCTGTGCAGGTATCAGCCTATGAGATTCCAAGACATTCTTGATCACTAGTCAGCAGTTCACACTGTCAAAATTCAAAAATTACTGTTAGGGTAAAGGAACGTTGGAGTTTAAGTCAGAAGATGTAGCTTTAAATTTTGATTCAGTTCTTTAGAAACTGTGTGTCCCTCTCTGGACCTCAACTGGGCTGTCATAATTAAAGGCGTTCTTAGACATAGCAAGAATTTATATTGGTTCTCTTCCTTCTTATAAGCTTTATTACAAACACGCAAATTTTCACTGGAAGCTTGTACTAGGTTTGTATTGTATTTGCCTTTTTCTTATTTTTTTCTCTCTCTTTCTTCCTGTTTTTAAATCCACTTGTGAGCCAAGTTGGCTCTTATTCATTTTATCCCGAGTTACCAAACACCCTACCCAAATTGAGAGCATTTCTTCTCCTCAGGCTGAAAATACTCAGTGAGTAAACCCAAGGTCTTTAATAGCAAGACAATCAGATCTGCTTAATGTAATTTGGTTTCTGCCTCGGAATTAATGTCGCAAGAAGTATTTGAATGAGGTTTGCTGTCTTTTTTTCTTACAGAATTGTAGACTGGATCTCACAAAAATTCTGGTCAAACTAACAAATGATTCACTGAAGAATGGGGGCAGAAAAAAAAAGCTGGCTGCTTGTTCCCTCTTTCTAGTTAATGAATCGAATTGATACAGGAACTTCATCGTGTTCTCAGGGAAATCCTGTTGGCTGGGGCTCACTCTTCAGCACCGCTAAATTTAGGTCACGGCTCAGTGAAGAACAATTACAGATTCTTAATAAAAGATAATTTACCCAGTGACATCCAACAGGACATCTGGGCAGGCGTTCTCATTTTCTTGTTAATGTTGTAGAGGTGGGGAGCGTGGAGTAGGGATGAATGTTGACAGAAAGTCATTTTCTGACCTGCTTTGTGGCATATGTCAGTCCATGCTCTTCCAGCAACTGAAAGCTGAACCTAATGGGACCCCCACAAAATGGTTTTCTAAATTGGGCCAGGACAAAAAAATGCTAAGAAGCTTAGTAGTGGGAAGGCAGAATTCATAAGTCCTGCATTTGAAACCTGGTTGCTCATGCCTTCTCTGGATTAATCTTTTTCTACCTTACCTTCTGCTCTCTACTAACTGCTCTCTCTACTCTTTAGCCATGCTGAATTATTTTATGGCTCTTCACAAACTGTGATTTATCTGTCCCACCTCCTGCCACCCTCCCTTTTTTTTTTTTTTTTTTTTTTTTTTTTTTTTAGACAGGGTCTTGCTCTTTTGCCCAGGTTGGAGTGCAGTGGTGCAATTTTGGCTCATTACAACCTATTCCTGCCAGGCTCAAGTCATTCTCTTACCTCAGCCTCCAGAGTACCTGGGTTCACAGGTGTCTGCCATCACCCCTGGCTAGTTTTTGTATTTTTTGTAGAGACAAGGTTTTACCATTTTGGCTAGGCTGGTCTCAAACTCTTGAATTCAAGCAATCTGCCTGCCTTGGCCTCCCAAAGTGTTGGGATTACAGGTGTGAGCCACCATGCCTGGATTCTCCACCTTTTTTGTCTTTGACCACCCTGTTCCTCTAGGTTGATATGCTTCCCCCTCCCTTTTGAATGACTTATTTTTGCTTTAAAACCTATTTCCATTGTCGTCTCTTCCAGGAAGCTTTCTGTGACCCTTGAAGGCAAAGTGTGAAGACTTTCTCTAACTCTTTGCTTGTTTTCTTCATTAGATTGAGCTCTGCCAAGTACAGACTGTGTCATAGTGTTCTCAGTGTCCCAGGAGTAACCTACTCCATTCAAATCAGTTTTCTTAAAGTCCTAATGGCCCCACTGTTGCCAAACACAACAGACATTTCACAGTCCTTATATATTTTCCCTTTTAATGGAATATTACACTGTTTACAAGTTCCTCCTTCTTGATGCCTTCTACTGTGGATTGAATTGTGCCCTCAAAAATACGTGAAGGGCCGGGCGCGGTGGCTCACGCCTGTTATCCCAGCACTTTGGGAGGCCAAGGCAGGTGGATCACAAGATCAGGAGTTCGAGACCAGCCTGATCAACATGGTAAAACCTCGCCTCTACTAAAAATACAAAAATTAGCCGGGTGTGGTGGCATGCACCTGTAATCCCAGCTACTCAGGAGGCTGAGGCAGGAGAATCGCTTGAACCCGGGAGGCGAAAGTTGCAGTGAGCTGAGATTGCACAACGACACTCCAGCCTGGGCGACAGAGTGAGATTCCATCTCAAAAAAAAAAAAAAAAAAAGAGGATTTGTTGTTGTTGTTTAGACTTTTTATTTTCATTTCAATAGTTTTGGGGGACCAGGTGGTGTTTGGTTACATGGAAAAGTTCTTTAGTGGTGATTCTGAGATTTTGGTGCACCCATCACCTGAGCAGTGTACACTGTACCCAATGTGTAGTCTTTTATCCCTCACCTCACTTCCACCCTTCCCCCTAAGTCTTCAAAGTCCATTATATCATTCTTACGCCTTTGCATCCTCACAGCTTAGCTCCCACTTATAAGTGAGAATATACGATGCTTGGTTTTCCATTCTTGAGTTATTTCACTTAGAATAATGGTCTCCAACTCCATTCAGGTTGCTGTGAATGCCGTTATTTCATTCCTTTTTATGGCTGTGTAGTATTCCATGGTATATATAGGAATGCCATATATATGGGATTGCTGGATCAAATAGTAGTTCTATTTGGAATCTCCATACTGTTTCCCATAGTGGTTGTACTAGTTCAAATTCCCTTCAGCCATGTAAAAGTGTTCCTTTTGCCTCACATCCATGCCATCATCTGTTATTTTTCAATTTTTTAATTATGGTTATTCTTGCAGGAGGAAGGTGGTATCTCATCGTGGTTTTAATTTGTATTTCCCTGATAATTAGGGATGTTAAGTATTTTTTTCATATGCTCATTGGCCATTTGTATATCTGCTTTTGAAAATTGTCTATTCACGTCCTTTGCCCACTTCTTGATGGGATTATTTGTTTTTTTTTCTTGCTGATTCCTATGAGTTCCTTGTAGATTCTGGATGTTAGTCCCTTGTCGGATGCATAGTTTGTGAATATTTTCTCCCACTCCGTGGGTTGTCTTTTTACTCTGCGGGTTGTCTTTTTACTCTGCTGTTTATTTATTCTGCTGTGCAGAAGGTTTTCAGTTTAATCAGGTCCCCTCTATTTATTTTTTGTTTTTGTTGCATTTGCTTTTGGGTTCTTGGTCATGTACTCTTTGCCTAAGCCAATGTCTAGAAGAGTTTTTCCAATGTTATTTTCTAGAATTTTTATAGTTTCAGGTCTTAGATTTAAGTATTTGATTCATCTTTAGTTGATTTGTGTATAAGGTGAGAGATGAGGATCCAGCTTCATTCTTCTACATGTGGCTTGCCAATTATCCCAGCACCATTTGTTGAATAGGGTGTCCTTTCCTCACTTTATGTTTTTGTTTGCTTTGTCAAAGATCAGTTGGCTGTAAGTATTTGGCTTTATTTCAGGGTTCTCTATTCTGTTCCATTGGTCTACCTGCTTATTTTTATACCAGTACCATGCTGTTCTGGTAATGATAGCCTTGTAGTATAGTTTGAAGTCGGGTAATGTGATGCCATCAGATTTGTTCTTTTCGCTTAGTCAGGCTTTGGCTACATGGGCTCTGTGTTGATTCCATATGAATTTTAGTATTTTTTGTTATAGTTCTGTGAAGAATGATGATGGTATTTTGATGGGAATTGTACTGAATTTATAGACTGTTTTTGGCAGCATGGTCATTTTCACAATTTTGATTCTACCCATCCATGAACATGGGATGTGTTTCCATCTGTTTGTGTCATGGATGATTTCTTTCAGCAACGTTTTGTAGTTTTCCTTGCAGAACTCTTTTGCCTCCTTGGTAAAGTATATTCCTAAGTATTTTATTTTATTTTTTTGCAGCTGTTATGAAATGCGTTGAGTACTCGATTTTATTCTCAGCTTGGTTGTTGGCATATAGCAGTGCTACTGATATGTGTACACTGATTTTGTATCCCGGAAATTTGCTGAATTCATTTAACAAATCTAGGAGCTTTGTGGATGAGTCTTTAGGGTTTGCTATGTATATGATCATATCATCAGTGAATAGCAGCAGTTTGACTTCCTCTTTACTGATTTGGATGCCCTTTATTTCTTTCTCTTGTCTGATTGCTCTAGCTAGGACTTCTAGTACTATGTTAAAAAGAAGTGGTGAAAGTGGGTATCCTTGTTTTGTTCCAGTTCTCAGGGGAATGTTTTCACCTTTTTCCTGTTCGGTATAATGTTGGCTGTGGGTTTGTCATAGATGGCTTTTATTACCTTAAGGCATGTCCCTTCTAAGCTGATTTTGCTGAGGCTTTTAATTATAAAGGGATGTTAAATTTTGTCAAATGCCTTTTTATGCATCTATTAAGATGAATTTTGTTTTTAATTCTGTTTATGATGTATCACATTTATTGACTTGCAAATGTTCAACCATCCCTGCATTCCTGGTATGAAACCCACTCGATCATGGTGTGTTAGCTTTTTGATATGCTGTTGGACTCAGTTAGCTAGCATTTTGTTGAGGATTTTTGCATCTATGTTCATCAGAGATATTGGTCTGTATTTTTCTATTTTTGTTATATCCTTTCCTGGTTTTGGTATTAGGATGATACTGGCCTTATAGAATAATTTAAGGAGTATTCCCTCTTTATCTTTTGGAATACTTTTAGTAAAATATGTGAGCATTCTTTATATTGGTATCCTACATGATTTCACTAAGAGGAGATCTGATTACATCATTTGTTTCCTGAAAATCTTCAATGACTATTCAATCTTTGGTTTAAGATGTAAACTTTCCATCTTAAGATCTGAATTGTGTCTAAGTTTCCATCTTCCTTCTCACCATTCCGCCATCTTACTTGTTCTTCAACTAGCTTTAAATGTTCATGAGTTTTCACTTACACTGTGTTCTTCCATGCTTACAAGTATTTTTTGTGTAATATTCCCAGCACCTGAATCCTCTTTCCTATGTTACCCACCTGCCTCACTTTTACATAGCTTTTGATATTTGACTCAGTTATGATATTCTCCAAGAAGCCATTTCTGATCTCCTCTCCTCTGCAAATTAAATAAAGAGCCCTTTCTTTATGCATCTGTAGGACTCCATGGCCACTTCTAACACTATACTTACTACACTGAGTGGATGTGTGTTCACATTAGACTCTGAGCACCCTGAAAGGAGAAATCGAGTCTTACTTATTACTACATAACCTGGGTCCCAGGCATATCAGTTAAAGGAAAGAATATATAAATGAATTAACTGAGTGCTATGGAAGTAGAGAGAAGATGATAACTGAAATGAAAATGACCTCACAAATCTGCATATATATGCTCAGAGACTATTTTGGTATATATACTATGCAGAGTTGTGCCCAGGCACATGGTTGGAAGAGGAGAGAGCCACATGTTTTTTGTGAACTAACTTGCATATTATAAAACTTTGATGGAAATTGAGGAGAGGACATAAAGGGAGGGGAAATTCTACCTAATTCCTAAATAATAGTCTTTCAAGAAATTGGAAAATACATCTAGATACCAGAGCTCAATTCTAGATTTGTTGCTTACTAGTTTTATAATCTTGGGCAAGTGCTTTGTCTTTTGAGACTGTCTCCCCACTTTCAACCTAAAGTGAATTCAAAATACTTTGCAGGATTATTTTGAAAATCAAATAAAATCAAGTATATGAATGAGAACACAGTGCTGGATCCATAGTGGTAAACGTCAACTTCCTTCTTCCTCTCAGGATAAAACAGACCAGAGAAAGAGAAAAATAAAATAGCAATTTTTAAACAAATTACCAACACAGCTCAGAGGGACAAAGGTGTTAAGAAAAACTTTAGGCAGAAACCCTTTGTAAAGTGGAGGCATTGCTACCATTTGGGGAAATTATTGGGAACAATAAAGAAACACCTTGGATACATTTTTTTTTTTAGTCTGAGATAGAGAGAAATTGGGGTTAAGTAAAATAGCAGTGATTGATCTTTGAATGCTTAAATAGTACCATTAAGTTTTCTAGTAGGATAGCTCTGATTCTGATTGACATCACTCAGCTCTAATGATGAAAATAGATGCCATATTTTAGTTGTAATTCTGCTTTTAAGGACTGTATATTTTGTCATTTAATTTTTCCTGAAGCTTTCCTTTTCATGTTATCTAAGCAATGTAGGTTTCCTCTCAGAAAAAAAAAAAAAAAGAAAAAAATGGCAACAATCTTACCCACCTAGAAACTACTATTGACATTTTTTAATCGATAAATAATAGTTGTACATATTATGGAGTACATGTGATATTTTGATACGTGTATATAATGTGTAGTGATCAAATCATGATAATTGGGATATCAAGCATCTCAAACATTTTATGTCTGTATTTTTAGATCCATTCAATAGAATATTAACATATTTTTCCATAATAAGCATAAACTGTATATGTCGCATTAAAGTGTGATTTTTTTTTTCACTTAAAACACCACGAACATTTTTACATCTTGGGAGAATGTCTGCTGCTAGCAGCATACTTTCTTATCACAAATGACTAGAAAATGGAATTAAATATTTGACAACAGTTTTCCAATACAGGACAGCAGACAGAGCATGAATGAGACCCCCAAAGAAGGGAAGCAAATGAGACAAGCCCCACAATTATTCTGGCTTTTTGCCTAGAGACAATCTATGAACTGTGGGGCAAACAACAGAGATCAAAACAGCTTGGCAATCTGAGTTGAGGATGAAGACACCATTGGGGCAGAAGCAGCGATAGCTCAAATTTGTGGAGCAAAGTACCGGAGAAGATAAACTGCTCCAAATTCCAAGAGGCTGGGCAAAGAAAAACTTTGTGGAAAGAAGAATTATCAGGGAACTCTAAGCTGAAAAATTGCCAGGGCTCACACAGACCTGGGGAATTGGTTGAGTTTATGCCACCTACAGGATAGAGAACTTGCTGAATGTTCAAGGATTTTGTTACAGATGCAAGATGACACTTAAAGGGATGCAAAACTAACATCTCTGGATTAGTCTTAATAAAGTTTAAAAATAAGCTTAGAAAAAGTCAAACGGATCCACAGTTCTTCTTGTGTGACTTTGGGCATGTTAATAAGCTTTCTGAGTCTCAGTTTCTTTATCTGCAAAATTGGAGTAATAGCTATATTTATCATCTGTGTTGCTTGGAGAATAAAGCTCCACAGTAGTACATGACATTCACTGGCCACAGATTCTCTACTAGAAGAGCTCTAACATCTGATGCATAATAAATACCCAACAAATGCTGGCATTATTATTAATAGTTATATGCTATTCTGTCCTCAGGAAAGAACTGTGACCAGTATCAAAGCTAACACAAAGCATATCCATATAGATACCAAAGAAAATTACATGCAATGCATGAAAAATAGCTACATGTGTAAAAGACTCTATTATTTAAAAATCAGATAATTTAGGACTTGCTGATATTCCTCAATGACATCTAAGGTGAACGAAAACACCTTTATGAGAACCCCCATCCATGGAATGCTACTCACTTACTGACTTTACTCAAATGAATTGAGAGGTCTCAAAGGCAGAGACTATGAGTTACTCATTTTTGTATCTCCTAGCAGAGCACAGCTCTGTTGCGGAGTGGACCCCTCACAATAATGTTTACATAGTTTAATTAAATTCAGAAAGTAGTCATTCATTTGCAGAAGAAATTAGCTGGTAATGAAGTACTATGCAGTGTTCCATTCTGCAGAGGAACTAGTAACCTGCTAAAACATTTCTGTTTAATATTTGATAAGCAAATTATTCCCTTACCAAAGGAAACTAGTGCTAAACTTTCCTCCACCACACTGAGCATTTAAGCCCTCAAGATACACTCCTGGGACAGATGGGTGATGGGCAAGCTGGAATACTATAATGTGCTCAGAATGAAAAGCCCCTACACTCAGAAATTGAAATAAGATCAGGAGCCAAGTGGAGAGAAAGGTTATTAGAACATGGTCTAGAGAAAAAGCTGGAGAATGATCCACGATTCCTTCCTGAGGGAAGAGAAAACTTGCCTTTAGTTAAACTCTGTGAGACCTTAACTCTTTCTTCCTCAACACCTTCCATTTAAGGCAAGGAAGTCCATTTCATTCCCAGTCTTTGCCAGGCTCTCAGAGCACAGAGGAGCTCATTCTGACCATTTAGTGACCACAGCTTGTGTTTTGAACTCAGATCATCTTGTGTGTGATTTTTGCTCTGCTTCAGACTAACTGGGAGATTTTGAACAAACCCTTCACTTGTTCTGAGCCCTGGTTTCCTTATAGGTAAGATAGAGATTGGTACCCATTTTGAGAATGGCTGAGAGGATTAAACCATAAAGTATTTTGCATTTTGTGAAAAGTGGTGCCCTTATTTCACGTTACTTGAAAGAAGAGTAAATAAAATACCATTTTGAAAGGCATGTGGAGAAAATATGTCATTATCTTGGTCTTCCTCTTTAGCTTTGCTCTGCACCAATGGTCAAAGTCTTTTCCTCCTTTCATGAATGGATGAGAAGACTGCACCATTTCACACCAACAGAGACAAGCTTTCCTTCTGGCTCTTTGCAACTAAGTGTGGGCTTGTCTTAGTGACTCATTTAACACAAGGCCACCTTTACAATCTTTCTGAGGTCAAACCAGCCCGTTGTTCAGTGATCCAGATGCTCCACTCTTTCTTTCTTCAGCTCATTGATGGCCACTTTATAAGGGAGTATCAGGAATCAGAGAGTGACTCTGGAAATACAATTACACCCAATAAGCCAATGTGAAGGTCAAAAGATTCTTTGGTGATAAAGAATTTAGCTTTTGACCTCCAGATTATTGTTGAAGGGTGAGGAATATGTTATAGTTTGTTTTTCATCGTTTCATGTTCCTTTGCTTTTTCTCCTCCCTCTTCTGAAATGCAACTTGGAAAAATCTTACTTTTTTTTTTTTTTAAGTTTTGACTTTACATGTTATTTTCCCCATGGAAACTTCTCTTTGCTACATTACTATTTATTGAGTTCACATTATAAGTATTGAAGGTCTTTCCCTATAAAGTTAGTCATACAACCAATGTGTCCCTTTTCATCCTAAGAATTCAAAAATTCAGGGCTTCTGTGTCCTCTTCATTTGACTACAGTAGCTGGAGAACCAGCAGTTCAGATTTCCTCAACTTTGTCTTAATTTCTTTGCTATGGATTCAGAGGTCTCCAGGTGATTTGTAGGTGGTCCATCTGGCTTAGTCTTACCTCATTGACTCTCTATGGCATAGGAATGCTGGTGGATGAACAGAAGCTGATCAAAGTAGGTTGTGCCAAACACCAGTTGCAAGGATGTTCACAGCTCCAATGCTGACCACAAACATGATGGCTTGGGGTTCCAAGGAAGAGCTCCAGCTTAATTAGACAAGATCATTGAACTCAAAGATCTCTCATTTTCCTCTTGCCTTACTGGCACATTGCAGTGGCGATCAAAGCCTTGGCAAAACAATATCCAGGGAAAATGTGGTGCTGTTGTTTGTTTCATATCAGATCGGGAATATACAGTGTTAAAGTTGCATCTGCAGAAAATAGGGTTCAGAGCATTGTAGCAGTGAATTTGGAAAATGTTTGAGAAAAGTGTACATTACAGGGGAGTATGGCTGGGACAAATGCCTTTTGGCACCCGCACCATTTTCTTATCTTGGAAATATGGGAAGACATTTCCCAACCTCTAATGCAGGTTATGAAATTGTCCCAGTTGTCTCATAGAACTAACGTGTATGGTTTCTTTGGGATAAACATAGAAATTGATGCTCCAGTCTTAAAACTCAAGAAAGTTATGTTTGTCTTATCTGAGTTCCTTTCTCAGGAAAACAACCATCAGGCCTTCCAGATAGTATCAAGGAGCTGAAACTTAGCAGATCACTGCATCTTGACAATGAAACATAAGACCCCCTCACCCATCATGATTGCGTAACCAACCACCTGCTTCCTGTTGACCAACTTCTCTTTCTTGCCCCTCCCTAGTTTCTATTTTCCTATACATGGGTACATTTCTTTCCTACTATATAAACCCCTAATTTTGGTTGCTTGGGGAGATGGATTTGAAACTTATCTGTCATCTCCTTGGCTGTAGCACCTGATTAAAGCCTTCTCTGGCTATCTTCACTGTCTCAGTGACCGGCTTTCTGCGCTGCAAGCAGCAGAACCTAGAATAAACCCCTGGCATTTAGGTAACAGATTTTAGTTCCCTGACCAGTAACACATTGCTTGTGGGTTTGTTTCCACAGGCTGAAAAAGTTTTGGAAGCCCTCCTAAGCAGGTGCCAGACCCTTTTTTGGCCAGAGGTGAGTCTCAGTTTCTCTCTCTGTCCAGCCCCACCACTGCTGGCCCCAACCATGTTCCTGATTACCTAGGAAAAACAGCCTTAGAAATTAGACATCTGCATCTGGATAGGTAAAAGTGTCCTTTGTGGGCCTAGACGGTATCTGCTTCTCTCAATTTGGGAATTTTTTTTTTTTTTTTTTTGAGACAGAGTCTGGCTCTGTTGCCCAGGCTACAGTGCAATGGCGTGATCTCGGCTCACTGCAAGCTCCGCCTCCCGGGTTCACTCCATTCTCCTGCCTCAGCCTCCTGAGTAGCTGGGACTACAGGAGCCTGCCACCATGCCCGGCTAATTTTTTTGTATTTTTAGTAGAAACGGGGTTTCACCGTGTTAGCCAGGATGGTCTCGATCTCCTGACCTCGTGATCCCCCTGCCTCGGCCTCCCAAAGTGCTGGCATTACAGGCATGAGCTACCACACCTGGCTGGGAAATTTTTTAAAGAATTTCCATTTATAGGTTGAACAAGCCCAACTGAGAGAGGGAAGCACCCTGACTGCCTCAGTTTGGATACTCTTAGAGCTTGTTGTTACAGCAGTTGGTTTATATTTTTGTGGTTGTGTGTGTTGATATAGTCATGGGAAATTAGAGTTTGATAAACTGATATAACTGATATTCTTCTGTAATGCTGTTTGACTTCAATATTCCATTTTTTTTTTAAGACAGGATCTTACGCTGTTGCCCAGGCTGGAGTGCAATAGTGTCATCATGGCTCACTGTAGCCTGGAACTGCTGGGCTCAAGGGATCCTCCCAGCTCAGCCTCCCAAGTAGCTAGGAGTAAAGGTACATGCCATCATGCCTAGCTTTTTTTTTTTTTAATTTTTGGAGAGATAAGTTCCCATCATGTTGCCCAGGCTGGTCTCTAACTCTTGGACTCAAGTGGTCCTCCCACATCAGCCTCTCAAAGTGCTGAGATTGCAGGTGTTAGCCACTGCACTTGGCCTGGCCCCAGTATTCTTTGGGATCTGGAGTTTGCTGTTGAATGAGAAGGCAAGATGAAATTCCATGTAGTCAGACTCCTACGCTGCTGTTCTAAGCAGGGTTGGGCCTGATTAGTAGGTTATAGATGATGTTTTTCTGTGGTGCTATCTGGACCTAGTGCTCTTTGGCATCTGGGAAGGTATGGCCTTTAAAAAGCAAACTGCCATGAGAACTGCTCTACCCCAAATTTTGGTTCACAGCCTTCATTTGATTATGTATTGGGGCAAAAATAGTTTAGCCATGTGAACCTGTTTGTAAACTGGTGAGTTTCTATTGCTATTTCATAGCTAAAGTTTTGAGGTAAATGCTATTGGATCTTTGTGTCTGTGTGTGTATACATATTTAGATGTGTTTATGTGTATGTACATTTATTATATGTTGTGTCTACCAACTTTGCTTATAAGCAAAAGAATGCTTGTAAATTAAGTAAATAAGTTCAAGAATTTTTTAAATTCACTTGATTAAGTAAATTGTTAATTTTAAAAACTAGCTTTAAAATTATTGGTAAGGTAAAAATAGAAATGTCTTTGGAATTGCCAGCATACCTTTTTGTCTGGGTTTTATATTTGTCTCTGCTAGATATTTTGGGGTGTCGGGGTTTAGCATAAAAGGTTATAAAACAATATACCCAGCCAAAACTAAATAGTCTTTGTTTGTGTGACTTTTTTCAATAAGTAAGACTAATTCAATGTTAGTTTAATGAAAATAGCTGAATTTTCTGAATTATTGACACAATACCCATGTATTTAACTTTAAAAGTGTTCTTACTTAGGTGAACATCTGATCTTCGCAGGCTATAAAAAAGGTTAACAAGGAAATAACTTGAAATGATGATTAGCTTTGTCTAATATTTCAGTTTTCAGAAGTAATCTAGATAAATCGTTTGAAAAAATGAAAGAATCATGTACATGTAAATGGGATAAATGCTTGTAGCTGCACTTTTTAATGTAATTTGAAATCTTGAAGTTATTTAGGATTGAATAATAGATGCTTTTTGGCCATCTGGGTCACTTCCAATTAAGAAAGGATTATGGGGCCGGATGTGGTGGCTCAGGCCTGTAATCTCAGCACTTTGGGAGGCCAAGGCAGGCAGATCACCTGAGATCCGGAGTTCAAGACCAGCCTGGCCAACATGGTGAAACCCCATCTCTGCTAAAAATACAAAAATTAGCTGGGCACGGTGGCAGGCACCTGTAATCCCAGTTTCTTGGAAGGCTGAGGCAGGAAAATCACTTGAACCCAGGAGGCGGAGGTTGCAGTGAGCCAAGACCATGCCATTGCATTCCAGCCTGAGTGACAAGAGCAAAACTCCGTCAAAAAAAAAGAAAAGAAAAAAAGAAAAGAAAGAAAGAAGGGGGGGGAGGGAGGGAGGGACAAAGAAAGAAAGAAAGAAAGAAAGAAAGAAAGAAAGAAAGGAAGGAAGGAAGGAAGGAAAAGAAAGAAAGAGAAAGGAGAGAAAGAAAGGGTTATGACGTTGGGAAGCATGTTTTTTAAAATTGTGGAATGTTCTCATCTCTGAAATGTTAATATCTGACAGCTAGTTCAGAATGTCTTACTTCCTAGGTTTTCACTAAAATTTAAAGTTACTAAGAATCAGAATGGCAATTAATATATTATTCTGTATATAAAATGTGTGAGAGAAGATGTGTTTTTACAGAGAAAAACAAATTATTTTGTCTAATTCATAAGTTATGTAAAGGTTGATACAAATTATGGACCATGGTAAACTTTTGTCCTAAAATAAAATAATTGGTCATTTTAAAAAAAAAAAAAACAAAGAAAGAAAGAAAATCTAGGACAAAAACGAAGTCCAAGCATGTTGAATGGTTTGTGTAAATAAGTAGTAAAATACTCTTTAAAATCTGATAGAAAATTGGAGACATTTGGCTAATTAACATTGCTCATAGCTAAAGATCTTAGTATTGATGAAGGTAAATTAAGAAATACTGTAAAGAAATATATTGGCAGCTTGGCAATTCTTTTCTTTTTTTTTTTTTAACATACTTAAGCATGAATCCAGATTTAGCATGGAGCCAAATTTTACATACAGGCTTGCATTGCTTTGTTTCACACTGTATTTGCTATTCTGCATAGACAGTACTAGCACTAAAGTACTTACTGGTCACGTGCTTGAAGTAAATTTCTTAATTGCACAGAAGGTATAGTGATGTTGCTGGACTTAGAGACATTAATTTGTATAATAGGAACAAAATATCCAACATATGTTTGTTTTAGGCTCTGGATTATACTGTAACCTTCAAAGTAAACTGAGTAGGTGAAAAATTGGGGGTTGGTTTCCAGTTTGTTTTTGCTTTTAATTTTTAATTATTTGCTATTTGTTCTCCTTTGGGTTTTACTGGTATATACACATATAAAAAACCATTGATAGTTTTAGTTTTTAATGGAAGGCTTGTATTTTCTTCTATGAATAGTCATTTTGTTTCCTATGCATTTCCAACAATTCATTATTTGCTCTATTTATCTAAAGTTCTTAAGCTATCTTTGTCAGGCCTGCAAAAATGGATAGGGGACACCAGCCATTAAAAATTTGATTGGTTTTGCTGACTCTGATGATCTAGAGAGCTACAAGAGCTTTAAGCTATGGGTCAAAAAAGAACCCCTAAAAAACAAAAAACCTTGTTTCTTTAAATAAGTTCTGAGCAGAAATAGTAGATTACTTATTTATCTGGAAAAGCAGGTAAGAGAAGAAATGTTTAGACAGTTTTTTTCCCTAAGGAAATTCAATTCAATCAATAATTTGAATCGGTTTCAGATCTTTTTCTTTAGGTAATGAGGAAAAATTGTGATAGGGGTACAAAGTTTTAATGTTCAGGAAAGACTAGCTTTGTCCTTAAAAGAAATTATATTGACTGGGATTTCTCTCAGACTATGTTAGTTGTATTTACCACTATCAAAACTAAGTGACATTCACTTGGATTAAGTAGTAGTAAAAATGTCAGGCTTTCTAGTGATTCTTTTTTATTCCAAATCTGTTATCACTATTAGGCCTTAATGTGTGTACTTGAAAACAAAATATATTCTAGTATTATTCTGTTTTGAAGATTCTGGAGTTGAAATCTACCTAATAGTTGTCAGTACCGTATCTAGAAACCAGTCTTGGAAATGTATGATGATGCTCTTTTAAAATAGCAGAAAAAAATATTCTGTGCTTGTTTTTACTTTGTCCCTGTTTCACTGTATAGTATTTAAGCAAAAAGAGATTATTTATCTTCATATTGAATTTCCAAAACCGATATTTGCATTTACCATTTTCTTAAATGATGGAGAATAAAGTTAATTGTCTTACTTGGATAAGTTTGGCATTGGACCTATCACATTTTTGATGCTTTGGGTCACAGTTCTGTCACTACAATGTTAGAAATTAGATATATGCAAGGAATAATCTAGCCACTTTAATACAGTGATTTAAAGTGCTGCAGGCATTAACTACTAGACACCAATTCACAGTGCTTTAATTTGTGACATGTGAGGGAGAATGACAGGACTTTCTATAATATAAATGTCCTATTAACTAGTCCTTGTACTGTTAAGTTAGGACTTTGACTCTTGGGTCTAAAAAAGGCACAGACTCATGCCAAATCTTGAACATTGACAGTAGTCAAAGCCTTGTTTTCAGACCCAGGAGAAGGTGACAATCAAAATGAACAACTTGCCCGAGACACAGGGCTAGAAATTGAAACTATTCAATCCCTGTAGGCCCAGGAACTATTGTGGAAGATGTGGGCGCATGTGAGATTTTAAGGGCTAATTTTAAGGGACAAATTAGTTCAAGGTTTTCTATAAATTAAATGTTAATATCAAAAGCACACTGATGCAATACCAGTATCTGGGCCATTGTGATGGAATAACACAGTTTTCTTAGAGCAATGATTTTATCTTTAATAAAAAACATTGTAAAAGGTTATAAAAGACTTCTTACCTTATGATCAAACTGATTCAAATTAGATTTGTTTATAAGGTTTTGTTAAAATTAGCTTTAACATTAATGCATGAGATTCCTAAAATTCTGATGTCTTAATATACGTTATCAGTAATAATTACGATTATGTTAAATTTTTGTATGTCACAGAAATAACCAAATTTTCTTGTCAATTGTGTCTGTTGAGACTTTTCTCATCCATAATTATTTTGCTTCAATTGTTTTTAAAAACAGGCTTATCATCAGCTACAGTCTGGAACTTGCTTCTTTTGGGGAATTCATTAAAAGAATCCTTGAATGCAGGTTTCTGATAACTTTGGAGATTTTGCCATTGGGCTAGAGAGAAAACTTCCAGGATATTAATTGAAAAGCTGATGTGTTCTTAAAGATTACTAACCCAATATGAAGCAGAGTGGGAGTTGATTGCATGGACTGAGCTAATGGAGGACAGAAATAATTTTTATGGTTTTTTTTTTTTTTTTTTTTTGGTTCTTTGAAACATTGCTGATTCTTTTTGTTTTGTTTTTCAGAGTCTGGAGAACACTTTTTCTTTTGAGCTGTTTACAACCTTTAGCAATTGAGTAGAGTGTACTCTTGTCAATAGAATTTGAAGCACATTTCTCTCTCTGCCTGATTTCTGTAGAATTTGTAAACTATTTGTGAATATTCTTAATTTATGGCAATATGGTTGCTTACATAAGTTCAATAATAATCTGTTTTCTTTTACAATGAGACACAGTTGGAGGAACTGGTTATTTTCCCAGGGCTTTGACTGAAATGGCCTTGTGAATGGTTCCAGGAAAGCCAATTTTGGAGACCCTATGTGGATGATGATGCTTGCTGTACTTTCTGTGGGTAATCGGGCCAAGTATATGGGACTGAAGCTAATTTTGCAGGTAGGTTGGTCCTGCTATGATTTGTCTTTGGTGGAAGTGGGAGACTAGAGAGAGAAAGATTGTGTCATAGAAGGAGACTGCAGTATTAGATTAACATTTGATTCATCACCCTTAGTATGGAGCTGCTTGTAATGCCCCTCCTCAGCATGAAGCAGCCAGAAAGATCAATGACCAAATTTCCCATGATCGAGGAACTGAAAATAGAAAGGGGAGACTGAAACTGGTCCAAGTTTTCTACAGAACTAATGTCTATTATTTCTATTGAATAAACATACAAATTGATCCCCCCAGTCTTGAAACTCAAGAAAGTTACATTTGTCTTATCTCAGTTTCTTTCTCAGGAAACCAACCATCACACCTCCCAGACAGTATCAAGGAGGTGAAACTTACCAGATCACTGCATCTGGACAAAGAGATGCCAGACCCCTCACCCATGAGGATTGCCTAACTTTCCACCTACTTCCTGTCAACCAACTTCTCTTCCTTACCCCTCCCTAATTCCTGTTTTCTTATACATGGTTACATTTCTTCCCTGCTATGTAAACCCCTAATTTTAGCTAATTTGAAAGACAAATTTGAGACTGATCTCCTAACTCCTCAGCTGCAGCATCCAATTAAAGCCTTCTTCCATGGCAATACTCATTGTCTCTTTGATTGGCATTCTGTGCTGTGAGCAGCAGGGCCTAGACCAAATCCCTAGCATTTTGGTGACAATAAGTTGGGATCATATGACTGAATTTGGGACAATGCAATGTGGGTGGAAATTATGTAAGCCATTCTAGGCATGGTCCTTAAATCCTGACCCTGCGGCTCTCTTTTCCCTTTCAAGGCAACATAGAGAGACTTGAGTTCCAGGGGGAAAGTTTTAGGATGGAGAGAAGCCCTCACTGGACTGTGATGTGGGTGAGAAATCTGTGTTAAGTCCCTGAGATATAGGTGTTTATTACTACCCCAGCATAGCTTAGCTGATTTAAGAGGAGTTAAGAAGCTTCCCTTGCCTTTAAAAGTATGCTATAGGTAAGTCCAGGAATACAAAAGCACTTCCAGAAAGCTCCAGGGAGCTACAGTTTGGGAGATGGAAGGTCCAGCAGACTAGAGCCAAAAGTAATACAGTTCTAGCAATTAAGCCTTTCACTTTGTGCACACAGCTGGCACATAAACTAGTCCCAGAGCACCTGAGCAAGGATTATTTCTAGCAACTTTCACATTACCAACTCAGAAACAATTCAATTCTTTGTCTCCCTTGTGATGCTCCTTCTGGTAGGTTTTGACTCTCTTTTCCTCCAACAATATTAAGTCTGCTCCCCTGTATCTGACTTTGAGGGGAGGTCACCACTGGTGAAACCAATGTGTCTTGAATTATACTCTTCTATGGAAGGCCCCACTTAGTAATTCTGAAAGATTCATTATTCCCACCTATAATCTAAATTACCTGATGACTTATCTTGCTAGAATCATCATTTTAATCTCTAGGTGAATGTCCAAGATATATATTATTATTAATATCTTGACTGCCATAGTTACTGTAAGACTGCCTGAGAAAACTGTGATCTCCTTAAAAACAGGGACCACATTTTGCATCTTCATCATCTCTTTGTGTCCAGCACCAAGCGTGATGCTTGGTGCGAAGTGATGTATGCTTCATAAAGGCAGGACCAAGGTCTTCACCTCCACCCTACTACACCCAACAGTTCTTTTCTGCTTTTCACTGTGCTTGTGGTGGTGGTTTGACTGGAGTTGGAGGCTGTGTTTTGCCATATGTATCTGCCAATATTTCTCTTCAGAGAACTTTTACCTAGGATGACCTCTTCAAGGTGGCACAAGAGAATGCCTGAGGGACATGTCTCTCAACCCCATGTCCATTAATTGTAACAAAATAGTTGCCTCATGGCTGGAACACTCCTTTATCCCTACTGGCAGCACCCAATAGCTCTGCTGGGCCAGTAGGGTGAAGTCATAATTGGAGCACACTTTGCTTATAGAGATTAGTTACAAATGCCAAGTTCAAGGGAGACTGGCCACTGCACCCAAAATAAACCTGGGAAGCAGCCCTTCTTATAATTTTCTCTCAACTGAGGGAGATATTCCAAGAAAAAGAATTCTGGGGACTCAGATACAGAGAGGCACAGAATCATAGATATTCAAAGATGAAAGGGCCTTAAGATCATTTTCCAATCTCCTTACTTTACAGGTGAGAAAATGGAGGTCCAGAGAGAAAAGTGACTCACCCAAGCTGAAAACAGTTGCAGGAAGAAAAGCCAGGACAGAACTGGGCTGTTAGAAACCTTGGTAGTGCACTTTTGATTTCACTCTTAAAATGCTCAAATGTCTTTTTCTGACAACATGTAGGGAGACCTGAGGTTGGACCTAAAGACACCATATATTGGATTCAGTGCTTCACACAAGTTAATCTAAATTTACCTCAAAAACCCAATACCATATTTTGTCGAGCAGGCAACTGAGGCCCGGAGCAGCATGCCAACTTGCCCAAGGACACTCAGTGGCTCAAAGCTTATCTTTATCAGCTGTTTCTAGGCCCCAGGTTCCTGACAACATTCCAGGTGAAAGGACAAGCTGGAACCATTGAGAAACAAATGAGCATCTTGTAAACCCAAAATACAAGACCTTGCTAAACACCAGAGCTTGCCCGCAGCCAAGTTGTGAGACTTAAAATTTGTCTTTAGGGCATACAGCCACATCCACTCACCCCCCACACACCAAGGCTTCTGGAACATTTCTTTCTGCTTTAGATGTCTATTTCCAAGTGGTTAAAAAAAAAATAGTGGCTGAGGATCAGAATCCCAAAATTTTGCGTTTTGCTTTGCTACCAACATCTTGCATGTTCTTTGTAGTTACTTTACCTTCCTTTCCTTTAACTTCTTTATATCTGCAAAAACGATGAAGGAGTACACTAAAGATGAGGAACTGAGTCACCGCAATGCCAAATGTAACACGCTGTGGGTCAAAATTTGGATGGTTGCGTTGGAAATTATTCTGAAGCCACAGACAGGGCTAAAAGGTAAGTATGAATAATTAGTAATGCTTGCCATAGACAGATTAAAGTGTTGACATCACATAGGACAAGAATTTGCCACCAATAGATGAGAGGATTGTTGATGTCCTTGAATTGGAAATGAACGAGCTAATTGGTTAGTTACTTATTCACTCTAACCCAGAAAGCAGCAGCTTGTGAAAAAAGTTTTTGCTGGTAACACACAGGAAATAGAAAATTTAGTATTTTTTCCAGTGGAAAAGCCCTCTTGTATCACCAAGCAGAAGAGAACATGATGTCTTTTCTTTTGATGTAATTTAGGATGATTCACAAAGTGTTCATAGCAGGGAAGCTGATGGAAAAGTGACATGCCCCTAGACTTGAGAGATGCTCTCTAAGTTTAAAAAGGAAACAGCTTATTGTAAAATTTATTTGAATCCTACAACCTTCCCATATCTGTGTAATTAGCAAAAAGACAAGCTGCAACCAGAGAGGTAAAGTATCAATTTATCTCATACTTATTTATTGAGAACATCCTCTGAGCTGTGTACTATGTTAGGCAGAGAAAACAAACAATAAGCAAGACACAGTCCCTGACTCCATATGATTATCAGGGAGGCTAGGAAAAGTCATCTCTGCTTGGACAACTCCTTTCCAGAAATACCTCTCTTCTCTTAAAGGGACATGCACATGTACATATTATAATAAATGAATCGAGGAAATATATAATATTTATATATAATATATAAATATAATAATATATAAATATATTATTTATAAATGTATTTATATATTATGTGTAAATATAATATATAATATATAAATATATATTATATATGATTATATATTTTCTATTTTATAAAAATATTCTACCATTTTATGTATAATATACAATCTATAAATATATAACATATATTCTAGATGTATATCTCATATATAATATATAAATATGTTAATATATTACTATAGAATATGTATATAACCTATTTTTGTATAGTGTATTATTTCTAAAATATTACATACTGTACATATATAAAATATATAATCTATACATTTTGTATATACATATATATAAAACCTATATTAAGCCACTGAAGTTTCAGAGTTTATTTGTTCCTTTGGTTAGAATTTCCTTAACAAATACCCCTTACAGTATGCCGGGCAGATGAATAAACCAGAAAACTCAACTCAATGCAATTTTGTGTCATGATAGGACTGAGTTCTACATGTTATCAGAACATAGGTCTGGGAACCAGGGAAGACGTCTTGCTGAAACCGCCAATAGGAACTAGCTCCTCAAAAGTGTGTGGATAGGGTGGACTTGGGAGGAAATCAGAGTAAATGACAGGTGCAAAGTCCCAGAGGAAAGTAGCAACATGGCTCCTTCTCTACAAAGCAAGGAGACGAGTGCTTACAGCTGAGATTCAAACAAGGAATGGAAAGCAGAGAGGATGGAGTGGTAAATAAGGGTCAGATCATGGCACAGTAAATGTTTTGACTTTGACATGAAGGCATTGGGGATCATGGGGCAATGGCACTGTCTGATTATTCTGGATTAGGGGAAGCAAGACCAGAAGGAGGAGAGCATGACTATCCCATACATTAATACTTCCCACCGTCAGGTTAAAAGTAAGAAGTGAATATTTACCTGTTACATGATGGATGAACAAATGAGTGAACCATTTCAGAGCCTGTTACACTATTTAGGTTAAAGAAGATTGGGTTTAAACAATGGTAATGAAAGTAGAGATATCCTGATATGGATCTATTTAAAATATTTAGAAAAGAAGTGGCTAGGCATGGTGGCTCATGCCTGTAATCCCAGCACTTTGGAAGGCTGAAGCAGGCAGATCACTTGAGGTCAGGAGTTCAAGACCAGCCTGGCCAATATGGTGAAGCCCTGTCTCTACTAAAAATACAAAAATTAGCCAGGCGTGGTGGTGCACACCTGTAACCCCAGTTACTCGGGAGGCTGAGGCAGGAGAATCACTTGAACCTGGGAGATGGAGGTTGCAGTGAGCCAAGATCACACCACTGCACTCCAGTGCGGGCGACAGAGCAAGACTCTCTCCAAAAAAAAAAAAAAAGTGACTAAATGGAAGTAGGAGTTCAGAGATGGCTTTCAGATTAGTTTTTCTTGGTGAGTTGCTACTTGCATATGTAACAATTGCCATGTTTTTGGAGCTATTCTGAGTGTTTACACGTGATAATTCATTTAACCCTCATAAAGACCCTATGAGTTAAGTAATATCAATATCAGATGAGAAGAAGGAGGCACAGAGGGTTAATAATTTATTCCAGGTCACACAGCAACTGACTATTAGATCTGGGAGTTAAATTCAAATAATCTGGCTTTGGTGTGTACTATCCTGGGTATGAGGTTTGTGTTTGCCATTAGAAGTCATAGGAGAAGAATTTGCATTAAGAAGAAGAAAATGAGTTGAAATTGAGACTTGTGAAATTTAAGTTCTCTGTGGAATACCCCAGTGGGAATAGCAATTAGGCAAGTGAATATTTATAATAAAATTAATAAAAACTGCACCTAAAGTGCAAACTCTAAGAAAATGATTACAAAAAAAAAAAAAAAAAAACCGAGAGTTCATTGCAGTTAGAAAAAAACTAGTAATAAAAGAAGCAACTACATGAGTATAAACAATCTGAGATGAAAGTGTTGGGGGTATAGAAGACAGGAGTGGACTTTTAGGATGTGCATGAAGAAAGTAGGAAGATTAAAAGGGAGGCCAGAAAAGAGACATTTCATGAAGGAGGGCCTGGAATTTAACGGTATTGCTATGGTACATTATGCCTGTGTGTTGTTCTCTATGTAATTTCTTTAGCAATTAATGCTACAGTAGCTATTTAATACCAGAGTAACTATTTTTGATTTTCATTCCACAGGGTGTATTTAGTTGTTTAAACTTATTTTTTTTGTAATAAATCTATAAAGGAACTCCACTACACATTGAAGAGGAAAGGTGTTTGAGCCAAATAATTAATAATTTTACACACATTTTGGTCGTCACACCTCTTGAAGAATAGCTGGAACAGAGCTGAGTCCTACTTGAGTGTTTTCTGTATTTCATTACAAACAATAATTAACATTTACTGAGCACTTACCCTGTTCTGGGCACTGTGAAAACATTCCATACACATTCTCTTTTTTAATTCTCTTAACAAACTCATGAATTCGGTAAAATGTGTATTTTGCATTTCCATTTTGCATATGGGGACACAGAGGTTTAGAGAAGTGAAAGAAACTGTCCAAGGACCCAGGAGTGGTGAGGTTAGCAGAGGCACCTGCACCCAAGCCTTCTGACCTTTACTCCTGCCCAGTGCTCTCTCTCTCCTAATCTGGCAAACTCAGTCTGGGCCAGACTGTGTGCTCCTTAACTAGAAAGTTTCCCAATGGTCATAGTTTGTTCTTTAGGTTTGTAGTTCAAGACAAACCATTGCCCTGTAGCTGCCCTTTTCCCCACTGGCTTATCTTTGGACCGACTGGGAGGTGAAGGACACTGTCCTTGTATGTGCCATTCCCAATTGGCTACTTCCTGGTGAACTTGATTTCTCATTTTGGGGCCCAGGAGGGTGATCATTGCCTAAGAACATTCCAGAGTTTACTTAAGGCAAACTATGAAAAAGGTAAATTCTGTGCTTTCTTCCTTTCATTCCACTTCAGTAACTGCCTTTTTACTGGTATTACTCAAATTCTCCAGCTTTCTTACTCTTTAAATAATTTTACCGAGCCTCCACTCTGCGTCTGGATTTGTGCTCTGTGTTGGACATATAACGATAAATAAGACAACTTTTATTAGTGGTTTCAGGTATGTTAACGAGTTAGTATGGTACAGCAATGATAAATGTGATAAAAAAAAAAATCCTTCAAGGTAGAGAGAAGCACCAGGTAGGCAGTAATCCACCAGTCTTAAGAGTGAGGGGTTTGATAGTTAAGGGTAAACTTCCCAGGGCTAGAAAAAGTTAAGCTATAGCTTTTGAAGGATGAAAGATTCCCTAGACTGGATTTGGGGGTGATGTCAAATAGCAGGTAGAAGAATCAGTCTATTTAGCGGTGCAAGGTCTATATTAACAGGGCACGTGCTGGAAAATGTGAGTGGTTTATTATGGCTGGGGCACAGGCTGTGAGATGGAGAGAAATAGGAAGTGAAGCTGAAGAGGCAGGAACTGTCAGATTAAGGAGGGTTGTGTGTATCATACTAAAGAGTTTGAACTTTCTCCCATTCTTCTGACCGAGAAAAGCCAAAGAAAGATTTTAATCAGGGCAGCAGCATTATGTGAGTTTGGTTCTGAAAGTTTATTCTGGGGGCTTTTATGATCCAGTAAGACAGATTCTGGAGACACGGTTTGAACATGGGGCCAGCGTAATAGATAGTGAGGGCCTAAATTAATGGGGAGGCAGTGGGAAGAAAGACAAGGGTTTTGAGAAGTATTGATGAGACAGCCATAGTACTGGATGGGAATGTTATTGGCCTTAGAGTCGATAGGTTTATAAAATAAAAAAAAAAAATCATGAATGGTGATACCATTCACTGAGAAAGGGATGCCAGCTCTACCAGTTTGGGAGGTGCGAAAATAAATAATAAGTGTAACTTCAAACATGTTTTCATTTGAAATTCCAATAACACATCCAGGTAGAGGTAACGAATTGGGGGTTAAAAATATAGATTTGAAGCTTAGGAGAAAAATCTGGACTGGAGATAGAAATTCAAAAGTTATAAGCACAAACATGGTAAGCAAAACCAATTTTTTCTTTTAAAAAAAAGGTATAAACTTTATTCTACAGAGTGAGAAGAGGGCTGGAGGGAGGGTGGGCATTTATGGCATATCAATGTTTAAGAGTAAATAATGGAAGAAGAGACGGATAAATAGTTTCCTGGAGATATAAGAGAAACCAGGAGAGAAAAGTTTCATGGAAGGCAAGAAAAGAAAGAGTTTTAAGGAGTTAAATGTTAACAGAACAGCAGGGAGTGAGATACAGAGTGGAAAGGGTCAGCAGGCTGTGCCAGTTAGTGGGTCACTAGAGACCCTGGAAGAACAGTTTCTCTGAAGGGATGAGGCCCATAGCCAATTAGCAGTAAGTTAGGAAATAAACAACAGTTGAGCAAGGGGAAGGAGAAAATGCAGACTACTAATTTAAGAAGCTGAGGTTAGAGAGGGTAAGTGATTTTGTGGAAGGTAATAAGGCTCCTCAGTGGTATCATCTGGGACTTTATGTCAACTGGTCTGACTCATTAAAATGCCTTTTGGGACTCTCTATTTATTTAAGTATGTATTAGTCACCTACTCTGTTCTAGACACCTTGGAGTTAGACACCTTAGATATTATAGCATACAAAGCGAGTTATGGATGACTGTCAAGAACTGTGAAGGGTCTGAAACTTACTTGCAAGCTAACAAGGTAGCCTGCTGCAGTGTCATAGGTATCGGCACATGGCATGATATTTCAGAGTCAGAGACAAAAGACATCTGGTTACTTACAACAATAACAGTAACCAGTAACTTCATTTTCTCAAGCCAGTCCCTGGGCCTCAATTCCCATAGGGTGACATGAATAGGGCCATGTGATGCCTGCACACATGATGCATCGTGTTACAGGAAAGAAATACTGAGTTTAGCAAATTTGAATCTTTTATAACTGGCAGTGCTCATGCCTAATCTTCGCCCCAGAGAGACAGACATTACCTTTATTATATTGGACAGTAAAGAAACTTCTCTCTGCTTTGAAGGGACACATGATCTCTAGCTTCCAAGGCTTATACACAACCTTGGAAAATCACTTCGGAACAAAGAGAGGCAGTGCCTCTGTCTACAAGATGTGCAGAAATTCTGGAGACCCATAGAAAATTGTCTCTTAACAACGATGTGGTAAAGATAACAAGTTGCCTACCCAATATTTTTTTTTTCACTTAGCAACAAAACTAAATATATGTCAAGCAGCCTTCTTGTAGCCTTAAACAGTATAGCTACATAGGCCAGGCGCGGTGGCTCACGCCTGTAATCCCAGCACTTTGTGAGGCCGAGGCGGGCAGATCACGAGGTCAGGAGATCGAGACCATTCTGGCTAATGCGGTGAAACCCCGTCTCTACTAAAAATACAAAAAATTAGCCGGGCGTGTTGGCAGGCGCCTGTAGTCCCAGCTACTCAGGAGGCTGAGGCAGGAGAATAGCGTGAACCCGGGAGGCGGAGCTTGCAATGAGCCGAGATCACGCCACTGCACTCCAGCCTGGGCGACAGAGCGAAACTCCGTCTCAAAAAAAAAAAAAAAAAAAAGATTACAGCTACATAACAAAAAGGGTAAAGCATAATGACAGGAGTCTAGGTCTCTGATGACTTTGTGGCACTGTTATAGCAGCTATGGACTGCTTAGCTGTGGATTTGATGTAGGTGGATAAATATTATGTGCTTAAGCCATCATAGTTGGGTTCTGTTATTCACAACCATATACAAATAGTTACTATTAGTAAATAAATGCAAATACTAATTTGGAAGAAGAAAAGAGTACTAGATAGTAAGATATCTGAGACCGGAAGTATAGTCACAGTAATTACTAACTTATTGTGTTAACTTGTCAACTGACTTCTGTGAATTTTATATTTCTCAGCTTAATATTATGAACTTTATAGCTCTAACTTTTTTAATCCTAAATTAGAAATTTAAATTTTAAGAATTTAATACTAAATTCTTAAAATAACATTTTATATAATAAAATATTTATTTTTAATAACCTTTATTTTTAATAATATTTTTAAAAATTAATTTTTAGTTGACAACTATATATTTATAAAGTACAATGTGATTTTTGACGCATGTAAGCACTGCAAGATAGCAAGATAAATCAAGGTAATTAGCATATTCACCATCTCAAAGATTAATCATTTCTTTAGGGTGAGAACATCGAAAGTCATATCTCTTAGCTATTTTGAAATATACATTATTATTAATTATAGTCATCTCGCATTGCAATAGAACTCTAGAACTTATTCCTCCTAGCAATTATGATTTGAAGCAAGTGGATAAATGCGTTTTGTCATTACTTTTAATGGCAAAAATGCAATTACTGTTGCACAAACCTAACATTGTAACTTTGGACCTGTTGACCAACATCTCCTGCTGACCATCATCTCCCCATACACTACCCTCCTAGCCCCCACCTGCCTCTGATAACCACAGTTCTACTCTCTACTTCTATGAGTCCCGTTTTTTTAGCTTCCACATGTAAGTGTGCCTGGCTTATTTCACTTAACGTAATATCCTTCAAGTGTGACTGTTGTAAATGATAGAATTTCCTGTTTTATTTTTTCAGGCAGAATAGTATTCCATTGTGTAGATGTACTGCATTTTAAAAATCCATTCATTCATTTTTGGACACAGATTTTTTTCATATCTTGGCTATTGTGAATAATGCTGCAATGAACATGGGAGTGCAGGTATCTCCTTTGGTATACTGACTTCTATTTACTTGGGTACATATCCAGTTGTGGGATTGCTGGATCATATGGATAATTCTGTTTTTAGTTTTTTGAGGAACCTCCATACTATTTTCCAAAATGCCTGTACTAATTTACAATGCCACCAACAGTGTGTATGGATTCACTTTTCTCCACATCCTCGCCAACACTTATCTTTCATCAGTTTGATAATAGCCAATATAATAGTTGATATCTTAGTATGGTTTTAGTTTGCATTTCTATGATTAAAAATTTTAAGGATTTTTTTCATATAGCTGTTGGCCATTTGTATTTCATCTTTTGAGAGATGTCTATTCCGGTTCTTTGCCCGTTTTTAAAATTGGGTTCTCTGTTTCCTTGTAATTGAATAGTTTTGAGTTCCCTGTCTAATTGGGATATTAGCTCTTTAACAGTTATGACTTGCAATATGATTTGCAAATATTTTCTCCTAATCTGTGGGTGATCTCTTCACTCTGTAATTGTTTCTTGTGCTATGCAAAAGCTTTTTAGTTTGATGCAATTCCATTTCTTTATTTTTGCTTTTGCTGCCTGTGCTTTTGAAGTCATACCTAAAACCAATATAATGAAGCTTTCCCCCTACATTTTCTTCTAGTAGCTTTATAGATTCAGGTGTTACATTTAAGCTGTTAATCCATTTTGAGTCGATTTTTGTAAAAGTGGTTAGATAAGAGTCTATTATTATTCTTCTGTACATGGATATCCAGTTTTCCCAACATGATTGTCTTTTTAAAAAAAATTCCTTTTTTCATCCTTCAAAGCTCATTTCTTTTTTCTTATCCTTCAAAGCTCATTTGATCTATATCCCATTTTCTCTTCAATGGGAACCCATCTGAAAAATAATTCCATAAACAATACAGATAATAGCTTAATTTGCTACTTCCTTGCCCCCAACATAAGAATACGTGTACTTTAGAGATGCCTTAACCTACGGGTATGACTTTTTTGGGGGGTGATATCTTTACTATTATTATTATTATACTTTAAGTTCTGGGATACATGCGCAGAACGTGCAGGTTACATAGTTATACATATGCCATGGTCGTTTGCTGCACCCATCAACCTGTCATCTACATCAGGTATTTCTCCTAATGCTATCCCTTCCCTAACCCCCCACCCTCCGACAGGCCCCAGTGTGTGATGTTCTCCTCCCTGTATCCATGTGTTCTCATTCTTCAGCTCCCACTTATGAGTGAGAACATGTGGTGTTTTGTTTTCTGTTCCTGTGTAAGTTTGCTGAAGATGATGGTTTCCAGCTTCATCCATGTCCCTGTGAATGACATGAACATATCCTTTTTTATGGCTGCATAGTATTCCATGGTGTATATTTGCCACATTTTCTTTATCCCATCTATCACTGATGGGCATTTGGGCTGGTTCAAAGTCTTTGCTATTGTGAACAGTGCTGCAAGAAACATACCTGTGCATGTGTCTTTATAGTAGAATGATTTATAATCCTTTCGGTATATACCCAGTAATGGAATTGCTGGGTCAAATGGTATTTCTGGTTCTAGATCCTTGAGGAATTGCCACACTGTCTTCCACAATGGCTGAACTAATTTACACTCCTACCAACAGTGTAAAAGCATTCCTATTTCTCCACATCCTTTCCAACATCGGTTTTTTCCTGACGTTTTAATGACCTAATTAAACTAAAGAGCTTCTGCACAGCAAAAGAAACTATCATCAGAGTATACAGGCAACCTACATAATGGGAGAAAATTCTTGCAATCTATCCATCTGACAAAGGGCTACTATCCAGAATCTACAAAGAACTTAAACAAATTTACAAGAAAAAAAACAAACAACCCCATCAAAAAGTGGGCAAATGATATGAACAGACACTTCTCAAAAGAAGATATTTATGCAGCCAACAAACATATGAAAAAAAGCTCATCATCTCTGGTCATTAGAGAAATGAAAATCAAAATCACAGTGAGATACCATCTCACTGTGTCAGGGGTATGACTTTTTAATGTTTCCCAACACACTTAAGTTCGGTAAGGGAGGAACTTAACTGAAACATCTTATAATAATGCAAATAGCTTGTGTGTCATAGCTTCTATGTCCCTCGTGCTTAGCATGGACGCTGACATGCATAGTTCCTCAATAAATACTTGTTGAATGAATGAAAACACAACAGCATTTTAGAAAATAGAAACTTAAGAGAAAAAAAAAAATTGGGGCACAACCCACTTTGACCTGATCTACTACCTCTACTGCCATGCAAAGTGTGACCCAGAAGATTTCATGTAAAATAAATCCTTTATAATCCAAAATAGACGAGATCAGACAGAAAAAAAAAAGATATTTAAGTTAAATGGTTTCTGATTATCTTTTTTTTTTATTTTTTAAGAAATGGTAGGTCATTTGTTCATTGGAAACATAGCTGTCAGTTTAACTTATGCCATCGTTTGAATAAACTGATATTGGATAATGAGGTTTCACTGAATCACTGAATGGCTACATATACTTTTTTCCTCTGGGCTAAATAATTTCAATTCCTCTAACCTTTTCTCATGAATTCTATTTTCTAGCTCTTAATCACTCTTTTGTTCTCCCATGAAATTGAATTAAAAATGTTAAGCAGCAACAAATATCACAGGATGATTTTTATATGAACATTAGCTCTATGTTCACCTTTAAATATATCATGCCATTGGTAGTGCTACTATCAGATTTAATATTTTATGATATACTAGAAAACTTTTCTGTCTTACTAATGTCTGGAATTGTCTCTTAGTTTATAGTAGTCTGTGGGTCCATGATTCTAGCTATATAAATATTACCAAGTAGGCAAATAATCAGTATCAGGCAAACCAAACAGCAGTTGACAGATAGAATATTCTAATGTCCAATCTGGATATTTCATTTTTTCATTCACGAATCTGCACATACATTCATTCAGTTGTTATGTACTATTTCCTTATTCTGTGACAGGCTCCGAGCTAAATACTGGTATAGAGAAGAAATGGAGTTCACAGCAGTTCTCAGCTGTCTATTAAAGAAACAATTATAATAGAACATGATCAAGCACAAAGATATCAAGACAGAATGCTACACAAATATAAGAATGTACCTCAATGCAGTTGACATCAGGTGTCTTGAAGGATAAGCAATTAGCCAGAAAAGAAGAGATGATTGGCCAATTGCTACTTTGAGTGATACCAACATATAATATATTCTAGTGATTACAACAAAAGAGTTGTAAGTTTGAGGGAGATTGTTTTATCTGTTCTTGCCATGACACAGGACCATGACTGAAGTGCAGATCCTTCCCTGTGTACTATGTCAGATGCTAGAGAGAGAGCAGAGAACAAGCTAAATATGGCCAGGGGCTTAATGTCTAGAGGAAGAGACACAGCACTGAACTAATGGTGAAAATCAGAGTGACCTATTTTTACTTAGGACATTCTGAGTTTATTCCCTTTTCCTAGCTTAATTAATAACCATCCTCCCTTTCACTCTTGAAAGTTCCAGTTTGAAAAATAAAGTTATATGGTCATTTTTCTGGGACAATGTGATCATTGCCACCCTAGAGGTAAGATAGAATAGGATGGGAGTCCTGGGGGAAGAACATCAAACAGAAACTTCTAACCCAGTTGGTGGGCCAGTACACTGATATTACAGATGACATATTTCTAGAAATTTCCAAATAATAACAATGAGGCAAATACCTTGCCAGACTTTTTAAAAACCCAAACTATCCAAGTGGCTGTTTTAATAGTCTGGTCCAAGCAAACATTGATAACTCAGTTACACTGGTATGAAAATGAAGATATCAAATGAGATATCAAGTTGTGTTCATGAGAAGTCAGTTTTTCTTCTGTGCAATTAAGAGAGAGGCAGAATCAATAGTGTATGCTTTTGGAAGGGTAAAAATATCAATGGATTCACAACATTAAGCAGGTCTGAATGGCCATTCTGCTGGAAGAATGTTTGGGCTGCCATTGAAATGAATCCTGAAGCCACACAAATGAAAATCAATTTCAGAATTTCTTGCAGGACCTGGAAATATTCAAGTAAAATGCTTGTGCATATTTAGAAAGACATAGATGCACATATAATGACTCCAGGTATTGTTTTTTCCCCATTAAATGAATATAGATACCTTGGAAAAAGAAACGTGAACATTTAGATTTCAGAAGGCAAAACGTACTTTGAGATTGGATTGAATTGACAAACAACATTGTATAAAAATGAATCTTGTCTTCTCTTTTTGAGGTTGAGGGAGGGGTTCCTTGAGCTGAGAGTAATCCAGTCAGGAGACCCCAGCAAGCTAAAGAGGAAGGGGGCTAAAGAGACATCTGTCCTCATTTATCCAATTATCATTCTCAACTTTCTGTAGCTACAGGTCCACTTGAGAAAAAAGGACAGGCTTTGAGAAGAGTCAGGATGACCTTTGGAGGGTCAGGATTGGAAGAAGAAAGAAAGAGAGAAAAACAATATTTTTAGCATCTCTATATGTCGGGTACTGGGCTGAGTACCTGCCATATAATACTTTTCTGATTTCAAGAATGACCCATTGGTGGATATGACCTGGGAAGCCCATGGCTCAGGAAGGCTAAGTCCAAATTTAGACCATATACAATTGATTGCAGGCACCTCAGTTAAAGCCCAGTTTAGTTAAACTCTGATGACTGTATTATTTATTTATCCCTTAAGGCATTTCTGTGGTCAAAAAATAATTTTTGGTATGTGAAATTGGTTAAAAGAAAGGGGATTCCAGATGAAGAGACCATGATGAATTAAGGTGTTATTTTATCCAGGGCTAAAACATGTTTATAAAAATGTATCTTAGAATCTTCCATTATTGCCACAAGTTGCCATAAATATAGCAGATTTGTTCTTGCAACAGAACAAAAAAAATAGAAAAAAAGATGAAATTAGAGAACACTATCATGTTCTCTGTAAAAGAAGAACCAGAACATTAATCATGGGTCCTATATCAGTTAGACTTCTTTGCTGCAAGCAATAAATGCCATCTTTGGTTCACTTAAGCAAACAAAGAAGGAAAAGCCAAAGAACTGAGTTGTAGGATGCACAAGAGCTGGGACAGCTCCTGGAATCAAGGAAGCAAAACGGCCAATTTATTTTTTTTTTTCTGGGAGCTATGATCAGCATAAATATCCAAACTGCAGAAAGAGAGAATCAAAAAGCTCCAGCTTGGATATGGGCCACCCCTTGATGAGTGGAGCAAGGTACCTTGATTGGCAGTGACAGAGATAATTCCCTAGAGCAAAATCCATATTAAAAATCACATGATGTCACCAAAGAAACATCTTAGGACATCTCTTCTCTTACTACTATAGCTTTAAATGTCCTTCACCTGTATGTTAGCTTCCTAGGGCTGCTATGACAAAGTAACACCAATTGGGTAGTTTAAGAAAACCAATAAATTTATTGTTTTATAGTTCTAGAGGCTAGCAACCTGAAATTACAGTGCCAGTGGAGCCATGCTCCTTTCTAGGGAAAATGCTTCCTTGCCTCTTTTTAGTTTCTGGTGGCTCCTGTCAATCCTTGTCTTTTCTTGGCTTCAGTCTCTGCTTCCATCATCACATGGATTTTTTCCCTGTGTGTGTCTGAGTGCATGCTCTCTCCTTTTTAAGAATATCAGTCATTGCATTTAGAACACATCCTAATCTGCTATGACCTTAACTAATTACATCTGCAAAGACCGTATTTCCAAACAAGTTGCCATTTTGCACTTCAAGGTAGATGTGAATTTTGGGGTGATAGTTTTCAAAACTTTATACTTTGTCTTCCTTTGGGACCATTTGGTTTTCTCTATCACAAACTAACTATCCTGTCCTCTAATTTACAAATTAAATGTGTTTTTATATAGAGTTATGGTTCTTTAAGGGTAAGGACAAGGCCATGTTCATCTTTGCTTATTTAGCATCTAGTAGAGTGTCTGGTATACTGTAAGCACAAAAGCAGTTTATTGAATGAATGAATAAATAAACAAAAAATGAATTATTCAACTAATAGGAGACATAAGAAAAAAAAAAAACTACAAAGGAATCAGGAATGGCACTTGGCATGTATCCCTATACAAGATTATAGAGTTCCATGGTCCTGTCGTGTACCCAAACAACACTATTGCAGAAACAGCAAATAAAAGCAAGTTTCCTGTTCCCCACAAGGGTTTATAATGGCCTGAATATTAAGAAAATTGACCTTGTTTCCACTTTGATTCTTATAAGTTCTCAGATAAAATAGACAATTTACAACTTCCATGTATTTTCTCTATATTTCTCAACTAGTTTGCCTTTTCCTAGTGTGGTTACATCATGCAACCCTGTTTACCTCCTCTGGCCTTGGCCAGCTTCCTTTACTTTCACACCCATTGCAAAGCAGTTTTGCTTTTCCTTCAAGGATTTTATTTTTATACCCTGCTTGTCGGTGCTTAATTTACATCTTCTCCCCCAGCTTCAAAGGTTTGCCGAGGCTATGACTTCACCTCCTTAACAGTGGTCACTTTCTTCTTTGAAGTTGAGTATTCATTTGAAGAGAGATGCTGTGTCTTTTGGCTCCTTCTCCTCATCCATGCTGTCTGGAGATGAGGGAAAACACAGTTGCCCTAATGATTTGATCAGATAAGTCTGATACTTTCTGGATTTAAGGAGCCAGTCCACTTCCCTGCTATGAATTAGAATGAGAGAGAAAAATGATTCTAGTTTTAGGCTCAATCTTCAGAGGTTATTTTCCTTAGGCATTGCTGTCATGGGAATGTTTGGGGGCATAACTGGGGACATGAACAGCCCAGAAAATTGCCTGGTGGGGACAGGCAGCAGGCTGGCTTTTATTGTTGACCCCTGATTCCCACAACGTAACCTTCCTCCTTTGCTGTGCCTGCCCTGATCGTACTTCGAGTTTACAATTACAATTTGTTTTTCATCCTGTTCCATGTCCTTGGAGAGGGATCACTTTGATGACAGTGCCAGAAACTAATTGTGAGGGGAACCAATTGTATGGGAGGATGAAGTCCATGGAGCCAGAGGTCCTCAGCATCCTGAAGAGAAGGGAGGTGCGATAAGGGAACATGTTTCCAGGGAAGACTCCAGGCTTCCTTTCCTGGAGACCTCTCAGAATAGGTTGTTTAGCCCTCCTACTGGAATTACTGAGTCGTATGTTTGGAAGGGACCATATTAAGCTGTGCTGTTTAAGTTCTTTAAGAGTGTGAATTCCCTGGGCTATGAGTTCCATGCTGTCTAAATCAATGGGCCGATGTGTTGCTGTAGAAGAGTTGGCTTAGAATCAGGTCAACTAGAGTCGGAATCTTGGGTTCTACCTCTGGCTGGGTTATTTTATTAACAATATTATTAAAAATACTAGCAAGCATTTATTGAGTACACATTATGGGCATGTTGTTGGGTTGAGTGCCTGACTCTCAACAGCTTAATTTATCACAATAATTGTTCTATGAGAAGGTATTATTATGTTGTTGTCATTAGGTTTTACAAAATAGAACACAAAATACATAAGGCACAGCTTGTAAGATCACAGAATTAGTAAAGGACAGAATTATTAGGGAAGAGCAAGGTCTTGCAAGTTCATGTGCATGCTAAACAACTACATAATACTGTCAAACACTACACTACACATTTGCCAAGTCTTGTTTCCTTATCTGGAAAATGAAGACAATAATCCTATTTATAGATGTATAGGATTAAGCAAAATTGTTACTGGGCTGTGAAAGTGAGTAGCCAGTTACCTAGAACGTGGGCTTTCAATGATTGTCAGTGCTTTTTTATTTCCTCCCTTCTCTTTTCTGCAAACCACAAACCTTAAATCTTACCTTGGGAGACATCCTGTTCTACATGGCTGTTCTACATGGCCATGGGAGATTGCTTGGTAATTTGTCCCGGTAGTTCCATGGGGCTTACCGGCCTGTTTCCAGCCAGCCCCATGAAAGCAAAGGCATGAGAGGGACTATGCAAGGCTGCCAGGGATTCCCTGTCTACTCTGGGCACATCCCACTAAGCACGAGGCCCTGATACATGTTGGCCAGAGAAGGCTGCCTGCTGCTCCCCATTTCACAATATCTTGATGAAATGTGGTTCAAAAGGGCACCAATGAGGCTTACACAATCCCCCACTCCTTCAGGATTAAGAAACTAAAGCATGTTTCTGGCTCCTCTGCAGCCCAAATGGGGAATCCTATCAACTCCATAGCCCCTTGGAACTCCCAGTGGGGGAAACCTAAACCCGAGGCCCACTTTAGCCTTCTTTCCCCAAGGAGGTCTTATTGGCCTGCTCTATGAAATTCTCACCATGATCCTCCAGTGTCCATGCCTCCACTTTACACATAGAAAACTGATGCTCAGCAAGAATCAGTAACTTGCTCAAAATCACACATGAAGAATGCAAGCCAGAGCTGTCTGATTGCAAAGCTCTTTACATTACTTAGCTTTCCATTATTGCACTGGTCTGGCAATCCAGGTGACAAAAATCTAGCAGAGCCATTTATTCATTCATTTACAAATAGTTGTTGAGAATCAATGATGTGCTAGATATAGATGTTGGGGATACAACAGTGAATAAACAGAGCTTTTCTGTTCTCAATTAGAGCTTACCGAATGGAGTAGGAAACAAACAAGAAACAAACATAGATATATAAAATGTCAGGTGATAATAAGCACCAAGAAGAAAATACATGTGGCTGAGGAAGACTTTTCTGTGAAAGTGACTTCTGAACAGAAAATTAGATTAAGTGGGAAAGTGGTTCATGCAAATATTGGGGAGGAACAAAGCAGGAAATGGAAAATTCACAGCCTCTGATGCAGGAGTGTGCTTGGTGTGTTGGAGAAAGAGCATGGCAATAGCTAGACACAACCGGGTGAAGGAAAGTAGGAGATGAGGTCAGAGAGGTGACATCACAAATGGCCCATGCAAGGCCACTGTGGGGACTTGGCAGTTTTCTCTGAGAGAAATGAGCTGGGAATACAGGTGAAGTGGCTGGGACAGTGGTACATCTTCAGAAAGTTACGGTTCCAACACTAATAAATGAAGGGGTTGGATTTCACTGGTGGTTCCCGAACTGGCTGCACAGTGAATCTCCTAATCACTCAGTTAAAGCTGTGACTACCTGGGATCCACCACCAGAGACCATGATTCAGTAAGTCTGGGGCACAGGCTCTGTTGATGGTTCCAATACCCAGATATATTTGGCAACCATTTCCCTAGACTCACTCTAAGACTTTGCTGATCAACACCTCTGTTAATGACCCCAAATCTGTACATGGACAAGAGCTGTAAATACAACATGAAATATTAGCCAGTGTGAAAAGCCTTCTGTTATCTTATCGATGTAAGGATTTGCAGTATGATCTTATTACTTCTCTCTCTCATCACTCATTTTCTCCCTCTGAACATGCAGAAGAGATTAAATAGCTAAAGAGAGCAAATGACTACATTCTAACGCAGAAGGCTATCGGATCAAACCCTCTATTTTTCTGTGTACTTTTTGATGGCCTGTGAATTGACTTAATCAAACTGGAAATGTATATGCTATCTAAATAATCTGCTTAATATTCTGTAACATTACTCCAATTACTCATCCTTTCAATAAATTTAATCTATTGTTTTGAGCACCTTATTCTATTTCACACTCTCTCCTTTGCTCAAGAAAAGACTCAGTAGTCTCATAATAAAGGTGAAATTAGATTTAAAATGCTCAGGGAATTTTTCTCCCCTCACACTTCTTTATTCCAAACCCAGATATGATATGAAGCATGAAAAATTGCTGGATTTTCAAGTGAATGAATTTCAAATTTGAGAATTGACATGGATAGGTTTACCTACTGATTCATGTGCTGTGTTCTAGATTGGGAAGACGGCATTTCGAAATGTGTGGTCACACATATGTGCTTAAATTTTTAGATGATTTTAGACCATAGATTTCTCTGGTGCCAGTCAGCAAACTCTCCAAAACAAGAAGTAAATATTTTAGGTATTTTGGACAATGTTGCAACATGGTCCACTGCAACATCTCTGTGGCCACTACTCAGATCTCCTGAGGCAGCGCAAAAGCTTCTTTCATGGACAATATGCAAATGAATGAGTGTGGCTGAGTTTCAATACAATTGTATAGACAGAAACAGGTGGTATGCCAGATTTGATAAGCAGGCTTTGGTTTGCCGAATCCTGATCTAGTCTAATTGTTCTATTTTTGTTTTTCTTTTCATTTTAAATTTAGCAAATTAAGTCCCAGAGATGATATTTGACTTGGATTGATTACAGCACTGCTGAGACAGGAACCAGAGTCTGTTGACCCAGATCAATGGTCTTTCAACTCTACCAAGCTGCTCCTACTCAGGGGCTCACATTGATAGTCAGTGCAGGAGCTCCAGCTTCCAAGGCAGAGCTAGAAATGAGTTGAGTGCAAGCTCATTAGATCTTGATGTGGACATGAGTTCACTGCCAGGAGTCCTTGGCTATTGCCTGTCCTTCCTCTTCCCTTTCTGGTCGTGGTGCTGTGGGAGGCACTTCTCTCCCTAATCTCTTTTAAGGGTACATTTATACCTTCTGCAACCACAACAGGTAAGAACCAAGACACTAAAAGAATCCAGAATATTTTTTTGAACCAGCTATGAAGATGGCATTGATGTTAGCCCCAACTGCACTTGCAAACGCAATCCATTATCCCTCTCTTTTGTTAATAACCTGTCCCTTCAGACAGCTCCCTACTCACTTTCCTCTGAGGACAATTTTTACTCAGATAGTACAATTGATTGCAGCTACAATTTCTCTCTGGGGCCTAAAACCCCATTCATCTTACTTTTTTTGAGAAGTGAGATAAAAGCAAGTGTATTTCTTATCTCTGTGGAACAGGAAGTTCCAAGTTCCAATTTTCTGTGGATCCCACAATCTTGTCCCAAAATGTTAGATACATTTTTGTCTTCTTGTGATATTTATCTTCCTGTTTTCCTTTCACTTGCAATAACATAGATATTACATTTCGTCTTTTTTTTAACTCTTTCTTATATAAATCCCCCATATTGAGTTGACTTTTGATCTAAAGTTCTAGAATTTGCTGTGAAATTGTCACTTTCTGTTTTTAATGAAGGTTGAATAGTTAACCTTAATGAAGGTTGAAGGACAATAGTCCTTTCTACCAATTGTGAATTTCTCTACTTCATGCTGCTGAGTCCTCAACGATTTCAAACTCCTTCCAACAAAGTAGTTCAAAGTATTCCTTTCCCCCGATTGTATTGACAACATCCATATCTTTTTTTTTTTTTTTTTTTTTTTTTGAGACAAACTCTCGCTCTGTCATCTAGGCTGGAGTGCAGTGGCATGATCTCAGCTCACTGAAACCTCCACCTCCCAGGTTCAAGAAACACCCATATCTTAAGCTAAACCTTGAATCTCCAAATGGTTTATTTCCTACTCAACTCAGGAATAAAATTTAAAGAGATGACATTTGTGGCCATTTGTGGAAGTGCTTTGCAAATACAAAATAATATGTTTAGTTGTCACTTTTATTGTTTTCATTTTCAACATTTTTTCTAGGCTCCTTTATTTTCATGCCAATTGTCTGGATACTGGAATTTAAAAAAAACCTCAATAGATTTCCAGCATCTGGTTATTGGGCCTCCCCTTTCTTAAGCTCTAGGATTAAAATGTTCTTCACTTGCTATTACTAAAAATTAATTCTCTTAAGTTATTTTAAAAATGTTTGAAGGAAAATATAGCCCTGCCCTTTTAAGGATTAAAAGCCATTTGTTTCAGCAGAAAAAAAGGTTGTAAAAATCCCATATGACAAAACCTGTAGTAAAAAAGTGATCCTACATAAGTCTTTGCAAAATAAATTCTACCCAACAGAGTAGTTTAGAGGACGAAATGTAGACCTGTGATTTCCTACAGATCTTTTCTAAACTGGAGTGAGAATTAGAACCACTACTGCAAAAATATCAGAAATGAATAGTGCTACTACTAATCTCTGTTCTTCCTCATCATGGCAGCCTATGAAAGAACAAGCTGTGGACATGAGTAAAATTATTCAGGTAAAATACATTTAGGTTGTATATTTATGTTAATGGTCTTCAAAAAAGCTTACTTAGCCTAACATGAAAACAGTGAGTGGCTAGCCAGGTGCAGTGGCTCACGCCTGTAATCCCAGCACTTTGAGAGGCCAAGGCAGGTAGATCACTTGAGGCCAGGAGTTCAGGACCAGGCTGGCTAATATGGGAAACCCCCTATCTACTAAAAATATAAAAATTAGCCAGGTGTGGTGGTGCACACCTGTATTCCCAACTACTTGGGAGGCTGAGGCACAAGAATCGCTTGAACCCGGGAAGTGGAGGTTGCAATGAGCCAAGACTGTGCCATTGCACTCCAGCCTGGGTGACAGAGTGAGACCCTGTCTCAAAAGAAAAAAAAAGAAAATAAAAAGAAAACAGTGCGCAGTTAATAGGGTCTCCTTGCAAACTTTAAGGCATATTTATTTTAATGTGCTATCAATTTCTGCCCTAGTTTTTGGCAGACTGATTCATAAACTAATCAGTTAACTAATTGATCACATATCATCATATGCAGGTAATGTGCTAGGCACTGTAATAGTAGGATCTGCTCTATGGGCAACATGACTGTTACCAGCACCTGGCTTTACTGTAGTTACTCACATGAAGTTGCCTTCCCACCATTCCAATGGCTTCATTATGGTCTCAGACTCTTTGGGTTGCTGTACAAAATACCTTAAACCTGGTAGCTTATAAACAACAGAAACTTATTTCTCACAGTTTTGGAGCCTGGGAAATCCAAGATGAAAGCGCTGGTCAGCGTCTAGTGAGGTCCTCTATCCAGGTTCAGAGAACAGCAGCTTCTTGCCATGTCCTCAGATAGTAGAAGGGTTTAACTAGTTCTCTGCAGTTTCTTTTATGAGGGCATAAATCCCATTTGTGAGGGCTCCACCCTCACAACCTTATCACTGCCCAAAGGCCCCACTTCTTAGTACCGGCACCTTGGGGGTCAGGGTCTCAACATATGAATTGTAGGGGGCACAAAATTTAGACCATGGCAATCAATTCTCCCATTTTATTATTTCTATGTGCATGGTCCATTCTGCTGACAATAAAGGAATACATTAGTTCCAATACCATCCAGTGTTCTACTTGGTGAGCTATCTCTTATTCTTCAAACCTCAATCTACATCTACTGAGTATCTACTATAGGCCTGATGACAGGTAGATACTAAGAATATACGATGAATGAAATAAGACTCCTTCTGGGCTAAGGTGGGAGGATCACTTGAGGCCAGGAATTCAAGACCAGCCTGGGAAATGTAGCAAGACCTTGTCTCTACTAAAAATTAAACATTAGCCAGGCTTGATAGTGCACACTTGTAGTCTCAGCTACTCAGGAGGCTGATGTGGGAGGACCACTTGAACCCAGGAGGTGAAGGCTGCAATGAGCCGTGATTGCCCCATTGCACCCCATCCTGGATAACAGAACAAGATCATATCTCAAAAAAAATTCTCCTTTAAGTGGAGAAATATATATGTGAGCAAAGAACTGTCACACATTGTGACATATACTTTATGTATATTTCACATGGTGAAGGGCAATCTTCCCTGAAGAAATGACACTTGATTTAATCTTGTAGGTAAACAGGCGTATTACAAATCTTTTATGAGGGTAGCTCCACCATCTGATAGATCCATTTTCAAAAATATAAAATCAAACCTCACCTGCTGCCTCAGACTTCAAACACATTCAAATGCTTCTTCTACCCCAAAGTGCTTCCTCAGTGACAACTGACTACTATTCCATGACTAGACTAAATACAAAATTCTTTTACTGCTGAGAAATATTTGTATCTGTTTCAGACACTATCCTAAATATTGCAGGTGACTTTTGAACATTATTTATTTCAAAGTCACAGCATTTCTCTTTATTATTTCTCCAGTAATTTTCACTGGGTCTCTTTGTAAATAGGTCTCTGTCGCTTGTCTGACTTGACAGATTCCATTCTTATACAGTAAATTCTATGCAACTCTACGTTTCTCAACATCTTTCTTTGAGCTCCATGTTTTTCCCTCTTACTGTTCCAGTTGCATGACAGAATTCAGGAGTTTGATGCAGGTGAACAGTAGGAAAATTATAAAGAGAGAGGCTGGGTGCGGTGACTCACGCCTGTAATCCCAGCACTTTGGGAGGCCAAGGTGGGCAGATCACTTGAGATCAGGAGTTTGAGAATAGCCTGGCCAACATGGTGAAACCCTGTCTCTACTAAAAATATGAAAACTAGCCAGGGGTGGTGGCGGGCACCTGTAGTCCCAGCTACAGGAGGGAGGCTGAAGCAAGAGGTTCGCTTGAACCTGGAAGGTGGAGATTGCAGTGAGCTGAGATCACACCACTGCACTCTAGCCTGGGCGACAGAACGAGACTCCATCTCAATGAAAATAAATAAATAAATAAATAAATAAATAAATATATAAATAAATAAAAATTATGAAGAAAGAAACACAGAGAAGAGGAGAGGCCAGAGGAGGAATTTCTCTGCTGTAAATGGAAGTAAAAAGCAGCAATTTTACATTATGGTTTAGGCATCCAGATCTTCAGTAGGAAAAAGACAGGCATTCCAACCACAAGACGCAGAGAAGAGCAGGACAGAGCCTCAAGAGGCAGAGAAGAGCAGGGCAAAGCCTCTGAAGCAGGAGAGGAAGAGACCAACTTAGGAGGACACCTCTGTAGGAATGTCTGGACCAGCAGTACAGATGGGGTGGAGGCAGGAGGTGAAGCTGAGAAAATAAGCAAGGACCTGTTTCTGCTGCCCCAGTTTTGGGGGCACTGTTTGAATGTGTCCATCTATTATGTATCAAAAATATAATAAAAATAAGTAAATAATTTAAAAATAGGGTTGGGGGGAATTTTTTTAAAGGGGTAGTCAAAGAGACCATTCTGATAGGAGGTATTTGAAGAGGCATCTGATTATGAAGTGTTTTGTATGCTATGCTGAGGATTTTGAGCTTCATCTTTAACATGGAAAATTTAGGAAAGATTTTAATGGTGCAATGAAGCAAGGAGATAATGCATTTTTTTTCTTAAGGTTACTTTTGGTGACAATAGTTAGAATTGAACAGGCTCAAAAATTCCAGGGCTGGGCAAGTTGGCTCGCGCCTGTAATCCTAGCACTTGGGAAGGCTGAGGTGGAAGGATGGCTTGAGGCCAGGAGTTCGAAAGCAACCTGGTCAACAGAGTAAGACTCAATCTCTACAAAGAAGAAATGAAATAATTCTCCGGGCATTGTGGTGTACACTTTCATCCCAGCTATTTGGGAGGCTGAGGTGGAGAATCACTTGAACCCAAGAGTTGGAGGCTTTAGTGAGCTGTGATCACACCACTGCACTCTAGCCCTGGCAACAGAGCAAGACCTTGCCTCAAAAAGCAAACAAATAAAAAAGAACAATAGGTTTGGAAGATATTGAAAAAGTCCTGAGTAGAAACTAAATTGGGGTAGGAAATGAAGAAATATTTTTAAGAGGCGTAATCATCCAAAATCATCCAAATTTTGTTTAGAAAGACATTGCTGACTGATTTGATTCATTCATCCATGATTCATTCATCTATTTCTTTTTTTTTTCATTCATTCATTTATTCCACAAATATTTTGACTGCCATGTAGTAGGCATGCATGTGTTGGGCAGTGAACCAAACAGATGCTCAGCTCTCATTTGGTTTATAGCCTAGAAGGGGAAAAGTATAAGAAGTAAATATAGTTGTGGAATTACAGATTAATAGGTACAATATATAGTTAGAAGAAATAAGATCTAGCATTTGATAGATCAATAGGGTGATTATAGTTAACATTCTTCTATTGTATATTTCAAAAAGTTAGAAAGTAATTTGAATGTCCACAGCATAAAGAAAAGGTAAAACACTTAAGGCAATGGATATCCCAATTACTCCGATTCAATCTTTATGCACAATATGAATGTATCAAATTATTATATGTACCCCCAAAATATATGCACCTATTATGTATTGTTAACAAATAATAAAAATAAATAAAATTGTTAACATAGGGTTGACAGGACTATTTTTTTAATGGGGTCGTTCGAAAGACTGTTCTGATAAGGAAATACCTGAGTAGGCACCTGAAAGAAGTGAAGGAATGAGCCCTGTAATATATTCAGGACACAGGTTTTCTGGACAGAATCAATGGTATAATCATAGTCCCTAAAGCAGTGCATGCTGGGAAGGTGTTTTTGTGAGAGGAGGAGCAGTCTGGAGGGTACTGCATTTTCAGAGATTGTCCTTCGCCTTCAGTGTCTCTTTTCTTTGTCCCCAGTCATAAAACCTCCCTTGCTCTCTCTCAGAGTCTAGAATGTCCTACTAGCTGTTGGAACCTGCTGGAGTTCTAAAGGCATGCGATGTCCTGAATGTGCTTGACCAATGGACACAGCAGGTATTTGAAGAGTTTTGATGCTTCCTTTCTGTTTTCAGTGCTATTTTTTTGCTTTATTTCTTTTAAAAAACTTTCCCCACAGAGGCTATTTATTACACAGCAGCAGCCAGCATGCACCAAGCAGAACTGCTTTTCATAATAAACCTATTTATCTTCTGGCATGTCAGAAATTTCTCAAATTGATACTTATAATAAATATGATTAATAACACATTGTATTTCAGTTGTTGCCGTAAAATAATTGGGAATAAATATCGTATTGTGATGTTGACAGTGTCAGGTTGGTTGGTGCCAAACAGCGGGAGCAGCCAACTGTATTTCATTAACAGCCACATTGCTACAATGCTATTAAGTTTTTCATAATCTCTTCTGCTCAAGGTTGATCATTCATTCTGTTAGACAAATTCTTGCAACAATCACACTGGAAGTAAATCTGCCAGCGACAATCTCAGCAAGATGGGTTCTCACAGGGACATTAGGTCCCCTGCCTGTGAAATATGCTAGGCAAGTATTGCAATGTTGCGCTTGTGGATTAAGGACTAATCAAAGAGCATGAGAAAGACACCAGGACTAATAGACATATAAATGGTGAACCTGAATTTGAAGTGGCAGGAGAGGGAGAATAGGGCATGGCTTTTAAAGGAAGGTAATATGCCTCATGATCCCTCAGCCTTCTCCAAACACACCAGCTTCCTCCTTCGTCATATTTACTGCTTCTGCCATACAGTTACTCGTTGTTCTCTAAACACATTAAACTGTACCACGGCTCCTCATACTGCATTTGCAAAATGTAATTTTCATTTCAATATATTCCTCCCAACCCCCTTAAAAGTATGGTAAACTCTTACTCATCCCTCCGAACCTGTTTTAAGCTACATTTCCTCCTTGAAGCCATACTAGAACACTTGCCTACTCCTTCTACAGGGCTGTCATGAAACTATATGCATTTGTCAATTACTACGTATTTTACACTGAATCACAATTAGTTGGTTTTCATGTGTGTGTCTCTCCTTATGCAATGAGTTCTTGGAGGCAGGGCTTACACTTAGCACAAAGCAGATGCCCCGCTCAGAGAAAGTGCTCACTAGATAATTGTTGAACTGAACTAAACTGAAGGGGACATAGAAACAGTCTGGGCAAAGCAGGGAACCAGAGTTGCTGGTCATTCCAGTGACAGGCACAGAATGTCCCTTCTGTGCAGTGTGCTAAAGGCCTGCCAAGGATCCTAGATGCTTTAAAACATTTTTCGGCTGGGCACGGTGGCTCACGCCTGTAATCCCAGCACTTTGGGAGGCTCAGGCAGTAGATCACCTGAGATCAGGAGTTTGACACCAACCTGGCCAACATGGTGAAACTCTGTCTCTACTAAAAATATAAAAATTAGCTGAGTGTAGTGACATGCGCCTGTAATCTCAGCTACTCTGGAGGCTGGGGCAGGAGAGTCCCTTGAGGCCAGGAGGTGGAGTTTGCAGTGAGCCGAGATTGCACCATTGCACTCCAGCCTGGACAACAAGAGTTAAACTCTGTCTCAAAACAAACAAACAAACCAACAAACATTTTTCATGGGTATACCCATGTAAGTGTACATGAGAAGCGCAGAGGAGTAGCACAGAATCACAGATTCTGTGATAGCTAAGAATCATAGGATCTTAGCTTGGGATGAATTTTTTAGATAATTTTTCCCAAATCTGCATCAAATCACTTTGATAGCATTAAAATTATTGAGATTCCTGAGACCAATTGTTGACTTATTGTATTATTCATGCATCTATTCAACACCCATGTACTGAACACCCTTACTTGTGAGGATGCTGGGGTGGGCATTGGGTACAGAGTACTGAGTAAAGCTAACATAGGCCCTGAATTAATACAACTTATAGTCTTAAAGCAGGGAGGAGGGGTCAGACAGTCATTTATCAGTTAATCACACAAATAAATATATAATCATACGCTGTGATTAAGAAATATTTCAGGGTGCTAATGAGTATGTCAATGGCAGGATCTAACCTTGTCTGAGCTGAGCTCCAAAAGATAAGTAGAAGTCAAACTGATGAATGTAGGTGGAAGGGTGGAAAACATCAGGCAGAGAAAACAGTTTGTGCCAAGGCCCTGCAGCCAGAAGGGAATTTGAAGCTGGGTGATATGTGAAGCATTGAAGGCAAGCCCATGTGGTTGGAGCACAGAGGGAGGAAGCTGGAGAGGTGAGACCAACAAGGAACTTTTAGACTATAGTATAGAGTTTTTATTTCAGTCTTTGTTCTAAGAGCTACAAAAGGTCTTCTAGGAGATTTCATCAAGAGAGTAAATGTTGAGTCATAGCTTTGATTAAAAAGATTGCTCCGGCTGCAGTAGGAAGAAGAACTAGTATAGAGTCAGGTCGGCAAGTCAAGGGTTCCTGGCAGTGGTCTATGTGCTTGTAAAAGGATAGTAATAGTGAGGATAGAAAAGTTGGTGGTTGAAAGAGATATTTAGGAAGATATATTGACAGGAATTGGTAATGGATTGAATAAGCATGAAGTGGAAGATGAAGATAGACTATGGAGAATAACTACCTTTTCTGGAGCAAATGAATAGGTGTGAGAAATCATTACCAAAATAAAGATTTGGTGAGAATAAGAGTGTCTTAGTCCCTTTAGTGTTGCTCTAACAGAATACCTGATCTGGGTAATTTATAAAGAAAAAAAATGTTATTTGGCTCACAACTCTAGTGGCTAGAAAATCCAAGAGCATGGCACTGGCATCTGCTCAGCTTGCAGAGGGTTATGTGCTGCCTTACAACATAGCAAAGAAGAAAAATGTCAAGAGACAGCGTGCAAACACAGCAAAACATGAGGAGAAGCTTCACAACAACTCATTCTTGTGGTAATTCATCCAGTCCTGCAAGACAGAAGTCATCCACTCCCACAAGACAATATTTATCTGTTCATGAGGGATCTGCCCACTGGACCCAAACACTTCCCTCTAGGTCCCACCTCCCAACACAGCTGCATTGAGGACCAAGCCTCAACATGAGTTCTGGTGGCGACAAACCATATTCAAACCATAGTACAGTCTCTCCAGATTTGAGAAAACTTCTAGGGTCTGTATTTTCAGCAAGGATTCCATGCGATTCTTGTTAGCCAACATGGTACAGGTACAGAGACTGGCATTCAAGAGTCTCTGGTCACATATCCTACAACAACCCCACAAGTTGTCAGTTCTCAGTGAATGTTCAGTGTTCCTATGTTTTACCTGCAAATATGTGTCTGAATCTCAGTTCTTCTTGGCACCTACTTATTTCCAGCCTTGTTTGAGTCTCCAGCTTAGGGTTGTTGTGAGGATTACATAAGGCTAGTTATTCAACTCCGAAATATTTATTAAGTTCCTACTATGTGCTAAGCTTTGTTCTAGGTATGGGTGCTTCAGAATAGAACATACATGATACATGCCCTCAAGAAGCTCAGAGTCCATAGAGAAAGGTAGATGTAGTATTAAATAGTTTTTCAACAGAATTAAATGCTCTCCCATATGAAAGCCCAGAGAAGTGAGTGATGACTTCCCAAAACGTGGAGACACTTGAAATAAGTCTGCTGGGATGAGCAGGATTAAGCCAGACAAAGTTATGAGCGAATGTTTGAGTCAACCTTTTGGATACAGAGGCTACCAGAGTAGGCAGTTGACATCTCTTCTCTCCCTTTTTGTCTCTTCTATTTACCTCCTTTCTTCCATAATCAAGTACCAGTCCTGTCCTGTCTCCATTAGCTGCTATCTTTACCTTCTATCTCCCAGAAATGTACAAATTATGTAATTCAAGTTTCTATAACTGCCTTCCCCTCCATACTAAAACATGTTACTACACCTTGGTTTCTGTCTTCTTATTTTTCTGAATCTGCACTAGTCCTTTCATTGCTATAGCTGTCCTTCCTCTGTTCTAAGGCTCATGGCACCGTTGTAAGCCCAGGGCCCTATGCTGACACTCATATAACAACATTTTGCTCCATCAGTTACTAAAAGTGCCCTCTTATATCAGCAGTCTCCCTGTCTTTGGAGAGTATACAACATGTATTCTCATCCCATTTTTCCATTATGTTCAGAGCGGTTGAATGACTTGTACAAGTTAATGCAAGTAGTTGAGGCAGAAATGATACTTCAATCGAGATCTTCAAACTTCCAAGTTCAGTTCACTTTCTTCCATAACATGTTATCTCAAAAATACCATTTGCCAGAGATAAGTAATGCTAAATCATTAACACTGCTCCACAACAAAGACCCCACACTTTCTAGAGCCAGCAATTAGCTTCAGATGTATTTGTTGCAAATGGCTTCAAATGTATTTGTTAAACTTTGAACTTTGTATCATTTTAAATTTATTTTATTATTTCATTTTATTATTTTCAGAAGTGGAAACAGCTGGCTTTACTAAACCCTAGGGTCATTTCACTTTCCTATGGCTGTCTCTACCAAGTGTAGCTGGTCTCTTTTGAATACGTGTTGCAAGCTTGAGTTATGTGCCTCTGAAATATGTGGCCCAGGAGGGAAAATCTGGCTTCATAGCTCACTTGGTTCACTTAACCCATGACTGCATGAAATTGCTCCTCAAAATGCATTTCTGTCTCCATAGACTCCTAGTGGGGAGGGGCCTATTGCATGCAATGTCTTAATGTGGGCAGCTTTCCTGACCTCTGCATGTAGGCTGGGTATCCCTTGCAGTTGGGTGGGATGTGACTGCACATCCATTTCAAATGCCCTGAAACTCAGGATGTGCTCCTGAGGTGCTCCCCATGCCAGGATGTGCCTGTGGTTTCCTCAAGAGCTACTTGGATACACCGCATACCCTTGGATCCAGCACTGCTAGAGACTCTGCAGAAACTCTGCAACTTTAACTGGAAACCTCTCTACTGTTGTTGTTCCCTTGGAAAATGACTATTTGCCACTTCAGCTGCCAAATATCTCCTCCCAATATGTTCTGTGAGCATTCAGTCTGCTCAAAGTCTTGTGTAATGGTGGATATATGATGACATTTGTTTCAAGCTAGGCTCACATATCCATCTATCTCAGGGGCTACATGATTTACTTGCCATTTTTTAAACTTTTACTTGTAATTAACAAATAATAATTGTATATATTTATGGGATACAATGTGATGTTTTCATATATGTATACATTGTGGAATGATTATATCAAGCTAATTAAATTAGGCATCATCTCATATACTTTTCTATACTGAAAACATTTAAGGCCTATTCTTTCAGCAATTTTGAGATATAAAAGACATTATTGTTAATTATGGTCACCACACTGTGCAATAGCATTGAAAACTTATTTGTCATGTCTAACTAAAACTTTGTACTCTTTGACCAACATTCTCCCATTCCCTGTACCCCACCCCTCTCCACCCCACCCTCTGGTAAACATCACTCTACTCTCTACCTTTATAAGTTCAACTTTTTGAAGATTCTGCATATGAGATTATACAGTATTTGTCTTTCTGTGACAGGCTTATTTTACTCAGCACAATGTCCTACAGGTTCATCATGTTGTTGCAAATGACAGGATTGCCTTCTTTTTTAAGGCTGAATAGTATTCCACTGTGTATATGTTTTCTATAGCCATTCATCTGTTGATGGACACTCAAGCCAATTTCATACTTGGCAATTGTGAATAAGGCTGCAGCGAACATGGGAATGCAGATATCTCTTCAACATATTGATTTCCAATCCTTTGGATATATACCCAGTATTAGGATCACATGGTAGGCTTATTTTCAGTTTTTTGAAGCTCCTCCATGCAGTTTTCCATAGTGACTATACTAATTTACATTCCCTCCAACAATGTACAAGGATTCCCTTTTCTCTACATCATTGCCAACCTTGTTATCCCTTGTCTTTTTTTGCTAGTAACCATTCTAACAAGTGTAAGGTGATAGTTCATTGTCATTTTGATTTGCATTTCCTTGATGACTAGTAACATTTAAAAAATATCCTATTGGCCATTTGTATGTCTTCTTTTGAGAAATATCTATTTCAGTTTTTTGTCCATTTTCAAACTGGGTTACTTGTTTTCTTGCTATTCAGTTACGTATGGGAAAAAATCATATGAACTAAAGAGAGTTATTCTTGACTGCCTTGTTATATCTTGTTTACATATCATAAGCATTAATTTTTAATTTATTAAATAAATCAATAAATATTTATGAGTGTTATGTATTCCTATGTCAAGTTATTTACATTATAATATCACTTCCACTCAGTTGATTTCTTTGTTGACAGCACCCTCTTTATGACTAATGCTAAAACCTACTTGGATTGATTTAGACAAAAGGACACTGTTTCAGGAAAAATTCTGGGGAAATAATTAAAAATATGACCTTGATGACTTTCAAGGGCCACAATCATCTAGAGGAAAATTAACTATCTTTAACAGTGGGTTTACTGCATTTGGGAAGTAGAATCATTCACTTTAGAAAAATAACTATAATCATGGCGGATGAAATAAAAAGAGATTTTTGAATTGTTTGTGTAAGCCCAAATGTTGAAGTTAACTGTTTTTGTGAGGTTTTCCACTTGTTTGCTTTTGTTTTTGCATATAGAGAAGTAGAAATGTTGCCTGGCTTTCTTCTGAGTCTGGGTAAAGCTCGAGGGAGGGGTATAATGGAGGGAACTAATGCGAATTGAGCTAGACTTGGTGCAGTCATATGCAAGATCTCAGTTCATATCACAAACGCCCTTAGAAGGAGATTCAGCTATTCTTGTTTTCCAGATAAGGAAAGTGAGGATCGAAAGGCCTCAGACATGATCACATCCAGTCGAAGCCTGAGACCTGTGGCCCCTGACTCTTTAGAATCCCTTTCATCAGACTATAAAATTTCTTGTCAGACAATGAGGTTTTCTAGATATACAATCATGTCGTCTGCAAACAGGGACAATTTGACTTCCTCTTTTCCTAACTGAATACCCTTTATTTCCTTCTCCTGCCTAATTGCCCTGGCCAGAACTTCCAACACGATGTTGAATAGGAGTGGTAAGAGAGGGCATCCCTGTCTTGTGCCAGTTTTCAAAGGGAATGCTTCCAGTTTTTGCCCATTCAGTATGATATTGGCTGTGGGTTTGTCATAGATAGCTCTTATTATTTTGAGATATGTCCCATCAATACCTAATTTATTGAGAGTTTTTGGCATGAAGGGTTGTTGAATTTTGTCAAGGCCTTTTCTGCATCTATTGAGATAATCATGTGGTTTTTGCCAGTATCTCCTTAAGCTGATAAGCAACTTCAGCAAAGTCTCAGGATACAAAATCAATGTACAAAAATCACAAGCATTCTTATACACCAATAACAGACAGAGAGCCAAATCATGAGTGAACTCCCATTCACAATTGCTTCAAAGAGAATAAAATACTTAGGAATCCAACTTACAAGGGACGTGAAGGACCTCTTCAAGGAGAACTACAAACCACTGCTCAATAAAATAAAAGAGGATACAAACAAATGGAAGAACATTCCATGCTCATGGGTAGGAAGAATCAATATCGTGAAAATGGCCATACTGCCCAAGGTAATTTATAGATTCAATGCCATCCCCATCAAGCTACCAATGACTTTCTTCACAGAATTGGAAAAAACTACTTTAAAGTTCATATGGCACCAAAAAAGAGCCCGCATCGCCAAGTCAATCCTAAGCCAAAAGAACAAAACTGGAGGCATCACATTACCTGACTTCAAACTATACTACAAGGCTACAGTAACCCAAACAGCATGGTACTGGTACCAAAACAGAGATATAGATCAATGGAACAGAACAGAGCCCTCAGAAATAACGCCCCATATCTACAACTATCTGATCTTTGACAAACCTGAGAAAAACAAGCAATGGGGAAAGGATTCCCTATTTAATAAATGGTGCTGGGAAAACTGGCTAGCCATATGGAGAAAGCTGAAACTGGATCCCTTCCTTACACCTTATACAAAAATTAATTCAAGATGGATTAAAGACTTAAATGTTAGACCTAAAACCATAAGAACCCTAGAAGAAAACCTAGGCATTACCATTCAGGACATAGGCATGGGCAAGGACTTCATGTCTAAAACACCAAAAGCAATGGCAACAAAAGACAAAATTGACAAATGGGATCTAATTAAACTAAAGAGCTTCTGCACAGCAAAAGAAACTACCATCAGAGTGAACAGGCAACCTACAAAATGGGAGAAAATTTTCGCAACCTACTCATCTGACAAAGGGCTAATATCCAGAATCTACAATGAACTCAAACAAATTTACAAGAAAAAAACAAACAACCCCATCAAAAAGTGGGCGGAGGATATGAACAGACACTTCTCAAAAGAAGACATTTTTGCAGCCAAAAGACACATGAAAAAATGCTCACCATCACTGGCCATCAGAGAAATGCAAATCAAAACCACAATGAGATACCATCTCACACCAGTTAGAATGGCAATCATTAAAAAGTCAGGAAACAACAGGTGCTGGAGAGGCTGTGGAGAAATAGGGACACTTTTACACTGTTGGTGGGACTGTAAACTAGTTCAACCATTGTGGAAGTCAGTGTGGTGATTCCTCAGGGATCTAGAACTAGAAATATCATTTGACCCAGACATCCCATTACTGGGTATATACCCAAAGGACTATAAATCATGCTGCTATAAAGACACATGCACACGTATATTTATTGTGGCACTATTCACAATAGCAAAGACTTGGAACCAACCCAAATGTCCAACAATGATAGACTGGATTAAGAAAATGTGGCACATATACACCATGGAATACTATGCAGCCATAAAAAATGATGAGTTCATGTCCTTTGTAGGGACATGGATGAAATTGGAAATCATCATTCTCAGTAAACTATCCCAAGGACAAAAAACCAAACACTGCATGTTCTTACTCATAGATGGGAATTGAACAATGAGAACACATGGACACAGGAAGGGGAACATCACACTCTGGGGACTGCTGTGGGGTGGGGGGAGGGGGGAGGGATAGCATTGGGAGATATAACTAATGCTAAATGACGAGTTAATGGGTGTAGCACACCAGCACGGCACATGTATACATATGTAACAAACCTGCACATTGTGCACATGTACCCTAAAACTTAAAGTATAATAATAAAAATAAAAAATAAAAGAAAAAAAATTTCTTGTCAGGTACTGCTTCCCTTGTTCCAAAGAGTAGTAGTTATTAGAGAGGGGCTGGAATAACTTTGTTTCCAATTTCTAATTTTTCTTCTCTTTATCTTTTCTCCCTTGTTTCACCTTTCAATATAATTCCTCCAATCACATTTCCTTTCCAAATTTCTTCTTGCCCATGCACCATTTCCTCTTTTATGATTGTAACAAATAGCCCTCATCCTAATTGGTGAATTGGAAGAAATGACTCTGAGAATAATTAACTCTTTGTTAATTGTAAATTTGGAAAGGCATGGAAAGAGACCTTTTTCAGCCTATGCAGGAATTTAATCTAGCACTTATAAGTACAAAATGGCTTTCGTTTAGTGTGTATTTTAAAAGCGATGTCCAAACTGGTGAGTAGATGCCAATTTCTTAATATTCAAAAAATATAATATTAAAAGCCTTTCTCCATTATCAATATAGTGGAAATTCTTTGCAATATAATCCCCAAGATTTCTGACTTTCTACATACTTTATTATATTTATTTATTTATTTTTGAGACAGAGGTTCACTCTGTCGCCCAGGCTGGAGTGCAGTGGTGTGATCTCTGCTCACTGCAAGCTCTGCCTCCTGGGTTCAAGCGATTCTCCTGCCTCAGCCTCCCGAGTAGCTGGGATTACAGGTGCCTGCTACCATGCCCAGCTAATTTTTTGTATTTTTAGTAGAGACAGCGTTTCACCATGTTTGCCAGGATGGTCTCAATCTCCTGACCTCGTGATCCACCCACCTCGGCCTCCCAAAGTGCTGGGATTACAGGTGCGAGCCACCGTGCCCAGCCGATTTTATTATATTTAGTAGTCATTAGCTGGCATAATTTAGCTTTGTGTTTGATAATGTATTTTTCAAATTCCTAATACATAGCTACATCTTCAAGGAAAATGAAAAATTTACTACATTCCCTTTCCTTTATGTGCTGCTATCTACACTGTCTGATAGATTCATTCATGGATTTAGTCATTTACATGATTAATACATATTTGTTTGGTATCTATTATAGACCATGCTTGTGCTAAATGCCAGCAATGGGGCAGTGACAAAGGAGATGTGTCCCCATGCTCATGTGGCTTACAGAATTTAATACTAAAAGAGAGGCCATAAATAGGTAAAGTAATATTCATCATGATCATCATCAAACTATTACGAAATCATTACAAATAAGAGCTATGCAGGCAATAAACATAGAGAGTAATGGGGCTGGGAAGTGCCACTTTAGCTGGGAACGTCTGGAAGGAGGAGGTGGCATTAAGATTGAGACTTAAAGCATGAAAAGGAGTCAGCCATGCAGAAGAGTAAGTAAAAAAACATGTATTCCTCTTTGAAAATGAAGATGAGACCTCTTTAAACAGGTGATACCACGTTGCACAGAGATCACCACTGGATTTGTATAAACCATACAGCAAGCCAGCTGCACAGGGGAGATTAGAGAGCTTAGAAACCCTGCTTCCTCACCCTGAGCGTTTTTACTCTTCTCACTAGCCTGTTTCCTGTTTTTCCCGTTTTGCCCTTCTTTGCCCCTCTCTCTCTCCCTGCTGTCATCTCCAGGGTTCAGCTAGGTTTCCCTTTGCTCTACCCTGGACAATATAGTTTGAATAATCAGACTAAACAGGACAGCCTTAGACATGTTTATAGGGTGTGCTGGAGAATGTCAAAAGCAAGGCACGGCGGAAGCCCAGAGACCCTCACCCACCCAGGCTTTACATTGTTTCTGGAAAAGAAGGCGGGTCTCCTGCCTCAGCTGACTTGTGCCTGGTTCTCTAATAATGGAGTGTTATTTAATTGGTGCTTCCTTTACATCAATGGAAATAGTAGCACAAGACACAGGGACAAAGCAACATGCCAGCAGTTAAATATAAGTGAGTGTTCAGACCCATCCTTCCAAGGGCTTTGCAGTATTATTTAGAACACATCCTAATGACTAAGGCATATATATATCCTTGGGCGGGACGGCTTCATATAAGAGACATCTGGCATGTATTTTCTGGTCTAAAATTATAGCATTCCCACCTAAAGCAATTTATATTTCTAAGAAGATGGGAGAGAAGGATGATGAAGTACCATCTGACAATTTATTTATTTGTTGCTTAAATATAGAAGTTAGAAGTCCCGAACTGTTATTAACATTAGCATTTTAAAAATGCATACAAGTGAAGAAAGCTTGCCAAAATATTAACTGCAGATTTCTTTTCCTTTGTTTTGTTTTGTTTTGTTTTTGAGATGGAGTCTTGCTCTGTCGCCCAGGCTGGACTGCAGTGGCATGATCTTGGCTCACTGCAACCTCCGCCTCCGGGGTTCAAGCAATTCTCTGCCTTAGCCTCCTGAGTAGCTGGGAGTATAGGCGCCTGCCACCATGCCTGGCTAATTTTTGTATTTTTAGTAGAGATGGGGTTTCACCATCTTGGCCAGGCTGGTCTTGAACTCCTGACCTCGTGATCCACCCGCCTCGGCTTCCCGGGATTACAGGTGTGAGCCACCGAGGCCGGCCTTATTTCATTTTCTTTCCATTCCTCTGAATCTTGTACATTGAGAAGGCATCACTGAAGCCATGTTTTTTTTTCAACTAAAGTAATCCTACAGACAGGGATATTATTTGCTACATGAAAAGCTTGAAACCATTCTTCCCCACTTTTAATCACCTGAAAGTAATCATTTTTTACAGCAAACATCACAGAGCCAAAGGCAAAGAAAACCAAACAAAGGCAGGGCTTCCCCAGAGAACTTCCTAAGGCTCTCTCACAGAAGCTTCTAGTCAATCTTTGTTTGTCAAAAGCAACTGTCTGATGGAAATTTCACTTCATAAATGTTGGAACTGGAAGAAAGGCAGGATCTTCCTATGATACCCTATTTGGGAAGGAAAGAGAGTGGAGAAAATGAGAGCAAAGATTCTTTTGACTGCACAACAGTGGATGTCGCTTCCCGTGGTTGTTCGGGCTCTTCAGGAGACCCACACTGACCTGCTGGTTGATGAAGGTGATTACTTCTGAGACGACACTGCTCTTTCTGAAGACACGGGTATAGTTAGGCTGCTTCTGAAACATCTCCCTAGAAATCCTGTCTTTCTCTTCACTAGCTCCCAAAAGTCTTCATTTGAATTGGCTAACAAGGGGAAAAGGGTTCTACGCTTCCCTTCGTAAAGCAATGGCTTTCAAATGCTGTTTCCTATCACAATCCTATTTTACATCTTCCCTGATGTCGCCATACATGACTCGGAGCACAGCAGGGCTGCCTTGTTTAGGTAGAGTGGAGGTTCAGAGTTCTACCTCATTGCTTCCCCTTTTCTCCCTGAGATGACCTCTGAGATGCCTTTGGACTTCTTAGAATCTAGTTTGAAACCTTAAAGAACTTCTGGCTTTCTGATTTGACCTTTTATGCCAATTCAAATCAAGGAATATTTATTGTGCGTCATCTACCTACAACACTAAGAGGTCTTGAGAGCATTCAGACATGAAAAATAGCCTATGCCTGCTCTTCACAACCTCCTCTGCTCTGTGGATAAATTGCACTTAATTTTACTGTGATATGAATCCCCCTCTTCTTTAGACCAGCTCCACCATGTGCACCCATCATATGCTTCTCCTGTCCATGGGCATGGCCATGAGCATGGTGTAAGTGCTCTAACCCCCTGAATCCTGCTTCTGGGTATCCCTTCTCCCTCCATTCCCTAGATTAGCTAGCCCCATCTTCCCTGCTCTCTGATCTTGATCCTGCTCTTCCGATCCCCTTGTCCTATCCAACTGCCTTCTGGGACTTTATAGTATTTGCTTCCTTGACCTCTCTCTCAGGCCTTGTATACCAATTTTCCTTTGTGCTTTGCACAAAGATTAGCACTGACTATTCCCATACTCAGTTCTGGCCACCAGGACTCCATCTTGTGCCATACAAATTATACTATTACATTGCCATAATGTTTACACTTAAAACAGTTACCTTAAAAATTCTTGTAAGGTGGCTCAGATTTGAAGATTCGGTTCCCTCTTTTTTGAGGTTTGTATCTCTTAATTCTATACTCCTGAGCCGAGCATGAATTCTGACCAATACCTGGGCTTTCTTTAGAGAGTCAGCACTTCAGAGTTATATGCATGGATGTATGTATACCCACATGTACATAAAATTGATTTATATATGTGTATATAAATAAACAAATATGTTTGTATATATACAACTGTAAAAAAAAGTCTCAGTTTTTTTAGTATAAATATATACAGGAAGAACAGACCTCTATTTTGTATATGGATATATGCACTCATTTATTTTTTCTATGATAATAGAATAAAGACTATTCAACAAATAGTCTAATGAGCCAATACCATATGTCTTCGGAAATGCAGGGTGAGAAGATAGAATCTACAACATCATGGACCACAAATTCTCATATGTTTAAGGTAGAATAATTTGTATTATATCAAATTATAAAACAGATAGATACTCTTACTATTTGGTATATACTCTTCCTTCTATACATACTGGTATACAGATTGAATATTCAAATTCAAATCTAGCTATATTCTATTTTTTCACTTAACATTTAATCATGACTTTTTGGTACTTAACAGTAACTTTACTGTCCTTACAATTTAGTAGTGTATAATGTGCCATCTTATGGAATTATTATATTTATCAAACTATTTCTCTTGTTTGACAGTTAAGGATTTGTCACTTTTTTATATATGTAGCAGTGCAAGAAACAGCTTTGTCTACAGCAAAAAAAGAGCAGTTAAAGAGAAAGGCAGAGCCTGGTATCTCTGTTTTGCTGAGATTTGAATAGGATTGATAGTTTTCTAAATGACTTGTTGTAAATGTAAAGTATGTAGTCCTGAGAAAGCTCTTTGAGCTCAAGGATGTGTCTGCATGCGTGTGTGTGTGTGTGTGTGTGTGTGTGTCTGGGTGTCTGTGTGTAGTAGTAGTATATTACATCTGATCATCCAAAAGATCACCCTAACAATTACCTATGCAAATATGTTGAAAGTGACTAATTTTTAATATAATTAAAACAAACAGGTTAGTTAAAAAGATAATCAAACTTCTGAACTCAATCAAATACAAGTCTTACTAAAAGTAGACCAAAACAGAGAGAGAGAGAGAGAGAGAGAGAGAGAGATGTCTTCTACCTCAGTGATAGCACACATAAGCAGTTACATGTACACACACTCATCCACACAACGAGCAAAGCTTTCATGAAAAGGTACATTATCCCTCATATTTCAATTTATGAATGTTAATAATTGAAATATAATTATGCATAATTCGGAGATGGCGTCTGGAGTCAGACTGTCTGAATTCAAATCCCAGTTCCACCTTTGCTAATTCTGTACATTCTGGCTGATTCTTTGACTTCTTTACACCCCAGTTTTTGCATCTATAAAATGAGATTTAATGTTACATATGTCATAGTTGATTCTCTGGCATAGACAGAATGAGATAATATATGTAAAGCTCTTAGCCTGGCTCGTGACAACCCCTCCATTGATCATATGTATAATTGTTGTTTTGATAGAGTTGATTCTTCCATTATTTGTAGAAGATCCAGTTTTCACTTTGGTATGTGATTTGACTTCTGTAAGGCAAAATTCTCCAAGAATTATACCAAGAAAAGCTTTAAGAGAAGTACATTCTGATAGGGAAGGGAAGCTATCTGCCTTTGTCCTCCTGAGGATTACTTTACTCTTGGAGTCACTAATTTATTCATCAAACCACTATGGGATCCCTATCATGTTCCAGGTACCGAGCTGGGTACGAGTAATTCAGAGAACAATAAAGACACAGTCTCTTTTGTCTTGGAGGTTTCAGCACTTAAAAATTCCCCAGTACATATCAGCATGTCTGTTTTTGGAGTCCTGCCATTCTCCTTTTAAAAGACTGGCTTAAGCTTGTGAAACATTTCTCTCTGTTCCCAGGATAAATACGAGCTGCAATGAAATTAAGAAAAAATATTTACTAGGAAAGAACATAAAAGAATTGAAAGCAGCAAGTAAAAGCAATGCCCAATTAGATACCCTTTCAAGGAGCAGATTATTGCATAGAAGGAAATCATCCTGAATCCCAGTCCTGGAATCAGCATTTTGCCTGGTTCTTGGCCTCCATGCTGCTCTCATTGGTTGTTGATCCCTGGGTCTTTTAGACCCCCTGGTCTTCATGAAGCTGACAATCAACTCTTTTTGCTCTGTCTCAAGCTAGATGCAACAGACTTTTCATTCCACAAAATGCAAAACCTTTTCCTAACTTATTTCCTCCAGGATGGGGTTTTTACAGACAGGGGCAGGGTTGCCAGTTATTCTGTGAGTCCTCCTGAGCCTCCCCACCTAAGTTATTATCATATCCCCACCCACCTTCAAGACCAGCTGCTATGATAGATTTCTCCATCCCACCAAGGATGTGTCCATCCTACCCATTGAAAGTCATAAGGCAGTTCCATAATAGAAATACAGCATGAGCCACATATGAATCTTAAAGTTGCTAGTCACTACCTTAAAAAGGTAAAGATAGGCCAGGCACGGTGGCTCACACCTGTAATCCCAGCCCTTTGGGAGGCCGAGGTGGACGGATCACCTGAGGTTGGGAGTTTGAGACCAGCCTGACCAACATGGAGAAACCCTGTCTCTACTAAAAATAAAAAATTAGCCAGGCGTGGTGGTGCGTGCCTGCAATCCCAGCTACCAGGGAGGCTGAGGCAGGAGAATCGCTTGAACCCAGGAGACGGAGGTTGTGGTGAGCCAAGATCGCACCATTGCACTCAAGCCTGGACAACAAGAGTGAAACGGCACCTCAAAAAAAAAAAAAAAAAAAAAAAAAGGTAAAGATAGAATTTTAAATTTTAGTTTAAGTAAAATTTAATTTTAATGACATTTTATTTAACTCAATATATAATACCAAAGTTGTTTTCAATATGAAACCAAATACACATCATTAATGAGATATTTCAAATTCTTTTTTTCATACTAAATCTTTGGAGTCCAGTTTGTATTTTACACTTACAGCATATCCCAGTTCAGACTACCCACATTGTCAGTGCTCAGTGCCCACATGTGACTGGTGGCTAAGCATGCTGTCCAGCACGGACCCCAGGAAATCCCAAGAACTTCACCACATAGCAATGCTAACGTACATACTGCAATAATTCTCCCACTCACCATCACGGGAGGGTCATTCTCTCATAACCTCTCACTTCCTCTCTCCCATACACCCTTCCAGTACTAATAAATCAACTCTTCATCCAAGAACCATACCCAAAAGATGTTTCCCCAAAATGCTTTCAGGAAACTTCCATCTATACTACTCTGCCTCAATCCAGCTCTCCCTACTGTATGTCACTGTTTCGTATTTCTACAGAAAATGCCTTGATACATCATTTTCAGAAAACACTAGCAGTAATCTTATGGTACATAGTCCTGGGCTGAATAGGGATTAAAATTAGTGAACCTGGCATATTCTGCATCTACTTTGGACCTGACCATTCGCATAAACGCAACCTATGTTTGTTTACGGCTTTGCCATTGTCTTAGCTGATAGCTTCGTTCTGTTAAATAACTTTTTAAAATTAGAACACAGATTTGAAAGATAAACAAATACACAGCACTGATTTTTTTATCTGGTTGAGTTAATTTTTAACTCCAAATAATGAAGCCAGTACTGTGAGCAGATAAAAATTAATACTACCAAAAGGATCTCTTGGAATATGAGATATGTTACACATTTTTATAGAGAGAGTTCTCAATTTTCTTTTCTTTCTTATTTTTCTATGGGGAAAAAAACACACTGCACAAAACATCATTCACCAATGAGTGAAAAATAGCTTACTAACAGTCTCATTCAAGCTTTACCTCCTTTAAGAAGAGTTCCTTTAACTGCCCAGAGCATTCTACTAACCCCTAATCTATGTGCCTATAGTTTTCTGTGTATATCTTCTAAATTTCTTTCCATTGTAGTGTAATGGCTAAAAGTGTGGACTTCAAAACTGGACCTCTGGGTCTAAGTCCCAACTCTCCCACTGATTAGCTGTGTAGCCTCGGACCAGCTATTTAACCTCACTGTGCCTCATTTTCTCTGTTAATACTACCTGCTTTTTAGAGTTGCTATGAGTGAATATAGTAAAATACTTAGAATAGTTGTCTGGTAAGTATTAAATGTTGGCTCTTATTCCAAAATTGCTTTGGGGATTTTGTTTTCTCAATGACCACTGTCATCTTCAATATAATTAGCCTAAACATTAAGAAGTTTCAAGCCAAACAAGTTCCTCTACTTTTTTTCCTATTTCTATCAAAGTTTTCATCATTCTTCTTTTTAAACTCACTCAGAACTTTGAAGGTGTCCTTAGTCCTTCTCAATGGTCTCCCTTACCCAGTTTGTTATGTTTATTGATGTTTTGCCTTCATTATTGCTCCAAGAGAAATCAAAAAGAAGATCACAGAATTTAGAACCCAAAGAGCTATCTTAGCTCTGAAGTACACAAGCTGATTAATTTAGAGTAATTCTTCAGCCTCCAATCCTCAGTCTCCTCTAAAATACACAATATTTTAATGCCTATTTCATACTATAATTTTTGTTTGTTTTTGAGATGGAGTCTTGCTCTGTCACCAGGCTGGAGTGCAGTGGCGTGATTTCAACTCAATGCAACCTCTGCCTCCCAGGTTCAAGTGATTCTCCCACCTCAGCCTCCCGAGCAGCTGGGACTACAGGTGTGTGCCACCATGCCCAGCTAATTTTTTGTATTTTTAGTAGAGACGAGGTTTTACCATGTTGGCCAGGATGGTCTCAATCTCTTGATCTCGTGATCCACCCACCTCAGCCTCCCAAAGTGCTGGGATTACAGGCATGAGCCACCGTGCCCGGCCTCAAATTATAATTTTATTACCTCCCCACATGTATGTGAAAGAGATTTGCCTAGCACATGTTCTATACCCACATTGGTAATGACTCTTTTTACCTCTCAAACTGCTTAAATTTGGGGCTTGGAACAAATCACTTTGCTTATTGCTTTGCAGAACACTTTCTTCCCCTCAGAATCCTAAAATAGCAGTACTTAAAGTGGCTCTAGAAGTTATCAATTACAATTTACTGTTGCAATGTTTTTCTTCCTAAAAATCGTCTGCAAATTGATTTGTCCAGTCCCTGACTAGAAACTCTTTCTACTTCAGCATCATCATTGTAAAAAATTATGTTACTTGCTGGTGGAAACCCCTTCACTGTTATTCATCAATAAATTGGTCCACACTTCCACAGATGTCTTTGAATAGGATATCCTAAAATGACCACTTTACAGGCCACCTGATGTCACCTCAATGTATCTTAAAACCAGCCCTGTGTGTGAAGGAAATGTCATCGGCACTGAGTAGCCAGTCAGGAGGCGTGTGGATGTTAACCAGTAAGAGCCAGTTGAACGAATGCTGAGCTGAGTGAAGGAGGATGAAGCGGCTAATCTATTAGACTTCAACCTTTTTAGTGCCTAATAATGGTATTTGCTCCTCAAAATTTATGAAAATATTTTAAAAAATGCAGCCACGCTGAATGAGTCTTAGAAACATTGATGAATTATTTCTAGTGCCTGGAAAACAATGAAATATAGAATTTTCTTTCACCCAAATCTCATTAAACTGTCAGACATTTTTCTGCTTTCTCTAGTAACTTATCAAGGTATTTATGTGTATGCACGTGTGTGTCTATATATCTTGATAACCAGCTATGATGGGAGAGGAAATGCTGGAAAATGTTTGACAATCTAATGAGAGTTTGTGACATCTGTTTTCCAAGGCTCCACTACGTGCTGAGGTAGCTCGTTAAATTAGGGTGGTGCTGCAAATTCAAAGCTTCTACGTGTCCTTGGTAGAGCCCTGAGGTGCCCTTAGTATTCTGAGTATTTCAGTCCTTTGACTTGACTCTCAAATTCCCAATTCCTCCTGGCATTACCCTGTCCTTCAACCAACTCCTCTACTTTTTGGTGTAAATGTCATTGTTTAATAGGAATCTCAATTTTCAAGCGAAAATATGGACCTGAAATGGTAGACTTTAAAGCATGGGTTTGTTTTACTTTCTCGTTTCTATCATAACCCCATTAAATCATCTCCATTGGCTATCTGTAAAACTTCTTCTTGTCCCATTCAAATCCCTTATTTGAGGGAAAGTTTCCAGAGATCCTAACAGTACTTGCTTTGGGTTGAAGTTTCAACATTATAACTGTAGGTGAAGCGTCCCTCCACTGTTCAGTATTGGGCATGGGGTGGGGGAGTGACGGTAAATGTTGATGGAAGGTATGATCTTGGAGAACCACCAAGAACAGAAGTCAACAGGAAGACAGCTGACCTTATTGGGGTCCCTGACAGATGTGTAACAACAGGTGCTTAATTACGTGTTTTATCTTTCAATCCCTTTGTATTCCTGGCATGTGAGCACTGTCACCCCATTTTATAAATGAAAGGACTGAGCTCAGAGAAGTTCAATGGCTTGCTGAGGTGGTAGAGTTGCCCTTAGAAAGCAGGTCTGAGGAACTCCATGGCCTGGCTTTTCCTTCTATCCTATTGGACCCTGGGCTGTCACTCACCTCCTTTTCCTTTGCAAAGTCTCATGGGATACCTGGTGGGCTGTCCCAGGACCTTCATATTCAGCCTCCCCCTCTAACCCACACATACTTGCAATTCAGAAACAAAGAAGTACTGCACTTTCCTTTCTTACCAAACCCTCATTGGCAAGGGGACAACTCACCATCTCATGTATGTGCCTTTGATCACAGTAGGATGGGGCAGCAGGAGTAATGCAGCAGCCCCAGGATTAAATGTGTGTTTTTTAAAACACAATATCAGATTCCTTACCCAGAAAAAGGCTTATTTTGGTACCAATTATCAAGCAGATTTGCTTGAGATTCAAACAGATAAACAATAGCAGCATGGCATACAAGGTACAGACTGTTTTCTCATTTGCAAAATAAAGATATTAATGCCTACATCAGGGACATAGTGAGGCCTAAATGAAATACTGTGTGTAGCATATAGCAAGAGCATATATGGTATGCAAGAGCAATATGGTATGCAAGAGCAATAATGGTATGTATTATTATTAACAGAAATATAATAAAAATGGGGTAGTTACTATGTTTCAGGCATCATTCTCAGTACCATATGGATATTAAAAACCTTTCAACTATCTTATGAAGAAGGTACTATTATTATCATCATTTGATAGTTAAGGAAACAACATAGACACTGATGATTTGGATTGAAGAGTTATAAATAACAACAATTTGCGGGCCAGGCATGATGGCCCATGCCTGTAATCCCAGCACTTTGGGAAATGAGTCGGATGGATCACCTGATGTCAGGAGTTCAAGACTAGCCTAGCCAACATGGTGAAATCCCATTTCTATTAAAAATACAAAAATTAGCTGGGCATGGTGGCAGGCGCCTGTAATCCCAGCTACTAGGGAGGCTGAGGCAGGATGATGGCTTGAACCTGGAAGGCACAGGTTGCAGTGAGCCGAGATCACGCCACTGCACTCCAGCCTGGGTGACACAGCAAGACCCTGTCTAAACACACACACACACACACACACACACCCCCACAATAATTTGCTATTTGTTAATTATGCAATTAATTATTAACATTATCAACATAGATGATAAAGTACTGAGGGAACAAACACCACCCCGTAATAAATTATCTTATTAATTTTCTAAAATTTATGAGGCAGAAAGCAGGTCAATTCTACCTAACCCTCATGTAGGGACTACCCTGCAATTTCTCAATAGTTGGTCATTTATTCCTCAGGGATCTAGAACTAGAAATACCATTTGACCCAGCCATCCCATTACTGGGTATATACCCAAAGGATTTTAAGTCATGCTGCTATAAAGACACATGCACATGTATGTTTATTGAGGCACTATTCACAATAGCAAAGACTTGGAACCAACCCAAATGTCCAACAATGATAGACTGGATTAAGAAAATGTGGCACATATACACCATGGAATACTATGCAGCCATAAAAAATGATGAGTTCATGTCCTTTGTAGGAACATGGATGAAGCTGGAAACCATCATTCTCAGCAAACTATTGCAAGGACAAAAAACCAAACACCGCATGTTCTCACTCATAGGTGGGAATTGAACAGTGAGAACACTTGGACACAGGAAGGGGAACATCACACACCGGGGCCTGTTGTGGGGTGGGGGGAGCGGGGAGGGATAGCATTAGGAGATATACCTAATGTTAAATGATGAGTTAATGGGTACAGCACACCAACATGGCACATGTATACGTATGTAACAAACCTGCACGTTGTGCACATGTACCCTAGAACTTAAAGTATAATTAAAAAAAAATTTAAAAAAATCTCACAAAATAGTCTTTCCCATTGTAGTACCAAATACTAGAAAGTTCTTCCTACTATCTGACTGAAACCAGCCTCCCTTTCACTTCCACTCAACACTCTTGGATTTGCTCTCTAGAGCTACATTACCTTGTTTAATCTCTTTTCCCCTTGATGTCTTTTAAATATTTGAAGATTGTGATCCCATCTCCCTGAGTCTCCTCTTTAGGCCTCATGTTCTCAGTCTCTCCAGCTGTTCCTCATGCAGCAGCATGGTTAAGGAGCTTCCCCACACTTTGGCCTCACTGTTCTGGATACATTCCAGTTAGTTATACCCTCTGTATTTGAGATAAACAAGACTGAGAGTGATAGTCTGCATGGGTAGTGTGTACTGAGAGAAGAGAGGGGACCACGCCACGTACCAGCAGTGCAGCACTGAGAAAAGACTTGGGCCTCTCTAAGCCAAAGCGTTCTAGGCTTTGCATTGGAACTATCAGTAGGTTTGTTTTGACTATGAAGTGAGATAATGAACTATGTAAAGCCCTTGAGATATAATATTCGTGCATGTATCCATGTATTTATTCTATGATTTAGTCTATAATAAAGACTATCCAACAATTAATCGAATGAGTCAATACCATATGCCTTTGAAAATGCAGAGTGGGAAGATAGAATCTACAACATCATGGACCACAAATTTCCATATGTTTAAGGTAGAATAATTTGTATTATACCAAATATCCTTGATATGCAATTAGCATTCTATTGATATAATCATTTTGTGCTATATGTTCTATTAGTTTGCAATTCTCCTTTTGAAACTGGATGCCAAATTTTGTTTTTACCCGCTTCACAGAACCTGAGCTCTGTGAACAAATCACATGGATTGCATCTCAGACAACTAGCTGTATGATTTGTGACAAGTTTCTTCACCTACATCTATACATTGGGGTTAATAACAGTATATTGTAATATGATGGTAGCGAATATTAAATAAGAAAATATGTACAAAGTACTTTGATCAGTGCCTAGTACATAGTGAGTACACAACCGTTTAAGTGTTAGCCCTTATTTTATTATTGTGGTTGTTATTATTATTTTTATATTAGCCAGTTTGCTTTTGAGCCCATTGGTCCATTATTTGTTTTTTAAACCAATGGCCAAACATTTATAGAGCATCTTTTGGCAATATTCTTTTTATTCTGGTGGGACAATTGCTGTGTTCTGACATCAAGAAACTCCCAATCTAATGAGGGAGATGCACGTATAAATAACACACTCTGATATTGTGCTATAAACACAATGGCAGCATATATGCAGGACGTTAAAGAGAAGAAACCAAAGAAAGGGGTAACTAACTCTCAGGGTGATCAGAAGAGTCTAACTGTAGGATCTGTTGCTTGATCTGTGTTTTAAGGAATAAAATAATGTTAGGCAAGTTGGGCATTTTTGACCAAATAAATAAATAGATCACATCATTTAAATATTTCCAAATAAATGTTTTTGAAATGCTGTCTTTACAGTATGATTTTCTCTTGAGAGCAGTTCTCTCATGCACTTTGAAAATGCCACTCTTACCTTGCAGGGACAGATCAAGTGGGTTATTTTTATAAACACATCTGCTGGCTACTGACAGTCACTTCTTATTTACAGAGAAGGTCAGCAAATTTGGAACATCGGCTTTTTCATAAAAGCAAAATGTGTTATCTCTCTTTATTGTTCTGCAGCCTCTTTAAAAACTTTGCCATGAGATCATTTCCACAATAAAATCTGCATTGTAACAAAGATTTCTATTGTCATTTCCCATCTCATGAAAACTATTGTAAAACATTTACTAATTCTCTCTTGTTTTAGGGACATCAACCTCATTAATTGCATTATATATAGTATTCTTTATGCTTTGAACTTCAACTTTGGTGCAATAAATTGGCTATGACTTAAGCAGTAAATAAGCATGGTGAGATCTATAACTTTAACTTATTTTTTTTCTTTTTAAGCAGAGCATCTGCTCCAACAATGGCTATACTTACACATTTCTTCCATAAAGCCATGTGTTTATTTAGTCAACTATTGTTTGTGAGGACAGCTTTGCTGTATAGGATCACACCTGAAAAGGTGTTTTTGATGTGCTTGAATATTAAATGAAAATTCAGAAAATCCTATGAAGAGAAACATGTTAGAAACATTTGTAGTTGCATGCCACCATGCACCATATAGCAAATTTTCTATTGTGTAATTGATTGTGTATTTCTTTAAATTTTTAACAAGTCTGTCTATATATAGCACGATACTATTTGTGGATGAAGTAATACATTTTGGCTTGTTACCATATTGTTCTCCATCTATTATGTCAGCCTTATTATTGTAGCAGGATACAGCCCCAGTAATGTATGTTTTTTTTAAATTTTATGTTTTGCTGTTGATTACAAAACTACAACACAAGCTTCTATATTATCATTAGGTTTTACTGAAATTTCGTGAAGTATTAGATTGAGTAATGCATGATTTTAAGCCTTCCAGAAAAAAAAACCTGTTAAGATCTGTCCTCATAGCCATCACACTTGCTTATTGAATGTCTTGCTCATTATGATAGCTTAGTACTATGACCAGGAAACATCTCAAGGCACAGGTAACACTTGAGGTAAGGTTCGCAGCTAAGGTTGGTGGGTATAAATCCATACTTCAAAGAGAACCCTCAACAATTTCCTTGTTTTGGGCTAACTTCTTATCAGATCTCATTAGATCATCATTGCTTTTCCCCCATAATGCTGCCAAAGAAAAAAAACAAAACACAAAAATACACCTTGTCACAGGATTTGGGGGGTGGGGGTGCTGGCTCGCTCTTTTCTTACTTCTCAATGCCAGCATTATTATTTTGCGGTTTCTTTACAGGAAGATTTTAAGCCACTCATTCAGTTTGAGAGGGTTAGTTTAATTAAAACTTGATACCCTTGTCCGTAAATCCCCAGAGCAGAGTCCTGGTAGCTGCAGCCAGGGGGAAACACACAGACTGGGAGGCTGGCCTGGGGACATTGAAGGAAACTGCCATTTATTGGGCATTGCATATCTCCCCAAATGAGAGTTTCCCTTATGCAAAATTTAATTATATGCAAATTTACATCTGTATATTTTGAGGCAACCATGGAAATTTTGGTTCCAACAAATGCAAATTTTGTGACGCCTATTATAGATAATTAGAAAAAGAAGGAGCGAGTGTAGAAAATAGAGATAAAGCAGGCGCAGAGAAGCAAAGTAAATTTTTTGGAGGCTTTGCAAAAGAGAATGCGGGCGAGGAAAATAGAACCTAATTTTAGAATGGCATTCTGCAGGAGGCCATGAGGAGGAAGTGGAGTAGGTATAAGAGGTACTGCGAGGGCAGGTCCCAGGGAGGCTTAAAAGATGGGGCTATTAGGGGTGTTAAGTACTCCTGGAGACATAAGATCCCACTGGCAGGGACTGGAGGAACAGCTTCAGGGAAGAATAAGCTGTTAAACAAACAAGTATTCTAGTATTTGCATTACCTCAACTAAGCCAAGAACATATTTGCAACGAAGTAGAAGTTATTTCCTTAAGAGCTTCTGGTGACAAGGGATTCCAAATAATCCCTGAATAGTGAAGGATTTACTATTGCACATTTAAAATGTGTAAAATGTTTTAACATTGTCTTACAATGATGTCTTTATTATTATATGTTAGTAAATTAAATATTTACTTATAAGTTGTATAGATTTATTAGCAACCTCAGTTCTTCATCCCACTTTTTTAGGTTCCTGAAATTAAATTACATAGTCTTGTTAGAAATGCTTGTTCCCCGGTGCCATAAAGAAATAGCACTTGAACATAAATTTAATTTCCTCAGCAAGGCAGTTTTTACCTATTGCAGAAAGGGTACACTTGCCAGCAGTTTTGCCACAAGAGTACACCGAACAAAGGAGACAGGGTCATTTATAACCTGACCCATCCACCTTCCTGCTGTGTCCACTTTCCATTGGCTGAAACGGGACCTCACATTCTGTATTTGTCCTGATTGGCTAGCAACTTAGGACTCTTTAAAAGAGTCAAAGGCAGAGGAGAACAAAGGAAGGAGGAAGTAACTTGTGGCATGCTGACAAAGGTAAAAACACCTTAAAATAAAGAAGAGGAACAGGCTATGACCTAATGCTTGCTTGGACCAGTATAAGCATGCCAGGGCAAATATTTAGGTTAAATTGTGGGAGCTAAGAACATAAAGTACATCGATTTATTTATTACGGCTAGCAGATATTTCAGAATGTTAGCACAGGTCTTTGAATAAATTTTGTTTCTAAGATAAGTTACTATTTATTCCTAATTAGATGGAGAGGAAAGTCTTTGAAGAGGAACCTCTACTTTGCTTTTTACAGTCTTTTGCCAGTTCACCTGCTTTGTGGGTTTTTAGGACCTGCCTCTGGCATTTTGAAGGAGATATTTTTTTATCAGAAGCATCACTAGGAACTTTATTTATGCTATTTAATTTCATCCTCAAATCTATTCAGAGCCTAAACAAATGCTGATCTCTCTAGTAAATAGGCACTCTGCACTCGTGTGCAAAACTTTCAGGTATTATTTTTAATGTTTTTCAGGAAAGAAATCTGAGGTCCAGAGAACTGGGAACAATACTAATTGAATTAGAATGTGATCTGTATTAGTTTCCAATTGCTGCTGTAACAAATTGCCTCAAGCTTAATGGCTTAAAACAACATAATCATCTTATAGCTCTTGGTGTCCAAAGTCCAAAACGGGTCTTACTGGGTTAAAATCAAGAAGTTGGCAGGGCTGCTTTCCTTCTGTGGGCTTTAGGGGAGAATCTGTTTCCTTGCCTCTTCCATCTTTTAGAGGCTGCTTACATGAATTGTCTTGTGACATAGTTTGGATGTTTGTCCCCTAAAAACCTCATGTTGAAATTTGATCCCAATGTTGGAGGTAGGGCCTAATGGGAGGTGTTTGGGTGATGGGGATGAATTGCTTTTGCTCTCTCTGGGGCCAGGGAAGTGAGTTCTCACTTTTATTCTTAAGAGAACTGGTTGTTCCATTGTGGAAGACAATGTTGCAATTCCTCAAGGATCTAGAACCAGAAATACCATTTGACTCAGCAATTCCATTACTGTGTATATACCCAAAGGATTATAAATCACTGTACTACAAAGACACATGCACACGTATGTTTACTGCAGCACTGTTCATAATAGCAAAGACTTGGAACCAACCCAAATGCCCATCAATGATAGAGTGGATAAAGAAAATGTGGCACATATACACCATGGAATACTATGCAACCATAAAAAGGATAAGTTCATGTCCTTTGCAGGGACATGGATGAAGCTGGAAATCATCATTCTCAGCAAACTATCACAAGGACAGAAAACCCAACACTGCATGTTATCATTCATAAGTGGGAGATGAACAATGACAACACATGGACACAGGGAGGGGAACATCACACACCAGGGCCTGTCAGGGTTTGGGGGTTAAGGAAGGGATAGCATTAGGAGAAATACCTAATGTAGAAGACAGGTTAATGGGTGCAGCAAACCACTATGGCATGTGTATTCCTATGTAGCAAACCTGCACATTCTGCACATGTATACCAGAACTTAAAGTATAATTTTTTTTTAAAAAAAGAGCTGGTTGTTTAAAAAAAGCCTGGCCCCTCCTCCCTCTCTCTTGCTTCCTCTCTCCCCACGTGATCTCTAAACACACCAGCTCCCCTTTACGTTCTGACATGAGTGGAAACAGCCTGAGGCCCTTGCCAGATGCAGCTACCCAATATTAAACTTTTCCAGACATGAGAATAGTGAGCAAAATAAACCTTTTTAAAATAAATTACCCAGCTTCAGCTATTCCTTTATAACAATTCCTTTAAGACAGCTTGTCTTATTCCTTTAAGACAGCTTGTGACTCCTTCCATCTCTAAAGCCAACATCACTCTAACCTCTTCTCTGTCTTCATGTTTGTTTTTTTTTTTTTTTTTGCGACCCTCATTTTCCTGCTTCTCTGTTTTACTTATAAGGACCCTTGTAAATACATTGGTTCCACATGAAGAATACAGGATATTATCTGCATGTCAAAATCCTTTCATTTAATCACATCTGTAAAGTCTCTTTTGTCATGCAAATTAATGTTTACAGATCTTAGGAATTAGGATGTAGACATTTGTGGGCCATTGAATACCACATAAACACAGATATGCCTGAAGATACCGCCTAAGTAACTTATATTTTAAATTCATTTACTCATTCAATAATTTTTTATTCATACCTGCTATTTGCAAGCCTATGTACTAATCCCTAGGGATATAACGTTGAACAAGATAGCCAAATCTCTGCAGCTCTAATATCTCCTAGGCTAGCTGATAGTTCCTTAACCGCCCCCAACCTCTCTCCCCACCTCTAGCAAGATATTAAGCAATAAAAATTCATCAAGTTTGTTCAATGGACACCTCATGCTGAGTAGAAATGGAAAGGAAAAATATAAATAAACATCTGTGCTCTCAAAGATTATTCAATCTAGATGAGAAGATGAAATACAAAAGAGAATAAAGGCAAACAGGTAGAGGGAAAAAACGTAATGAATTTGTCTTGGCAGAGGACTTTCTTTGAAAGCACTTGGAGTAGAAGAGGTATAATCTGAAGTTGTTGCGGTCAGTAAACAGAAAGACCCAGGGAGGCAGAAACTTACTCTGCATGAGTGAGAAGAAAGGATTCATTAATTCAATCCTGAAAAGAAGGGTGAGAGAAGGAAGAGAAATTAAGGGTTGATCAGGAGATGGGCAGTCCAGGAAGAGAAGAAGAGTCTGGGACTATTGAAGAGCCACTATTGCATATTGCTTAGGGTAGGGGAGGGAAGACAATAGACTTTTTTTTTTTTAAATTTTTAAATTTAGAAATTTATTCTGTTTAATCCACAAGCTTTATATAGCTTTAGTTTAAAAAAAATAAAAAAAAAAAATCAAAACAAAAACAGTGAAACCGAGACACTATTCCAAAGTCTGGGCCCTTCCAGCCTTCCAAATACAAGAGGCTCTGAAAGTTGTATACACCAATTGGAAGAACAAGACAAAAATATGAACAGAGCCATGACATTTCATTAAACAAATTGTATGTAACTGAAGGAATCCTTTCTGGGACTAGTTCATGGCCTTTACAAAAGAAAAAAACAAAACAAAAAAACAAAACCAGAAGAACAGAATGAGAGTCCAGTGTTCCAAATCAAGTTGTTACACATCAATATAAACCCACAGTGTCCTGGCAAACAACATGCTTTCATTTTCTGTCTTATCCTAGAGCTCGAATCCTGATTCATTTCAGCAGAGACTCCACAGGCAACAGGAAAGACTGTGGCATTAAAATATTCATTTATACTTTTGTGGTAGTTCAAAACAGTGGTCTTATTTCTGGGCAAGCTTACAGACCATACAAGGTCAGAAGCATAACTTAAATGGGAGCTAAGACTCAAATGGAAAAAAATGTAAGAAGAAGAAAGAAAAACAAAAAGCAAATCAAAACCAAAAAAACAAACAAAAAAACCCCTCTGGGAATAGCCAGAGCATTTAAAGGAACCATAAAAGTGTCAACAGTATTTAAACCCCCTTTTTTAAAAAGGGAATTTTTTTTGGCTTAAAATATTTCACTCAATGAATTATGTCAGCTGTCAATGAAAGAATGTCACTAATACACTGTGGACACCTTTTGCAATGTAAATCCATGCCCCCTTTTTTTACATGTTGAACTTCAACCTAGCAATTATTACAACAAATGTTATAGTCTAAAGCTCAAACACATTTTAGCAATTTTGAAATTGAACTGCGTACAAACCAAATAAAATTTACATCATAACAAACATTTCCCCCTAAGACTGTGGGGACACTTGGGCCTTCCTCATTGATCTCAGCAGAGACGCCAATACAGACGACAAAACCAGCAGTCTTCATCTGACTCTGGTTCCTCCTTCTCCTCAGAAGATGAACGACCCAAGAGATCCCATGTGAAGAATGGTGAGGTTGGCAAGCGGCGGAGACATTCCCCTTCCCGGAGTGCTTCTCCATCACCACGAAAGCACCAAAAAGAGACTTCCCCTCATGGTAGACGGAGGAGAAGTCCATCCCCACCACCCACCAGAAGGCGACGGTCTCCTTCTCCCGCCCCTCATCCTCGACGGCTCAGGACTCCCACACCACCACCACCACGACGAAGGACTCCTTCTCCTCCCCTACGTCGGCGCTCACCTTCTCCTAGAAGATACTCTCCTCCAATACAGAGGAGATACTCTCCTTCTCCACCTCCAAAGAGAAGAACGGCTTCACCTCCTCCCCCTCCTAAACGAAGAGCATCACCATTTCCACCACCAAAGCGGCGGGTCTCCCATTCTCCACCTTCCAAAGAAGCTCCCCAGTCACCAAGAGACGTTCACCTTCACTATCATCCAAGCATAGGAAAGGGTCTTCCCCAAGCCGCTCTACCCGGGAGGCCCGATCACCGCATCCAAACAAATGGCATTCGCCCTCATCACGGCCTCGAGCTCCTCAGACCTCAAGTCCTCCACCCGTTCGAAGAGGAGCGTCGTCATCACCCCAAAGAAGGCAGTCCCCGTCTCCAAGTACTAGGCCCATTAGGAGAGTCTCCAGGACTCCGGAACCTAAAAAGATAAAAAAAGGCTGCTTCCCCAAGCCCACAGTCTGTAAGGAGGGTCTCATCCTCCCGATCTGTCTCTGGGTCTCCTGAGCCAGCAGCTAAAAAGCCCCCAGCATCTCCATCCCCCATCCAGTCTCAGTCACCGTCTACAAACTGGTCACCAGCTGTACCGGTCAAAAAGGCCAAAAGCCCAACACCGAGCCCATCACTGCCAAGAAATTCAGATCAAGAAGGAGATGGAAAGAAAAAGAAGAAAAAGAAGGACAGGAAACACAAAAAGGATAAGAAGCACAAGAAGCACAAAAAACACAAGAAGGAAAAGGCTGTGGCTGCAGCTGCTGCAGCTGCTGTGACCCCTGCAGCCATTGCAGCTGCCACAACCACATTAGCACAGGAAGAGCCAGTGGCAGCGCCAGAGCCGAAGAAGGAGACTGAAAGTGAAGCTGAAGATAACCTTGATGATTTAGAAAAGCACCTGCGTGAAACGGCCCCGAGATCAATGAGGACTTTTTTTTTTAAGAATTAGGATCTCTATTTAAAGGTTAATGTTGTATGTCCTCCTGCAATTAAATTTACCTTCAATTTTACTTAAAATTCTCAATTTGGGTTGCTCTATTCAAGAATTATTGGTGTGAGGGGAGTCTGGGATGGAAGAGGACATTAGTAGCTGATGAGTTTTATGCCTGGGTTAATGAGTTATAGCACAGGGACGACAAGAAATGATCTAGGAAACCTGGATGAAAAGGGGCTTTGAGATATAAGGCCGGGAATTGACAGATATCTGAGGGAAAAGATCTTTACTCCTAAATATTCTAGAATTAACAGAAGGGTGGAGAATTTTTTCAACTGGGTCATGAGGGAAAGGGATGTCTTTGGCTGGCATCTGGGTTCCCTGAATCTAATGAGGAGTGTAGACTTCAGTGGTTGTGATGATGGAACAGGGAATACATAGACTGGAGCTCAGAAGAAGAAGAGGTGACATCCAAATAGCCCCAAGAGTGGGCAGAGAGAGAAATGCAAGCAAAAACATGAAGACAAAACCCATATGTATAATGTAGTCCCTAAAAGCCAACCTTAGATCAATCATAGAAAAGTGTTCTATCTATGCTAACCCTTTTAACTCTCATAATACCACCCTGAAGTAGGAATCACCATCCTCTTTCATTCAGTTATGAATATATCTATTAACTCACCAAATATTCACTGTACATTGTAATGATCAGTTTTATGTGTCCACTTGGTAAAGTTACTGTATTAGTCCATTCTCATGCTGCTATAAAGAACTGCCCAAGACTGGGTAATTTATACAGAAAAGAGATTTAATTGACTCACAGTTCAGCGTGGCTGGGGAGGCCGCAGGAAACTTACAATCATGGCAGAAGGGGAAGCAAACATGTCCTTCTTCACATGGCAGCAGGAAGAAGGAGAATGAAAGTGGAGCAAAGAGGGAAGCCCTTTATAAAACCATGAGATCTCCTGAGAACTAACTCACTATCATGAGAACAGAATGGGAGAAACTGCCCCTATGATTCAATTATCTCCACCTGGTTCCTCCCACAACACATGGGGATTATAAGAACTATAATTCAAGATGAGATTTGGGTGGGGACATAGCCAAACCATATCAGTTACAACTCTCAGTTATTCAAACACTAATTTAGGTGTTACTATAATGATATTTTATAGATGTGATTAAAGTCCATAATCACTTGGTTTTGAGTAAGGGAGATTATTTTAGATAATGTGAGTGGGCCTGATTTAATCACCTGAAAGTCCTTGAGAGCAGAGCCAAGTCTTCCCTGAAGAAGAGCAGCATCCACATGAGTATTGCAGCTTCATCCTGTGCCTACAAGTCCCAGCCTGTTTTCTTCCTGCCTGCTCTGTGGACTTAGGATTTACCTAGCCAGTGCCCACAATCACATAGGTCAATTCTTTGCAAGAAATCTCTTAATACAGATATCTTACTGGTTTGGTTTCCTCTGGTTAAACCCTGATGAGATAGACATGGTGATGCCTCTATTTTGAATCCACAACCATAGAATTTTCTGTTTTCCCTCATTCTGTATCTGTGTGTCCTACAGAAAGCACCTGGCTCTCAGGAATATCATTCTTTTATTTCTTCCTTAGCGCTTTCTAGTAACTTACAGAAGTCTTTCTTCACTCAAGCTTTTGGGGTAATACATTTATTTTCTGGCTGTATTGATTTGGTAATCAATCAAACTATTGAGTTTTTAATTTGAGGGTTATATTTATATAGCCCCCAAAGCCAGTTGTTTTTTCTTCAGCTTCTTGTTTCTGCTTCATGCAGGAATCTTCCGTAGCTCCTCAAGGACATTTACTATGATTATTATAACATTTAAACATTATAGTTCAATGTCATGAAATTCAAACTTGTGGTCTTTATATATTTATTATAGCCCAGAAGCCAGTACAGTGCTTGATATACCATTGATGCTTAAAAATCATTTATGGAATAAACAGAGCGTCTACTTTAGGTTTAAAGATGCATTTCTCAGGTAGACCATGAACCTCTTAAACACAAAGACTGTATATTGATGTCTGTGCCCATTTCATAACCTTGCATGGCTGCAGAGAACTTGTTGATGGATTAAAGGGTGCTCAGTTTTGATTTGGTGGCCAGGTGATGATGCTGAACATTATGTTCAAATACTGGAGCTAAAGCTGGTTAAATCCATGGTGGCTCTTATACAAAATGGCTCTGGGATTGGTGTAAGATGTGTGTCTACATTTGGGGACCAGGAGACCCTAGCTATGAGAAGACAAAAATGAAAAGGTATAACATCATAAAGGTGAAATGAAGATAAGTTCGCAATCAATTTATTAAAAGGGCAAAATATGTCCACTGGAAAACATCTGAAGGAGTAGAAAATCCAGTCTTCAGCATAATTAGTGTTCAAAATAATTTTAATTATTAACACTTACAAAGCATGGTCTCTCAACAATGCACGTCACAATCATACTTCTAGGTTCCCCTCATAACTAAGTGTGATATGTCAACTTTGAAAGCGCTTATATGGTTAAAGGAGAAATTTGATAAAATCCACATGAGGAGACAGTGGAATACTCAGGATAAAACCTTCCAGCTTCGTAGACTCAATCCACAGTAAATCCCAAGAACTAAGCCACTTCTAATTAAATACAGGCATGTTGCCATGTGGGGCTCAAAGCCAGCTTCTGATTGCAGGCAGAACTGCTTATTTCTCTCTCTCTGAGGATTTGGGAACTCCCAGAAGTTAATGACAGCCTTGACAACCAACATCCAACTGGAGAGTAAAAACAGCTTTATCAAACCTGCTGTTTGAAATACATAACACCAAGCATCTAGATGTTTGGAGGCATCTGGTATTTGGGGTGAAACTTTTCCCTCTCTACCCAGCTATCTGAGAAAGATCAAACTAGCAGTGTAATATCAGCCCTTGGAATCTGGCCTGTACATAGGCGATGCGCAGTAGAAGTCTGCTCAGCTTCCACCTTTGTCAGACAGTCTCTTGCTCACTGACACCTTTCCATAGTAGGTGGCTCAGGATCACTTCTGGACTTAGATCCACAATGCTTCCACAGAGAAAGGCTTCCAATCTGATCTTTCACCTATGCAAATTCTCCATAGACGTTAGCATTTCCTGAATTCCCAAAAGCTATATACTCCCCAATCTCTGGTCTTACCTTACCATATTTTTTTTCTTTTTTGAACTTTCCTAGCACACACTTTTGCACTTGATGTTATACATATCATTTATTGATGTCTTCCATACACTTCCAAAACACCTCTTGCTTTATGAGGCTTCCATTAACTCACACTTGCCATTTAGATTTTTCTTGGATTATAAGTTTCTGATATTGTATCTGAGAAGACAGCAAGTGCTGTAACTTAAGCAAGCTGGTGAGCACCACATTATTTTAGGGGTAAAAGTTGTCAAATGATAGCAGTAATTTTAGCTTCAAAGGAATTTCTAACAGTTCCAAAATGTAACGTATAGTGTGTTCTATTTTTTACCTTGGGTGTATTTGATCCTATTTAAAAAGCAGTAAAAGTACTAAGATCAAAGAGATCTCTTAAATGCCATATCCCCAGTGGAGATGGCCAATCAATGTTTAGTAAATCAATCAATCAACAGAAAGCATATTGGCTTATTTATTTTCTTTTAAAAGCAAACATATATTATGATTAATTTTATTTGTTAATGTATATTTTCATACTAGTTGTCTTAGTCTGTTTTTGCTGCTATCACAAAATACCTGAAATTGGGAAATTTATTAAAAAACAGGAATTTATTTTATCCCAGTTCTGGAGAAAATGAGATGTCCAGGATCAAGCTGTTGGCTGGTTCTGTTGTCTGGTGATGGCTCCTCTGCTTCCAAGATGACACTTTGTTGCTGCATCCTCCAGAGGGGAGGAACACTGTGTCCTCACTTATGGAAGGTGGGAGGGCTAGAGGTCACAATGCTGTGAGAAGCCTCTTTTATGAGGTCCTTCATCCCATTCTTGGGGGAGGCACTCATGGCCTAACAACCTCCTAAAGAACCTACTATTTTGTGTAATACCATCATATCGGCTGCTGTTAACTATCAGTACCTGAATTTTGGAGGGAACACATTCAAACTATAGCATTTATTTAGGCTAAAAAGGTATGTTTTACCTGGGGGATGTGAGTGACAAACTCCTCACTCATTTATTTATCACTATTTCTAAAAGAAATTTTGCTTTGGGTTATTTGGATTTGGTTTATACATGCATCTCCTGATGTATATGTAACATATTAGTCTAAAGTCTCATCAAGTTTCATCTAGACATTAATCTATCTTTCCAAGTAGTTTAAGGTGCTGGAAAGTCCTTCCTTCTACTTTTTATCATACGTCATAGTGAGTCTCTAACTCTCCTGGACATTAACTTGCTAAGATGGAGATTTCTGACCCTCCTCTTAGAGTGTCTGATTCAGTGGGTCTAAGGAGAGGCCCAGGAATCTGCATTTATAACAGTCTAAATGATCCTAGTAAAGAAGTCTCAGGAGAAACATCATCCTATGGCACTGCAACTAGTTCACTTTGGATTGTAGTAGGAGCTCAGGACTTCTTGTTCAGTGTTTATTCTTTTTGTCACCTATTAAAAGATAATTTTCAAAAAAAGATTTTTTTTTATACTCTCATACTGACAAAAATATGAAGAGGTGTTAAAGATTTAATTTAATTAATTAATGAGGAAAAAGAAGAGATGTTAGAATGAGTCCAAGGGAAAACCCAGAAATGCATTTACAGATCAGGAATATAGAAATAAATGGGCAAATGGAGGCAAAACTACTAGCCTTTTCCACAATGGGGAAGAAAAGTCAATTAAATCACCCCTGGACACAATTTACATGTCTATAGACAAGAATTATATGCATTAATATTAGTTTACAGCATTATAAAATGGCTCAAAGATAATGAAAGACTACAATTGTATAATCTGAAAGAGTGTGATTCAAACAACATGCATTTTCCAATGAAGCACAATATTTTTCTACTTGTGCTGGAGAGTAAGCCAGGAAAAGAGAAAATCCTGAATCTAAAGAATGGGGGTCAGAGTGACCAGAGTGTAGATGAAAAGACAAGTAATCTCACAGGGTTGAATCTTAGGGGTAGGAGGTCAAAGGTGCAGTTAAGAGGTGGCAGAGAGGCGAAGAGGACAGCAGAACTGTGAAGCTGTGAGTAATCATGGGAGGGAAATGTAACACATGGTCTTGGACCCACTAAGAATTGGACATTGTTGTGGCATTGCCAGCTCATCTCTTGGGCATTGAGAAAACCTTACTCCAGCAATGTTATTCCGTAATTGCCCTGATGACTAGAGGGTTATGACTTTCCCTTTTTGAAAGTTTGTGTTTTGAGTAATCTGTTTAGAAACTCCACCCATAGGGCACTGGTGGTGGCAAGACATTGGCTTTTGGGGGACATAATTTAGATCACCAAGTCCCCATTTGACATTTCAATCATATTCTTGCCTTTAAGGTTCTGGGTGTATCTGTATCTTCACATGGTGAAGGAATTATAAAGCGATTTTGTGTCCCCTCTGTGGGCACAGGATGTTGCAGAAATAAAGCTGATAGAAATAGTCACATGAGTTGACCAGATGGCATCATCAGCCTCTTGAATCCACTACATCCCTAATGTCATTAGCTTGGAGGGGCAGCTGCCAAATTAGGTGGGGCTGGACATTCCTTTTAACAGGTGCCTTCTTTTCTAGGATCCAAGTGAGAGCCTAAGATAGTTTCCATAATGTCCAAAAGCACATCCTTAGAAAAACATGATTGAATTGTACAACAGGGACTTTCTGACTCAGTTCCCTAACCCATTCTTAGTTTGTATTCTCCATCGAAAATGTGACAATATTTGGCAAATATAAATTTGAGATTTCCAGAAAGGAGCAGTCAGAAAATTAAAAAAATAAATAAACATAAAATGAAAGGAACAGGTTATTTTTGTGTAATGAAAACTTGACCATTTCATCCCTCTTCTTCAAACACTTAGTGTATACTCATTTCAGTTAGGATACAATCCAAGCTCTTGGACAAGGAACTTGTTACTTTACTTTTAGTCATTGGAACACTTCATAATTCTCTGCCACTGCCCATTCTCTCCACTACACACCCTGGCCTTGGCAAATACCTTCCCTCTGCTTGAAATAGTCTTTCAGGCCCTTTCCTGACCTGATTGAGCCTACTTATTTAGATAATCATGTCATTCCCAGTGGAAGAATTCCCTTTCTCTACCAGTCTGGGTTAGGTGTCACCATGCATTCTATCACCTTGAATTTCTCTAAGCAAAGCAATTATCACTGCATATCTAAATGTGCCTCCCTAATCAAACTGTAAATATGGGAGTGGGAGGCTGAGATTTATAGTTATTTTGTTCAGTATTATGCTTCCAATTCTGAGAAAATGCATAAAAAGAAATCTGAATATTTACAGAATGAACAAACAATTGAGATTAAATGAATAAACAAATAAGTGAATGAAGAAATTATCGGGTGAGTGAATGGATATACAATTGAGGAAACTGGATATTTTTCCTGAGATGAAAAGAATACAGAGAATAAATAATGAAAGAAACTCTCCCTTCCCCATTCTTGGCATCTTTGTCAAAAATCAGTTGGTTTTTAATTTGTGGATTTATTCCTGGGCTCTCTATCCTATTCCATTGGTTTTTGTATCTGTTTGTTCACCAGTACTATGCCATTTTGATTACTATAGTTTTGCAATATATTTTGAAATCAGGTAGTGTGATGCCTCCAACTTTGTTCTTATGGCTCAAGATTGCTTTGTTTATTCAGGTCTTCTCTGGTTCCATATAAATTTTAGCATTTTTTTTTCAATTTCGATAAAAGATGACGTTGGATTTTTTATAGAAATCACATGGACTCTTTAGATCACATTTAGTATGGACATTTCAACAATATCGGTTTTCAACTTATGGATATGAGACATATTTCCATTTATTTGTGTAATCTTCAATTTCTTTGATCAATGTTTTATAGTTTTTAGAATATAGATATTTCCATATTCTTGCTTGGTTAAATTTACCACTAAGTATTTTGCTATGGTATTAAAATGGGATTATTTTCTTAATTTCTTTTCCAGATAGTTCATTGTCAGTGTATGAAAAACCTACTGATTTTTTACGTTGATTTTATATACTGCAACTTTATTGAATTCTCAACAAATGGTGTTGAAAAAACTGGATGTCCTCATGAAGAAGAATGAAATTGAACACATCACATCCCATATACAAGAATCAACTCAAAGTGGGTTGAAGACTTAAATATAAGATCTGAAACTATAAAACTATTAGAAATAAAAAACGTAAGAGGAAAGCTCCACACACTGATCTGGACAAAGATTTTTTTGACCATGACCCTAAAAGCACAGGCAACAAAAACAAAAAGAGACCATTAATCTATTAGTTATTGTATTGCATCAAACTAAAAAGCTTACGCACAGCAAAGGAAACAATTTACAAAATAAAGAGACAACCCATAGGTTAAGAGAAAAATATGTGCAAATAATACATCTGTTAAGGGGCTCTAATATCCAAAATACAGAGAGAAATTAAACAACTCAATAATAAGAAAACAAGTGATTACATTAAAAATAGTCAAATGACTTGAACAGATATTTCTCAAAAGAAGACACATAAATGGCCAGTGGGTTATTAATAACAAAGCCCAATATCCCTATCACTAATCATTGGGGAAATGCAAATTGAAACCACAATTAAATATCACCTCAGATCTGTCAGAATGGCTATTATCAAAAAGATGAAATTTAAATGTTGGTGAAGAAGTGGAGAAAAAGGAACCTTTTTACACTGTTGGTGAGAATGTAAATTAGTACAGCCATTATGGAAAACTGTATGGAGGCTCCTCAAAAACCAAAAAATAGAACTACCATGTGATTTAGTAATTTCACTTCTGGGTATTTACCCAAAGGCATGAAATTAGTATGTCAAAGAGATACCTGTTCTTCTATGTCCATTGCAACATTACTCGCAATACCCAAGACATGAAAGCAACCTGAATGTTCATCTACAGATGAATAGACAAAGAAAATGTGGTATATATTTGCAATGGAATATTATCTAGCCTTAATAATAAAAAAAGGAATCTTGTCATTTGCAACAACATTGATAAACCTGGTGAACATTATGCTAAGTGAAATAAGCCAGACATCGAAGGACAAATACTAAATGATCCCACTCATATGAGAAATCTAAAACAGTCAAACTCATAGAAGCAGACAGTAGAATGATGGTTACCAGGGGATGAAGGAGGGGGAAACAGGGAGGTATTGGGCAAAGAGAACAAAGTTTTTGCTACGCAAGTTAAATAAGTCCTAGAAATCTATGTGCAGCATAGTGTCTATAGTTAACTATATTATATTGCATACTCAAAGAGTTGCTAAATTTGCTAAGAGGGTAGCAAATCTTATGTTAAGTATTCTTATAAATAGATAAATAAATAAGGCAGAGGAAACCTTTGGGGGTGATGGATATGTTTATGACATTCATCATAGTGATGGTTTCATGATTGCATACTGATCACCAAACCCTTCAAGTTGTATGTGTTATGTACAGCTTCTGTATGCTAATCAAACCTCAATAAAGTGTTTTTTTAATCATAATATGTTCATGTCAGCACCAAAAGATCATCTTTTACTTTCTACTTCATAGATTATTGATTTTGATTAGGGGTTGGTAACTTCTTTCTATAAAGGACAGATAGAAAATGTTCTAGGCTTTGTGAGCCACACAGATTCTGTTGCCACTAGTCACCTGTGCCATTGTAACATGAAAATGGATATAAAAAATATGTAAATGGATGAGTATGACTGTGTTCCAGTAAAACTTTATTTACTAAAACAGGTGCAGACCAGATTTATTCCACAGGCCACAGTTTGTAAACCTTTGATTTGGAAGATTAATCATGGAGCCAAACTCAGATTGAAAACATGATATGAAGGGATCTGATTTATAGAGAGGACATGTGATTTTCAAGAATTTGCAGTTTATAAGATGACAAAAAACAAGGGTTGAATAAATGAGGATTTGAGGGACCTGTAAGTGTTGGAGGTTGAAGTAAACAACTATAATGCCAGTGATTAAGGATTCTAAGTTTAGAAAACTATGGATAACAAATAACAAGGGCAAAAGTTAGGCCATGGTGAAGGTGGCTAAAGTGGGGTTGAAAGTAAGATTTGTTTAAGTTCAGAAGGTCTGGTAATAGATGGCCTAATATTTGGAAGTTTGTGGAAGAGATGTCCAAAGTTCAAGAGAGACCATGTAATCTGTCTCTCTTGAATCAACAGATATTTCCAAATTCAAACATTATGAAGTTTGAGCTATTTAGGAAGTTAAGGAGATAATCAGATCATTTCGTCAGACACCCTTAAGGTAAATAAACTCTAATGGCTGACAACTCTGACAATTCTTTTTCCCATGTGATGGGGAAATAGCAGTAAACTTATAGCCATGACATTATCTTTTAAAGAACTATATGGTCCCTGCCTTGGAGAGCTTATAATCTAGAGGAACAAACAATGTACAGGTAAACTGTATATTAGTCAGTTCAGGCATCATGGCAAAATATCACAGTCTGGGTGGCTTAAACAACAGATAATGATTTCTAACAGTTTGGGAGGTTGGAAAGTCTAAGATCAAGATGTCAGCAGGCTCGGTTCCTGGTGACGTCCCTTTTCCTGGCTTGTAGACAGTTGTCTTCTCATTGTGTCCTCCCATGTCTTAGAGAGAGAGAGACACACACACACAAAGAGAGAGAGCTTCGTTCTCTCTGTCTCTTCTTATAAGAACACTAATTCCATTATGAGGGGCCCCACCCTCACAACCTCATCTAAACCTAATTACCCCCTAAAAGTCCCACCTCCACAAACCATCGCAGTGGGTTTTGATTGCTGGAGGAATGCAAATTTCAGTCCTTAGCAAACTGTTGCATTAAACACTACATATAGATTATAAAATGTGCTTGCAAAAGGAATAAAAACAGAGTCAGTAAAGAGGTGAGCTGGAGAGGGCACTTCCATCAGGGTGGTCAGCAAGTCCTTTCTAAGAAGGGAACATTTCAGCAGATATTTGAAGGATAAGAAGGAGCCACACAGTGCTTGTGAAGAACATTCCAGGAAGAAGGAGTGACATGAACTGTGGCCCTAAAGCAAGAAAAATTCTAGCATGTTCCAGAATCTCTCAGGAGGCTGCTCAGGTTGGCGCACAGAGAGCAAGAGGAGAAAGGCTTTAGAAAAGGTTGGTCCTCTCTTACCTGCTCAAAGACACCTTATTATATGTTACCACTGGATTTCAAGGGCAGTCATCCTGTGGACTTCTGAATTTGAAAACCTTTGTTAAAATTCCTGCAAGTAGATTCTTCACTGTGGAATCTTGAGCAAGCCCCTTGGCCTCTCTGAATTTCATTTTTCTTATCTGGAGGTGAACATATCATCTGCCTTTCCTACCAGACAGATTGGTTGTGAGCAACAAATGAAATAACTCAGGTGAAAGCATTTTGCTAAACAATCTACAAATAGGAGACATTGTCAAGTATCTTGAGACTGACTTCTTCACTTCCAATCCAGTTTGCTTACTGTGTCTAAGGTGCCACTTTAGATGGCACTTTTCATCATGAGATTATATCTCTTCTCCTATTGAAAAACAGAATAAAGTGAGATGAGGAAGTTAGACACTGAAGCAAGACTTCTGCATAACTGTTATTTACCTTGTGCCTCAGCTTTCAAATCTGTAAAATGGGGATGATACTGACCTCCTGGGTGATTGGTGTGTGCCCAGCAGAGATCCTGGTGTGGTGCTAGCTTCAGTTAGGCCAGATTTGAAAGAGTCACTGCTGTGATAATCAGTTAGATTATGATTCCTATTAGGCCCACCATGGGGACTGCTCTTCCCTTTTCCATAGCCTATTAAGTGGCTGGCATGAAGAGGCAACTCTCATCTGCAGGCATTCACCCTTCCTTTTGGGTTGCCATAGAGAGTGAATCACAACATGGGTCTCTCTTGGTCTTTGTCCAAAAAGATTGATTTCCACAAGTGGTATTAGAATATCCCATCTGCAGTCGCACAGAGCATGGGCTTGGAACAGGAGCTGTAATAAAGTTCTCAGCTTAAATGGACTTTGCAGCCCCTTACTTCTGGCTTTGACCTTTTTACAGTAAAACTAAACTATTTTTACAGCTTTCATCTGTCTGGAATTCTCTCCTTTGACTCATACCTATTTTTTTTTTCCACCACCCTCCCCACTGCCTCTATTAGCATTTTGTGGGCTGGCTCCTACTGTATTATATTTTAAGGATTAGTTCAGTTGATCCCTCCTGTGATAATCCCTAATGAATACCATCCACCTTTCTTTGCCCGCAGCAGGTGAGATGGGAATCCTCTTCCTCAGCCTCTACACTATCCTGAACATACTTTCCTCATAACACTTTCCACACACTCTTAGCTACGTGTGCCTCTCTTCCACTAGAGCATGTGCCTTGACATCAGGGCCCCAGTGACTAGATATTATTCAACTTTAAATCTCCAGTGTCAATCACAGCACCTGGCACACAGGTGTTCAGTAATGTTTACTGAATGAATGAATTAATGATGGCTGAATAAACTATCTCCTCTAGTTTCCTCTATACAGCAGACAACCTAAACTCCTTAGTTCCCTATCCTGAGTCCCTGATTATCCCCAAACAGCATCCCACACATACCTTACAGTGACTTTTTTCTGCAACATACCTCACCTTTGAGGCAGTCTGCTCTATTTTTAGAAAAATATTTTGAGCACAAACTTCACCCTAAGCATCTTCTAGCTTCAGGGATTAACTCTACCATCTGGAGCAAAACAAACCTACTGTCTCCTTTATAAGATAATCTTATTATTTAGAACAATTATTTGTAAAAAATTACTTAAATGGACAAACAGTAGTATATATATATATAGTATATATATAGAGTATATATTTATGTGGTATAATGTAAATGTTATACTTGTGTACATTGTGGAATGATTAAAACAGGCTAACACATGCATCATTTCACATACTTATCATTTATTTGTGGTGAGAACATCTAAAATCTACTCTATAAAAACAATTTTGGAATATACATTATTATGTATTGAAATATACATTATTTCATAGAGGCTGCACCAATTTACATTTCCACTAATAATATACTGGGGTTCCCTTTTCTGCACATCATTTCCAACACTCATCTTTTTTTTTTTTTTTTTTCCAGGGCGCCGCTCTAACCCCCAACCACACTCTGCAACCATCTGCATTCCTATTTCTAATTTCTGCCTCTTAGAACCCCAATACTGAAGGAAAAACTGTCCATAGTGACTGGGGCCTGCAGACTCCAGACATTCCCAGCCGGGACTGCTATCCAGACTCCTGGAGAACTATAGTGGCAGCCATAATGGATTCTGGCAGACACAAAGCAAGGGGCCGCTTTTGTTTTTTTTGCTAATAGTTATCCTAACAGCTGTGAGGTGGTATCTTGTGATATTAACTTGCATTTTCCTGATTAGTGATATCCACACTTTTTCAGATATCTGTTGACCATTTGTATGTCTTCTTTCGAGAGATGTCTATTCAGTTTCTTTGTCTATTTTTCAAATTGGTTAACTTATTTTCTTTTTTCTTTTGCTTCTGGTTTTCTATTGGTTTGTTTGCTATTGACTTGGAGGAATTTCTCATACATTTTGGATATTAACGCTTTATCATATACATGGTTTACAAATATTTTCTCCCACCCCATAGGTTATTTTTTTTCCACTTTGGTAATTGTTTCTTTTACTGTGCAGAAGTATTTTAATTTGATAAAATCACACCTATTTTTGTGTGTGTTGCCTCTGTAGAAATTCTGTTTCTAGTTATTGCTACCTAAACAAAAAAGAAACCAATTGTCCTAGTCCACTCAGGCTGCTGTCTTAGATTAGGTAATTTACAAACAACAGAAATGTGTTGTTCAGCGTTCTGGAGGCTGGGAAGTCCAAGATCAAGGTGCCAGCAGATTCAGTTTTTGGTGGAGGCTTGTTCCCCATGGATAGTGGCTTCTATCCGTATTTTCCCACTCCCATGGGGGAAGGGAAAAACAGACGCTCCATCTTTCATAAGACCACTAATCCTGTTCACAAGTGCTCCACTCTCATGACCCTGTCACTTCCCAAAAGCCTCGACTCTTAATACCAACACACTGGGGACCGGATTTCGACATATGAATTTTGGAGGAATATAAACATTCAGACCATAACACAAATTGAGTTTTATTTGTATTTCATTACCTATAGGCACTGATGCTCTCAGTTGATCTAGCAAATAGGCATCTGTCACAGAAAATAGAGAAGATATCCCAAGAGAAGAGGAGAAACTCCACAATGTGAAGAGATTTCCAGAGGCATCAGCACTCCGTCTGTCACTATTGGCATCCTGTGACATGGTTTAGTTTATGCGTGCTGGTTAGGCTGATTTACATAATACATTATCTAGTTATACCTTAAATAAACCTCAAAACTTGACGAATGTCTTGCAAATGTCCTGGAAAAAAAGAATAAATAAATATAATACTAGTGATACCAAATGAAAAAACCATGGAAGGGCACAAGCACTCCATCAGCCATATTTTGAGCTATATAAAAAAGTAATGACAGAATCATATATGACAAGAAGTCAGTGAAAAAAGTCCTAAATTATTAGGGAAACTACTTGATATGTGAAATTACATCTACTGTCATTGGTATTGAAATTTGCCCTATATGTTAATTGTACAAAGATAGCACGAAGTCCTTACCATGAGCAAGACATTTAAAGTATTCACAAGATGAGCACAAATTTTTATAATTCAAGGGTGATTTTTCAATCATTCTATATTTGGCCCAACATTTCATTTAAATTTTACTACACTTCTTACTATTCAGAGGTATGTTTTGAAGTTTCTCGGCAACAAAATCTGTAAGTTTTACACTGAGGGTGAAATTGTTTTTATTCTTGTTATTGTCACAATATGATAGATTTAAAATTAAACAATATGATGTAAGCTAAAATGCATTTCTCTTTTAGCAAATACTTTTAGAAAATATCTAATTTCAATAGAGTTCCTAAAAATAATTCTGTAAGGGTTTGTTGTCTATGCATTGTGTGAAAGTACAGATGTTTCTAAATGTCTCAGCTGATGGTATTTTTTTTTTCTAGATTCTGTTTCAGAAGTGAAATGAAGAAAAATACTTTTCAGAGAGCCACTAAAATAATGAATCAGACAAAATGATCTATTCTTTACAGAAAATTACTTTTGTATCAATAACAATAACAATGTTTCCTAGCACAAATTCTGCTAAGTGCAATCACTATTGGGAAAGGCAAAACAGATACAAGAGCAACTATAACCCAAAAAGATTGTGGGAAATACATCCAGAGATACTACAATAGCTAAAAATCCTTCTTTGCATCACTCATATTCAAACTACAGGCATTCCTCAGAGATACTGTGGATTCTGTGTCCAGATCACCACGGTAAAGCCAATATTACAATAAAGTGAGTCATATAAATTTTTTTTGTTTCCAATACATATAAAAGTTATGTTTACCCTATACTGTAGTGTATAAAATGTGCAATAGCATATGTCTTAAAAATGTACTATCTTAGTTAAAACTTTATTGCTAAAAAATGCTAAAGATGTCTGAGTCTTCAGCAACTCATATTCATTTTGCTGGTGGAAGATTTTGCCTCAGTGTTGATGGCTGCTGACTGAACAGGGTGGTAGTTGCTAATAGCTGGTGTGTCTGTGGCAATTTCTGAAAATATGACAACAATGAAGTTTGCCACATAAATTGACTCTTCCTTTCCTGAAAGGTTTCTCTGTAGAATGTGCTGCTATTTAACGTTTTATCTACAATAAAACTTCTTTCAAATTTGGAGTCAATCCTCTTGAACTCTGCTACCACTTTATCAATTAAGTTTATGTACAATATTCTAAATCCTTTGTCTTTATTTCAACAATGTTCAAAGCCTGTGCACCAGAAGTAGATTCCATCTCAGGCAACCACTTTCTTTGCTGATTCAGACAAAGCAACTCCTTATTCATTCAAGTTTTACCATGAGATTGTAGCAATTCAGTCACATCTTCAGGACCCACTTCTAGTTCTCTTGCTCTTTCTTTCTTACTTTCTTCTTTTTTTTTTTTTTTTTGGATGGAGTCTTGCTCTGTGGCCAGGCTGGAGAACAGTGGCGTGATCTCAGCTCACTGCAACCTCCACCTCCTGGTTTCAAGCGATTCCCCTGCCTCAGCCTCCCAAGTAGCTGGGATTATAGGCATGCGTCACCATACCCGGCTAATTTTTTGTATTTTAGTAAAGATGAGGTTTCACCATGTTGACCAAGATGGTCTCGATTTCCTGACCTTGTGATCCACCACGTTGGCCTCCCAAAGTGCTGGGATTACAGGCGTGAGCTACCACGCCAGGCCTCTCTTGCTATTTCTACCACATCTGCAGCTCCTTCCACCACTAAATCTTTGAACCCTTCAAAGTCATCGATAAGGGTTGGAATCAACTTCTCCCATACCCCTGTTAATATTGAAATTTTGACTTCCCCCCATGAATCATGAAAGCCCTAATATCTACAGTGATGAATCCTTTCCAGGAGTTTTCAACTTACAGTGGACCCTTGAGTAATGTGGGAGTTAGGGATTTGGGCCACCTGCACAGTTGAAAATTTGTATATAACTTTGACTTCCCAAAAACTAAACTAATGGCCTAATGTAGAACAGAAGCCTTATGGATAACATAAACCGTCAATTAACATATTTTTTATGTCATATGTATTATATAATGGATTTTTAGAATAAAGTAAGCTAGAGAAAAGAAAATGTATTAAGAAAATCATAAGGAAGAAAACATATATTTACTATTTATTAAGTGGGGTGGATCATCATAAAGGTCTTCATCCTCATCATCTTCACGTTGAGTAGACTGAGGAGGAGGAGGTGTGGGCCTTGCTGTCTCAGGGGTGGCAGAGGCAGATAAAAATCTATGTATAGGTGGACCAGCACAGTTCAAAGCCATGTTGTTCTGTACTTTGCTGAGATCCGTCAGAGGAATCACTATCTATAGAAACTATAGCCTTACAAAATGTATTTTTTAAATAATAAGATTTGAAATTCCAAATTGCTCATTGGTCCATAGGCTTTGGAATGAATGTTGTATTAGCAGGCATGAAAACAACATTAATCTCCTTGTACAACTCCATCAGAGCTCTTGGGCAACTAGGTGCATTGTCAATAAGCAGTAATATTTTGAAATAAATCTTATTTTTCTGAGCATTAATTTTCAACAGTGGGCTTAAAAGATTGAGTAAGCCATGCTATAAACAGACGTGCTGCTATCCAGTTTGTTCTGCTTACAGAGCACAGGCAGAGTAGATTTAGCATAATTCTGAAGGACTCTTTGATTTTCAGAATGGTAAATGAACATTGGCTTTGACTTAAAGCCACCAGATACAATAGCCCCTAACAAGAGAGTCAGCTTATCTTTTGAAGCTTTGAAGCCAGGCATTGACTTCTCCTCTATAGGTATGAAAGTCCTAGATGGTGTCTTCTTTCAACATAAGGTTGTTTGGTCTACATTAAAAATCTGTTACTTACTGTAGCCACCTTCATCAATGATCTTAGCTACATCTTCTGGATAACTTGCTGCACCTTCTACATCAGCACTTGCTGCTTCTCCTTGTACTTTTATATTATAGAGGTGGCTTATTTCCTTAAATCTCATGAACCAACTTCTGCTAGCTTCCAACTTCTCCTTTGCAGCTTCCTCACCTCTCTGAACCTTCATAGAATTATAGAGGGTAGCATCTTCTATTTTTTATTTCTTTCAAGAACGTTTCTTTTGCATTCACAACATGGTTAACTGTTCTGCATAAGAAGTCTAGCTTTTGGTCTGTCTCAGCTTTCTATATGCCCTCCTCAGTAACCTTAATTATGCCAAGGTTTTGATTTAAAGTGAGAGACGTGGGACTCTTCTTGTTATTTGAACACTTAGAGGCTATTGTTGGGTTATTAATTAGCATAATTTAAATATTTTTGTGTCTCAGGGAATAGGGAGGCCTGAGCAGAGAGAAAGAGATGGGGGAATGGCCATTTGGAGGAGCGGTTAGACTACACATAACATTTATCAATTAAGCTTGCTGCCTAATATGGTTGTGGTTCATGGTTCCCCAATCAAGTACAAGAGTAACATCAAAGATCACTGCTCACTGACTATCATAACAGCTATAATAATAATACATTTTGAAATATTGTCAGAATTACCCAAATGTGACGTGGAAACAGGAAATGAGCCCATGTTGTTGGAAGAATGGTGCTGATAGGTTTGCTTGAGGCAGGGTTGCCACAAACCTTCAATTTGTGAAAAACATAGTATCTGTGAGGCACAATAAAGTGAAGCTAGTGAAGCTAACTAAAATGAGGAATGCCTGTATTAAGCCTGCCCTTTTCCCCAGAAAGAGCCAGAAAGGTTTAAAAGATTACTAGTGTCCTTAATGATGAGGAATAATGATAACCAGGTGAATAACAATCGTGTGAATAATGATGGTGACCAAAGACCTTTAACATACAAGAAAATCTTTACAATTCTCCATAAGATGACATTGAAAATACGTTGCCTAACATGACGAATAAATCGTTATATCTTAGTAAATTAATTACGAGTTTCTATACTAATAGATTACACAAAATATTTTTCTTTTATAGAGCTCTCTCTGCATTTCTATTCATGCAAATTAGTACAGTAAATGACTACATATCCTAATTCGCGCCTCTTATCCCAGTGCCCTGTCTGATTTAGTATTTGTCCCATACTTTTCATTTTTGCAAAATGAAGTATTATCTATGTACATTGAAATAAGATGGGCTTGGTAGTCATCCACTTCATTCTTCCAGCATTTCTCACAATCTCACCCGAGAGCATATGGGATGTCTCTTCAGGGACCAGAATTCTCCCTCTCTTTGTCTGGCCTTTTCCAGACTTACCATCACCAACCCCTTCCTTCCAAGGCACAATCAAGGTATTTGCTGGTGAAATACATTGTACTTAGACTAAACTGTTTCAGAGAATAGCTTATTCCAAAGGACCACCCTTCCCGATATGAGTTAGATGAGGCTCAAGGATTGCCGGCATTGTTTACCTATGACAAAGCCAGATACAGACGCTCCAAACTCCTGTTCTTGGCTTCATAAATGATTAGCTAAATTTATTGTCCCCAGTGATCTATTAGAACAGAATGCCTATTAACCTGACCTGAAAAAATTTTGGTTACGGTTCTTTCTTTTCCCCAGACTCTTGAACTCTGATGCATTCTAAGTCGAGCCAGAATTTAGCTCCTTCTCAATGGCTCCTTCCAGGAAGCGGCTGGCCTGAGGGTAAAACGTTCTCTGATCTACTATCCAATCAGGCCACCTCACTTACTTACATCTGGTTCTTTCTAGCCTTGTTCTCTCCTTCGTATAAAAGAAAAGCCTTTTTCTGCCTGAGCTCTGAGAAGCTTGCTGTTTTATAGTTGGAGTCCCTTCCCCCTCTGTAATAATCTTTTCCAATAAAGCTTCTACTTACCTCAGTCTAGATTTGTTTTTTTTACTTTATTTTATTGTTTTGTTTTTTACTTTATTTATTGAACAGATTTTATGTTTAGAGCAATATTAAATTCAAACAAAAATTGAGTGGAGAATATAGAAAGTTCATTCACCTACTCATCCTGCCTCCACGCAAGTACAACCTCTCTTACTATCAAATCCTGCACCAGAGCGGTATATCTATTATAATCAATGAGACTCATTGACACACAATTATTATTGAAAGAGATCAGAATATACCACCACCATAAAAATATGTCACTTCCACGTAAGGACCATTTTGAGCTGAAGGCAATTGAAAACAACCAAATGTAGGAAGGGTTCTCTGCCCTCTTCTTATCAGATTAAAATCAGGGCATACATTTCCTCTTGTGAAGGTGTCTCCCTCTCCTGAACTGGGAAGAGGAGAGCCACTCTTACCACTGGAGATTGAGAGTCAGACAAGTTTACATAAACAGACCTTAGTAAAATAACCCTTATCTTTCCTTTGTTTCCCTGTATCTTTCCTAGTCACTTCCCCACAATTTAGCATCATTTGAAGCCCCAAACCTTTCCTTTGTTAAAATGGTATATAACCCCTGTGAGTCTAATTGCATCTTTGAATTTCATTTCTTTTCCATGAACTCCTATGCATGTAAATATCAATAAAAACTTGTGCTTTTTCTCTTGTTAACTTGTCTTTAGTTAGTTTAATTTACTGGTTCCCAAGCACTAAACCTAAGAGAGTCGAGGAGAAGTTTTTCTCCGTGACATCACTAAAAATCTGCAGTTTACATAAACATTTACTCTTGGTGTTGTATGTGCTGTGCTTCTGTGGTCTGAATGTTTATGTCTCCCCAAAACAATTCCCAGTGAATTTTGGTCTGTTATTTGGGTTCCCCACAAAATTCATCCCCACTAAACCTAAAGCCCAGTGTGATGGTTTTAAGAGGTGGGACCTTTTAGAGGTGACTAGGTCATGAGGGCAGAGCCCTCATGAATGAGATTAATACCTTTATGTAAGAAGCCCTAGACAGCTGCTTTGCCCCTTCCACCAGTGAAGTTAAAGCAAGAGGATCGCCTGCACCAGACACTGAATCTGCCAGTGCCTTCATCGTGGACTTCAGAACTGTAAGAAACCAATTGCTGTTGTTTATAAGCCACCCAGTCTAAGATATTTTCTTAGAGCAGCCTAAATGGACCAAGACATATGTGTTTTGACAAATGTACAATGACATGTATCAACCATTATAGTATCATACAGAACAGTTTTGCTGCCCTAAAAATCCTCTGTGCTTCCCCGATTCATCTCTCCCTTCCTTCTAACCCCTGGCAACCACTGACCTTTTCACTGTCTCCATAGTCTTGCCTTTCCCAAAATGTCATATAGTTGGAATCATATAATATGTAACCATTTCAGATTGACTTCTTTCCGTTAGTCATATGCTGGATTTATTTTTTTATTTGATAGTTGGTAACTGAACACTGATTCTAAATCATGTGTTCCAAGACACTGAATTTATATTCCTAAAAGGTACATTATGCATACTGCCACAAGGGAAGGGAGGAATGCAACCTTTGCAAAGGTCCTATGAAAACTCTTTAGCTAGAAATTGTGATGGCCTGCTGTTTAATGTTTCTATTAGAGATTAAAGAGGGAGCTTCCCCTTCCTGTGTCAAATGAAAGAAGATAGTTGTGATTGGAAGTTGCTTTGCTGCCACCATTTCTGCCCCAGGGGAGGCAATAAAGGGAATCATTTGATGCCATTACCAGGTCATGTCCACAGTCCTTGGCTCTGGGCAGAAGTGAGCTCCCTGTGAAGCTAATGAAACATAAGCTTTGGGGCCTCTCATTTTGTAGTCATAATTTTGTATTCTATTTCTTAATAGTGTCTCCCCACTGTAGAAGTCTCATGCCCCCAGAAAACCTGTCTCTGCCCCTGGCTATACCATATAGCAAATCTTTGCTTGTCACTTCATCCCAGCAAGCCCTGCCAGCTTGTAGCACAGGACCTCTTAGACAATCAAAATAAGCCCAACGTCAGTGTCAAAAATAGAGGGTAGGGAATGTTGCACAGTACTACCTTTAATAGAGAATAAAGAAACAGAATAAAACTCATCAGGTGTTTTAAATCTTCCATGTCAATGCATTTACGTGCAACACAGTGAGACCCTACTCACATCTCTTCCTTTTTTTTTTTTTTTGTAGTTCTAAAATTGATTTCAACTTTACTAGGCTCTTGAAATAATGACAACCATAGATAAGCTAGGAATAAACCAAATTAAGAACTGTTACTATGCATCATGTAGATGCAAAATCTAAAGAAGCGCAAGTGAATTTCAGAATCATAGTATATGGGATCCCGTTAGATTCTGAAAATATCAAGACTATTTTAATGCAGTTTGCAAAGCACCTGCCACACAGTAGCACATCCTCCATACTCCCCCAGACTATAATCCTCCTGGTCTCCCTGGAATTCCTCTGGTGCCTGTAATGCCAGGAGCCACATGGGCCAGCCTCAAAGTAATAGTTAACATTTACTGATACTGATAATGCTCCAGACACTGTGATTGATGCTTTTCATGTATTAACCCATTTAACCTGTTGAGGCTGGGGGAAGGGTAGGATAAATATACCCTTGTCTCCCCATTTGGAATCAAATGAGAAACAAAACCCAAGAAACACACAGAAGAAGCCTTATTACTCTTATTTGTTTTTGCTTTAATGTCAGTTTTATTACCTATAAAGCTGATTTGAGAACAAGGCTTTAGCCCTCCAGCCACGATAGGCTTCTTAAATACTTCACCCCTGTTCTTACCAGACTTGGTTGTTCAGTGACTGGCTCAGCTGGCTGATTGAGCTTTCCCTGCAGGGATTGAGCCTAGGCTGTCCAAATACCATGTGGCTGAAGAGAAGGGCTGGCCTTCTTGGAAATAAAGAGCTAGAGAAATGAAGGAAAAGGGGAGGGTGAGAGGGAGAGTGATTGGGATTCTCTTTGCTCATTTAAGGGTGAATGTGCTGCTTCTTCTACAGAATGGTCCCTTGCATGAAAATGCACACCCTCCTTCAAGTCATCAGTCTGGAACATTAACCCCTAATTTCTCTGATTCAGCCAAGGTGCTTCATCTCTTTCTGCCTCTTTTCTTTATTTCCCTAAATGTGCCTGTTTCTTGAATTAGATGGTGTCTAAGTTAGATTTAGGTGCATAAACACAGTCTTTTCTATTGTGAGGCTGAAGTCTTCTCTTCTTCCATCAGGGTCTCCTCCCCACTTTTACGATCAAAGACATCTTTACGGGTTCCGGTTCATTCTGAGGTGATAATAATCAGATGCTAATTTTATGCAAGTTCTGCAGAAAAACAGATGAGATGTCTCTACTGCACTAAATGTCTCTTGACACTCTGCTTAGCTCTGTGTTCCTATCATTGTTGAAAACATTCACTGAAAAACTGTCCCCATGGACCATTCTGTTACTGTCAAGCAGCACCCAAAGAAAATCAATTAATCAGAAGATCTGAAGTTACAGGTTTCTCTAGGTAGTTTCTGTTGATAATTCACTAGGAGAAAAAATAAAAAAAAAAAGCTGTCAGAGTAATTAAACTGTAAGATGCCATCTCTTTGGAGGAAGAAATTAACTTTTTGAACTCAATAATTTATAATTTAATCTCTTGGCAATGTACAGGATCAATTTAAGTAATTGGGGGTATAATAGCACCCACTATTAGGGATTCAAAGAAAATATATTATATTTCATGGTTATTTGTTTTACCAGAAAGTAACATGGGCCTTGGAATGAAATAGCCCTGGGTTTAATTCCTGACTCAAAAATTGTATGACCCTGAGCAACTCTCAATTTAATCATCCCTGAGATAGCTTTATTAACTGTTTATGCCCTCTGAACCACTGATGGAATAGCATATGCCTATGTATATAGCAGATAAAAACTCTGCACATAGTAGGTCCTGAAATAATTTTGGTTTCCCTTCTCTTTACAACAGCCAAACTTATTTGTGGGTTTAAGGTGCTGCCACACTAGTCTACTACATAGTATCCCACTTCTTTGATCAAGCTATGGAGTGGACCTCAGGGATAATAAGGGAAGATTTCTCTGAAATTCAAGTTCTTATTTCTTGAGGTCTGGAATCACCATTTTTGAGTCTATAGCTTACTTTGTGCCAAGAATTTATGAGCATTTTATAAATACTAGCATGTTCTATCCTCATAACAACTTTTTTAAATGAAGAAACTGATTCACAGAAAGCAACACGACCAAAGTTACAAAGTTCAGAAATGATTTGGATCCAAGCAGATTTTGCTTCTTATTGCTCTACATTATTGCTTTAATTGGGATTCCACTACAGGAAAATTTATGTTAATAGTTTACCTATTTCGATCTACTTCTCTATATACAGTATTACTTAAAAGTACTGCATGTTATCTTTAGCTACAGTATATCATACTTAAAATATGTTCACATTTTAACTATTGCTTTTCCATTTACCTAGCTGTCTATAGAAATAATTTCTATTTTTATTTCTTAATATCTATTTCTATTTTTGAAACAATCTTTATTCTGGAAATTTAAAGTTGGTTCTCTCACTAGTATCTGTATGTGGGGAGGGGACGTGATTAAGCTTACAGGCTCTGGCTTCTAATGGAGTGGCTTACAAGTGGCCATACCACTTACAAGCTGTGTCGTTAGCAAATTGCCCAAACTTGCTGTCCTTCAGTTTCCTCATCTGGAAAGTAGAGATAATGCTACCATCAATCTTCATAGGAGATCTCATAGATTCATAAGTGAATACATTTAGAACTGCCAGGCACATGGCTGTTCTCAGTAAGAGAGAGCTCTTATTATTATGTATATCTATGCTGTTATCGCTCACTGTTTTTACTGCCTTGTTCTTATGTAGAATCTTCAGTTTACTAAGTTCTTCTAAATACATTGGCTGCTTTTCAATTTTTAAATAACAGTGTAAGGTAAATATACTTGTTTTGCAGATGAGGGAGCCAAGGATCAGGATATGTTACCGGTTGAATTGTGTCACCCAAAACAAATACGTTGTAGTCCTAACCTTCACTGCCCCAGAGTGTGACCGTATTTGGAGATAGAGTCTGTACAGTGGTAGTCAAGTTAAAATGAAATTATTAGGGTGGACCTTAATCCAACATGATTAGTGTTCTTATACAAAGGGGAAATTTGGATAAGACATGTACAGAGGGAAGATGGTGTGAGGAGACACAGGAAAAAGGGCATCCACAAACCAGAAAGAAAGATCAGGAATAGACCCTTCCCTCACAGCCCTCAGGAGGAGCCAACACCAGCGACATCGTGACTTCTGGCCTCCAGAACTACAAGACAATACATTTCTGTTGTTTAAGCCACTAGGTTTGTGGAATGTTGTTATGACACCCTTAGCAAACTAATACAGAGTATTAGAATGAGCTGTTATGCTGAGTAGAATACCTTAAAGAACCAAAACAAGAAGTTTCCTGCTTCAGTCCAGTGACCTTTTTCTGGTAACTAGGATACTTCATGTGTAATGATTCCTTAACCCAACTCTGCCTCCACCTTCATATCCATCCATTTTTTTTTTTTTTTTTTTTTCCTGAGACGGAGTCTTGCTCTGTCGCCCAGGCTGGAGTGCAGTGGCATGATCTCGGCTCACTGCAAGCTCCGCCTCCCGAGTTCACACCATTCTCCTGTTCTCCTGCCTCAGCCTCCCAAGTAGCTGGGACTACAGGTGCCCGCCTGGCTAATGTTTTGTATTTTTAGTAGAGACGGGGTTTCACAGTGTTAGCCAGGATGGTCTCAATCTCCTGACCTCATGATCCGCCCTCTTCGGCCTCCCAAAGTGCTGGGATTACAGGCGTTAGCCACCACGCCCGGCCCATATCCATCCATTTTTAAACTTAGCAAGAGCTTCCTGGCTTGGAATGCTGTGCATAAGGCAAATACTTCAGGACAAGGTAAGAGGACACTTTATGTCTTCCAGGATACGTTATACCTGTGTGGAGGTATAATGTATTCTAAATGTATTATCTAATGTATTCTAAAGAGAGGTGTGACATTATTATGCATAAGCTGATTCACGAGGAGTAACAAAATCACAGCATCAGAGAGCCTGAGTGCTCACAAATTCATCACCCTCAAAGCCAGCATCTCTGTTTTTCCCATTCCTTTAGTTGTTCAGGTTTCATTTGAGCATGGACCTCATGGGACCTGACTCTCCATCATGGCTTTAGCTCACCCAACGACCTACAGATAGGTACAGAAGTCATCACCTCTCCTCTCCTGAATGTCTCATGATTCAGATCCCAAATGCCTTGTAAACCAAAATGTTATATGAATGGAGCATATTGTTTTCATGTATGCAAACTCAAGTCTTGAAAACTACAGAATACAGACATAGAAATGATTAATGGCAGACTAATGAGATTGTATAAGTATGCAGTCCATGAATAGAATCTTATAAAAAATGAACTGTGAGAAGATATTGAGTTTTGCCAAAATGCCATTCCTGTAAGGGCATCGCCTTCCGTTATCAGTTTTATAGCATCAATCATGTGGACACTGTTGTCAAAAGTGTCATTAGAATGACTCTAAATCCTGATAAGCTACCCCAGTCCATTTACAGGGTTTATTTCAAGCTGTCTTGGTTATCTGCCTCATTCTAGATCTTGAGAGCTTTTCTTAGAACACTTTTCTCACATGGTTCAGGACCTAAAATTATTCTATTGTCTCAAAAAAACTCTTTCATTCTCAGCATAGTTTCTCTTATTCTAGAACATTCACTTTGCCCATGCAGGACATGACTTTGAACTCTAGACTTTATTAGCTACAACTTCAAAGGGAAAAGGGTTACACTGGCTACTAGAGTCATGGCATTTGTCTAGGGGTCAGCAACCCGGATTCTCTAGTAGCTTTAGGCCGAAGACCTATGGCTTCAAGACAAGAGTATATGACCTGATATTAGAAAACTTGGATTCTTATCCAGAGTTTCTTATCTTGACCCTATATATTTAAGAAAGCATTTATGTACCCTGAATTTTTCCCCTAATAATTTAGTTCAATACATTTTGGCAAATATATATAATCATGTAACCACATATGGATCAAGATATAGAATACGTCCATCACTCCAGATAGTTCTCTCATGGCCCTATCCAGTAAGTTTTTCTGCAACCACAAAAAAGTAATCCCTTTTTTCCTTCTATCACCATAGACCACAGATTCACTTTGCTTGTTGTAGAACTTCATATAATAGGTCCTCATTGTGTCTGTCTTCTTTAACTCAGTGTAATGTCTGTAAAATTAATTCATTTTGTTGCATGATCAATCATTTTTCTTCTTATTGATGCCAAATAAAATTTCTTTTCATAAATGTATATATCTGAACCTTTTTCATTAATAAAATAAGTAGGATAATCTGGACTTGAAACCTGGGCTCATTGGCACTAGCTTTGTGATTTTGGACAAGACATTGGCCGTCCCAACTAGTTTCTGTATCTATGTAAGATGAAGAAGAATCTCACAACTCCTTTCCTCTTTAACAGTTTATAGCAAGGACCAGACACACTAAAGACCTCTCCCTCACCACTGTTACGGGCACTAGTCCACATCTCCTCCCTGGACTACTGGTAAACCTCACGCAAATTCATGCATAGAACATTATATGTCTATAATATATAGAAATCAAAACACAGGACAGCTTGTGCTTCTTTTGTGCCTCGCTACTTTTGCTCAACACAATGTCTGTGAAGTTAATCCATGTTAGTCTGCCAATTAATGTCCCGGCTTCTATTATTCTTCAATCAGAGCCAGGATGAATCTTTTAAATATAAATCAGATCATGTCACTCCTTTCCTTAAAACTCCACAAGGGCTCCCATTTCACTTATAATAACATGGAAATGTTTACCAGAGCTTACCTGGACCTGCCATCCCCAACTCCCCTGCAACACCATTCTCATTTCTTGCCACTCTCCTTTCACTCACTGTACTTTATGATTGTGTCTCCAGTATGCCCCAGTTATTCCTGTGATGGGGCCTGACAAGTTCCCCTCTTTACTGCAGGTCTGCTTGTTCTTCCATTTATGTCTCAGCTTAAATGTTCCCTTCTCATAGAGGCCCTCGTTGACCCCTTCAACTAGGTAGAGAATCATGCTTGGCACCCAGAAATTGTTCTAAAATTATTAGTTGGATTAATGAATATGGACAGGGAACATTTCATATACTACGATGCATTGTGGACATTTGTGACTGTTTTATAACAAAAATATATAAGAATTATATGCTCAAAAATAAAACGGTGTATTTGTGGTCACTATGAAAAAAGAGACCTGCACTTTGCATTCCAGAAGCTTATTTAAGATCTCAAATAAGGGAGAGAAGACTGGAAATTATCTATTAAATAACAATCCAGAAATGATAACTGAAAAGTATGTTAGCCAGCTGTACAGAGGGTGGGTGACTGGCAGATGGGAGGTCCCTGTAGGGAAGGAAGTGGTGCGAAGTTTTGGGGTTTGTTAGAAAAGTGGGTTTGGCTTTCATGAGGTAATGGGAGGGCAGTGACAAGTTAATGTTGCTGATATTGTTTCCTTTTTATTTTTATAAATTGGGATGTCAGCAGACAAATTACAAGTGAATACAAATTTAGTAGGATATCTTCTCAATATACTTAATTTTTGGGGGGGAAATTAATAATATCCTCCTCCCCACTATGAAAATGCTGGCTGATAGCCATGGCATATTCCCTCTGGGCCAAAAAGCAGCTATAGCATTTTGTCCTCCTTTACCCTCTACTACTCTTACCAAGAGAGAATAGTGTTTGTTCCCAAATGTGTTCATGTTGTATGTATTGTTTTATAAATCAATAAAAGAGGAGTAGAAAAAAATGGAAATTTCTAGGAAAATTAAGTTGAAAATTTTAGAAAGAGTTGATAAGTACGATTGGTATTATTTTTCTGTTGAAATAAGTGTGGACTATACAACTTTAGAATATTTGGATACGGTTGCAAAAATCTAGACATGTTCTGACCTCAGATGGCTTTACATGTCTTTAAGTTCTTCCATACTTTGAAGAAACTGAAACAGAAACTCAAATATTTGTTTTTAGGCAAGTTATTTCCATGCAAAGAAAAATCTTGGATGTACATCCAAAGACTGGCAAACAACAACCCTTTTGGTTAATGAACCAACTAAAAATTCTGACTCATGTGAGAAAAAAGGGCTTCCACTGAGTTGACTATAGTTCATTCCTGATACTTAGGAAGTGTAATCAGTCACCAAAATGCAGAAATTGAGGTTCCCTGGTTCAACATACCAATTAGCCACTACTAAATCCAATAGCCATTTCTCATTTCTCTGCAAATTTGAACTTAGCTTTTGAAACAGTTAATTTTTTCCTCTTCCGTACAATACTTTCCTCACTTTATTTTCCAAAAACACTCCCCTGGTTCACTTTCCACCTGGATGCCTTCTCCTTTTCAGTCTTTTTTTTTTTTTTTTTTTTTTTCTGGTTTCTATTCATCTTTTCTACACCAGGGCTCAATTTCTAAATGTTACTTCTTCTCTAGGCTAATACCTTTGGTGATCTCCTCTGGTCTCATGAATTTAGATAAATAATATCAACACACTGATGACTCCCACACTTATATTTCTCACCTAAACTTCTCATCCAAACTCTAGATTTGCATATCCAGCTACCTACTCAAAATCACTACTTGAATGTATCATTAGGCATCTCAAACACAGCATATCAAAAGCCTTACTTCTTACCTTCCTCCACACCAAACTATTTTCCCATAGTCTTCATCACAGTCAATATAACTTCATTATTTCAGTTATTCAATCCCAAAAGCTTGCAGTTGTCTTTTATTTGTTTCCTTCACAGCCCACTTCTGCTACAGCAACAATCCTACTTTTCCTGTCTTCAAAAAGAATCTGAAATCTACCCTCTTCCTAATACTTCCCCTTACTCAATTCACCATCATCGTGCAATAGCATTTGTGCAAAGCCTTCTAACTAACCTTCCTTCTTGTGTCCTGGGTTCTCTATGGCAGGTTGAGCTGTGACAGAAAGAGAAATAATAAAATATCTTTTTTCTAGAATTTTTGGAAAGACTAAATACAAAGAAATTGGGAGAGTGTCTGTGGAGAGCAAGTGATAAATGTTCTGTGATGTTGCTGTAGACATGACTACATCAAATTTCCCATTTCTACTGTGATCTCAAATCACTCCCCTGCATTTATAAACACGTTTGTCTCTCCAAAAACATTTTCTTGAACCTGCATCTCCTCAACCTCCCAGTCCAACTCTGGCCTCCTGTAACAAACAAGGTTATTTCATTACTAATATATTTTCCAGATAATACCTTATTTTCTTGCATTCACTCATTATCTGATTTTTTTCTTCATGTCTTGGATATGTTGTGTTTTCCTAAGTTGCTGATGAGGTTATAATGAACAAATCTACCCAATTTTTCTGACTTTGAAGGTGTAGACTACACTATTCTTTAAAGTCTCTTTCAGTGACTCCCTTGCTATTACACCCTCCTGATTCTTCTCTTATTTTCAAACATCTCCTTCAGTGTGCATACCTTCATACCTTAATAGTTCACATTTATGATGATTTTGATCCCGAGCTTGGCTCTCTTCCATCTACTTATGCTGAGTCACCTCAATCAAGCCAGTGGCCTTTAAATATGATCTATTTCTCAGAGATTCTCAGCTCCATGTATCTAACTCAGATGTTTTACTTAAGCTTTAGAACATGTGAATGTGCTCCCCAAAACCAAAATGATCAAAGCCAGGAGAAACATACAAGAATGTTTATAGCAGCATTTCTTGCCATAACAAAAAACTGGAGATAATCCAACTGCATCAACAGGAGTGGGGATGAGCTGTAGAATAGTCAGTCAATGTACTGTTATACAGCGGGGAAAATGAATAAACTACAGCTATACAAAGTAATTTGAATAAATCTTAAATAATAGCAATACAACAACAATAATTGAGTAAAAGAATCAAGTCATAGAATACCATATGCTGTAGAAAAAATTAAAATTTTATTATGTAAGAATATAGCCATAAGTGGTAAAACTATGAAAAGAAGGGAATCATTATAGATAGTGGAATGGGATTGGAAAGAAGCATTCAGCTAACATCTACGTTCTTGGTAACATTCTAGTTCTAAAGTTGTGTAATGCATTCACAAGTATTCATTTCATTGTTATGATTCATAACTTGCTTATATATTTTCTATATTCTTTTTATGTTTTATATTATAATTATATTACAAAATCCAAAACTAAATTTATGACATTCCCACTCTAGAAGTTTATTTTTTATGTGTGTTCCCTGTTTTGGCCAATGTCCACGTCAATCATCTGTTTGTTCCAGTTAGAATATTTGATCACATTTTTTGAACTTATTTTGGTCTCTCACATTCAGTATGTAATCAATTTGATTCTACCTAGGCCCAGCTCTTGAATTTTATTCTTTATATCTATTTCTAAGATAATAGCCACAGTCAAGTCATTATTGCTCCCACTGGAAATTTTGAAAACATACCAAATGTGCCCCTGTCTTTAGTAATTTACTCAAGGTCTTCTTCCCAAACACAACTGTAATCCTGTCCTTTTTATAATCTAAATCTTAGTCACCATTCCACTATTCAGTCACTAAATCCAAACATCACAATCTGACCTAACTTACCTGTACACACCCAACTTTTACCACTTGATCCCATTTCTTTCATTAGCTCCAAAACCCTATAGTCCATCATTCCTTAAACAAGTTATTAATTTTCAGACCTTTGTTTATGTTTTTGCTTCTTCTCCTGCATCTGCCCAGCATTTACTTGTCACTTAAGGCTCAGCTTAAATATAATCTCAGTGAAGTCATCACTGGCTACCTACGTACAGTTCATCCTACTCTCTCCTATGTTCCCACAGTATTCTGTGCATATCTATCTTACAGCACTTGCATCATTGTATAAAATTACTCAATTATGGTGCAGAAAAGCTAGTTCATAACTAGACTATTAGCTTCTTGAAGACAGAGATTTCCCAATTTCTCATATTCATCTTTGCAGGTGCCAATCTGTGTGTTTGGCATGATTACCTTCTATCCTCAATGAATGTCCTAATTGTTAAGATTCTATAACTCTGACTGATTCACTGAGCTTCTTGATGTCACAGAATAAATTTATCTTCTTAGGTGTCCTTTTACAAATATTAACTTATTTGTAGAAAGGAGTTATTATACTTAAGATATTACTAGAAACATACTTATAAATATTATGCAGATTCATTCCTTATGATCAAATGCATGCGCACATTGGGGAGAAAGGCTGTGGGGAACAAGAAAAGAAACCAACACCCACTGAGTGACTAATGTGTCAGGAAGTAGGTAAGGGTCTTCTACACAATTAATTTTATTTAATCTTCCCCACAACCATTAGTTGTGGGTATTGCATTTTTATTTAATAGTGGCGATAATGAGAGAGATCTTAACCTCCTTGCCTGCAGTCACATAGTGAGTTACCGTTTGTAAGTCAGGTTAGGCTAGGTTCTGCTTCACTAAAAAGCAACCTGTAAATCAAATCATGAACATTTATTTCTCACTCACTCTACATGTCCCATATGGGTTGGCAGGTAATCTCTATCCATCAGTCACTCTGGGATGTCAACTGACAGATCAGCCTCATACCAAATCTCATCAGACACCACCGTTCACATGTTATTGCTAAAGCCCCATCAGACACCACCGTTCACATGTTATTGCTAAAGCCCCACCTGGCCACACTTAACTTCAAGAGGCCAGAGATGCAAAATTCTAACATTTTCCCCAAAAGGAAGATAGAAAGAATTATCTGAGAAATAGATAATAATCACCCTCAGGGAAAAAGTTAAAATTGAGAACACAGCTGCCTAAGTTCAAAATTTTACCACTGGACATTTTTCCTTCTTTTTTCTTCATTTAGAATGAGATTAAATGACATTTTAGAAATATCATTTGTAATGTATGGTCCTTGAGGAAGGTGTGCAGAACCTCTAGGCTGGTAATTCTCAGGGTCGATGTCCATTAAGGTCACCTGCAAATTCCAGATTTCTGAATACAAAAATCAGAATCCTCTAGGGATGGCAGGGAACCTGCATTTGGAACAATCTCCCCAGGTAACCATGGGTTGCTACATGTTGAAAGAACAGTGGTTTAGGACTGAAGGTTCACCTCCTCCGAACCTCATTCTAAGTCGCCTTGCTGTTTATTACATGTTTCCTTTCTGGGGAGTTTTCAGTTCAAAATGTAATGCACACTTCCTATGAACACATGATCATCTCAATTCTCTTCTAAAGCAGAGTCACTGCATCTCCCAAATTTCTTTGGGCACTGGAGAGAACAGAACTTATTGAATAATGCATTTCATCCCTGGGCTACTTGAAAGGGGCTCTGCTTAATGCAGCAGAAATTTTCAGATGATTCATTCTGGAGCCACTGATCAAAAGTACAGCTACTGGGAACAGGTGAGCTCAGGTGATTGATATCTTTCAAGGGACAGTGAACAAAATCTCTATCACTAGGAAAGAGGCTGAGTAATGAAACCAAGTGTCAGACAGGCAGAGAAACCTTTCCCTCCATTTAAGCTTTAAAATAAATTTAGTCACAGTCCCCTGTAAGCCTCAGACTAGACGTTACCATGTCTAAATGGATTCTGCAATGTTGGCATCCTGTTTCTGGGTCTGAGCTGATAGTGTCTTGTGGTGTTGGTGAATAAGGCAAGCCGGGAATAAAATTGACAGGGCCAGGAAAACATCAAAAATCTCTCAGAAACAAAGTGAAGAGGAAGAAAGTCAGCCCTTATATGACAGAAAGGAGGTGGTTCTCATAGAGCTGCTTAGTGTATGTCCCTCGGAGGGAGTGTTTTGTTTCACTTGGCTCCCGTGCCAATCAAAATGCCCCCTTGGCAGTGGATAAAATAAAATATAGAAGGCAGAAATAAATGCCAAAAAACATTCATGCACAGAATGACCTTCCAAGTGCTTCAAGGCCCAGCTAAGCTGTCCTCTACCAAATGAACTGAAAGGGCAAAGAAAAAAAAACCTATAATTTAACTTCAACTAGAAAAGATCTTTAAAATCAGCTGAGATACTAAAATATTTGCCAGTCTCTTCTTTCTGATGGTGACCTAACATTCAATCATGTCTCATAATGTGCCAGGCATTTTATATGCATTTTTTTCATATTATTTCATAATACAGTTGTGAAATGGATGTCATTGTCTTCAGTTCATGTTTGAGAAAATAAGTCAAGGTTAAGTAAATTGCCCAAGGTCATGTTGGAAAGAAGTCAGCTTGGTATTTGTACTTCGTTTTACTCTAAAGTTCGTCCTGATTCTTTTTTTCCACACAAGCCAACTTCTCAAGTTTATATTACAATTATTTAAAACTCTATTCAATATTTTGAAAACTTCTGTCTTCTCTCTCCTTTGCATATCAGGAAATGTGCTCATCCAAACTGGTTGTCCAAATGCAAAATGGTGAAATCTAGTGTCTTACAAACATATACATACACTTTTTACATCTTTAGTTTAATTGAGGCACAATAAGCTTAGTTCACAAGACTAGACTCCAAGTAGATTGACCTAAAAGCTTCAGAAGTTATTCAGCAGAATTGACTCTTCATTTCACCCTGCTTGAGTGCTTACTACAAGGATAACGCAGTTGAGTTCCCAGGGCCACCTGCCAAGGCACACAAGGAGTTTTACATAACCCCAGTAGACATAGCCGTGAAGTGTCCAAGGGCAACTAGAGAAAGAAAAACCTCCTGTCAGCAGACCTATTGCATCATGTCAGCCTTAGAGAAAGAATGTAGTAGCTCTGTCATTATTCCAGCATGAGACCTTGGCAGAAATCCACCTTGAGAGGACAGATTGCCCACATAGCCTTCCTTGGCCCTGTGGGTCCAGATGAATTTAATCCCCACAGCACTGTCCACGATGATATTTGAACTGATACACACATCAGGCCTCTCCACAAGACTCCGTATGCCCCACATTTTGCTGTTTGGAAAGGAAAGGTACCCTCCTCATATTCCAGCCTACTAAACAGAGTAGTATTCCAGCCTACTAATAGAGAAAGGAGTTGGAAGAGTGATCTAACTTAGAAGACCTTAGCAATGGCAGGTCATTGGATCATAAAATGAGAAGCCCACAGGATCAAGGGTCAGGCAGGCCTGAGTTGTCATCCAAGCTCTGCCACTAACTAGCTGAGTGACCTTAGATAAGTTATTTAGCCTCACACGGTTGTTATGAAAACCAAACATAATGTTTTTAAAGGGAAGCCATATAGTGGAGTAGTCAAGAGTACTAACTTTGGAGTAAAAGTGAGCTGGAGACCAGCTTTACAACTTAATAACTATGTGATGCTGTGCCAGGCAATTTACTTTCTAGGCCTCAATTCCCTCATCTGTAAAGTCAGATTAACGGATAATCACAGTGCATTAGAGGTACACAGAGGAATATCAACGGATCTTAAAAACATAGTTCTTCATGAAAAAGTAAGAGTAAGAAACAGCTATAACACATTATCATTCACATATTACCCATTATATAAGAACACATTCAAATAAAATACACACACAATACCATGGAATGGTTATCCATGGGATAGAGGAGGGAATGGGAATGGGGTGTGGAGGGAAAAAAAGGGATAAATTCATTACATAACAGGGGCCTCGTACAGGAAAATAATAAAATAGGTCATATACTGAGGAGTGTGATTAACTCAACTCTCTGAACCAGAAGTTTTAACAAAGCAACAATAACAAATAGGGACAATAACTGGATCTCCTTGCGGGGGTTGTTGGGGGAGATGAGTGTGGTAAAGTGCAGGAGAGATTTGGCAGAGGATCTGCTACAAACCCAGTGATGGCAAGAGTTTTGTAAGATCTTTTGGGGAGCAGCAGTTCTTCCTCCTTTCTTCACACTTTGAAGCTTGGACTATTTTTGGAGGGGAATTCCCAGGTTGTTTTTGTTGTTGTTGCTTTGTTTTGAGAAGCAAGTTATTGCCAAGCATGTTTGAAAAACCCACTTTGTAATCTTTTTCATGAATCAGATTTCCAAAAGTTGGAGGTTGCCTCCAAAAGGTCACTGTCCCACATAGGACACAAGCAAATAACTCTAGCATAACATAGATGACTAGACTTCGGCCTGCAAAATTATGGAGATGATATCCGCTAAAAGTGAATTAGGTTAAGTTGATCATTTCTCATCTTTGACATTCAAAATGATTTAGCCAGGTTACATTTATTTATGCAGAATATTAACGGGGCACAGTAGTCTTGTTTCATCTAATCCTTTATTAAAGCAAATTAAAAATAATTTCTAAATTCCATTATTAATACCCTCCCTCTGTGAAAAGTATTTCCCTCAGCAGACCCTATTGACATTTAGTCTAGACACTGCTGAAGGAATTCACTTCATGAATATCAATAACTGTGTTGCATAGAAATGGGAAGATATTAAATGATTTCCAAGCATTTGACAGTTGACAAAATGTTAGTATAATAATTAAAAGTGGAGGCTGTTGAAATGCTAGGTAGGGGCTCCTCAGTGCAGCAGTGCACATTGGTCATCTGAACAGCATCTTTGCTAGAAGGTAGCTTACAGAAGAATCTTAACCTTGCCTTCATCTTGGTTTTACAGCTTCAGTGAATCCTATACAGAAAGACAGAAAATGTCTTCTTTCTAAAATGCTACTGATGGCTCATGTCATGCTCTTGATTTAGAAAAAATAAAGTTCAATAAAACCTATTCATATAATTTCTTGTCGTATTTTTTCTCCTCCCACAGTAGACAAGTTTAAATGTGAATGGATGTATTAGAAGAAAAAATAGGTTTAGCTGGTTGCTGTTCTTCTCTTCACTTCCCATCCACCCTAACTTTTATCCAATGCTCACCCACTCCTCCAGCACAGATATTCTTACTTATTTTTTTCTGGGGAGAAATCTGGGCTTCAGTATTTTTTAGGAGTTTCCCAGCTCTTTCTCATGTACAGTTAAGACTTACATGTAATGAACTAAAGCAATGATTCTCAAACTTAAGAGAATATAAGGCTCACCTGAAGTGCTTGCTAAAAATACAGATTTCTAGAATACATATCCTGGAACTCTGGGGAGTTTGCGGGTAGAGCTCAGGAGTCTGCATCTTTAGCAAATATCCAGGGATTCTGATTCAGGTAGTGCAAGGAACACATGTTGAGAACATTGGCCTGGTTCCATTTCTCATTTTTAGCTTTAGCCCTTCACCCAGTTGTTGAAGGAACGCAGATCAAAGAGCAAGACTGCACTCTGTTGCTCTCAATAAAGATATTTCTAGTGAAGACAGCCAAGTACATTTTGTTGATAACATTTGCAAGAACCAGCCCAAAAGAACATGAGGAAAGAGATGTAACATTTACCAAGCACTTACTATGCTTCAGGCCTTTTTCAAATGTTCTCTAATTTAAGTCTCAAAGCACACAGAGGTATAGATCAATTACATATCCTTTCCTAGACTCCACTGCTGGGGAGAGGGCAGCCAGAGATGATCTTGCCTTCTAAATCCAAAGACTGTGACTATAAAGGACAGCAGTCAGAGGTTGGGAAATCTAAATATCAGACCCCGGTTTGTCCTCCTTGAATGTTTTGATCCAAGCACCAAAATTCTCCCAATTTCTATTTCCCTATCTGTCTAGGTTTGGGATTTAGGGAATAGGGGTGGGATTTCTGCCTCTTTATGATTCAGAAAGATTTTCTGAAGGCAAAGGTGCATGAACTAGCACACGTGAAGACATTTGAGTTTTTAGGGAAAAAAATATGTAGATGGAATAAGATGTAATATGTAAAAAGAAAATAATGTTGACATCATTGGACACCTTCTGTAATTTGTTCATTTGCCCATGCATTCATACATCAAGTGTTATATGAATATTTATTGTTTACAGAACCCTGAAGATTGGAAAGGGTACAAGCCCTTTATAGACAAAAGATTTTCAGCTTGGTGGGGAGAGGAGGCAAAATGGATAGGAGACAGTGGGAGTAGAGGAGATAGAGAGTGGATAGAAAAGAGGAGGAAAGAAGAGGAGGTAGAAGGAGAAAGAGAAAGAGTAGTGTGGGAGACAACACATTTACATTTGTAAAAATGTTTTCCAGTTCACAAAGTAATTTTTTATTCATTGCATCATTCAATTCAGTTTTTCTCATACTTCAGCATGCAAAAAGATGAATAGGAGGATATTTTAAAAACAGATTTCTAGCCTCACCTTCAGAAATTCCAATTCAGTGAGCCTGGGTTGGGGCTGGTGGTTATAGGGGTAGATGGTGATCTGTGGAAAGACCATGGTTTGAATGGCACTAATTTAATTCTTACTACAACATTATCTGGCAGGTAAGATTGGCATTATACTCTTTAAAATTATAATTTTCTCCCCAGATTTATTAAGGTTTAATTGACAAATTAAAAATGTATACACTTATGTTACACAATATGACATTTTGATGTCCTGTGTTAACTGCAGCATTACTCACAATAGCCAAGATATGGAATCAACCTAAGTGTCCATCAAGAGATAATGGACAAAGAAAATGTGACATATATGTATAATAGTATTTGACATTACACAAAGAAGGAAATCCTGTCATTTTGCAATAGCATGGATGATGCTAAGCAAAATAAGCCAGGCACAGAAAGACAAATATTGCATGTTCTTACACTTGAAATCTAAAAAGTCAAATTTATAGAAGCAGAGAGTAAAATGATAATTACTGGGAGCTGGGGTGGGTAGTAGAATGGAGAGATGCTAGTCAAGTGAACCCCATTTATCATCCCTATTTTTAAAAGGAGAATGTTGAAGTTCAGAGAAGTTTAAAAACCGGTTTAAGGTCCCAGTGCTGTTTTGGGCTCTTTCTTTTCTACAGAAATGATTTAAGCTCAATATTCTTTGAGGTCCTACATGGGGAAATCTGAATGATGGCCATCCCCCTCCAAGAGATGAAAGTTTCCATGGATACAAATATTGTTTTGATAGATTGCAAAGAATTTCCTTTAATCATAAATTTTCTAAGAAATAGTTTCAGCAAGATATAATCTATTTCTGCCCGTTAAAGAACCAATGTTCACGAAGTAGGAGAATTAAATACCAGAGTTCTCTTTGTGAAAATTTGCAAGGTATACAATATTCTTGTAGTTAAGTTTTAACCATGTTTGAGGACGTTGTGAAGATTAAATGAGGATTAATTTGGCCTGAATTATGTTTGGTAGTTCTTGGCATGTAGTAGGTGTTCAATACATACTAGTTTCTATGTTTTCCTTTTCACTATTTTGTTTTCTTTTTATTATTAAGTTCTGGGATACATGTGCAGAACATGCAGGTTTGTTCCACATGTATACACATGCCATGGTGGTTTGCTGCACCCATCAACCCTTCATCTACATTAGGTATTTCTCCTAATGCTACCCCTCCCCTAGCCCCCCACACCCTGACAGGTCCCGGTGTGTGATATTCTCCTCCCTGTGTCCATGTGTTCTCATTGTTCAACACCCACTTATGAGTGAGAACATGTGGTGTTTGGTTTTTTGTTCCTGTGTTAGTTTGCTGGGAATGATGGTTTCCAGCTTCATCCATGTCCTTGAAAAAGACATGAACTCATCCTTTTTTACGGCTGCATAGTATTCCATGGTGTATATGTGCCACATTTTCTTTATCCAGTCTATCAGTGATGGGCATTTGGGTTGGTTCCAAGTCTTTGCTATTGTAAACAGTGCTGCAATAAACATATGTAGCATGTGTCTTTATAGTAGAATGATTTATAATCCTTTGGGTATATACCCAGTAATGGGATTGCTGGATCAAATGGTATTTCTGATTCTAGATCCTTGAGAAATCACCACACTGTCTTCCACAAAGGTTGAACTAATTTACACTCCCATCAACAGTGTGAAAGCATTCCTATTTCTCCACATCATCTCCAGCATCTGTTGTTTCCTGACATTTTAATGATCGCCATTCTAACTGGTGTGAGATGGTATCTCATTGTGGTTTTGATTTGCATTTCTCTAATGACCAGTGAGGATGAGCTTTTTTCCATATGTTTGTTGGCCATATAAATGTCTTCTTTTGAGAAGTGTCTGTTCATATCCTTCGCCTACTATTGGGGGAATCCGCCCCCAATATTTCAATGTAGGTTCTTTCTATTTTCCATAAGTGTTGGCCAGCTGAGAAATAAAGAGAGACAGTACAAAGAGGAATTTTACAGCTGGGCCACTGGGGGGTGACATCACATATTGTTAGGACCATGATGCCCACCTGAGCCTCAAACCAGCAAGTTTTTATTAAGGATTTCAAAAGGGGAGGGGTTGTAAGAACAGGGAGTAAGTACGAAGATCACATGCTTCAAAGGGCAAAAAGCAGAACAACTAGTAAGGATCTAACAAAGATCACATGCTTCTGAGGGAACAGGACAAAGGGCAAAAGCAGAACTACTGATAAGGGTCCAACAAAGATCACAAGGCAAAGGGCAAAAACAGAACCATTGATAAGGGTCTATGTTCAGCGGTACATGTATTCTCTTGATAAACATCTTAAACAACAGAAAACAGGGTTCAAGAGCAGAGAACTGGTCTGACCACAAATTTACCAGGGTGGAGTTTTTCCCCACCCTAGTAAGCCTGAGGGTACTGCAGGATACCAGGGCATATCTCAGTCCTTATCTCAACTGCACAAGACAGACATTCCCAGAGCGGCCTTTTATAGACCTCCCCTCAGGAATGCATTCCTTTCCCAGGGTATTAATATTAATGTTCCTTGCTAGGAAAAGAATTTAGTGATATCTCTCCTACTTGCACATCTGTTTATAGGCTCTCTGCAAGAAGGAAAATATGGCTTTTTTGGCCCAACCCTGCAGACAATCAGACCTTATGGTTGTCTTCCCTTATTCCCTAAAAATCACTGTTATTCTGTTCTTTTTCAAGGTGCACTGATTTCATGTCATTCAAACACACACTTTTTACAATCAATTTATACAGTTAACACAATTATCACAGTGGTCCTGAGGTGATGTACATCCTCAGCTTATGAAGGTAACAGGATTAAGAGATTAAAGTAAAGACAGGCATAAGAAATTACAAAAGTATTATTTGGGAATGGATAAATGTCCATATTAAAATGAAATCTTCACAATTTATGTTCCTCTGCCATGGCTCCAGCCAGTCCCTCTGTTCGGGGTCCGTAAATTCCCACAGTGGCCCACTTTTGGATGGAGTTTTTTTTTTTTTTCTTGTAAATTTTTTAAGTTCCTGGTAGATTCTGGATATTAGCCTTTTGTCAGATGGATAAATTGCAAAAATTTTCTCCCATTCTGTAGGTTGCCTGTTCACTCTGATGATAGTTTCTTCTGCTGTGCAGAAGCTCTTTAGTTTAATTAGATCCCATTTGTCAATTTTGACTTTTGTTGCCATTGCTTTTGGTGTTTCAGTCATGAAATCTTTGCCCATGCCTATGTCCTGAATGGTATTGCCTAGGTTTTATTTTAGGGATTGTATGGTTTTAGGTCTTACATTTAAGTCTTTAATCCATCTTGAGTTAATTTTTGTATTAGGTGTAAGGAAGGGGTCCAGTTTTAGTTTTCTGCATCTGGCTAGCCAGTTTTCCCAACACCATTTATTAAATAGGGAATCCTTTCCTCATTACTTATTTTTGTCAGGTTTATCAAAGATCAGATGGTTGTAGATGTGTGGTGTTATTTCTGAGGCCTCTGTTCTATTCCACTGGTTTATATATCTGTTGTGGTTCCAGTACCATGTTGTTTTGGTGACTGTAGCCTTGTAGTATAGTTTGAAGTCAGGTAGCGTGATGCCTCCAGGTTTGTTCTTTTTGCTTAGGATTGTCTTGGCTATATGGGTTCTTTTTTGGTTCCATATGAAATTTAAAGTAGTTTTTTCGAATTCCGTGAAGAACGTCAGTGGTAACTTGACGGGGATAGCATTGAATCTGTAAATTACTTTGGGGAGTACGGCCATTTTGACAATACTGATTCTTCCTATCCATGAGCATGGAATGTTTTTCCATTTGTTTGTGTCCTCTCTTATTTCCTTGAGCAGTGGTTTGTAGTTCTCCTTGAAGAGGTCTTTCACTTTCCTTGTAAGTTGTATTCCTAGGTATTTTATTCTCTTTGTAGTAATTGTGAATGGGAGTTCACTCAAGATTTGGCTCTTTGTTTGTCTATTATTGGTGTATAGGAATGCTTGTGATTTTTGCACATTGGTTTTGTACCCTGAGAATTTGCTGAAGTTGCATATTAGCTTAAGGAGATTTTGAGCTGAGATGATGGGGTTTTCTAAATATACAGTCATGTCATCTGCAAATAGAGACAATTTGACTTCCTCTCTTCTGATTTGAATACGCCTTATTTCTTTCCCTTGCCTGATTTCCCTGGTCAGAACTTCCAATACTATGTTGAATAGGAATGGTGAGAGAGGGCATCCTTGTCCTGTGCCGGTTTTCAAAGGGAATGCTTCCAGCTTTTGCTCATTCTGTATGATACTGGCTGCGGGTTTGTCATAAATAGCTCTTATTATTTTGAGATACATTCCATTGATACCTAGTTTTTTGAGAGTTTTTAGCATGAAAGGCTGTTGAACTTTGTCAAAGGCCTTTTCTGCATCTATTGAGATAATCATATGGTTTTTGTCATTGGTTCTGTTTATGTAATGGATTACATTTATTGATTGGCATATGTTGAACCAGCCTTGCATCCCAGGGATGAAGGCAACTTGACTGTGGTGGATAAGCTTTTTGATGTGCTGCTGGATTCGGTTTGCCAGTATTTTATTGAGGATTTTCGCGTCAATGTTCGTCAGGGATATTGAGCTAAAATTCTCTTTTTTTGTTGTGTCTCTGCCAGGCTTTGCTATCAGGATGATGCTGGTCTCATAAAATGAGTTAGGGAGGAGTCTCCCTTTTTCTATTGTTTGGAAAGTTTTCATAAGGAATGGTACCAGCTCCTCTTTGTACCTCTGGTAGAATTTGGCTGTGAATCCGTCTGGTGCTGGGCTTTTTTTGATTGGTAGCTAATTAATTACTGCCTCAATTTCAGAACTTGTTATTGGTCTATTCAGGGACTCAACTTCTTCCTGGTTTAGTCTTGGGAGAGTGTATGTGTCCAGGAATTTATTCATTTCTTCTAGATTTTCTTGTTTATTTGCATAGAGGTGTTTATAGTATTCTCAGACGGTAGTTTGTATTTCTGTGGGATCAGTGGTGATATCCCCTTTATCATTTTTTATTGTGTCTATTGATTCTTCTCTCTTTTCTTCTTTATGAGTCTGGCTAATGGTCTATCTATTTTTTTAATCTTTTCAAATAGCCAGCTCCTGGATTCGTTGATTTTCTGAGGGGGTTTTCGTATCTCTATCTCCTTCAGTTCTGCTCTGATCTTAGTTATTTCTTGTCTTCTGCTAGCTTTTGAGTTTGTTTGCTCTTGTTTCTCTAGTTCTTTTAATTGTGATGTTAGGGTGTTTATTTTAGATCTTTCCCACTTTCTTCTGTTGACATTTAGTTGAGTGCTAGTAAAAAGTGCAAAGGTAGCATGCCAAACGGTGGGCTAGGCACTTCATTTACATTAGTGTATTTAATTATCATCACAATCCCAGGGATCTGGTTCTGTTAACTCATCCCCAGTTGGTAAATGAGGAATCTGAGGCACAGAGAGATGAAAGTCTTTCCCCATTCTCATGCTAAATAGAGTTCAAGCTGGGAGTCCAACCCAAGCCGCTTTTCTCCAGAACCTGCTCTCTTAAGTGTGTTAGGAAGAGTTGCTTCCCCAGTTTGGCATTCAAGATATTTCAATTAGTTAAAAGTTGAAAGTGAAGGGATGAAAAGAGAACATGAATTACAAACCCAAACTTTTTACCATTACTAGTATATGGTTCATAAAACAGTGTGAATGGGTGCTATTAATGCCACAAAAATGATACCTTTTTTTTTTCCTTACTCCAATTTCCATTCTTTTGGTTCTAAGTCTTTCTGACAAGAAGTATAGTTTTGCTATTTAATCCCTGCACCTGCTAGATAACTGTACTTGTCAGCCTTTATGCTGATAAAAGGGACTCTCTCACTCATTTACTCATTATCCAAATAGTTCTTGGATGCAAATAATTCTTGAGCACTTCCTGTGTGTAAGCATTACAAATTTCTGGTGGTGCAAGTGGGAATGTGCACACATACACCCTGTACCTGTCCTTATGGTGCTTTATGTATGGTGGGGAGATGAAGAGATATGTTAAACAAATACTTACATTTCTGACTATAGAATTTCAAACTTATGAGGATCTTGAGTGAAAGAATAATGGTCTCAAGAAAGGGTATGATGAGGAATGTACTTAAGTTGTCCATGAGGGGTATAGGTTCCCCAGCAGATGTCAATGAAGGCACCTAAGGGTAAGTGGTCTTTGAGCTGAAATTTAAAGTGTAAATAGAAGGGTGAGAAGAGAGATAAGTATAACATCCTTGTGGTGGGAGGGAACATGGCAAATTCAACAAACTGAAAGAATGTCTAGATACATAAAAGAATACTGACAGAACCCAGAGAAAGCTGACTCCAAAGAAGAAAAAGCAACCTCAGAATATATCCTGTAGGAAGGATATAAAGTCACTCGTTAATTTAACAGATGTGTATTGAATTTTTACTGCATGCCAGTGTTTGTGCCAGAGGCAGAAGATACTACAAAGAAAAATAAGACGTATTTTATTTTGATTATTGATCAAATAAACATTGATGCATTAATTCATTCACATTAATCTATATGCTTATAGATAGATATCTATATTATATATGATTAGATATTGAATTAGATATAGATACATCTCAAAGACTCACTCCAAACCTAATGAAGTATAATCCTCAGGTAAGGAACGACGATTCTGGGATTTTTTAAATATCAGAAATGAACCCTGTGGGCAGCTACGGATGAGAACCTGGTTTACACCAAGTTAAAATGGTTCTCATTGTAAGAAGCAAAAATTAAAATTCACATTTTAAGGTCAGTGGTTGGCCAAATTGTTTCTTCCCTCTAAAACTTGAAAACTACTACTATGAAATTCTAAAGGTAATAGTGAGCTCACTATGTCAAATGGGGGCGGGGAAGCAAGTCTTCTTTAGGAGCAGATATGAGAGTAGTTTGAGCCATATGCCCCAAAGCTGCACAGCAGATTTGTTAAGGCCCCCCAGAGGGGTATAAGCCCTGGTTAGGAATTGTTCCTGTAGGAACATTCATTTGATTTCTCATTTACTGGAGTATCCTGGTGACTTTAATGAAAGCAAATCTTATGCAAATTAAACAAAAATGATGAGCTTTGACAATAGACAGAAGCTGAATCTTAGCAAATGAATCTGCTTCTATTCTGATGACCTTAGCTTCCACTTGGCCTTTAGCCATGGAAGGCGAATGTTTATATGTAGCTTAATTGGTTAACAATATTTAAGTGCTTCAAGAGCTCCTCAACTTGGCATTAAAGAACAATTACCCATCATCACTGGCTTCCCAGAGCACTTGATAAAGCTGAGTCATACACCTGTCTCTGAGTGGAGGCTCTTAGGCAAGGGCATAGTGTTTTGCTAAATCTCTGAAGCACTTAGAAACACACCACATGATCTGCCCAGCCACTGAAGCGCCCAAAGCCAATGATGAGGAACTCATTAGGGAAGGAGGGTGTGAGGTGAAAAACAAGCAGAAACTCTTTCTAAGCCCAGCCTTGCCTGAGCCACGTGAGCTCCCATAATAACCTGGACCCATTCCACTTATGATTGACTTCATTTGTTTTACAGGAAACTCTTCCTTTTTGAAAGGGAGATGCTAAGCTTTTCAGTGCCTCCAGCAGAACATGTTAATACCTTGATTCCAAGGGTGTGGATCACAGAAATCTAAAATATCTCTGGTTTCGGTGGGAATACTGAAACCTTTCTCTGCTGACGCATATAGGAATTAAAGAAGCGTGACAGCTTTGAACCACTGTCAAAAGCTGCATGGAGCCTCATTTCTGGAACGATGTTCCATTTTCTGTGCTTTTAGCTTGGAAGCATCTCCTTCTTAAACCTCTCCTTTCCCCACATCCCCAGCCCACTGACTTTATTTCCACCCTTCTTTTGGTTCTGCCAGGAAAGCTTAGAATACCAGAAAAGTGGGGACTGAAAATAATTTAGGTAATATGACTACCATTACAGTTTGTTGACAAAACATAAAATTTTTCAACTTCAAGAGCTTGTTTTAATAAGATTTATAAGTCTCTCTATATATATGTACACATACACACACACACACACACACACACACATATATATATATATACAAATACCTTGCATACACCTCTTTTTTGTTTTTTGTTTTGAGAACAGGAATTTGCAAACTTGAAAAAGAAAGCTTGTCACTACAAGTGACTGGAGGTTTTTCTTCTAATTGATATTCTGAGTCTCCTGTTGGGGAAAAGTATCTGGTTGAAGAAAAATACTGGCTTTCATAAGCCCAGATGAATGAGTTTCCAACCTGTCATGGTGGTATCACTGAAGAATGCTTCAATGTTTCATTATCATTAATTCATGCATGTATTCAGAAAATATATATTTAGGACCTACTGTGTAGTAAGACTAGTGTCTAAGGGATAAAGAAAGTAAAATATATTTTTAAATAACATCTGTTTTAAGATCTTACAAACTTAGGAAGAAAATAAGAACTTGGTCAAGGGAGAATGCTTACATGCTCCAAGAGTATAGACAAATGTTTTTAGAATTAACAGGAGGGAGGCACTGATTATGATAATCAATGGTGATGGGGCTCGTGGTTTTAGGCATTGCTTTGGTAAGGAGACAGAAAGTGAGCTGGGCCTTGAAGTATGTTAAAGGCATGAGAATATTGAAATGGGAAAGGAAAGGAGGTGACTACAGAAATATTGTTAAGTCAGGGAACAAAGTTGAGGAACCAATGATTGTTGGTAATCTTGAATTGATAATGCCCAATTGCTCAATTATGCCATTTATTCTTGGTATTTTCAGGATATAGGGGATAGGCACAGAAAAGTCAGTAGGGATTCACCCAACCACCATGGAGAAGGTGGATGCCATTGAAGGTCAAAGAAAAGAACAAGCCAAACAGTGGTTGAAAAGGCAGAGTATGGAATCTAAGATGGAGAACATCAAAAAAGGGGGCAAAGGATCAACCAGCATCCTGCATTTAGAGGATTTTAGGGCATGGTGTCTTCAAGGATCAACTAGATGTCAGTGTAGGCAAAGAGAGGGATCAAAGCTAGCATGTATTTTATAGATGGACCTTGTGGTCTACAAAGGTAAATTCCGTAAGACACAGTGAGAAAAAGGAGTAGATGATGAGAGAGCAAACTCACAAAATTGCTGTGAGGAGAGAAATTCTATCTGAACGACTGACATAGTGGTTGAGAAAAATTGCAACAGGGGGCACAGTTAGAATTAGTAGGAGAACGACATTGATAATGTTAATGATACCGGATTGTAGATGAGTAAATACTCTGTGCCATTAGATTCAGATGCACTCTGGTAAGGAGACATGGCAGTTCTGGTGTGAACTCTGGTTTCCTTTCCTCTGATCCTTGGATGAAATGTGTTCAGTGGAAGGTAGGAAGGAGAACTTAGAAGAGTGTTTCTCACTGCTTGGGAAACATTAAGTGTAATAGGCAGAATAATTGCACTCTAGTGATGTCCACATCCTAATTCCCCCAGAACCTGCAATATTTTAACTTTCATGGCAAAAGGTACTTTGCAGATGTGATTAAATTAAGGATCTTGAGATGGAGAGATTATCCTGGATTATCCATATGGGCCCAATGTAATCAGAAGAGTTTTTACAAAAGGGAAAGAAGATGTCAGAAGACAGAGATAATGATAGACTGCTGGCTTTGATGTTGGAAGAAAAGACAATGAGTCAAGGAATGCCCATAGCTTTCAGAAGCTGCTAAAGGCAGGGGTATGGATTCTTCTCTGGAGCCTCCAGAAAGAATATAGCCCTATTGCCATTTTGATTTTAGCCTTACAAGACCCATTTTTGACTTCCTACCTTCAGAACTGCAACATAATAAATCTGTATTCTTTTAAGCCATTAAGCTTGTGATTTTTTTACAGCAATAGGAAAATAATGTAGTATATTGAGTTTAAGTCTAGTATTGAAAAATATGTTCTCAGGTAGTAACAGCTGGGTTAGCTGGGTCCAGGCTAGGCATAGATGATGAGTATATGTTTGGAGGCCCAAAGTAAGGTAAATGCAGCGGCAGGTATAGCCGTAATGGAAAAGGTGGGTGGGCAAGAGGGTAAAGTATAAGTGCTTATTTCAAAGAATTGCTCTGAGCAAAGAATGGAAAATTAGCAAAGCCACCTGTAATATAATAAGTGCTTAATATGTGGTTTAAAATAATTTGTTAGAATGTCGACTCTCCTGTGGGCAAAGTGATCTTTCGGAGGGTACAAATTTCAGAGAACACATCGTTTGGTCCTCCCTGAAGATGGTTCTATACAAGTAAGATTGGCTTATGTTGAATATCAAGGAAAGCCTTGAAGTGGGGAAAGAATTTGTGCATGAATAGGAATGGGTAGAAGGAAGGAGAGCAAATGATAGGCAGCCTCCTCACCCTGGTTTTACCTGTTTGCCTAGCTGACTGTTCTTATAAAAGCTTCAGGGTTTCTTTAGCACCAGCTGAGCATGTTACTTCATCCCACCTCCAGCTGCCTTTCTGAGTCACTGCCCAGTCTTTTACCCTGCAGCAATCGCCTGTGATCTCTTTGTGAGAGATCCTAGTGCTTACTCATCTCTGTGTTGCCAGCACCTAGTATAATGCCCAGTGAATAGCAAATGCACAATAAATCTTCACATAGTGAATGAACAAAGAGAAAAGGGTTTTACTCTTAAAACATTTAAAGACTCATTGCAATGAGAAAGTATTATAAAGCAGTAAATAAATAATCTTGTGCTCAAATTTGTGGTCCAGATGACTTGTTTTCAAAAACTGATCTACACCAGCCCACCAACTGAAACCAGGCCAGTAAAGATGCTTGGTCCCCAGCCGCCTCGATTCTAATTTAGTAGGTCTGGGCTAGCTCCCGGGCATGCGTCCCTTTAACAAACTCCTTAAGGATTCTGCTTTTCAGGCAGATCTGTGGACTCCTGATCTTGACCTTGTTGAAGACAGAGATTATTGCGGACTAGGATGATCAGAGAAAGATTCATTGGGAAGGTGGGATCTGAGTGGAATCTTCACGCATGGGCAAATTTGGATGGATAAAGAGAAGGACAAGCAGCCAGGTCAAAGATAGAGAGGAGCAGGCATTGTAAGAAGCAATATTTTGTATCATATAACTTTTCTACTCAAAAGACCATTCACAGTCTGTATCACTTATTTCTCCATATCAAGTCACTCTAAAGTTTAGTATCTTAAAAATAATAACCATTGTCTATTATTTCTCAGTTTCTGAGGGTCAAGAATTTGGGAGCAGCTTGGCTGGGCTTTCCTGACTGAGGGTTCTCAAGAAGTTGCAGTTAGATGAAGACTGGGGCTATGGTCATCTCAAGGGACCCTTTAGTCAGGCGTCTGGACTGAGAAAACTCATAAGGCTGGGAGGGTTGCAACAGCTAAGGCTCCCTGGGCTTCTTTCTCTCTCTCTATGCTGTCTTTTCCTATGATCTCCAAAATATAGTGGACTCAAAGTCACTGGGCTTCTTACATGGTGAGTTGAGCCTCTAAAAGCACATGTTCTGAGAGAGTGCACTAGTAGGAAAAGAGAAGCAGAGAGAAGGAGAAGCTAAATAGTAGGGCGCATGTGGCATCTAACCATGTATGCAAGTGAATAGGCAAATAGTAGATGGGCAAGGGAAAGTCATGGCCTTTGGAAGTTCTTAATTTAACTTTAGTCAAACACTAAGAGATTATTCAATGCTTCCTATTGGTCAACAATATGGATTGTATAGCACTCAGAAGAATCATCACAGAATATATCAACTTCAAAAGGTATGATTTAATATGGCTTTACCATGAGAAAATGTAATAAGGTCTTATTCTTTCAGCAGCTTTCAATCATCCTTGAAGGTCAAGGATCACATTTTTCAAAGAGTTGACTTTGTATCATGGGCATATCTGTATAACGTGAGCCAAAAGAGTTGAATTCCATGCCTACCACTTACCAAACTTTGGGATCCTGAGAAAATCCTTAACTTCCTTCCAGATTTAGCTGTTTATTTTTCCAACTTTATCTCCTGTCTCTTCCTCAAATTTCATAGTCTAATTTTTTAGATTACTTGCTCTTTCCTAAAAGGTGAAAACTCTCTCCTGCCTCTTTGCTTTTGCACAGGGTGCCTCTGCTTGAGACACTGCCCTTCCATACATTTCTCTGTCCCCCGCTGCTGTCCCTCTCTGCCTTTTAACTCTAGTACTGTCACAACTTCTTAGAACTGTCAGATCTCACTCCTGGAGGAGCCACTCTCTGCGGTCCTCTAGTGCCCTGCATGTATCTGTAGCACTGACCAGGTTTTGCTCTTTTCACTGCTAGACTCAGAGTTTTTTAAGGTCTAGTTCTTCATTATCTCTGGAATGTCTGCAATGAGCATATGTCTGGCATGTAATAATCTATCAATGAATATTTATTGTGTTTAAGTGAATAAATGAATTCATTAATACAGGAAGGAAGGAATTATTTTAAAGTGTGGATCATCCATTCTCTGGCTTGATAGGACACTGACATGTTGGACTTCAGAGGACATTGGCTAAATTATCTTTTCATGGTCATTGTCAAGATTGAAAAATAAACAGTAAGAAAAAACTTCCTTCAAAGTCCTCTGCCTTTTGAGTCTATTTTCTTCTTTCTTGCTGAGAATCCTGCACAAAGATAAAGATGAGCATGAGAAGCTTCCATGTTTATCTATTTGTATCAAATACATAGCCCCTTATATTTTTTGGCTATGAGAATGTGCACATCTTTTTCTACTCCAGAAAGATGCAGTGGAAAGAAAATTCATTTCTGGTGTGCTGTGAATATCTATTGAGTAAGAGTGATGGCAATCTGACTCTCATCTCACACTACCTCACTGGGATAGAGCAAAACAGGACTGGAAGCCTGACCATGTCTCTCTCTCACTGACAGCAAGGTGCTGAGCTAGAATGGGATCTGTGGCCACACAGATCTCAGTTACAAGCTGGCCACCACCACTCATTAGCAATTTGACTTCATTTTCCTAGGCTTCAGTTTCTTCATTCATGGTCTAAGGATTGTTATTTCATCATGCTCAGTTCAAAAAATGACAACTGTTGTAAAGTTTGAGATAACCTTAGCAACATCACCAAGCCTGTTTTCTAACATACAGTAGATGTTAATTTTCTCTTCTCTTCTCTCACAGGACGCTCTGGAGCAGAGAACATTCTAGCTACCCATGACAAAGAGGTCCTTTCTGGCTTTCCTTTTCTGCTTAGTAAGAGTAGGGCAGGGCTCTAGGTATCTTGTGTATTTCTCCCTGGCTCGCACACCCAGGCACACCCATCCACAGGGCTTTGTTTCTTTAACCTCAAGTTATGTAATGAGTAGGTGTAGGGCTCTGAATTCATTTCCACAAGGATCTGTTTCAATTGCCCTAGGGCTCTGAGTGTATGTATGACACAGAGAGGCCCATACATGTTTCCCACTTGAAGCACCAGGCCTGAATTAGGTCATGCAATCATTGCATTTTTTGCCATTTCACAAGCTGCTGCCATGGAAGCAGGTTAGGGCCACAGAGAATAAAGCAACAGCAGGTAGTTGCCTAACCTTGCTTTGTATTTACACATACATGTAGGTAGGGAAATGGTGACTCATTCCCCTTGCTGAAATACAGCAGAAAGGCCAGCTCTTAATGACTTTATTTCAAAGGTTACTTTCCCCCACCTTCAGACAAATCTTCTACAACTGAATTTAATCTCTGGAAGTATGAGACATGTTAGGAAGAGTATTAGCCTATTCTGACCCCTAGGGTACCATTGGGTAACAGCTAGTATCTAGATGGTATCCAAGGAGCCCTCCCTAAGCCTGTGGGAAGTGAAATAACCAATAGTTGATGATTCAAAGATTGGTGATAGTGCCCAACGAAAGTCACTACCTACTATGTGCCAGCTCCTTTGTCTATGTTTTCTCTAATCCTCATGTCAAATCAGCTAATTTTGCAACTGATGTGCAGGCTGATTAAGTAATTTCTCCAAAGTCCAATGGTAATAAGCAGCAGAGTTGAGAGACTGAAATCCAGACATTTCTAATGCCAAACTCCACATACCTTCTACTCTGTCACACTGCCTCCTTAAAGTTGAAATGGAGTGTTTTGCCTGCCCTGCTGCCCATGTCCCTAAAACTGCCACTAAATATGGGCCTTCTGGGACTATCAGTCACAGTGCCAGCGCCTCCTCTCTCTGCCACTAGGTGACTGTGTTCTAGAATTCTGACTCCCAGTAAATCACACTTGCACAGAAGGCAGTTGAAAGAATGTCAGTTTTGAAACACCCCTTATGAAATTCTGTTTCTTTGATTGCTCTTCCTGAGGTCTAGTTGTTTCCCTCTTTATTTGATTCTGGAAATTACTCACAGATAAACTTCCTGTAGATTTGTTTTGTTTTGTTTTACTTAAGTCAGTCTGGAACAGTTTCTGTTGCATGCAACCACAGACCCTTAATGAATGATGGATACACTGTGAAGCACTCAGATAGTAACTTAGTTGAATGCAGCATCTGCATATCTCAAGACAGTAGTTCTTAAATATTTGCAAACATTAGAGTCACTGGGAGAGTTTTAAACACTAATAGCTGGGACTAATCTTGAGAGTTGCTCATTCAGTAAATCTGAAGCAGGTCCTCAGAATTTGCATTTGTAAGGAGTTCCTGGGTGATACTGGCACTGCTAGTGCAGGTCTACACTTTGAGAACTACTGCCTTTTTCCAAATACATTCTATAGGATAGTAAATGCAAGTAATTGACAGGTGTGGATATGCCTTCCATGACATCTGCTCCTCTAAAAGCCATCAATGAATACGTAAATTCAGAGTTTAACTGCCAGAATGCATTGTCATCCTTTTCTCAAACTTAAATATTCCTGATTCTTTGTATATTCCATCTTTTTGTAGAAAACAAGACCCACATTTTTTCCAAGCCACATTTTTTTTTAAAAAAAAACAACTTAATTTTTTAGAGCAGATTTAAGTTTACAGAATAATTAAGCAGAAGAGTTTCCCTGTATCCCTTGTAAAGAATAATTAACCAGAGAGTTTCCCCGTACCCCTTGTTCCCACACGTCTGACCTACTCCACTGTGAACATGACATACTACAGTGATACATTTGCTAAAATCAATGAACCTAAGTTAACAAATCATTATTACCCAAAGTTGAGAGTTTAGGGTTCATTCTCGCTGTTGTTCCTTCTATAGATTTTGACAATACATAATGGTATGTATCCACCATTGTAGTATCAGTAATATCAGTAATACAGTATTACTGTAGTACAGAATAGTTTCATGCCCTAAAGATCTTCTGTGCTCTACCTATTTATCCCTCCTCCCCACTAACTCCTAGAGGAGTCTTTTTACTGATCTTTTTACTGTCTTCATAATTTGGCCTTTTCCAGAATGTCATATAGTTGGACTAATACAATATGTAGCCTTTTCAGATCGGCTTCTTTCAGTTAGTAATGAATTTAAAGTTCGCTTATACATTTAAAGTTCTTCCATGTATTTTTATGGCTTGGTAGAGCTATCTATCTTTTTTTAAGTGCTTAAAAATATTCCATTGCTTGGATGTGTCACATTTTATTTATCTAGTCTATTGAAGGATAGCTTGCTTGTTTCTAAGTTTAGGAATTTTTAAATAAACCTCTCATATAAATTGGTGTGAAGGGTTTTGTGCAGACAAACATTTTAACTCATTTAGGTAAATACCAAAGATTATGTTTGCTGGATCACAGGGTAAGAGTATGTTTTGTTTTGTAAGAAACAAACTAACTTCTTTTTTTTTTCTTTTTATTATACTTTAAGTTCTAGGGTACATGTGCACAACGTGCAGGTTTGTTACATATGTATACATGTGCCATGTTGGTGTGCTGCACCCATTAACTCATCATTTACATTGGGTATATCTCCTAATGCTTTCCCTCCCCTTAACTTCTAAAGTGGCTGTAACATTTTGCATTCCCACCAGCAATAAACGAGAGTTCCTGTAACTCCACATCCTTGCCAGCATTGGTGCTGTCAGTGTTCTGAACTTTGACCAATCTAATAGGTATGTAGCCGTATCTCGTTGTTTTAATTTGCATTTCTCTGATATACATTAGGGATCATCTGTTCATATGGTTACCCACTGCCTTATATTTTCTTTTGTAAAATGTCTGTGAAGGTATTTGGCCCATTTTTTTAATCAAGGCATTTGTTTTCTTATTGTGGAGTTCTTTGTATATTTTGGATAACAGTCCTTTATCAGGTGTGTCTTTTGCAAATATTTTCTCCCATTCTGTGGCTTGCATTCTCATTCTTTTGGCATTACCTTTCACTGATCAGAAGTTTTTAATTTTAATAAAATTTAGCTTATCAATTATATAATATCCAGGTTATTTCTTTCATGCTTTTGACTGCATATATAAATTCATCTTCACACCCAAGATCATCTAAATTTCTTCTGTTACCTTCTCGAAGTTTTACAGGTTTGTGTTTTACATTTAGGTCTGTAATTTAGTTTGAGTTAATTTTTGTAAAGGGTGTAAGAGCTATGTCTAGACTCATTTTTCTGCACGCGAAGGTCCAATTGTTCTAGTACCATTTGTTGAAGAGACTATTTTTGTTCAGTTGTGTTGCCCTTGCTCATTTGTCAAAAATCAATTGACTACATTTATGTGGGTCTATTTATGAGCTTTCTGTTGATCCTTTTTTTTTTTTTTTGGCCAATACCACATTGTCTTGATCACTGTGGCTTCATAGTAAGTCTTGAACTCAAGTGATTTCAGTCCTCTTGCTCTATTCTTTCCCTTCGATATTGGGTTTGCTATTCTGAGTCGTTTGTTTTTTCATAGGAAGTTTCAAATTACTTTGTTGATATCCACAAAATAACTTCCTGGGATTTTGATTGGAATTGCATTAGAACAAGCTGGGACGCACTGACATCTTGACAATATTGAGTTCTCCTCTTCATGAACATGGATTATCTCTTCATTTATTTAGTTCTTCTTTGATACCTTTCATCAGAGTTTTTGCTCTTCATATAGACCTTATACATATTTTGATAGATTTATAGCTAAATATTTCATTTATTTTGATGCTAATGTAAACAGCAATATGTTTTTAATTTCAAATGTCTCTTGTTCATTACTGATATATAGGAAAGCCACTGGACCTTTGTATATTAACCTTGTATGCTACAACTTTGCTATAATTGCTTATTGGTTCCAGGAGTTATTTTGTCAATTCTTTTATATTTTCTATGTGTATGATCGTAAGAGGGTTTTTCAGAAATAGAGCAGCTTAACAATAATAACATTTTTTAATGGTAAAAGTAAAATGATGCATTACAGAAAACTTAGAACCTGGGGGAAAACTTAGTATTTACTGAGTACTTACTATGTGCCAGGAACTATATCAAGCACTTTATTGGTATCTTTTAATTAAATCCTGCTGACAACTTTTTGATTTAGGTGCTTTTGTTCTCATTTTATACATAGAAAAATGGATGTTCAGAGAGAACAACAAACATGCCTCAAGATACACAGCTAGTATGTGGTAGTGACAAGAATCTAGCACAAGCAGTCTGATTTCAGGTATGTACTTCTGACTACTGTACTATATCGACTCTTATCACCCATATTCTTATCACCCCGCCACACTCCAGAAATAACCAATAGTATTATGTTGTATTTCCTCCAAGCCTTTATCTCCTGTAAAAGAGATAAAGAAGAAAAAAGAACCTAACTTAAGGGTACATTAATAGCATTTTCAAAAGAAAACTAAAGAAAATGGTAACTATGTGATGTGTTGGATATGTTAGCCAGCTTGATTGTGATGATTATGTCATAATGGATATGTATATCGAAAAAATTAAGTTGCACATCTTCAAAATACATATGTATATAATTTTAATTTTGTCAATTATGCCTCAATAAAGTTGTAAAAAGTAGCATTTTCAGAGGCATAATACATTCATTCATTCATTTATGTAAAAATAGATTTTTGAGCATCAGCTTTATACCAGGCACTATTGTAGGAATAAAGCAAATAAAAAAAAATCCCTTCTCTAATGGATCTTGCCTTCTAATGGTTTCTCTTTAGTATATTACCTGCTGAAGTTCTTTTCACACCTCTCTGTATAAATTTGTTAGTGATTGGTCTAAAATTTACAAAATACTATCTTAATACATTAATGTATTAAGATTAATACATTAATACATTAATACATTAATGTATTATTCTAAATGTATCATAATACATTTAGAATTAATACTGTTTTAAGTCACATAAAATATAGAAAATGTGCAACCATATTGATCCATTTCTTTCTCTATCAGAATTGTCATATCTTTGTAAGGTCTCTATGTATTATAAACCCACAAGAAAATGTTAAAATTTTGATGTAAACAATCATACCCCTTTTAATAATAGATAAAATGTTATTTTATATTTACAGAGATATTTAGAATATCTGCTACTTTTCACTTGTTTCTGAAGATCTAAATTCCCTCCTAGTATCATTTTCTTTAGTGTGAAATACCTTCCTTATATCTGTGACAAAAATTTTTGACTGACAAAAATTTCTCAGTTTTTATCTAAAAATGTCTTCAAATAAGTTTTTTTGGAGGACACATTTACTGGATGTAGAATTCTACATTGACAGTTTTTTTGTTTTTGCTTTCAGTGCTTTATAAAGACATATTTCACTGTCTTTTAATTTCCATAGTTTCTGAGGAGAAGCCAGCTGTCATTATAAATTGTTGGCCCTCTATATGCAACATGTTCGTTTTCTCTGACTGCTTTCTAGATATTCTAGAAATATCTTTTCTCTTTGGTCAGCAATTCAGTTATAATATCCCTGTATTTTTTATTTGTATTTATCCTATTTGAGTTTACTGAACTTCATTAATTGATACATTTAATTCTTTCATGATATTGAGGAAGTTTTAGCCATTATAAAAATAAAATTTCTGTCCCGTTCTTCACCTTGACTCCAATTACGTATGTTAGACCATGTGGTATGTCCCACAAGTCCCTAAGAATCTGTTCTTTCATTAATTAAAAAATCTTTTTTCCTACTTTACTTAAGTTTGGATGTCTGCAGACCTATCTTTAAGTTCACTGATTTTTTTCTATTTCATCTTTGTAACTCCATCCAATAAAATTTTTAAATTATTATTTCTATAATTTTTAAATTTCTTTTTATGGTTTCTATTTCTTATTCTGACCAGATTATTCTTTATGTCACTGAGAACAGTAATAATAGCCACCTTAAAGTCCATTTATTGTTATTTCTAACATTGGAGTTATCTTGGATTTTACCTTCATTGATTGCCTTTTCTCTTGAAAATGTTACATTTTCCCAGTTATATATCAAATAATGTTGAGCCATGTTCTGAACTCTAAATTCTGTGGTATTCCTTCAAATATGTTAATGTTTTCGTTTGAACCGTAAATTAACTTAGTCGTACTAAAGCTACAAAGCCTGTTTCTTGAATGCAATGTTGTTTAGTGCTTTTATTTTAATCCGTGTTGTTTTGAGTCTGCCTCATACAAACATACTCAGCCACCAGCTAACATTTTTGACTCACTCTCTCTGCCTGTCTTGTTTCCAGAAATCCTTTACCTACTCACTTTCCAGTGGGTTTGGTTGCCCTGAACTGTGTCATATTGTCAGAAAGACTGTATATTTTCTGTTGAAGTGTTAGCTACACTATGTGGCACTGATTCACTCTTCTGCCATGCTAAAAACCATACATAGTGGCTAACTCACCCCATGTCATCCCTTTCTCCAGGTTTTTATAGCTCCTTTATAGGATCTGCCTGTTTTTGTGCACTCCCTGTTGATTTCAGGTTATTGTTTTGTAATTTTTTCAGTTCATACTTGTTTTCAGCAGGTATTCGTGTCCAGTAAGAACTGACTGGAAGCATAAGTTTTTGTTATGCTTTATGTATTTAATTTTGAAGAAATAAAAGTTTGTAGCCCAGATGGCTACCAAACTCATTTTGAAAAAATAAAGTGAACCATGAAATTTGAAGTGCTAGTTACTACTACTGATGTAGGCAAAGTTCTGATTCACACATTCGAAAAATTTTTCTACGGTTTGCTACGTGCTAAGGCACACATATGGTACAAATAAGTAAAATATGAACTCTGTAAACACAGAAAGCATACAATGAGTAAAAGGGATAATTTATATCACTAGTAATTTAAGTAGCACTAGGTCTGAGAACAGATATGAGGATGAGACTATCTGGGGAAACTGCTGCTGAGAAAAGACTACAGAAGATTTGTTTAGCCATTATAAATTTGTTTAAATTGTATAAATTTGTTGTCAACATCTATAAACACAGTAAACATAAAACAACTGATCCCTTTTCATTTATCTCATTCTTCATTTTACAAAGGGATCTCATTCTGGTCTCCATGGATGATCATCCAATACCAAGTTCTACTGATTAATTTCTCCAAACTAAGTCAGAGCCATCAAAGGGTGGTAAATAACTAGCATCTAAACCGATGTGTTTCTTAACAACAAGCTTATCTCAGGCAACCAACAAAACTGAAAAGATGACACTCCTTCAGCTTTTAGTTGTCTTTGTAGTTACCAAACATACTATTTTCTAGAGTAGAGTTAACAGCTGTCTCCAATACCAGCCATTTTTTTCTAGAACTTTCTTGAGGAATAATTTTGTCAAAAGTAAATGCAAATGCACACCGATTTTGAGGATGATCTGAGTTCTAAAGGAATGTCACCATCAATAACCATAACGAATCAAATCAACAAAAATAAATGTCACCCACTCCAGACTACTTCTTAAAAGCAAAGGTTGGAAAAGTAAGATGTCTCCAGCAAAGGTAGTATTTAATATATGGAAGAAATTATGTCCTCTGAGTTGAGTATATCATATTTAAAGGTTACTGCAGTCATTTGCATTAAGCAATATAACTAGCAAACCCAAGATCTTTTTCATGTGTTTGTATTTTAGTACCTGTCTTGTCCATCAAGAAACAGTAGTTAAGATGACTTGAAAAAGATGCATTAATGAACTAAACCAAATAGTCTGTTCCAATGAATTTGTGCGAAGGAAATCACAGCAAGGAAACAGTAAGGGCATAAAAGAGTCTATTGTAGCATTGTGTATAATAACAACTTGGATACAACCTGATGGTCCTATGTGGCCTGCAAATTATGGTATACTATGTAGTTTAATAGTAATAATCATGAAGAATGTGAAAATATGAGGAAATGTTTGCAACACAATGTTAAGAGAAAAATAGTATAACATATAATATTATGCGTACCAGGGTCACAAGTATGTAAAATGGGATTGAATGCAAAAGCTAAGATACAAATAAACAAGGATAATAGCGTTAAGATGATGAGAGGATGAGTGACTTCTTCCTGTGAATACCTAGTTATTTTATAAATCAGAGAAAGAGAAAGAGACAAAAAAATTCTGGAACCACTACTTCTGTATTGGGATGGAAAACACACTCATATGACTGTCTCAGAAATTAGAAAACTTAGTACAAACAACTAATTCTCTAACCACATGGTTGTGAATGTGCCATCTCAGTCCAAACCTCTAGTAACCTTGGAGGAAAGTGAACTCATTACAGCAATTGAGACTCTGTGCAATTCACTTGTTTCTGTCAAGTTGCATCCTCTCCGAAATACATTAGAGTTTGCTTACTGCCACATAGGGAGGGTTCTAAGATTAAACTCCTACATACTGGAGTAGTGAGAAATGGAACTGGAGTATCCCAAACAGACACTATTGTGTTTTTTTCTGTTTAACTTTTATTTTAGGTTTGGGGGTACATGTGAATGTTTGTTGCATAGGCAAACAAATGTGATGGGGAGGGGTTTGTTGTACATATTATTTCATCACTAAGATACTAAGCCCAGCACCCAGCAGTTATCTTTTCTGCTCCTTTCCCTGCTCCCACCCTCCATCCTCAAGTAGACCCCAATGTCTGTTTTTTTTATCCTTGTGTTCATGAGTTCTCATTATTTAGCTCCTACTATAAGTGAGACTATGCAGTATTTGGTTTTCTGTTCCTGGATTAGTTTGCTAAGGATAATAGCCTCCAATTCCATACATATTCCCTCAAAAGACACGATCTCACTATTTTTTGTGGCTGCATAGTATTCCAAGGTGTATATGTACCTCATTTTCTTTATCTAGTCTGTCATTTAGAACACTTAGGTTGATTCTATGTCATTGCTATTGTGAATAGTGCTGCAGTGAACATCTGTGTGCATGAAACAGACACCATTGTTATTTTCTTTTTTATGGTAAAACAAATGCTCATTTTTGATGTGACTTTCCTAGTGGATCCAGATATCTGGTGCCTGAGTGTCCTCAGTATAACAGGTTACTGATGTCACCCTGTCCTTTATTTCTTCAAACAACTTCACCTCAAGACTTGATATCCCATAAAGAAGGAAACTCAAAGTAATCTCCATCATAACCTTCTTCCAGCTCTTTCCAAGATCTTCAGAGGGAGATCTTGGAATTCATTTTCAGGAATTACACTTCTAATCACTTTTGTCCCATTTTCTCTGATTTATTTTCTCTCTCACCTAATTCAAATAGTGTCCCTTTTTGGTCCTGCAGAATTTACATGGTCCCTTCCTTCCAGCATATTTGACTGAAGTTTTGGGGCAGGAAACATTCTACAGGGCATCATAACAAACAACTCAATAATGGCTATTAGATACTTCAATTCCTGTATCCCTGGGTCATTCCAGCTCTTCGAAATTTGCTGCTGACTACCATTTCTCCTCAGTTCAAAGCTTCCAGCATATTACTAGACCTCTCTTTTTCTATCTTCTCTTACTTTTTACAATTCTCTTCTTTCTGGACCCCTTAAAACCACCTACTTAGACTGTCCCTGTAATTCAAAATTCTCAGATCAATTTTTATAGAACAATTTAATTTTTTAATGTATTACTCTTTTACCTATTAGACTATTTCCTGAGGTCTCTTAACTATGTAAATAGGCTGAGAATTTCTCAAATCATCAAGTTCTGGAGACCTTTTGATGAACATTTTCCCAAAATCTATCTCTTTCTTTTCATATTTTCTTATGGGTAACAAGTAAAAGCCAAGCTAATGCTTCAACATTTTGTTTGGAAGTTTCCTCAGATAAATATCAAGTTCATCATTTAAAACTTTTACTTCACAGATAATTTTGGGACGTAATTCCGGTATGCATTCTGCTAGTGCGTAACAAAGATCCCTTTTCTCCATTTTCCAATAACATTTCTGTCTGAACCCTCACCAACAGTGCCTTTAATATTCATATTTCTACCAACAGTCTACATATGACAATTTAGGTAGTCTATAAAATGACACATATATTTTTTACTGTGTCCTTCACTTTCTTCTGAGTCCTCATTAGCAGAATCGTTAACTCCATATTTCTACTAACAGTCTGTTCAAGAGAATCTAAGCTTTTTCTAACATGCTACTCAAAATTCTTCCAGCCCCTGCCCCTTGGCCAATTCCAAAGACACATTCACATTTTTAGTTATTTGTTACTGCAGCACCCCACTTCTAGCTATCAGAATCTGTACTAGGTTTCTAATGCTGTTATAACAAAAAGCAACTAAAAAGTCATTATCTTACATTTCTGGAGGTTAGAAATCTAAAACAGATCTCAGTGGGCTCACCATAAGGCAATTACAACATTGCAGTTTTTCTGGAGGCTCTAGGAGTCAATCCATTCCTTTGCCTTTTTCAGCTTCTGGAGGCTGCTCACCCTCCTTGGATTATGGTAGCCTTCTCTCTCCAAAGCCAGCAATGGCCAGTTGAGCCTTTCTCTTTTTTATTTTGTTTTATTTTATTTTATTATTATTATACTTTAAGTTTTAGGGTACATGTGCACAACGTGCAGGTTAGTTACATATGTATACATGTGCCATGCTGGTGTGCTGCACCCATTAACTCGTCATTTAGCATTAGGTATATCTCCTAAAGCTATCCCTCCCCCCTCCCCCCACCCCACCACAGTCCCCAGAGTGTGATGTTCCCCTTCCTGTGTCCTTGTGTTCTCATTGTTCAATTCCCACCTATGAGTGAGAATATGCGGTGTTTGGTTTTTTGTTCTTGTGATAGTTTACTGAGAATGATGATTTCCAATTTCATCCATGTCCCTACAAAGGACATGAATTCATCATTTTTTATGGCTGCATAGTATTCCATGGTGTATATGTGCCACATTTTCTCAATCCAGTCTATCATTGTTGGACATTTGGGTTGGTTCCAAGTCTTTGCTATTGTGAACACTGCTGTAATAAACATATGTGTGCATTTGTCTTTATAGCAGCATGATTTACAGTCCTTTGGGTATATACCCAGTAATGGGATGGCTGGGTCAAATGGTATTTCTAGTTCTAGATCCCTGAGGAATCGCCACACTGACTTCCACAAGGGCTGAACTAGTTTACAGTCCCACCATCAGTGCAAAAGTGTTCCTATTTCTCCACATCCTCTCCAGCACTGCTGTCTCACTCCAGCACTGACTCTTCTGTCCCCTCCCTTCACTTGTAAGGACTCTGTGATTACATTGAGCTCATTGAGATAATACAAGATAAGATCTCCCTTTCATGGGCAGCTGATGAGTTGGCAACTTTAGTTACATCTGCAACCATAATTCCCCCTTACCATGTAACATGACATATTCATGGTTTCTAAGAATTAGAATGTAGACCTCTGTGGGAAGCCATTATTCTGCCTACCACACTAACCTTTGCACAATTTCTAACAAATAGTAAATAATAATTGGTATCTGTTACTATTATTTGATAAATATAAATCGAGTACCTACATATACTAAGTAATGCATTAGAAATACAATAGAGAATTAGATATATATGTGTTTCTTGACTTCATGGAGTTTAGAGTCTAATTAAAAGATGTAGTCTCTTGAATATGCAATTTCAATATGATGAGGTAAGGTGTGTGGGAGCAAAACACTATGGAAACACAGAGGGAAGGTACCTGCTTTATGCAAGCCTACATAAGAAGAATTTCAAAAGGTAGAGATATTTATAACATACCTAAAGGATAAATTTGGAAAAAAAAAAAAAAAAAGAAAGAAAGGCTGGGCATGGTGGTTCACACTTGTAATCCCAGCACTCTGGGAGGCCAAGGAGGTGAATCACGAGGTCAAGAGATTGAGACCATCCTGGGCAACATGGTGAAACCCTGTCTCTACTAAAAATACAAAAATTAGCTGGGCGTGGTGGCGCACACCTGTAATACCAACTACTCAGTAGGCTGAGGCAGGAGAATTGCTTGAACGGGAGAGGCGGGGATTGCACCACTGCACTCCAGCCTGGTGACAGAGCGAGAGTCTGTGAAAAAAAAAAAAAAAAAAAAAGAGGGCAAGGTCTATGAAAGGTCAATAGGCCTGAAGGCAAGTCCACACTTGGCTAGATGGAGGACATAAAAAAAAAAAAAAATTAGGTTAAATAATAGCAAAAGGGTGCAGGAGTGATGAGGGAGAAGTAAGTTCAAGCCATATCAGCAAGAGCCTTTAAAGTGCATTTAATAGTTTAGACTTTATTCTGGAGGCAATGGGGAGCCCTTGAATGGGTTTGAATCTTTGAAGTGATGTGAACAATTTTCCACTTTGGAACTGTCACTTTAGCTATAAGATAGAAAACTCATTGCAAATTCTATCAACTGGGAAATAATAAAAATGTAACTATAAAATTCTATGTGTCAAAATTCAGAAATTTGTTCCTAAGTAACTCATACATAGAATTGAACAATAATAAAGATAAATATGCCAAAACTTGTTCAATGCAGCTAAAGTAGCATTTAGACAAAATTTTAGCCCCAAATGTTCATATTAGAAAAGAAAAGCAGTTGAAAATTAATAAGGTTAACATCTAATTTAAGACACTGGAAAAAATGGAAAAAGCTAAAGATGAACACAATAAAGGTTTATTGAACAAGGTGATGCTTCAAGGAAAGATATTTTCTCTGACTGCTAGGAGTATTTCTAGTTGACAGCATATAGCTGGCATCACCTTCCGAGATTGCCTAAGACACAGGCAGGTATCTCTTTCAAGGCCTTGCCCCTTCCTGAGGCAGCCCATACAGGGTGCACAGGCCCAGCCATTTTGGTCTGACACAGGAAAACTCTGATGGGTAACTTCAGCTCCAGAGCTCCCCATGGGTTGGTGGGGTCTCTCCTGAGGCCAGCACTGTTACTCAACATCTCCCTCTGCACAGTTCTGCTCCCTTCCTGCCCCTTCCACAGTTATGGTTCGCTAGGTACTCCCTAGGAAACACTTGGCACACTAAATTAGGAAATAAGTATACAATGGTGAGATTCAACAAAGCTAAAAGATGGTTCACACACACAAAACCTAATAAAATAAATAAATGCTTGACAAAATTGGTCAAAAATAAAAAGAGGAACGTAAGTGCAGTTATGGAATAGGTTAAAAATATAATGGGGATATTAAGAACAACTTTACATCAAGGAACATGAAAGTATAGAGAAAATAGAAAGATTCATATAAATATAAAGCTTACCAAGTCTGGCTTAATAAGTAATAGAAAACTTAATCTTTCCTATAAACATTAAAGAAATCAAACCGGTAGTTTAAAATCTCATTACAAAGAAAACTCTAGGTCAGATGGTTATCTGGATACGTTTTACCAAATATTAAAGGAACAAACAATTCCAATCTTAAATAAACTCTTCCAGAATATAGAAAAAAAGGGAACACTTCCAAATTCATTTTATGAGGCTTGAATAACCTTCATAAGAAAACCTGACAAAACGAAAAGAACTACGGAAAATTATAAGCCATATCACTCATGAACACAGATACACAAACCTAAGCAAAATATCAGCCTACCTACTCCAGTAGTAAATAAAGATGAGAATATGTCATCACCAAATAGGGTTTTTATTCCCCCAAGTTTATTAAGACTGGTTTACCATTAGAAAATTAACCTAAGTAATTTACTATATTAACACTTTTTTAAAATCTTATGATTATTCTCAATAAATGAATAATTATTTGATAAGTTTTAATATCCATTCATGACAAACTCTCAACAAACTGCAAAAGAGAACTTCTATAACTTGATAAAGTGTATTCACCAAAAACCTAATGCAAACTTCAGATTAGGAGCTATTTCAATAATATCCATAAGATGCCTTACACCATTAGGTGTCTCACATTAGGATGGAGGCCTGTATTTGGGATAGTAGCAGATGTAAAAAAAACAGATATAGAGCAATTTATTATCACACATACATTTTGAGAAGTGTCTAGCCTTGGGCTTTGCACATAATAGATGTCTAAAACATGCTTACTGACTCCTAGACAAGAGAATTTTATAAGAGTTTGTCAACATTTCAGAGTGGTGTGGCCTGAAGAATCTAACAGCCCCCAAAGATTCTTGCTTGTAGTTGTCCTCTGGTCACAATCTGCTCTGAGTGTGGGCTGTACCAGTCATCACATCTTTCACATTCAGCTGCCAAAAGACCTTATTTGTTCAAAAACACAAACTAGAGTTTTTCACTATAAATTTGCTCTGGACAGTTACTTTGAGTGGTACTCATAATAATAGATTGCTTTCAACCATGTAAGTTTTCTTCCAGTGATGGGAAAACATTGGGAAAATATTTACCCTTAAAGGGCATGACAAGATAGAATAGAAAAAACACTAAATCAGTCCTGAAGATGCAGGGCTTTTAGTTCTGCTGGGTTGTTAATCAGCAGTGTGATCTTTGGTGTGATTCAAAATTGTAGGCCCTTATTGTCTATTGTGAAATGTACTACATGATCTACTCATTTATTCAACAAATTAAGAACTTATTTCCTGTTGGGTATTATGGTCCTGTGCATGTCATATAGATGTTGGGAAAGTCAACAGTAATAGGAGATACAAAAGTGTATTGTCAAATTTAATTTTCTCTAAAAAAGCTGAGGGGTTTGGGAAGGTGAGAATTCAACAACTACTAATTTTCTAAATAAGGCCCCATCGTCTCTTACATGCTTGCACAATGCCAGGCCCTTGGGGAGTATCGACAAGAATGAAGGATTCAAACTCAACACCAGAATCTTATGCTTTCTTTGCATTAAAGAATATGGGATGAAGGCCCCATCGTCTCTTACATGCTTGCACAATGCCAGGCCCTTGGGGAATATCGACAAGAATGAAGGATTCAAACTCAACACCAGAATCTTATGCTTTCTTTGCAATAAAGAATATGGGATGAATCCTAGGTTGTTGCAAAGGTAATTGCGGTTTCAGACCTTGAATTTTAAATCATCATAACTAGGCTCAAACACACATTTATTCATCAAAATAGGAACCATTACAATCAACACATTTTTGCCAATGAGAAATAAGTTAGTTTATTCCTGTAGCATAAAAATCTGTGCGTCAGGATTCGACAAACTCTTGGAAAGCGTGTTCTGCATCCTGCTGGTTGTGGAAGTGTTTTCCCTGCAAAAAGTTGTTGAGATACTTGAAGAAGTGGTAGTTAGTTGGCAAGACGTCAGGTGAATATGGCGGATGAGGAAAAACTATGTAGCCCAATTTGTTCAACTTTTGAAGCGCTGCTTGCGCAAGGTGCAGTTGAGCGTTGTCGTGGAGAAGAATTGGACCCGTTATGTTGACCAATGCCAGCTGCAGATGCTGCAGTTTTTGGCGTAGCTCATTGATTTGTTGAGCATACTTCTCAGATGTAATGGTTTTGCCAGGATTCAGAGAGCAGCGGTGGATCAGACCAGCAGCAGACCACCAAACAGTGACCCTGACCTTTTTTTTGGTGCAAGTTTGGCTTTGGGAAGTGCTTTGGAGCTTCTTCTCAGTCCAGCCACTGAGCTGGTCATTGCTGGTTGCCATATATAAAATCCACTTGTCTTTTTTTTTTTTTTTTTTTTTTTTTGACGGAGTATCGCTCTGTCGCCCAGGCTGGAGTGCAGTGGCACGGTCTCGGCTCACTGCAAGCTCCGCCTCCCAGGTTCATGCCATTCTCCTGCCTCAGCCTGTAGCTGGGACTACAGGCGCCAGCCACCACACCCGGCTAATTTTTTGTATTTTCAGTAGAGACGGGGTTTCACCGTGTTAGCCAGGACGGTCTTGATCTCCTGACCTCGTGATCTGCCCGCCTTGGCCTTCCAAAGTGCTGAGATTACAGGCGTGAGCCACCGCGCCCGGCCCCAAATCCACTTTTCATTGCACATCACAATCCGATTGCAAAATGGTTATTGTTGTTGCGTAGAATAAGAGAAGACAACACTTAAAAATGATTATTTTTTTGGATTTTTGCTGAGCTCACAAGGCACCCACTTATCAAGTTTTTCACCTTTCCAATTTGCTTCAAATGCGAAAAGACCACACAATGGTCAACATTGCGTTCTTTGACAACTTCTCGTGTAGTTGTAAGATGATCAGCTTCAATGATTCCTCTCAATTGGTCTTTGTCGACTTCCAATGGCTGGTCACTATGCTCCTCATCTTCAAGGCTCTAGTCTCCTTTGCAAAACTTCCTGAACAGTGACTGCACTGTACCTTCATTAGCAGTTCCTGGGCCAAAGGCGTTGGTGATGTTGCGGTTTGTCTCCGCTGCTTTATAACCCATTTTGAACTCGAAAAAGAAAATTGCTCTAATCTGCTTTTTGTCTGATATTATTTCCATGGTCTAAAATAAACATAAAATAAACAATAAGCAATAAGTCCTTATCAAAAAAATATAAATTGAGAAGTGTCCATTAAAATGATGTATAACATAACCACATTTATATAAGAACGTATTCCAATATCAAATGGCAAAGTCCCACCATGCAAACACTGCAATTACTTTTGCACTCATGTAATATATGTATGACCTTGATCAAGTCATCCAACTACTTTGCTTTGGGTTCCTGAAGTAGATCCTGAAACAAAAACTTGAGCACAGGAATTTATTTCGAATTTGTTCTCAAATAAGGAAGGAACTGAGGAAAGTAAGACAGAAGGGAGAGAAAGCAATAAAGAGGGTCCGAATGAGCCATTGCCACTGTAGGGGTTCAATCCTTCTGGGGACCATTTGAGTCACCGTGTAAACCTCAGACTTTTCCTGCCAAGGGAGAGGCCAGCTAGGATATTTATCCCCTGTCTCTTTTCTCTCACTGTGTGAGAGCTACCCTTGGCAGTTTCCAGCTTCTGGTCTGATGGGTTGAGAAGCACTTGAAGTAAAAAGCTGTAAGCTTCAGGTGAACTCAGCAGCGAGCTTCGGGACATGGAGTGTGAAATTAACAGCATCTACTCTAGTAACCAATCACTGCCTGGATTTCCTGATCTATAAAAAAACTTATACCTTGCAGGACAGTTGTGGACATTAAAATTTTCTCATATTCATTTTTATTAAGAAGAAATGTTTACTCTAAATTCAGGGATGGGGCAGAGTGATGAAAGCATGCAGCAGCAGTATGATTCTCATAGCACATGAATCCTATGACCTGGGAAGCAGGAGTTATAAGCCTGCCTTGTCTTCAGAATCTCCTTTGAATAGGCTCCAAGAGAGGATTTTGATAAGGACATGATGAAAGAGGCCAAGTAATAAAGTTTGGGTTTATTGCAAATGTTTATTTAACTCAGACACTTCAAAAGCATTTTTTGGAGAAACAAGTTAGCTAAATCAACATCCCTGACCTATATCAGGATCCTCGCCTAGGGTACTGAATTTAGTTAGAGCATTTGCTAACCTAAGGCTCACATGGGAGGACACCTGTTTAAGAAAATTTGACAGTCTAATGCCAAGTTTCAAGGCTGCCTTTTCCTTGGTGTAGGAGGGGACACCTGAAGTAAAATTGGTGAAGGGCAGTTGTTCTCAAACTTGAGCATGCATTAGGGTGACCTGGAAGGCTTATTAAAATACAAATTTCTGGGTTCCACCCCCAGAGTTTCTGATTTAGTAGGTCTAGAATGCGGTCCAAGCATTGGCTTCTCTAACGAGTTCTCAGGTGATGCTGATGTCGCTTGTCCTGGGAACACATTTTGAGAACAAATGGTTTAGAAGAAGCTAGAGCCATACAAATGAATGGGAGAAGCCAAGGGTGGGAGTACTCTGCTGAGAAGTGCATTAGAAATATGGTCAGACCCAAATTCAGCGTCAGCCTCTTCTCTTAGGTCTTTGGAGAGCACTGCAAGTTCATCCTCCAAATGAACGTTTCTATTTACTTTTCGTCCAGAATTTTGACTTATTCCTACCCTAGCCCATAAATGCACTGCCTCCCTGGATTCCGACTAGACTTCTAGAAGAAGACTGAACTTGGAATCAAAAGGTGAACTTCACTAATAACTAGACTTTGCATGGAAGAAAGACAAAGACAAAGAAAAATAGAAAGAAAGAAGAGAAGGAGTGAAAAGGAAAAGACAGGGAGAAAATAACATTATGAATCCCCATTGTGTTCCAAGATCTATACTTTAAATTTTCACATACTTTAGAATGTTGAAGTCTCACAAATATTCAGCAACACATGTGTTATTATCTCCATCAGGAAACTGGAGCTTAAAGAGATTATGGAATTTGCCCAAGTAGGCAAGACTTATAAAATGCATAAGCAGGACTCGAACCTAAAAGTGTTTCATTGTAAGTCTATTGAAATTTCTACTGTTCTCTACCATCAGAAAAATTGTGTCACTCACTATAAAGGGATCATAAATGATTTGGAATTGGAAAGCAGAATCACATGGGCAAAACAGTGGTTGCCTCAAACATTCAACAATTTTCATATTTACAATCTCGTTGTCTCTATAACTCTTCTTTCTTACTCTCTGAACTTGGGGGTAAATCTAGGATCTCTTTCATAGCATTGTAGTAAAAATGAGGTGAGACTAGGTAATCTCTCTGCCTTTGTATTTGCTAATCTCATGATCTGGGAGTAAGACTCTATTCTAGGTAGAAGCAATTATATTGCACATACCCCAGGAATGGTAGTTCTGATTCAAGAAGAGATCCCTCAATACAGGGCTTCTCAGAATGCTGAGAATGGGTCCAGGGAGGTGAACGTGGGGCCACCAGCTTGACCAAAGTGGAAGCCTATGAGGCCATCACTTTTCTCTGAATGGGGCCATGACATAGCCTGACAGCTTGAGAATTGATGGTATTCAACCTGGAGAAATGTTTCAGTATCCTAGTAAAATTGGCCTGTCCAGTGAAAAAATGCTGGAGATTTCAAGGTGGTCAGTTCTCCTGTACAATTTTATAATTTCTACACAAATATTTCTAAATTTCTCCATTTAAGCCAGGGCATTGGCAATATTTGCTGTTATCAAATTTAGCTTGCAAAATGTAGAGTTCAAAAGAACAGTGCAAGAAGGAAATTCCAAGGACAGCTTTCACTGAGAGATGAGGATGATTCCTAGTGGTTGCGTTATCCAGATATGGGATGGTCTTGCCCAATTCCCCTTAAGTGGTATTAAATCTGACACTGGACATGCACTTTCAGGGCATATTATGAGGAAACAGGCAATGGGTCTGGGTAAGTGCATGTCTTTTCCACCTTCTAGTCTAGGCAGGCGTTTAAAACACTGGGATCTAGGATGAGTTATGAGTCAAGTAGAACATCCATCGTGACCATTTGGGATGCTTCAGCAACATCCTATTTGGTAAGCATGAGTCCAACATTATCCAGACTCTGAAAAGAGACTAGATTGAAACAAGAAAAGAGCTCTTTGAACTTGTAAGTAAACACAAACTGCAGAAGTATACCTTTCCAGTATCAAGCAGTTTTTCTAAGTACAAGCCACAACCAAATTTGAAAACTAAATCCTACATGATATTCAAATATGTGGTTCTTGACGTGGGCCAAAAGGGAAATTAAAAGGGCATAAAAGAGAATCCGAAGGTTGGGGATCAGCAGTGCTGTTTGTTTGAAGCTCATTTGCATAGAGAAAAAGATTTGACTACAAAGGCCCTCACACATGTAAACTAGAGCACCAATCTTATGAAAATCACATAATCTGATCTCACCCTGTTAATGTTTAAATCTGGACCCATCTTATTTATGTAAATTATCTAGAAGAAGATAATTTTCAATATTTTAATGCTTGAGTTCTTCTACTGAAGAAGTTCTACATAGAAAGAGCTTACTGCTTAAGGCTGTGTCTCCTCTCCCGTAGGAAGCATTCTGGAACAAAGTTTTGTCATCTGAGATTGTGTGTGTGTGTGTGTGTGCATGCATGTGTGGTGTGCATGTCTGTGCATGCACATGTATGGCAAAACTAGAGGAGGAAGTAAAATGCAGCCATATTAGAAGCTGAAGACCAAGAAGCCCAATGAGGCATCCCCAAACAGGTATAAAAAACAGATTGAGAAAGGGGTACAGGACCAAGAATCCAAAACCCAGGGAACAGGGAAGAAGGAAGAGGCTTCACAGTAGCCGTGCTTACTGTTGGGATTTGGAGGCAGGTGCACCAGCTCCCTGCCTATACCACTTACAAGTCATATTAACTGACATAAAGTACTCTCTCAGAACTTCTGCTTCCTTATTGGTAAAATAGTAAAAATAATACCTACATTATGGAGTTATTTTGAGATTGAACTGAGATAATATGTATACAATATTTGGGGCATTCCCTAGACCTAAGTGCCTAATTATTGTGGGCTAGTGTTATTGGGAGGAAACACAGAGACATTTGGGGCAAATGTCAACTAAATCCATTCTCTGAACTTTATGTGCCACTCAACATACATGGGATATCAGACTGCACAAAAAGGGTTGATATCAGCAGTATAATATCACTGTGAGGCTTAAATAAAATTAGATAAAATTATATGCACACACAAAATTATATATAATTGTCTGGTATGTATCATTCAGCAATTCATAGCTCTTATTTTTATTAAGAAAATCTCGTTCACCTATGTTTCTTCCTAAGATTAATTAATGCTAGAAAATGCTGTTGTCATGAATATGAAAGTCACCAAAGGGAAAATAATAAGTCAATAATAAACATGGGGAAAAGTCCAATATAAAAATATGAATTAAAACAATAACATTTTTTACATAATGTAACATGGGTATTTTTAGTTTAATGGTAAATCCTGATGATGCAGAGGATTCACTAAAGTAAGCTTGGTTATACATAACTGTTGGGAATGTAGATGAGAATGAGCCCCTTTAGAAAGTTATTTGGTAGTATATAATAAAAACCTTCAAGTGTTCAAAACCTCTACTCAATAATTCCTTTTCTTAAAGACCAACCTATGGAAATAATTTAAAACACAAGGGAAAATGTATGCCTGTGCTTCCCTGTAGTATTTTTTCCAAGACAAACATTGGGAAAACCTTAAATAGTTAATAGAGGAGGGATGTTTGCTTATGTAACTTCTACTTTGGAATATTTACTCAGTGAAATGTTATATAGCCATTAAAAATAATGCCAACACAGAGTTTAAAATAACGTATTAAAAGCTTACAATGTCATGCTAAGGATAAAAACAAGATATAAAATTGTTTAAACAGCAGACTCAGAGTATATAAAACAACTCATTAAAAACTGAGAGACAATATACTGATTTCATAATGATTATCTAAAGATGATTGTTAATTTTCTTTATGTTTCTCTGTATTGCAATTTTTAAAAATAATAATCATGCATTTTTAATAATAGTGATAAAAATCCAATGTCTTTAAACATTCCAGTTACCAAATTCTCTAGTATAGGACTCAGAAACTATAGCGCAGGAGTCAAATCCAACCTGGTACCTGCTTTTGTAAATAAAGTTTTACTAGAATTACAGCTGTTCTCATTCATTTATGTATTGTTTATGGCTGCTTTTTCACTAATATGGCATAGTCATGTCATTGTGATAGAGGATGTATGGACCACAAAACCCAAAATATTTGCTATCTGACTTTCTACGAATCTTAAAAGTGGATGCTATTTAAGCTCAGAAGACATTTCAACATCCTAGTAGAAAGTATCTGTCAAATGATAAAATAACTGGTGATTTTGAAATGGCTGGGCTTTTCTTCCCTATAATTTTATAACTTCTACACAGATAACTCCATATTTCTCCATTTAAGGCAGGGCACCAGCAATATTTGCTAATACTAATTTTAGCTGGGCTGTGGAATCAAAAGAAAAGTATAAGATGGGAGCTCCAAGGACAGCTTTCACTGCAGGATGACGATGATTCTTAGCTGTTAAATTACCCACACATGGACAGTCTTGTGCAGGCATCTTCTTACTCTTTGGGTGATATTAAATCTGATGCTGAACAATTAGAGGGCATATTATGCGGAAACAGGTAGTGGGACTGGGTAAGTGCTGAGTTCTTTCCACCTTGAAGTCTGGGCAGAGTGGCTGAAAAACTGGACATTGGGATGAGTTATGACTCAAGCGGAGAATATGTCATGACCATCTGGGATACCTAAGTTACTTAACTTGGGCCACATCCCCACTACTCCATGCTGCATCAACTATTTACAAACTACCAGGGACAGGGAACTCATCCTTTCTAAGGTACTTCATTCCACAACTGTTTATTTTTTTAAATTTATAAGTACCGAAGGGCTTACCTTATGTATCTGCGCACCCTTTGACCCTTGGCATTATCTTGGGAGGTTCCAATAGATTTCTCTTCTCACTTCTAGTGATTAAAGTCCAGTTAGGTTCCTTTGCGTCATCTCCTTTCTCCCTGTAGCTTGGCCTGTGGGGCCTGCACTGGCACTTAGAGGCACATGGGAAGAAAGATGTGAATGTTCCTTATCCATTGGTGTTTCTGCCTCTTCTCCACTGGTGTTCATGGCCTTATTAAGATGGGATCCAGATTCTGGCTCTCTGGGGTGCCTATGTCAGCTCTCCTTCAGGCCTTGCGGGGCTTCCACAAGTGCCAGTTAAGTGTGACTTAACTGTGGATCTCTTTAATTGCTCAGGTTCCTCAGTTGGCTATGCATCTTATATCCTTTGATGCTGTGGTCCTCCGGCTCCAGACCACCATAGGTAGCTCTTTGTACTCAAGAGAGGTTCCTTTCTTCATTATAATTTGACCTGTGGGAATTCATACATTCTTGTCTCACCAAATTGTAAGGGTACAGATGCTTTCTCTGCCTCCTTGCCACTTTCCTTTCCTTCCCATCTGCACAGGTAGGCACCGGCGTGGAGCAAGCTGCCTATGCAGATATCCAATATCCATGTGTGGTTCGGAGCCACTCCCTCCTCTTGGCTTCAGAAAAGTACAGAACAACTTCACTGGACATTCTATTGGTCCAACTCAAGACTATGACAAATTTGCTCTTCCTTCTACTTCCACTCAAAGTGTCTTTTTACATTGACTGATATGGGAAGTGACTAGGTGCCCGGGCTGATTGTCAGAAACAGCAGAACTGCTGAAGTGCTTTTGAATGAACACCCAAGGAAGATTTCTGTGATTATTTGTAGCTCTATATAGATGTTTAGGGCACTAATGATTTCTTATCTTCAGCTTTGGGGTCTACTCACAATTTTGGAGCAACAAGCAAAGCCCAACTCAAGAGTCTGTTACATTGTCATTGACCAGCCTGATCACAGTTAGCTAGAGTATGTTCTGTGAAGTCCAGTCCCAGGAAATGTTTCTGCAAGAATCTCCCTCATGGAAAACACTATGAATAAAAAAGTCTTTGACGAGTCCTACAGTTTATTTTCTTCATGTAAGAACTACCAGTGTGTCCTAGTTTACAGTGTATACAACTTTTTCCTTTATATATTGCTCTCATTCATTCGTTTATTCATTCAACCATCCAAAATATATTGAGTACTTGCTCTACTCGAGGTATGAATTCAGTACATCTATTGGAAAAGTTATTTGTAATCTTATTCATTCCTCACAACAACCCTTTGAAATGGATATAGCAGATAATTTACTATTCTCATATTACACATGAGGGATCTGAAGTTCAGAAATATCGAATAATCTTTCCAAGGTTATGCAACTATTGAGAAAGTAGAGAGGCCAGGCACAGTGGCTCATGCCTGTAATTCCAGCACTTTGGGAGGGTGAGGCAGGCAGATAATGAGGTCAAGAGATTGAGACCATCCTGGCCAACATGATGAAACCCCATTGCTACTAAAAATACAAAAATTAGCTGGGCATGGTGGTGCGCACCTGCAGTCCCAGCTACTCGGGAGGCTGAGGCAGGAGAATCGCTTGAACCTGGGAGGTGGAGGTTGCAGTGAGCTGAGATCATGCCACTGCACTCCAGCCTGGCAACCAAGCGAGACTCTGTCTCAAAAAAAAAAAAAAAAGAAAAGAAAAGAAAAGAAAGTAGAGACATCAGAAGAGGAGGGGAAGGAGCTGGAAATTAACTAGCATATTGTGAGATCCTAGACTTCATTACTACTCAAGAATGTTTAGGAACAAAGCAAATCTGAAAGGAAAGAAAGTATGGAGACAAATTCTGAATTCTTAAACAAATTTGACAGTATGATTGAATGCTGGGACAACATCAGATTTTTAATATAATTTTGAGGTACCATTCTGCATGTTGTGGTGAGACAATTGAGTAAACACTGGCTGAGTCTCGCATCAGAATTCTTTCTTTCTCTCTCTCTCTCTTTCTCTCTCTCCTCCACCCCCACCCCCCTTCTCTATGTGATTTTAAATGCCAGAAGACTCACCTTGGGACATTGGTTGAACTGATGGACAAACAAAGGAATGACAACAAATAGACTTGTTTAACTAGCCAAACAACAAAAATAGACTGACTATGAATAATAGGGAACCAGTTGGTGTCAGCTTATTCTGAACTTGGTGAGAAACTTTGTCAAGTTATCTACCAGTCGTACGAGAATTCCAGAAACTCTCTTTATTTGGAAGCATGAGTATTGGAACTGAGCAACAAGGGTTGAGTATGTTTGAAACTGGAAAATAAAGCTTCACACAGTACTTACTAAATATAACTTCCTGCCAGGCAGGTATGGGCTGCTTGCCACATTTTGATAGTTGTCAGGATCCAAAAACCATGAAGAAGGCCAATGTTTTGATAACTAAAAGTACTTTCAAGACAAGCAAATTTGCCTTATTTAGGGGGAGATGAGGTTAGAAGGAATTAGTTAATTATCTCTCACTCCTAAACTTTCCAAATTTTAAATATAAAAGCTCATCATTTACTTTTGCATAACTAGAAACAAAGCCAAGATAATAAAATTACCTCTTATATTCACAGCATACTTTCTCATAGAAAGACAACTTGGAAAATCCATTTACCAAGACAACTTAAAGGGAGGTAAATAGAAACAAAGGAAAGTCCCATTACATCAAATGACATTGACCAAACAATGCCTCTTAGAACTTCTATTCCTGTTTTCTGTTAAGTTTCTTTTGGACAGTAACATCCTTGAGGGCAAGCAAAAGGTCTGTCTTCTTCCTTGTTTTATTCCCAGTGCCTGGTGATGAATAAAGGAACTGCACATGAATAAAGGAACTCTCAAATTCCTGTTCCCTGGAGACCACAAAGAGGTAATTACTCACTCTGAAAGTAGCAAAATGGGTGGTGTGATTGAACTACTTACATGTACAGGGTTAACTATAAGTAAATCCTAGCTCTAAGTATGAATACAAAGGATTCTGCTTTTCTCCATCACTAATGTTTGGCTCTCTTCAGAGTGAAGGCAGGCAGGCTTTCTCAGAGGTTGGCAAATCTAAACAGTGGCAAAATTGTGAGGTTTGCTGTTTATTTTGGCTACATTTTTAACGTACTCCTTATGACCCAAGTACCTTTCTTTGGCGGCGGTGTTCTCCATCTCTCCAAGGTCTGAGAAATGCCCCACCTCACTAATTCTTGGAAAAATGGGTCCATTCAACTTCTCATTCCTTTAGAGCCTTATGGTTGGTTACAAGGGTGTCCCATAGGTATAGGAAATCATTAACATGACAGGAGACAATATCAGTAGAAAAAATGATCCAGACACATCAGGCTGAAATTTATCAAATGAAAAGGACCATAATGCCAAACATCTTGACTAAAAAATATTATAATTTGATCTCAATGCAGAAGATCAGGTTGGTTTGTAGATTATGTTTTTTAAGAAAATCTAGAAGGAGGAGAGGTAAAGTGAGTATGTGACCACAAGCTGAGCCTGGAGTATAGTGTAACTTATTAAATATATGCAAGGGGGAGTCCCCGAAAGAAACACTCAAAGACCTCCAAATAAATCAATGATCATAGCTAGGAACATCTCAAGGAGACATGCTATGCCACATCCTACGTCATTTAAATTCTCTAAGCCTCAGGATTTCCATCTGAAAAGCAGAAATTGAAAAACCAATGGTGCCTTGTCCTCAGTGATATCATGATGATTAAATAAGTCTAATTACAAGTTGTTCTGATTATTAGTATTATTTTAACATTAATAAATTCAAAGTTTCATTTATCTGGGAATACATTAAGGAGTATTAGAAGAATGAAGCTGGATATAGAAGTTCCAGTTTAATAAAATCATTTAGCAGAATATGTAAATTATAGATGTAAATGTATAATACAAGCTTAATGTACATCAAGCCAGTCTTTTTGGTTGATTAGGATTTCATCTGGCATTCAAGGTGCTTTGAATGGACCCCTATTTCTGCAACTTTGTTTTCAGCCATTTGCTGCCTATAGTTCATGTCCCAACAGCCACGATGCTTTTTGCCTTCAAGTCATTCCATCATCTGACCCCTCCATTCAAAATGTTTTTCTCTTATCCTTTTACCTGTTTATTTCTTCAAACCCACTACCCTCAAAGAGAAAACTACATATTTACTTACTTCATAGTTGATGACTCTGTATGTTTCAGGCATGGAGAGTCTGAAATAATTTTAACTACAGGTTTTAGGTTGCTTTGCTGAAGGAATGCTACAAAACAGAGTTTCGGGATCTTAGAACAATTAAGACATAACTTCTCACCAGTGTGTGGGGGCCTGTGGAAACTGACTCAACATTTCCTGCAGGGAAACAGCATATTATTTCAGGGAGAGCCGTGGATGTAAACCTTGAGAGTATATTTCAGCCAGAGATTTTGAAGCACTTTAGGAACATGAATACCCTTATTCTTCTTATTCATAAAACACACATCTATTGATGCTGATCATAATATCTCTTGTTAAGCATTCCTATATACCCACACTCGCTGATGCATTTTCTCAATGGAGTCTAGCCTCCCTTGTGGTCTCCATTCTTGGGCTGTAACTCAGTAACACTACCCTTTGGAGTGTGCTTTGGCCACCTTCAGGAACAGTGATTTCTCTGTTTAGATCAAGAGAGCATAATGAAACATTGTCTGCCACAATATCAAATGTGAAGTTTCCGCTAAACTAATTGCTGGGGAAAACATTTTGCCTTCATCAAGCAGGGCCTGAAGTCAGAAAAATCGAAATGGAAATGAGAGGTTGGCGAGGGTGGCCAGAGAATTTGAATGGACTAGGGGAAAGTTTTCCATAAACTGAAAAGCTTTGCCTGGGGGCTGAAATGAAGATAGTGTTTTGCTTGGTTCTACCATCTAGAAAGGAGAAGCTGACTAGGGCTAAAGAAAATTGAAGTCTAGACAAGACCACTCTTGCATTTACTAATCTTGATTCTGTTTACTCATTTGCCAAATTATGATAATTCTAACTGTTGTGTGTACCAACTCTTAAACACATTTTATATAAAGTTCAGGTGAGACACAGAAATAGATATGAAAATGTAATAAAGAATAAAGCAGTGATTTTCAAAGAAGTTGGTTTTGAAGTGCAATTGAATTCCCATCAGGAGCTTTGTGTTAAAACGTATGCACCATTTCCTCCTTCCTTGTCCCCCATCCTCGTATTGAAAATTAAAATGATTAATTTGAAGCTCTACATTCGAATATAGTGAGAAGACAGCACTACAACAACAACGCACCTACACAAGTTAACATTTACTGCATATTTTATATGTACTAAGTACTGTGCTAAATCATTTACATACATTTCATCACTTAATTCTCATCATATCCTTAGTGGTTGTATACCATTGTCCTCTTTTCACAAATGAATAAGCTGAGCAAATGAGGAAGTATGTTTAATTAACTATCTCTCTTATAAAGAACTACTCTCTATACTTCAACAAAGGAGGGAAAAAATCACATAATATACTTGAGATTTCATACTGGGCAATTACTCCAAGGGTAAAACTAAATATCTACCTCATGTTACTCTTCTCATCTGTCAATTAAAGAACACTGAGAATTTTGCTTTACCACAACTTCTTCTTAGGAGTGGATCTGACTTTAGCTAAATTCAGTGTTTAGAGAACTTAAGTTAATGCTTTAAAAGATACTGTAGTTATTTGGACTGGGAGCCTGTTGTCCCAGTCTTAATAGTCTACATCTATAGACCATGTGATCTTCAATGGATTATTTAACCTCCCCGAGCCTTTGGGATTTTTTTTTTTCTATAACATAATAAAAAGCTCAGATGAATGACCTCTAAGTTTTTATTTTTTTCTGTAATTAAAATTCTCTTTTAGGGAATTCATCTTCATGATCTAGATGTTAGGAACAATTCTGTCCCTCTTAAAGGATGATACTATAGTAGGATGGGGACCAGTAATAGCAAGGAGATTTCCAAGAATCTCCATCATGATCTTCCCAAGCAAGTGTTTTTCAGGTCTGCTTATATGTCAGTTGATCATAATAAAACAACCAAATAAGAATGATGGAATGTTTCAACAAGACAATAAAAGATGAAATAATATTAATTCCAGCACTAGAAAATCTCAAAGTCAAGGCAAGATAGTAATACTACAGTGATTAAGAGAATGGTCTTTGAAGACATTATTGCAGCTTGTAATTACATAACTACTTTTATGATAATTAAATTAATATATAATTAATATAGTCTCCCTAAGCTATAAATTTCACTTAGATAACAACTATAACTATTTTATGCATATATTTCCAGCAAGCATAAGTATAGTACCAAAGTGGACTTATGGATTTATCGGTATTTTAGTCCAATACTAAAGTACTGAACAAATGAATAATAGATTCAAATTTCAGTCTTCTTTCTTACCAGCTATATAAATCTCAACTTTAGTAATCTAATCTCTGCTATTTTTAAATTCATCTGTAAAATTAAAACAATAGTAGTGTCCACCTCTTTGGGATTTTTCAAAATAAAATAAGATAATACACCTAAGCTATGAAGAAAATGGTGGGTAGAATAAAAATAAGGTTGACATTGTATAATATTCATTACACCATTTTTTCCTTCAAGTTCTGAGCCAATTAAGAAATAGACAGCAGACCGGCCGGGCATGGTGGCTCAAGCCTGTAATCCCAGCACTTTGCGAGGCCAAGGCGGGCAGATCATAAGGTCAGGAGTTCAAGACCAGCCTGGCCAAGATTGTTAAACCCTATCTCTACTAAAAATACAAAAAAATTAGCCAGGAGTGGTGGCAGGAACCTGTAATCCCAGCTACTCAGGAAGTTGAGGAGAATTGCTTGAACCTGGGAGGCAGAGGTTGCAGTGAGCTGAGATGGTGCCACGGCACTCCAGCTTGGGCGACAGAGCAAGAATCCATCTCAAAAAAAAAAAAAAAAAAAAAGAAAGAAAGAAAAGAAATGGACCTTTGCTGGTAAATCTGGAACGGAGAACCCTGCTTAGGCCCCAAGACAAAATAGGCTGTCAGCTCCTTTCCTAGATTTGAGTGAACTAAAGACTGGTAAAGCCATTGATCAATAGCTGAGCTCTCTTACCATGTGACGCAGTTCACATCACGCAGTTGAAGAGAAACGTGTGCATCCCAAGAGGTGGCTGGATCTAAAAGAGATTGGAGAAGAGAGTTAGGCTGCATGTGCTCAGGGTTCCTTGGCTAATCTCTCTAATACCAGTGCCCCTTGGAGTAGAGTGAGTACATAGGGGAGAGAAAATTAAAGATTTTAGCATACTCTTAATATTTCCAAGAAGACAAAAGTTCTTATTTTATGGGCCTACTGAGAAACACTGAAAGGGAGAGAATGGAATCATCACTCTCAAATAATAACACCAACCTCATAGGAATGTCCTGAGGCTAATATGTGAAGTACAGATGCCTTTAAGCTTACAATGGGGTTACATCCCAATAAACGCATTGTAGGTTGAAAATAATGTTAAGTTGAAAATGCATTTAATACACCTAACCTACTGAACATCGTAGCTTAGCCTTGCTTGCCTTAAATGTACCCAGAGCACTCACAGTAGCCTACAGTTTGGCAAAATCATGTAACATGACACTTTTTTTATAATGAAGTGTTGAACTTCTTCTCATACTTTATTGAATACTATAATGAAAGTGAAAAGCAGAATGTTTGTATCAGTACTCAAAGTACAATTTCTATTGAGAATTCCTTTTGTATCACCCTAAAGTTTAATCCTCATAAGCCTGGGATTTCCTGCCTTGAAGTTCTTTTAACTGACCTCCAGCACTGCTCTCCAAGCCACTCTGAGTTCTACAATAATCTGATGCTGGTGTTTAGTGGGCCAGTTTCTAGTAATCCCTTACACTTCTATCCTTAGCAGTTAAATTTTACGTGTGCCAAGAATCAGTCATATTGACTCCCAAGCTCATTTATTCTACTGGAATTAACTGATTAATAAAAGGTTATGTAAACACATGAAATATGATTTTGATAAGTCAATATTTTGGAAGGGTTGATAAAAATAACGCTCCCAAAAGTGCTATTGCAACACTATTGTAATAGATTGGAGAGAACATAGACTCTTGAGGGGTTTTGTCTTTTGATTGCTGTTTATATTTTTTACATTTTCTTTCCTTTCAGAAAAAGAACTAAAAATTACAGATAAGTGTATTACTGTATTATGGGTGTGGCTTATAAAAGAAAGATGACACATAACTCTATTTTATGGGCTCATTATCAAAGGCAAGGACTCTGCTCTTTATTCAAAGATTGGTGAAAGAAATGTCAATCTTACGTTTCAAGTTAATTATTAAGATACATTTTCACTTTTATGAGTTAAAACTTCTACTGAATGATAAAAAATCAGCTGTAAGGTAAAATTATAAATATTACAAAAGATGCAGGAAAGCGACTTCCTTGAATACTATCCAAAGGCATTTACAAATGAAGATCTGGCTTAGATATGTTAACAACTGAATAAAATACATTAATCAAGATCATGACACCATAGACAGTTTAAAAGTGACTCATTTGACTCTCAAGAAATTTAGAGAAATCCCTGGAAAATTTGTGACTCCTGGTATGTTTTTGAAACATATGATTTTTTGATTAAGCTAGAAATTCTTCATTGTTCCACATATAATGGCCTATACTTTGTATGTAGCACAGGGCTTGATGTATATCAAGACTTTAACAATGATATGTATTCATATATGAACATATTACTATTAGTAGTAGTACTTGTTGCATTTAACTTTGCCCTCTATCCTAACGTAGATATTAAGGAGCCAGTTGGCAGTCATGACTTCTGTCTTCACATGTGTTGCTCCTATAAAACCACTTCTGGTTATGACTACCTGCCCAGAAAAAAAAAAAGTTTTCTTGTGACTCTATTTCTGCCCAACTATTTACCTAATTCTTCCCTGAATGCCCATGTAGGAGAATAAATGATATTAGGAGCTGATCTGATAGCTCATCCCTAAACTAAAGTGTTTCTTAAATTCGACTAAATTCCATAAATATTTTATTAGGATCATTCATTCTGTGACTTGGTTAGCTTATATAATTCATAAGGAAAAAGAAAGAAAGAGAGAGAAGAGGAAAAAAAGGAAGGAAGAAATCCTGCCTTCAAGGACTTTATAACTGAGCTAAGTACATTGGCATAGAAATGAACATCTCTAATTTAGGACTTTATGGAGGAGGAAGAATGAAGAATAGACAGAGAATGTTGTCAGTTATTCTATCTTGGTGTGTGGAGCTAGAGGTAGCTCATAGAGGGCTCAAGATTATTTCAAAACTAATTTTGGTTATTTGCGTTGGGTCGTGAAGTATAAGCAAAACTTTACAGATTAACGTCGATGAGGAAGAACATTACATATCAAGCAGAACCGATAAAGAATAAGGAATATATAGAGAATAGCTGTTGGTTTGGTGTGTCTAGAAGGAAAACCATGCTTGCCTCAGTGAGAGAAGAAATAGTAGAAGTACTAGAAGATTAATCTAGAAAGGTAAATTGATTTAGTATAAATACAAGAATATCCTAAACAGCTCAATAAATTTCTCACTGAAGAATTTGATTTATTATCATAAAATAGTGGTTCTCAAAAGATCCACAGGACCTAGGAACTTGTCAGAAATGAAATTATCAGGCCTGACCCCAGACCTACTGAGTCAGAAACTATGAGAGCTCGTTCTAGGAATCGATGTTTTAATTCCATATCCAGGTGATTCTGATACAAGTTTGAGAACTATAGCCATACGCAAAAGAGATTATTCATAAAATGTTAATCAGGAAACAGCATAGTCACATCTGAGCTTTTCAGTAATTGCCCTTGCCCCTTGTAGAGAATAGATTGCAAGCAGGGGCACTGGAGGTTCCCTAGGAGGATCTTGGGTAGTCAAAGGGAGAAGCAAGAAGAGTATGAACATCAGGAGTGGAGGAAAGAGGAAGAAGGAAAGAAAGAGCCAACAGAAAAGTCTGTGGTAATCAAATTCATTTTCAATCTTCAATCACTGAATGGAAGTAGATAATTGAGGTGGCAGAAAGTGGAAGAGTTCAGGTCACATTTTTTTCTTCCTAGTCAGAGAGGTTCAGTTGATGGTGGTATATGTTTGGGGACCGCAGGTGGAGGAGGGAAGCTCCTCCAATTAGGAAATTATGGAACTTTTAGTCAGGTTCTTTTTTTTTTTTTTTTTTTTTTTGAGATGGAGTCTCGCTCTGTCACCCAGGCTGGAGTGCAGTGGCGTGATCTCGGCTCACTGCAAGCTCTGCCTCCCAGGTTCATACCATTCTCCTGCCTCAGCCTCCCGAGTAGCTGGGACTACAGGTGCCCGCCACCACGCCCAGCTAGTTTTTTGTATTTTCAGTAGAGACCGGGTTTCACTGTGTTAGCCAGGATGGTCTCGATCTCCTGACCTCGTGATCTGCCCATCTCAGCCTCCCAAAGTGCTGGAATTACAGGTGTGAGCCACCGCGCCTGACCGTCAGGTTCTTTGAGAGCTGTATCATGAGTGAAAACTGACCTCACTATAGTCATTTGTTCATTCACTCATTATACAATAACATTAGTTATTATGCATCAGACACTTTGATGGTTACAAGAGATAGGTGAATCAGATGTTTCTGCTTTAGGACCTCTTGAGCTAGCTGACATGTAAGAAAGAGGCAGACACATCATGTGGAGGAGACAAATCAACTTGGGAACAACTCCCATTGTGATGGGATGTGATCACATTTTGTCCCTTGCTATTTATCCTATTGTTCCTCTCAGGTTCTTAGAGGAGAGGTCATATCTGTTGATGGCTGAAGGAGCATCAGGTACCCAGAGATTTTCAGCTTTCATAAGGCCAATAGTGGGATCTTTGATCTGTAAGCTGCTCGAGTCCAATCTCAGAAACTTGCTTTGTACTTTCACCACAATAAGTTCTACTTTACCCCTAAGGAAATGAAGAGATAGAAAAGAGAGATTAAACTTGCCTAGGCACATAGATCAAGTCTCTGGCAAAATGCAAATTCTTGTTTGCATGTCCGGTGTTTCTTTTTGAGCGAACAAATGGAAAGAGCCAGTACAGGACAAAGAAATCAGCTTGTGCTACTACTGATTGACAAATGTTGTTGAGTGGCTTAATAAAATATTCTAAACACATGAAAATATTATTTATTTATTTATTTTAAAAATACGTTGACATTTCACTAATGTAAAAATATGGCCAGGTGCAGTGGCTCATGCCTGTAATCCCAGCACTTTAGGTGGCCGAGGCGGGCAGATCACAAGGTCAGGAGTTCGAGACCAGCCTGGCCAATATGGTGAAACCTTGTCTCTACTAAAAATACAAAACTTAGCCAGGTGTGGTGGCGGGTGCCTGTAGTCCCAGCTACTCGGGAGGCTGAGGCAGAAGACTTGCTTGAACCCTGGAGGCGGAGGTTGCAGTGAGCTGAGATCACACCACTGCACTCCAGCCTGGGTGACAGAGAGACTCCATCTCAAAAAATAAAAATAAAAATAAAATAACATGATAAATTGTATCATGACACATGATACATAATACAATGTACATGATGAATTATCAAATGTGAAAAAATCAAATTACAAAGCAGAACGTGTAGTCTGCTCCCAAATATATATATATATGAGAGTATTAACAATGGTTACCTTTTGATGGTGGATTACTGATTTTACCTTTTCCTTTGTACCTTTTTATATTGACTGATTTTTTTGCCCTGAACATATAATATTCTTATAATCAAAGAAGCAAAAAAACTATTATTTTTAAAATGAAATATATTAATAATTCCCAAACATATGCTAAAAAAGAATAATGATATTAAAATACTAAAAGGGACCAGTATCAAAAGTAGAAAAAAAATGAGAATCATTTCTGCTTACATAGCATCTTTACATTATAATCTCATGTAACTCCTACATTAATGGTGTTAGGTATGTAATAATAATAACAACATAGAGAAATGTTCTATCTCAATGGAAAACAATGTAATATCTATATCACACTCTTCCCAGTTATCTAATTTTGTTTCTATGGGAGCTGTTTTACAACTGTGTACATTATAGACAACTGATGGCAATGCAAAATGATTCTTGTCCATAGACAGTTAAATTTTATCAATTTTATCCAGTGAAGATTCAAATGATTTCCCTCCCCAATGTGCAAGAGGTTAGTCTTTCCTCCCTTTGCTCATTAATTTCAACATTCCTGATTATAAATGTGTCTGTACTTTGGAATCTCCTTTGAACTGATTGTAACACCTCATTAGTCTCAACATTAATGAGTTAAATAAAATCTTTCACATGTATTCACTTTTATGTTTGTATGAGATTTATAATTTTACCATTTTTTGGAAAATAATCTTTTAAGAATTATTATAACATTAGCTAATATTTACTAAGAACTTTATATGCACCCAGCCCTGTTCTAAGTCATTTATATAAAACTATATTTTATCTTCACTATCTCTGAGGAGCTAATGTCAACTCTATTTTACAGATGAGGGTCTAGAAGTTACCTAAAAGTTAATTTACTCAAAGGGAAATGAGTGGTAAGGAGCAGTATTCAAATTCAGGCTGAGTCCAGATACTATGTGGTTCAGCAGACAATATCATCTAATTTTTCCAGATGAGAAAACTGGACCTCTACAAGGTTAAAATTTACTCTTACTTTTTCCTTTATTCAATTAATATTTTGAACATGTACTAGGAGCCAGACACTAAGCTAGGTGTGGGGAACCTAGAAGTGAAAAAGGTAAGTAGATAGAACTCTTGATTTTTATAGAGCCTAGAATTTTGTGATAATTGACTCCAAGTCCAACGCTGGTGGAGTCAGAGGGCCTATTTCCTTTAAAAGTTTGTTTTCTTCAAGATTCTTTTTTTACTCACTTCCAGTCAAATGGGAACATTCAAAGGACTAGAATTATAACTTCTAATAAGAACACACTGATGTCATCTTGTATCCTCTTTGCTGCCTGGTGAAGAATGTATTCAAATAAATACACCAAAGGAGATGACTAATGATTTAATTGCAAACCTCTAAGAAAAGCATCCTACATGGACTCCCTTTGAAAATGCCATGTCTTTCTGGAATATACTTTCCTGGCTTCCCTCCTTGGTGGGTCCCTCTTCAACCCTTCAAATTCTGTTCAGTCTTCAGAAGTCTTCAGAGTCTCTCTGAAGCTTTTTTGATTCTGTATCCCTTCCCTGACATGTATAAATTCGTTTCTCTTCTCACTCTAGTATTCCCTATCTCTGGGATAGTTGTTTTTTGTTGTTGATGTTGTTGTTGTTGTTTTTGAGACGGAGTCTCGCTCTATCTCCCAGGTTGGATGGAGTGCAGTGGCATGATCTCGGCTCACTGCAACCTCCGCCTCCCAGGTTCATGCCATTCTCCTGCTTCAGCCTCCCAAGTAGCTGGGACTACAGGTGCCTGCCACCACGCCCGGCTAATTTTTTGTACTTTTGGTAGAGACGGGGTTTCACCATGTTAGCCAGGATGGTCTCGATCTCCTGACCTCGTGATCCGCCCGCCTCGGCCTCCCAAAGTGCTGGGATTACAGGCATGAGCCACCGCGCCTGGCCTCTCTGGGATAGTTTTAACTGTGGCATGTTAGCATGTGCTGGGACAGTCATTTTTTCTGCATGTCTGTTTCTCCCAAAAAAGCATAAACTGCCAAAGGAGAGGCACTGTGGCTTACTCATTTCTGCAGAACCTGGTATCTAGTTGTGGACTGGTGCACTAATGTGCTGGTAAACAATTCTTCCCATACAATGTATATAGAGCAACTTTCACTTCCCCCAGTATACACAGTTCTCTACTATCTCCAGGTATTTGTATTTACTGATCCCTTTATTGAAACCTCATCTTCATTTCATCTTCTGGGTAATGCCTATGCTTCCTAAGGACCTCTGTTCATATATCTGTTCTTCCTGAAATATTTCCTGATCCTGAGTTAGATGCCCCTTCTGTGTGTTCTTCTATCACCTCAAACTTCCCCTATCACACCACTGGTTTCATTTCATCATGAAGTGTAATTTCCTATTTATATGTCTGAATATATGTATATGTATTTTTAAAATTCTTAAGGAGAGAAACTTTATTATTTCATCACTATGTTTTCAGATCCTATACATATAAATCCTATACGTATACATATAAATATGTGCTCATTTGTATATTGAAATATATGTCAAATGAGAAAAAAAGACCTATTTGTTCACGCTTGTTGCTACCTAGAAGGAATTTCTCTCTTAGGATACAGCATGATAGAACAGAAAGACCAACTTTAGAGTTAGAAACATGAATTTTGTTCCTGGTTCAGTCATTTATTAGCTATGTCACCTTGGGAAAATAAAATCAATGTATAAGACCTTAATTCCCGTATAAGTAAAATGAGAATAAAAATCTCCACATTGTGCTATTGTCATGAAGACTAAATGAGATAATGTGTGTTGAGGGTCTGTGCTAAGTAAGCTCTAAATGAATATCCATTTCCTTCCTTTTCTATTTGTGGCCAGTGGTAAATTATAAAGACAGAATCTGGGCACATAACAGGATATCCTACATAAGTAGGAATGGCTTCCCAGGGTAATAGATAGTGTTGCCAACAATAGTGGAGAGAATGAGAGGAAGCAGCCACATAAACCAACCTTCTCAAGGTTTCACCCTTCAGAGTTCAATGTAAGGTTCAAAGGATGACTTTGAACATTAAACAGCATCGTGAACTACCCAACAATGTTCCCAGCTGTGGCTCTCAATCAACACACATTTCTAAAGGCAAGGTGGCTCAGTGAGAGGCAGGAGACCTGGAATGTGCGAGGAATGAAAGGTCATCAGGGGTTCCTGGTATGCAAGGCATGTGCCAATGACATCGAGTCCACCTTCTTCCTACTCTACCCCTCCCCTGCCCCAAAACAAGAACTGCAAAGAGGTGGCATAAGCTTCCTGCATGGTATGGTGAGCAGTGTATTCCCTTCCTCAGGGATATTTTAAGGCCTTCAGACTTTTATCAAGTTATTTCTGTTATAGCACCTATGGACAACGTCTACATATTGTACTACAAGTGGCAAACAAAACTTCTCCTGGCAGGACCAAATGAAGGATGAAGCTAATGCAATGCTTTCTGGGCTGCTGAAAGCCCACCTTATATTTCTAGATGGTAGTTTGATCTTTCAGTTACCTTGTTTTAAGAAAAGACACACTTTTACACCCAATAAATGATTTGACCTATTGGTAGCAGATCAACCAGGTGAAACACTGAATTCATGCTAGACAAGCCCTACCTTCATTTTCTAGTGACAAGAGGCTAGAAACTGAAACATCTTTCTTGCAGGAAATAAGTTAGTTCTTACAGGTGTGTGTCCCCGTGTCCCCAAATTCCTACCCTGCTCTGGCTATTCCTGCACATCAGACTGTGCTGCTACCATCCTGCAATAAACATGACGAAGCGGGAAATTCAGCCAACAGGGAAGGGGTAAAAGAGAAGTCGCATGCTACTGCAGAAAGGCCAGATTGGGAATGTGGAGACATGGATGCTTTTTGTGCCTGACTTCTGCTAACCCCGTGGATGAGCTTGTTAAACAGGATAGTGCTTATTCAGGGTCAGCTTCACTCTGGGTCATGTCCTTAAATAATACTATTTTTAAAAACTTCTTTGCCAACGCTAATTATAATACCTATTCCAGACATGAGAAAACTGGATTAGATTGGTTGGTTAATGTGTCCAAGGTCAAAACATGGTGGATCATAATGTGAACCAAATTCCCTGTTCTTCCTTTTGATCCTGCAATCCCACTACTGTGTATCTACCTGGAGGAAAAGAAGTCATTACACAAAAAGCATACTTGCACATGCCTGTTTATAGCAGCACAACTTGCAATTGCAAAAATGTGGAACCAGCTTAAATGTCCATCAATCAACAAGCGACTGTGTGTGTGTGTGTGTGTATATATATATATACATACCACAGTGTGTGTGTATATATATATATATATATATATATACCGCAGTGTGTGTGTATATATATATAGCACAGTCTGTATATATATATATATTCTACTGTGTGTGTAGAATATATATATTCTACACACACACACATATACCATGAAATACTACTCAGCCATAAAAAGGAGTGAATTAATAGCATTCACAGAAGCCTCAAAGGAACTGGAGATTATTATTCTAAGTGAAGTAACTCAGGAATGAAAAACCAAACATCATATGTTCTCACTCATAACTGGAAGCTAAGCTATGAGGATGCAAAGCCATAAGAATGATACAATGGATTTTGGAAACTCGGGGGGAAACGGTGGGAAGTAGGTGAGGGATAAAAGACTACATGCTGGGTTCGGTGTATATACTGTTAGAGTGATGGGTGCACCAAAATCTCACAAATCACTAGTAAAGAACTTGCTCATGTAACCAAATACCACCTGTTCCCTAAAAATCTATGCAAATAAAAGAAAAAAATCCATGTTCTAATATATCATGCTGCCTCTCCAATAGCCTGCAAAATTTATCATTTTTATATCATCCTTTAAACATGAATAACTACCTATGACCAACTTCAGATAACACTGCTCCAGTCCAGTGGGCATGGACTAGATAATGATAAGGCAGACACAGCATACTCTCTGCCTGCTGGATGTCTTCACGTGCAATTTCTCGCTGGACTTTCGGCAAATCAACACACTGGGCTGGGCTTTGTTTTTCACTTATGTAAAGCATGAAATTTAAACTAGATGATTTCTTAGATTCCTTTTAACTCTCATATTCTAAAATGAAAAGTAGACATTCTAGTGATATATTTCATACATATGTAGATACATACATTTAGTGTCTACATGATTATGTTTTTAAGGGGTACTGGAACCCTTGTCCTGACTTATGCCTCTGGTGAAATCCATCCCATTTTCATTGCCCTGTCTTCATTCTTCCTCTCCTAACTAAAAGTAGGAGCTCTCATACCTGGCCTTTTGTATAAGTATGGGCATACTTATGTCTATACTTCACTTTTAGCACCCTCGGCTTCCTATGATGATTGATGGTGGGCATATCATATTTACCCTATAACCCTGTAGAATTTCCTCAACTTTCTTACCATGGTTGGTAGTCCCAAAGATACTCAGCCAAATATCAGCACCAGGGAGTAGAATATTGATATGCTCTACCTATTTTTATTAAAATTAAAATCTGAAGTATCACAAGATTTTATTTAATTGAGTGATCGACTGAGACAGTGTCTCACTCTGTCACCCAGGCTAGAGTGCGATGGCATAATCATGGCTTACTGTAGCCTTAAACTCGTGGGTTCAAGTGATCCTCCCACCTCAGCCTCACAAGTAGTTAGGACTATAGGCATACATCACCAGGCCTGGTTAATTTTTTTTTTCTTTTTTCTCTCTTTCCCTTTTAATTTTTATTTTTTTTTTTATTATTTTTGTTTGTTTGTTTGTGGAGACAGGGTCTTGTTATGTTGTCCAGGCTAATCTTGAACTCTTGGCTTGAAGCAATCCTCCTGCCTCAGGCTCCCAAAGTGCTGGGATTACAGCCACCGTGGGATATAAGCCACCATGCCTAGTTGATTTTATCTAATTTAAACTTGAATTCCACACAACATATTTTGAACAGAAAAAAAATGATCTGAGAAATTATATAGCAAAAAGTTTTAATAATAAATGACATGTCTATGTTGTTTTACAGCAGGGCTTTTCTTGTTATCTGAGTTAAATAATCAGGTTTTTTAAAATTAAATTCCAGCTGATTGTGGTTTAATGCTTTTATAAAGTATAATGAAATGCATTTTTAGAAAAATTAAATTTAAAGGTATTAAAATGCAAACTCAAAATTTGTGTCACTAGATTCAATAGAAACAAAAGCATTCTGTTATTACATTGCTATAAAGTTTCTAAATATAATTTCTGGGCTTATCTCATGGACTGACAACAAATGGCAGCTCACTATTCACAATAGAAAAGACATGGAATCAACCCAGGTCCTCATCAATGCTGGATTGGATAAAGAAAATGTGGTACATACACACCACGGAATACTATGCAGCCATAAGAAAGAATGCAATCATGTCTTTTGCAGCAACTTGTATGTAGCTGGAGGGCATTATCCTAAGTGCATTAACACAGAAATGGAAAACCAAATAAAGTATGTGTTCACTTACAAGTAGGAGCCGAACATTGGATACATAAAGACACAAAGATAGGAACAACAGACAGTGGGGATTTTGAAAAGGGGCAGAGAGGGAAGGAGGCACCGGTTGAAAAACTACCTATTAGATATCACGTTCACTACTTCGGCAACAGGATCATTAGAAGTGTGAAACTTAGCATCACACAATATATCCGTATAACAAACCTATGCGTGTACCACCTGAATGTAAAATAAAACAACAACAACAACAACCAAATGGCTGCTCACTACCACCATTCCTGGACCACATTGGGAGCAGCACTAATTTACCTCTTACACAGAACTTTTAGAATTCGAATAGGAGCTGGGTTGCACCAACTGAGTGAAAATATAAGGGATCATGCCGGGAAAAGACCAGATGTTTATCTTCAGCCTTTCTCTGTGGTCTTTGAAAAGAAAGACCACGGTACACAGCAGAAGGTCAAAGGATTCTGTCTTTAGTCTAGTCTTTGCTCTCCAGATGAAGAAAACAGGATTGGAAATCACTGCCAATAAAACCAAACCCGGGCAAGGAAAGTTTAACAGTTAATGACTGCAACGGGTCCATACTCTTAACAAAGAAAATAATATGGATTATTTATTTTTGAACTTATAAATTGATCTTGTATTGTCAGCTCATGTGTAAGCTTTTTGTCTGTTGATAATTCATTGGTATTTTTTTTTTAACTCTCCAGAAACATTTTATTTAACTTTCCCCAAATCCCATCGAACTAGGTACTAGTGTTGTCCTTACCATACAGGTGAGAAAACTGATTCAGAGATGTTAAATGACTTACCATAGCCATTCAGTTACTAGGAGGTTCAAGTGACTTTCATACCCAAGCCTGTCTGACTCTTAGTTCATGCCCCAGCCAATTATCCATTCACCAAATCTATTGTTTCTCTGGCTAATCTCACTTTACAATACTTGAAGAATCTAAGTGTACAGGAAGCTGTAGAAAATATATGATTTTCTTTAAGTCAGTGGGAAAAATATCTCCTCACAAAACCCTGGGATGAGACTCATGAGCATGCTTTTGTGAATGTTAGTCGTACAACCACTGTGTTTATCTTATAATTTTAACCTCCACAGAATGGAATCAGATATATAACTATTATACATAGGTTCTTAAGATTGCTGCACTTGAAATCTCTTATCTACAGAATCTTCAATGAATAGTTAGGAGTACTCAATGTGATTATTTAAAACTCTTGAAAATTGGACCCATTGATTATAAGGATTCACTTGGTGCATGATAAGGAAAAATCTAGCATTTTAACTTTTCTAAAATAGACCACATTGGTCCTAAGGCACTAGGGGAAAACACCCATGAAGAGATGAGGGATGGTTTCTTGAGCTACTTATGAGTTACAATTGATTTGTTTTCCTCCCCGCTGAATTCGTTTTCAAAGAATAGGGTAAAGGTCTTTGACATAAGCCTGGTGGTAAGAATCTCTGTGGAGCCCCTCATGAAATGGTGACAACATAAAGGGTGCTGCTTCCCATGATATTCCAAGAAATGGCCTCCAATATATGTGCTACTTCAAGCGTGTGGATTCACTGCTATGTCTTCAGACTCTTTCAACTAAAACTTCAGGTCTCAGTTTCACCCTTAGCAGATACTTTTCCAACAGAATAAATTCCAAATTCTAAGATACCCAAAGATTGACAGAAATATGAAATATTTGTGCTCAAATGTGCTATGCTTAGGAATGAGGAAAGTAAAACCTAGAGGGGAGAACAGGCTTGCCCAAAGTCACACAAATAGTACTAAATGTGAACTGAAATGCCATCTGAATCCCTCTTCTAGGAAAAGTCCATATTTAGCCTAAAACATATAAATCCACTGCACACAACTCTACTTCTTATTTTTACTGGCAAAGTCCACATCTGTGTATTCATTTCTCTATCCCTAGCACTAGGCCTAATGCCTGACACTTATTAGATGCTCACTAAGTGTCTGTTACATTGAATTAAATTAACAGAAGTACCAAGGTGGAACCTTTGGAAGTCATTGTGATTATACATATTAGTAAACCTTGCCTGAGTGCTGATAAGATGCGGTAGAAGCACATGTAATTCCTCTTGCTTTTTATAATCTTTGCTGTGAAGGAAATATAATAGCACTCAGGATTCCTATTACCACTGTCAGAGGGATGGATGATCCAAAAACCTATAAAGCTTAATGTACAATTAATATCATGCCTCACTTCTGTCATAGGCTCATTGTTCTACACTTTGACTGTCTTGACAAGTATCTCAACTTTGACCTTCTGAGCTGATGAGACTACAAAAGAAAGTAGTCAGAGAAGAAAAAAAATCAAAATTATGGCAAATATAAAATTCAAAATGCAACAGTCTATTACTGTTCTGTCACTCAGAGAACCCAGAAGCATCATTTCTTTCTTGCTTCAGAATTGAAAGGTAGGCAGGGCTGAGCTGCTGCACACATCACATGGAATTCCTGATACCAGTGATTTTAAATTATAGTAGTATTTGACCAAAACAGACATTAGAGCTTGCCAGACCTCATTGGCTCCCCATAAAATAGGATATATTCATGCGAAGGCACTAAACTTTTGACTGTCCAAGGGGCCATTTGTTAATCCTATACAGTTCTCCTGCTATCTTTTTATCTCCTGCTGGTCTAAGGAGATAAATCAGTAAGTGTACAGGCACACACATATACCCATGGGCTGTAAAGGTGTTGAGAAGAAATATTTATAGTGAGTTAAAACTTTCAACCAAAGCACACAGTGAGGGGGCATTTAATTTCCACCTGCTACTAGAGCAGATTACACATTTCTTCCTGCTTTTAGAAACATCAGGGGATCATAAGCTAGGCAAATCACATAGAAAATAATATTATAAAAAGTGTTGCAGGAATCATGAAAGAATTCATGTTATCTGAGACTTGTAATGTTTTGGGTAATTTCCTACACATTCAAAGGAAAATTTACATGTCCATTCATGTATACATACATGTATCCATTCATCCATTCACCACCCATTCAACCACTCACCCACCCACCCACCCATTCACTCACCCACCCACCCATCCATCCACCCACCCATTTGGTAACCCACCCATTCATCCACCTACCCATTCATCTATTTATCCACTCACTCACCTATTTATCTACCCAACCACCCAAGCATCCATCCATCCATCCATCCACCCACCCATCCATTCATCCATCCAATATTTTTGACATCGTACTAATATGCCAATGATGATGCCAAGAGACAAAGAATAGAACGACGAACAAAATAGATGTGTTCTTTTTCCTCCAGGAAAGGCAGACATACACAAAGACATAAAAACATCAGATTGTGGGGTTGATAAACAGGGGCTATTGTGAGAGCAAATAAGAGATGAGTTTCCCTGGAAATGATGTTTGATATGAGTACTATGGATGAGGTGTTAGGCAAAGCAAAACCAAAACATGAAAAGTGGGAATATATTTGGGATTTAAGGATGAGTATATATTATGTGTCAAAGCTAAGATTTTTTGAGAAGCTACAATATATTTGGGGAACTGCCAAGAGTTCAGTCTGATGAAAGGGAAGGAAGTGGTGAATGATAGTGAGAACACTAGTCTTGAGCTCTGCTGTTGAAGGAACTGTGAAAGCTGTTAAGAAATTTCCTTCCTTTCCTGGGCCTCAGCTTTTTCATCTGTCAACTATGGAAGCTTGTTTAGATGATGCCTCACATCCTTTCTAACTTTTGTGGTCTTAGGAATTCTCTTACAAATGCAGACTTCTTGAAATATAGCTAGAAACAAACGAGAAAGCCTGCAAGCTAGAAATTCAAGTGACCCTCTTATGACGATTGTTCACTAACCAGCCTCATTCCCATTTGACTCATTTACAGAGAGAGCTTTCCCGAGGGAAGAAGGAGCTCTCTTACAATTTTTCTTGTTTTTCCAGAATCGTCCTGAGCCACTGTTGTGATAGAGGGATGCCAGAGGGTGGGGGAGGGGTGGGGAGTAGAAATCCACTGGGAAGAAACTCCTAAATTTCTTCAGAGAAAGGAAAACTCGGAGTCAGTGGCTCAGTAGGGGTTGGTTTTGGGGAAACGAATCTGTTTTAAGTGTTTCTTTTTCCCTTGTAAGACTCCTCATCTCCACTCTGTGCTAGAGCTGCCTCTCAGTCTATAATATTCTCCTGAGGCCTTAGACAACACATCACGTTAGTCATTGATTTGGGAGCCTTAACTGTCTTATCCATGGAATGGGGAGAGTGAAGCCTGCCTCAGAACTGTGAGGATTGAAGTAGGTGGTTTAGGCAAGAAACTTTGCATAGTGACTTGGTGTTTTAAGTGCTTTCAATGATTAATTAACCATCTTCACAATAGCTCTGTGAGGTACTGCAATAATTATGCTCATTTTTTAGATGGAAACACTGATGCTCATAATTTAAAATATGTGCAAAAGTAATTGTGGTTTTTGCCATTAGCGGCTAATTATTTTGCACCAACCTAATAACTTGGTCAAGATCACATGGCTCTTATATAGTGGCACCAGGATTCGCTTCAGACAAACCACCTCCAGACCCATGCCCATAACCATTATGCTAAACGCCTCTTAATAAACGTTGGTCTTTTTTTTTCTTCGTATTACCTGAGGTCAACTCACCTTTTGTACTAAGGGTAGGGATGTTACCGTTACGTAACTGTTACCAGTTAATGCCCTAACTGTCATTTCTAGGATTCTGTATCCATCATTGCACAATGTAACTTCAACCATTATCTCCAAAAAGAAAGATTTGGGCCAGGACTGGAGACAAGGACCCCTCTTTGGAATCTGGTCATGACTCCTGGCTGCTACGGCACAACTACTCCTGATGCCTAAATATGGAATCAATGAAGCACCCACTGAACTCATTTCAGCACTTCATCTTTTTCCCTCCAGAATGGCTCCTGTGCTAATTGCATCTGCTTCCCTCTTTGCATCACAATGGTAGTTTCTATTTTGGATTTTTATCGTCTGTTGCAGCTTTGAGAAATTCTTATTCTGGTTCTGATCCAGCCTTGGCTATGTTTCAAAGACGCTAAAACCGCTAGTGAAGCTGGCCTCATTTACCTTCTGGCACAAGTATGCATCTTTCCCAGAGTGAAAAACAGACTCCGTACCCACCCCTTAAAAACAAGTAGACAAGAAGGAAAGAGAAGTCTTGCTAGACTATACCAGGGGTAAAGTTGGCGAGGAATAAAACAAATTTTAAATCAAATTCCTGTCGGGTGAAATTAGCTCAAATGATGACCTTCAGATTTTTTTCTATTTCCAAAATTAGAAATTTTGGAATCTGCTAATCACTGTTGTTGTTCTGTAGGAACATTTTAGAGTTTACAATTAAAACATGAATAATTTTTCTTCCATAGCACATGTCATCAGAGATTCTCAGTGGCCTCTCCACACTGTGTAAAGAAAAGCACAGCAGACGTACTCAGCCAGCTGCCTCTGAGGTATCCAGAGAAAGGCCTTCTACTTAAGTACCTGTCCTAATAAGGGTATTTTGTAGGACATAACAATTTTTTAGATATCTCATTTAATCTCTATTATAACTTTGTAGCACGATAGTCTCATTATTCCCGTTATGCTGATATGTCAAATCAAGTGTCAAAAAATCAAATAAGCAATGTAGAATACTTAGAATATGGTTATCATAAGGACCACAGAGAAAACCAAAGGAGGGAAAAGGGATCAGATTTCAGGTGAGCTACATGTGAACACTCCAACAGCTGTGTAAGACACTTCCTCATTTCTGAAAGGTCCAGGCCCTAAGGAGATGCTGAGAATTGTATCCCTCTAATAGAAAGTAAAATCACCATGTTCAAGGTAGAATAAATGGCATAGTAGTAAACATTGCTTAGGTGAAGTCCAAATCTCTAGACTAGAGTGAAATAGTAGATCACACTAGAAAGAATAGTTTGGTCCAGATCACATATGACCCAAAAAATTAGGTAGAAGATTTTAGATGTGATTTAATAAGTAGAAGAGTGTTTTAAAAATTGAAATCATTTTAGGATAACTCCTTTGGAATTATTTTTCAGAATGACAAGAAGGGGACAAAGACTTCAAGTGGGAAATTTAGAAGTTTGCAATGGTTCACCTCTAAGATAATAAAGTTTTAAAAAGGGTAGCATAATGGAGACAGAGATCCACCATGAAGAACATGTTAAAAGTCCTTTGGCAATTGGTTATTTGTGGGTAAACAGCATGAGGGTGAACACAGATAAACAAGGGTTTACCTCAAATAGCTAGATTTAAGATGAAACTAATGATGTCTAAGCTTCAGGGCTTCTCATTTGCATAAAACCCTTCTAAGCCCCTGGCAGGGCTCCTACTGGTATGAACAAGTGTTTCAATTCAAACTATGCATCCAACAAAGGACTAATATCTACAAGGAACTTAAATCAGCAAGAAAAAAAATAATAATCCCATTAAAAAGTGGGCTGAGGACATGAATGGACATTTCTCAAAAGAAAATATACAAATGGCCAACAAACATTTGAAAAAATGCTCTACGTCACTAATCATCAGGGAAAATGCAAATGAAAACCACAATGAAATACCACCTTACTCCTACAAAAATGGCCATAATTAAAAAGGCAAAAACCAATAGATTTTGGTGTGCATGTGGTGAAAAGGGAACACTTCTACACTGCTGGTGGGAATGTAAATTAGTGGAACCGCTATGGAAAACAGTATGGAGATTCCTTAAGGAGCTAAAGTAGAACTACCATTTGATCCAGAAATTTCACTACTGGGTATCTACCCAAAGGAAAATAGGTAATTACATGAAAAAAAACACATGCACACACATGCACAATTCAAAATTGCAAAGATACGGCACCATCCTAAGTGCCCATCAACCAACAAAGGGATAAAAAAAACCAATGTACACATATACATATATACACACCATGGAATACTACTCAGCCATGAAAATGAATGAAATGATGTCTTTTGAGGCAACTTGGATGGAACTGGAGGCCGTTAGTCTAAGAGAAGTAACTCAGTAATAGATAAATAAATAAATATAGTATATTCTAACTTCTAAGTGAGAACTAAGCTATGAGGATGCAAAGGCATAAGATGATATGATGGACTTTGGGTACTTGGGGCAGAGGAAGGTTGGGAGAGAGGTAGGGGATAAAATACTACATATTGGGTACAGTATATACTGCTTGGTTGATGGGTGCACTAAAATCTCAGACATCACCACTAAAGAACTTATCCATGTAACCAAAAACTATCCCTACCCCCAAAAACTATTGAAATAAAAATTAAAAAAAGATTTAACCCCATCTCCCCAAAAGAACACGTGTTGCAATTGAAAGGGCATTTAATATTAGTCACTTCGAAAGAAAATATGAAATTCAGTGAAAGAACTTTGACAGAAGTTTTTCAGGTTTGACAAAAATTTATAAAACTTTTATAACATATCCATGAATTAAGAAGCTGAAAAGACTCTAATAAGCTATTAATATCAACAACAAACTGCTATTAATAATGCTAGAAATAAGACTAGGAAAGATAGATAGATAGACAGACAGATAGATAGATAGATATTTTATACAGAGAACACAATGTAAGAAAAAATACTATAGAGCTGAGTTGTGTCAGACAGTTAACAAACATGTGATGTTTGTCAAGTTTTTTCATTTGTAATTTGTTTTAATTGCTTTCCTTATTCTAAATATTTACTTTTGAATTGAATTAGTATTCAAATGCCATATTATTATGTTTTTAATTGTTGAAGCCTTAGGACCCACAAAACCTGGATTTTAATTGTTGAAGCCTTAGGACCCAAGAAACCTGAATCGTAAGTTGATAACCCAAATGATACAAAAAAAATATGAAAATAACGTCATGTTTTGCCGGGCATAAATATCCCTTTATCATGGTGAATAATCCTTCTAATGTGCTCTTGAATTGGATTTGTTAGTGTTTGGTTGAGGATTTTGGCATTTATGTTCATCAGGAATATAATCTATAATTTTATTTTATTTCTTAGCATCCTTGATTGGCTTTGATATCAGGGTAAGGTGAGGCTTGCAAAATGTGTTTGGAAGTATTCCTTTCTCTTCCATTTTTTGGGAAAGTTTGACAAAAGCTGGCATTACTTCTATCTAGTTTGCTAGAATTCAGTCATGAAGTCATCAGGTCCTGGGTTTTGGATGGTTCAATGTATGCAAATCAATAAATGTGATACACCACATTAACAGAATGAAGGACAAAACTGCATGATCATCTCAATAGATGCAGAAGAGGCATTTGACAAAATTCAACATCTTTTCATAATCAGAGCTCTCAACAAATTAACTATAGAAGGAATGTTCTCTAACATCAAAGGCCATATATGATACACCCACAGCTAATATCACACTCAATGGCGAAAAGTAGAACACTTTTTCTCTAAGTTCAGGAATAAGACTAGGATGCCCACTCTTACCACTTCAAATCAACATAGCACTGGAAGTCTTAGAGCAATTAGGCAAAAACAAGAAATAAAAACAAATCCAGTTTGGAAAAAAAGAAGTAGAATTGTAGTTGTTTAAAGATGATGTTATATTTTGAAAACCCTAAAGATTCCATCAAAAAAGAGAACTACTAAACAAAGTCAGTAAAGCTGCAGGATACAAAATCACCAGACAAAAATTTGTACCATTTTTATGCACTTATAACTATCCGTAAAACAAATCAAGAAAACAAGCCCATTAACAATAACATTAAAAAATCCAAGGAATAAGTTTAACCAAGGAGGTGAAAGATCTCTATAAGGAACACCATAAAAAGTTTATGAAAAATACACAAATGAAAAAAAATTCTATGTTCATGAATTGAAATAATTAGTATTTTTAAAATGCCCATACTGCCAATAGCAATCTACAGATTCAATGCATTTCCTATAAAAATTTCCATGATATTTTTCACAGAAATAAAAATAATAATTCTAGAATCTGTATGAAACCACACAAAACCTTGAATAGCCAAAGCAATCCTGAGCAAAAAGAACAGAACTGGAGGTATTAAACTACCTGACCTCAAAATCTACTACAATGATATTGTAACTGCAACAGCATGGTACTGGCACCAAAGCAGACATATAGGTCAATGTAACCAAATAGCCCAGAAATAAATACACACATTTACGGACAACTGATTTTTGGCAAAGGTACCAAAACATACATATACAATCAGGACAGGACAGTCTCTTCAATAAATGGTGTTGGGAAAATGAAATATCCACATGCAGAAGCATGAAACCAGACCCTTCTCTCACCCCTTATATAAAAATCATCCCTAAATGGGTTAAAAATTGCAATGTAAGTCCTGAAACTAAAAAACATACATTTATAACTATCCAAAACTATGTTTTACAGCAATGTTCTACTAGCAAAAACATTAGGGAAAACCTTCCTGATGTTGACCTAGCGAATGGAATACTTACTATTCAGCCTTAAAAAATCTGGGGGAGGGGCGCCCGCCATTGCCCAGGCTTGCTTAGGTAAACAAAGCAGCCGGGAAGCTCGAACTGGGTGGAGCCCACCACAGCTCAAGGAGGCCTGCCTGCCTCTGTAGGCTCCACCTCTGGGGGCAGGGCACAGACAAACAAAAAGACAGCAGTAACCTCTGCAGACTTAAATGTCCCTGTCTGACAGCTTTGAAGAGAGCAGTGGTTCTCCCAGCACGCAGCTGGAGATCTGAGAACGGGCAGGCTGCCTCCTCAAGTGGGTCCCTGACCCCTGACCCCCAAGCAGCCTAACTGGGAGGTACCCCCCAGCAGAGGCACACTGACACCTCACACGGCAGGGTATTCCAACAGACCTGCAGCTGAGGGTCTTGTCTGTTAGAAGGAAAACTAACAAACAGAAAGGACATCCACACCAAAAACCCATCTGTACATCACCATCATCAAAGACCAAAAGTAGATAAAACCACAAAGATGGGGAAAAAACAGAGCAGAAAAACTGGAAACTCTAAAACGCAGAGCGCCTCTCCTCCTCCAAAGGAACGCAGTTCCTCACCAGCAATGGAACAAAGCTGGATGGAGAATGACTTTGACGAGCTGAGAGAAGAAGGCTTCAGACGATCAAATTACTCTGAGATACGGGAGGACATTCAAACCAAAGGCAAAGAAGTTGAAAACTTTGAAAAAAATTTAGAAGAATGTATAACTAGAATAACCAATACAGAGAAGTGCTTAAAGGAGCTGATGGAGCTGAAAACCAAGGCTTGAGAACTACGTGAAGAATGCAGAAGCCTCAGGAGCCGATGCGATCAACTGGAAGAAAGGGTATCAGCAATGGAAGATGAAATGAATGAAATGAAGCGAGAAGGGAAGTTTAGAGAAAAAAGAATAAAAAGAAATGAGCAAAGCCTCCAAGAAATATGGGACTATGTGAAAAGACCAAATCTACGTCTGATTGGTGTACCTGAAAGTGATGGGGAGAATGGAACCAAGTTGGAAAACACTCTGCAGGATATTATCCAAGAGAACTTCCCCAAACAAGCAAGGCAGGCCAACATTCAGATTCAGGAAATACAGATAATGCCACAAAGATACTCCTCGAGAAGAGCAACTCCAAGACACATAATTGTCAGATTCACCAAAGTTGAAATGAAGGAAAAAATGTTAAGGGCAGCCAGAGAGAAAGGTCGGGTTACCCTCAAAGGGAAGCCCATCAGACTAACAGCGGATCTCTCGGCAGAAACCCTATAAGCCAGAAGAGAGTGGGGGCCAATATTCAACATTCTTAAGGAAAAGAATTTTCAACCCAGAATTTCATATCCAGCCAAACTAAGCTTCATAAGTGAAGGAGAAATAAAATACTTTACAGACAAGCAAATGCTGAGAGATTTTGTCACCACCAGGCCTGCCCTAAAAGAGCTCCTGAAGGAAGAGCTAAACATGGAAAGGAACAACCAGTACCTGCTGCTGCAAAATCATGCCAAAATGTAAAGACCATCGAGACTAGGAAGAAACTGCATCAACTAACGAGCAAAATCACCAGCTAACATCATAATGACAGGATCAAATTCACACATAACAATATTAACTTTAAATGTAAATGGACTAAATGCTCCAATTAAAAGACACAGACTGGCAAATTGGATAAAGAGTCAAGACCCATCAGTGTGCTGTATTCAGGAAACCCATCTCACGTGCAGAGACACACATAGGCTCAAAATAAAAGGATGGAGGAAGATCTACCAAGCAAATGGAAAAGAAAAAAAGGCAGGGGTTGCAATCCTAGTCTCTGATAAAACAGACTTTAAACCAACAAAGATCAAAAGAGACAAAGAAGGCCATTACATAATGGTAAATCGATCAATTCAACAAGAAGAGCTAACTATCCTAAATATATATGTACCCAATACAGGAGCACCCAGATTCATAAAGCAAGTCCTGAGTGACCTACAAAGAGACTTAGACTCCCACACATTAATAATGGGAGACTTTAACACCCCACTGTCAACATTAGATCAACGAGACAGAAAGCCAACAAGGATACCCAGGAATTGAACTCAGCTCTGCACCAAGCGGACCTAACAGACATCTACAGAACTCTCCACCCCAAATCAACAGAATATACACTTTTTTCAGCACCACACCACACCTATTCCAAAATTGACCACATACTTGGAAGTAAAGCTCTCCTGAGCAAACGTAAAAGAACAGAGATTATAACAAACTATCTCTCAGACCACAGTGCAATCAAACTAGAACTCAGGATTAAGAATCTCACTCAAAACCGCTCAACTACATGGAAACTGAACAACCTGCTCCTGAATGACTACTGGATACATAACGAAATGAAGGCAGAAATAAAGATGTTCTTTGAAACCAACGAGAACAAAGACAGAACATACCAGAATCTCTGGGACACATTTAAAGCAGTGTGTAGAGGGAAATTTATAGCACTAAATGCCCACAAGAGAAAGCAGGAAAGATCCAAAATTGACACCCTAACATCACAATTAAAAGAACTAGAAAAGCAAGAGCAAACACAAAAAACCCTTCAAAAAATTAATGAATCCAGGAGCTGGTTTTTTGAAAGGATCAACAAAATTGATAGACCACTAGCAAGACTAATAAAGAAAAAAAGAGAGAAGAATCAAATAGATACAATAAAAAATGATAAAGGGGATATCACCACTGATCCCACAGAAATACAAACTACCATCAGAGAATACTACAAACACCTCTACGCAAATAAACTAGAAAATCTAGAAGAGATGGATAAATTCCTGGACACATACACTCTCCCAAGACTAAACCAGGAAGAAGTTGAATCTCTTAATAGACCAATAACAGGAGCTGAAATTGTGGCAATAATCAATAGTTTACCAACCAAAAAGAGGCCAGGACCAGATGGATTCATAGCTGAATTCTACCAGAGGTACAAGGAGGAACTGGTACCATTCCTTCTGAAACTATTCCAATCAATAGAAAAAGAGGGAATCCTCCCTAACTCATTTTATGAGGCCAGCATCATTCTGATACCAAAACCGGGCAGAGACACAACCAAAAAAGAGAATTTTAGACCAATATCCTTGATGAACATTGATGCAAAAATCCTCAATAAAATACTGGCAAAACGAATCCAGCAGCACATCAAAAAGCTTATCCACCATGATCAAGTGGGCTTCATCCCTGGAATGCAAGGCTGGTTCAATATATGCAAATCAATAAATGTAATCCAGCATATAAACAGAGCCAAAGACAAAAACCACTTGATTATCTCAATAGATGGAGAAAAAGCCTTTGACAAAATTCAACAACCCTTCGTGCCAAAAACTCTCAATAAATTAGGTATTGATAGGACGTATTTCAAAATAATAAGAGCTATCTATGACAAACCCACAGCCAATATCATACTGAATGGGCAAAAACTAGAAGCATTCCCTTTGAAAACTGGCACAAGACAGGGATGCCCTCTCTCACCACTCCTATTCAACATAGTGTTGGAAGTTCTGGCCAGGGCAATTAGGCAGGAGAAGGAAATAAAGGGTATTCAATTAGGAAAAGAGGAAGTCAAATTGTCCCTGTTTGCAGACGACATGATTGTATATCTAGAAAACCGCATTGTCTCAGCCCAAAATCTCCTTAAGCTGATAAGCAACTTCAGCAAAGTCTCAGGATGCAAAATCAATGTAGTAAAATCACAAGCATTCTTGTACACCAACAACACACAAACAGAGAGCCAAATCATGAGTGAACTCCCATTCACAATTGCTTCAAAGAGAATAAAATACCTAGGAATCCAACTTACAAGGGATGTGAAGGACCTCTTCAAGGAGAACTACAAACCACTGCTCAAGGAAATAAAAGAGGATACAAACAAATGGAAGAACATTCCATGCTCATGGATAGGAAGAATCAATATCGTGAAAATGGCCATACTGCCCAGGGTAATTTGCAGATTCAATGCCATCCCCATAAAGCTACCAATGACTTTCTTTACAGAATTGGAAAAAACTACTTTAAAGTTCATATGGAACCAAAAAAGAGCCCGCATCGCCAAGGCAATCCTAAGCCAAAAGAACAAAGCTAGAGGCATCATACTACCTGACTTCAAACTATACTATAAGGCTACAGTAACCAAAATAGCATGGTACTGGTACCAAAACAGAGATATAGATCAATGGAACAGAACAGAGCCCTCAGAAATAACGCCGCATATCTACAACAATCTGATCTTTGACAAACCTGAGAAAAACAAGCAATGGGGAAAGGATTCCCTATTTAATAAATGCTGGGAAAACTGGCTAGCCATATGTAGAAAGCTGAAACTGGATCCCTTCCTTACACCTTATACAAAAATCAATTCAAGATGGATTAAAGACTTAAATGTTAGACCTAAAACCATAAGAACCCTAGAAGAAAACCTAGGCATTACCATTCAGGACATAGGCATGGGCAAGGACTTCATGTCCAAAACACCAAAAGCAATGGCAACAAAAGCCAAAATTGACAAATGGGATCTAATTAAACTAAAGAGCTTCTGCACAGCAAAAGAAACTACCATCAGAGTGAACAGGCAACCTACAAAATGGGAGAAAATTTTCGCAACCTACTCATCTGACAAAGGGCTAATATCCAGAATCTACAATGAACTCAAACAAATTTACAAGAAAAAAACAAACAACCCCATCAAAAAGTGGGTGAAGGACATGAACAGACACTTCTCAAAAGAAGACATTTATGCAGCCAAAAGACACATGAAAAAATTCTCATCATCACTGGCCATCAGAGAAACACAAATCAAAACCACAATGAGATACCATCTCACACCAGTTAGAATGGCAATCATTAAAAAGTCAGGAAACAACAGGTGCTGGAGAGGATGTGGAGAAATAGGAACACTTTTACACTGTTAGTGGGACTGTAAACTAGTTCAACCATTGTGGAAGTCAGTGTGGAGATTCCTCAGGGATCTAGAACTAGAAATACCATTTGACCCAGCCATCCCATTACTGGGTATATACCCAAAGGACTATAAATCATGCTGCTATAAAGACACATGCACACGTATGTTTATTGCGGCATTATTCACAATAGCAAAGACTTGGAACCAACCCAAATGTCCAACAATGATAGACTGGATTAAGAAAATGTGGCACATATACACCATGGAATACTATGCAGCCATAAAAAATGATGAGTTCATGTCCTTTGTAGGGACATGGATGAAATTGGAAATCATCATTCTCAGTAAACTATCGCAAGAACAAAAAACCAAACACCGCATATTTTCACTCATAGGTGGGAATTGAACAATGAGATCACATGGACACAGGAAGGGGAATGTCACACTCTGGGGACTGTGGTGGGGTGGGGGGAGAGGGGAGGGATAGCATTGGGAGATACACCTAATGCTAGATGACGAGTTAGTGGGTGCAGCACACCAGCATGGCACATGTATACATATGTAACTAACCTGCACAATGTGCACATGTACCCTAAAACTTAAAAGTATAATAAAATAAATAAATAAAAATAAAAAATAAAAAAATAAAAATAAATAAAAAAGAAAATCAAAGGGAAAAAAAAAAATGAAAGCATGCCCTTTGTAACAACATGGATGAACCTGAAGGACATTGTTTAGTGAAAGAAACCAGGCACAGAAACACAAATATTGTATGATCTTACTTATATGTGGAATTTTAAAAAGCTGAACTCATAGATTCAGAGACTAGAATGGTGGCTACCAGGAGCTGGGGAGTGGGGATTGGGATTGAGGAGATGTTGGTCAAAGGATATAAATTCCTTACACAAGAGGAATAAGTTTAGAGGATCTATTGTATGACATGGTGACTATAGTTAATAATAATGTATCATATATTTGAAAATTGTGAATAGAGTAGATTTTAAGTGTTCTCACAATAAAAAGTATGTGAGGTAATAGATATGTTTACTCACTTGATTTAGCCATTCCAAAATGGTGACATATATCAAGTTGTACACCATATATATAATTTTCATCAATTAAATTAAAAAATATTTTAAAAATTAAAACAAAATAGACATGTCTTGTAAGAAAAAACTAAGTTGCAATGTTATATATGTTAATAAGAGCATGTGGGGGCCGGGCGCGGTGGCTCAAGCCTGTAATCCCAGCACTTTGGGAGGCGAGGCGGGTGGATCACGAGGTCAGGAGATAGAGACCATCCTGGCTAACATGGTGAAACCCCGTCTCTAGGAAAAATACAAAAAAATTAGCCGGACATGGTGGCAGGTGCCTGTAAGTCCCAGCTACTCGGGAGGCTGAGGCAGGAGAATGGCGTGAACCTGGGAGGCGGGGCTTGCAGTGAGCCGAGATCGCGCCACGGCACTCCAGCCTGGGCGACAGAGCGAGACTCCGTCTCAAAAAAAAAAAAAAAAAAAAAAAAAAAAAGAGCATGTGGGACATTGAGGAGGTGCTCAGCAGGTGGTTAGATATGAGCCCTCTAGCTGAGAAGAGAGGAAGAAGGAGGTGCTAAAAATATGAACATATAGGAGAGTAGACCACATGGCATTTACAGTTGAAACAACGGGCATAGCTAAAATCTCAAAGATGAGGCCTTAGAGAGAGAAAGCAACAGGGGCAGAGACAAGAACATTCTTAAGATTACATTGCATTATAAATTCCATCAGGCCAAATATCTCCAAGCAACTGCTGGGTCATGTCTGAGTTAAACATGAATGAGATCTGGAAAATTCAGTCAAATACTCAACTTTGTGTCAATATAAATCCAAATGAGACATTTTAGAAACATCTAGATGATATTTCAGTCCCTTGTTGACCTCAAGCACTGCTGTTATTGTAATCCGTGTCAAAAATCTTTCAGAGGATGAATTCTAGAGCTTTGTGGAGTGGAAAAAGGATAGAATTTGAAGCTACAGAGAAGAAATTCCCAATCTGCTTGGTAACTCTGGCAGCAAGTAGCAAAGACAATGCACTGGCACTATGTTCCCAAACCCATTTCCCATTCCTCCTGGGCACACAGAGACTGTCCTGCAGATTCATGATGCTTATGACAGACTTCCAGCTCATGGAATATAGGCAGATGTGATATAGACCAGTCACTTCCAGCCTGGCTCTACCCAGATTTTTTCAGAAGACCCTTTGGGCTCTCTTCTCTTCCCTGTCTGCATTAGCAGAGTATCCTCTGCAGACCTCTGAGGCCATGGAACAGACCAACAGACAGAAGGAACTGGGTCTCCAAATCTCTACTTGGAGTGCCATTATTTCCAATCAGATCATGATGTGAGTAAGAAATAGATACTGTACAATGCTGAAACATTGAGTTTCTATTGCGGTTTGTCACAGAAGTTAGGCCACCCTGCTTAGTTCAGCAAATTACTTAACTTCTTTGAGCCTTACTTTCCTATTTATATTATAGTTCTTAGGGCTCTCCTAATCAGAAAATATATAACATGTCTGTATACACACATATTTTGTGTTGATTCACATTCCCTTTCATCCCGTGTTTGCATTCCGATTTGGTATGGCTTTTCCATTGCACATTTCTGAGGGCACCATCCCACACATTCTATCTGATAAATAAATGTGTAGTGTACAATAGAAACCATGATCCCCTGGGGTTACATAGCTCAGCCCAGCCACATGAATTAGCTTCTAAGGGAAAGCACATTTTCTCCTAAGTATCCAGAACAAAAGAACTTGGTATTAACTTTAATAATAAAAAAAAGATTAAGGCAACAACGATTTTAATGGTAGAATTATTTACAGCTTTTCTATTATGGCTTTATAACCTTCTTGTACCATACAAAGGAGATTTAATCTCTTTCTGAAATTGTTTGCCTCTTTTCCCATCTTGTCTAATAAAAGAAACAGCCTTTAGGTATCACAGCTGATAGACAGTAGGCAAAAGAAAACCTCCTGATCAATATTCGGCTTTGGCATTTATGGATATTTTATGTTGATTGCCTACCAGCAGCTCTCGCTGCTAAATCACTTTTTCTCTTTGATGCTTAAGGTTGGAATTGAATGTGTACTAACTGGAACTGATTGCTTAAAACTTGAACAGTTCAGAGTTTAATTTCTCTAATTTGGGTAAATACTATCTACCACCAGGCTGTCTGTGTTTTCAAGTGTTCAAAGTCACATAAGAGCCAATATTTTAGGCAATACACAAGGGAGGCATTGCCACCATGCTGAGATATTCTAAGAGACAGTTTTACTTTGGTGAACCCTCAGAGAGCATGTGAATCCCCAAGAAGAAATTGGTTGAAGCAAGCTGAAAGAAATGTGTTGCAGGGAGACGGTTCCTACGGCCATTTGCCTTCTATTTGCTGAACATCTGAACAGAAAAAAGAGAAATGACAACATTACGAAATACTAACATCTGGAAATTGTGAGGCATACAGTTTTTACACTAATTTAACTCATATTCTCACATTACAGTCATGTTTAACAGTTACCCATGTGTCACTCAAAGAGAGGCATTGTATGAAAATAATTTTGGCAATACAGAACCTCCCGGCTGGAGCATGAGGTAATAGTAAATGAAATACTTGTGCACAGACTATCTACTTAGCATCCATTCATAGCTAGTCTCACAGAATGCTAGAATGGGAAGAGGATTTGGAACACAGCCAGTTCAAATCCTTTTATTTAACAGACGAAGTAACTGAGTCCCTGAGATGGAAAGTAGACAAGGGACAAAGAGAAGTGAGTAGCAGCAGCCAAGTTCCTGACCCGTGCAAATGCATCCTATAATATTACCTATTTCTTTTTACCATGCTAAACTCTCTTTGCATTGCCACATTTCGCTTTGTACCTGGACCAGGTGGAGAAGAAAAGCAAAAGGTCCTCTCAGGTCTTCAGACTTGTTCATATTTCCTATTTGCTCAGGTGAATATCCAGCAAAATATGGCTCTTATCCTCCAAAAACCAGGATCATGGTTTCACATTTTTAAAGCAAGTTTTTAGGATCCATAGGCTGGGAATCTCTTTTTTTTTTTTTTCTAAATAGCTGTTTCACTCATGGGTGAAAAAAAGTGCTGTGCTAAAAGTTAAGAGACCTGGTTTTGAGAATCAGCTGCTAACTAACCAGGTGTCTGTGGTCAAGTTCCAACCTCTTTACATTTTTCACTCATGAAAGACAAGAGGTATATGAGAGTATAGCTAAAGTCTTGCAAGATTTACAGCTTTGTCGTTTAAAAGATGTCATCTTATGCCAATTCTGCAACACACACTTTTCAAAAGTAGACGCAATATCAAAGTACCCCAGCAGTATGCTAGGAGCAGTAGGGAAAGAGGGAGGAAGCATGACCTTAGTTGTTGGAGTAAGTCATAGTCCAGGGAAACAATACAATATAGACTTACAAAGAGATCAGTCGGAGGATGCAAAGTGATACACAATGAAGATCCAAGGAGAATGCCTTTGGAGGAATCTTCCTTGTGTCTGGACTTTCCAAGAGTCAAACTATAGAAACTCCAATAATAATTAACAAATAGAAGTTAATTTCATTGAGTATTATCTTTTAGGCACTGTTGTAAGCCTAATGAATGAATAAACTCACTGAATCCTCACAATTGTATGAAACACATATTATTACCTTCATTATGCCTGTGAGGAAACAAACACAGGGAAGGTTAGATATCCAACCCAATTTGGTTTAGCCAGGATTCAAATCCAGATAATCTAGCTTTGGAGTCTATACTTTTAATTATTCTGCAAAGTTCTTATGACAAGGAAGGGACAAGAAAGTATAAGGAAGAGACCTGGACAATTCTTGGGATGAAGTGGTGTTCTAATAGTTTGAATGTTTCTGTCTCTTCTAAAATTCATGGCAAAACTGAATCTTCAATGCAACAGCGTTGAGGTGGGTCCTTTAAGACATGACTAGGCTATAATCATGTCCTAAAGGGTTGCAGAGAACTAGCTAGGCCCTTTTGCCCATCCATCTCTTCTTCCACATGAGGACACAGCATTCTTCCCCTCTGGGGGACACAGAAACAAGGCACCATCTTAGAAGCAGACTGGGAACTCACCAGACACTAAACTAACTAGTGTCTTAATCTTGGAGTTACCAGCCTCCATTAATGTGAGTAATAAATGTATAATGTTATAAATTACCCAGTCTTAAGTATTTTGTGCAGACTAAGATGTGCGCTATAAGTAATAGTAATACCATCGTACATTGACAGTTTATTTTGTGCCATGCACCACGTCAGGTATATGAATTGCCTTGTTCAATCTCTACCTGATCATTCATTGAACAAACATTTATTGAGGGCTTACAACTCAGTAGACACTTACACAATAAACTATAAGGAAAGTTCTACGATTTTTCATTCACATTTTATAAATGAGGGAACCGTGGCTCAGAGACATTACATTAACTCATCCAAGGCCACTTAATTTCCAAGTGGTAGAGTCTAGTTTTGAACCCATATCCATCTGGCCCCAGAGCTTATGCCATTGCTGTCAGTAAAAGACTTTTTGATGCCATTCAGGTTCTAGGAAATCCTTTATAATCTGGAATGCTTTTTGATCATTTTGATGCAAATGTCTCCTCTAATTCAGCATTAAAGACATTTTCTAGTTTTTGTTTGTATGATTGTGTTGAGAGATAAAGCCACACAGGAAGACAAAGCTGCTGGAGGCATTGATAGAAGAGAAATCATTTCAGAAGTCTATCACCTGGCAATCCAACTGCTGCTGTTTGCCGTCATTGCCTTGATGTCATTGTTCAGGTGGGAGGCAGGAAGGGTAAGGAGAAAGTAGTGAATGTCAGGATAAACAGGTGGAGATGCATAGGGGTCAAATGGAGGAAGCACATTCAAGGCCACAGGATGAATCACCAATGACGTGACTGGCAAGGTGTCAGGCATCCAGGATAAAAGAGACCCTTGGGTCATGGTGAGCTGCAAGCTCATCTGCTGTCAATCACTCTTATTGACTCAATGACAGTTTGGGGAAATCTGTGTGTCTGAGTCCCAGCCCAGGCCCAGCTTCCTTCTAGTATAAAAAGGCTCTTTTATTCTGCAGCAGGTCAATGAGGAAGGCTGAAAATTGGAATTGAATTTAATCAACAGGACCTTTGGAGGAAATGGCCATTCCTTGTATTAGATATTTATGGTTTCATAGTACTTTCACGTTTGTAATCTCAGATAATTCTGGGGCATATTTTTCTCCCAATTATACTAATGAGAGTGTGGAAGCTCAAAAAATTTAGTTGATGTTGTTGTTTAGTCAGAGTTCTCCAGAGAAACAGAATCATAAGAATACGTATAGATATATAAAAAGAAATTTATTATGGGGATTGGCGCATGTGATTATGGAGGCTGAGAAGTCCCACAATATGCCATCTGTAATTTGGAGAACCAGAGAATCCAGTGGTACAATTTAGTCTGAGTCCAAAGAACTGAGAACAAGTGGTGGGGGCGCTGGTATAAGCCTTAGAATATTAAGGTCAGAAATCCAGAAGCTGCGATGACCAAGGGCAAAAGAAGATGCATGTCCCAGCTCAAGAAGAGAGAGAATTCACCTTTCTTCCATCTTTTTGTTCTATTGGGGTCCTCAGGGATTGGATAATACTCCTCCATATTAGTAAGCACAGATGGTCTTTGTTCAGTCTACTGATTCAAATGCTGACCTCTTTCCAAATTCTTCTCATAGACACACCAGAAATAGCGTTTTACCAGCCACTGGGGCATCCCTTAGCCCAGTCAAGTTGACATACAAAATTAACCATCACAAGTGACTTACATAAGCTCACAACAGCAGGCTTTAGCCAATCATGGGAATTTATCTTAGCAACGTCACTTCTCTATTATCTAAGATGAAGTCTTCCATGGAAATAAGACAGTCTCCAGTTAGTGGTATTTGGATATAAAAACCCAAATAGGCTGGGTGTGGTGGCTCACGCCCGTAATCCCAAAACTTTGGGAGGCCGAGGTAGATGGATCACTTGAGGTCAGGAGTTTGAGACCAGCCTGGACAACATGGCGAAACCCTGTCTCTACTAAAAATACAATAAAATTAGCCGGGTGTGGTGGCACACTCCTGTAATCTCAGCTACCCAGTAGGCTGAGGCATGAGAATCGCTTGAACCTGTGAGGCAGAGGTTGCAATGAGCCAAGATTGCACCACTGTACTCCAGCCTGGGCAACAGAGTGACACTGTCTCAAAAAACAACAAAAGTTAAAATCTAAAAATGCATGCCCCCATGATCATGTGCTGAGCCCAGCTGAATAGGAATGAGTCTCTCTCATTGGCTGTTATTCAACTGCCCCTGAAGACTGTTGTCTGTTTCAGGTTCAATTGTGTCTCCAAGAAAGATATGTCCAAGTGTTAGCCCTCAGTGCCTGTGAATGTGACTTTATTTGGAAATAAGGTCCCTGAAAATTTAATTAAAGATCTCAAGATGAGATTATCCTGGCTTTTTAGGAAGAGCCTTAAATTCAGACTGAAGAAAAAAAGAGGGATATTTGAGACACATAGAGACATAGAGGGGAAGATCATGTGAAAATGAAGGCCGAGATTGTAGTGACATCTTTAAAAGTCAAAGAATGTCAAGGCTCACTGACAATCACCAGAAACTAGGAAAGAACCATGGGGTGCACTCTCTCCTCAGAGCCGCAGAAGGAACCAACCTTGCTGACACCTTGATTTCAAACTTCTTGACCTCCAGAACTACAAAAGAATACATTTCTGGGTCGGGCACGGTGGCTCATGCCTGTAATACTAGCCCTTTAGGAGGCCGAGGCCAGCGGATTACCTCAGGTCAGGAGTTCGAGACCAGCCTGGCCACATGGCAAAACCCCGTCTCTCCTAAAAACACAAAAATTAGCCGGGTGTGGCGGCACACGCCTGTAATCCCAGCTACTCACGAGGCTGAAGCAAGAGAATTTCTTGAACCCAGTAGGCAGAGGTTGCAGTGAGCTGAAATTGTGCTATTGCACTCCAGCCTGGGCAACACAGCGAGACTCTGTCTTGAGAAAAAAAGAAAAAGAATACATTTCTGTTGTTTTAAGCCACCAATTTTGTCATAATTTGTTACAGCAGCCCTTGGAACCTGGTACAATGATTAAGGGCTTTCTCAAATAACATCCACACAGCCCAGCATAGTTAAAGTTTTCTTGTTCTAAGCATTATAGTTATTTAGTAAACATTAGTTAAGTGCCCTGTTAAGAATCTAGCCTTGTATGAGTGCAGTGGTGGATACACATATGCACAATATATTATGGATATACAGAGGATTAGACACAACGTAGATAAGGGTCATAGAACAGTTCCTGCCATACAGAAAGGACTAGAATTTGGTAAATATTACAATATTAGGAATGGGGATATATCATTGCCACTCACCACATCCTTCTCTACATGTGTCTTGATAACTCCTCCTTAAACTGGGCTGTAAATGTAATTTGTCAGAGCCCAGAACATTCATTGAGCCATGTTTTACTAGTGAACAGTGTTGCTTTGTCTTAAAGTTTAAGTCCCCTGCATAATCTTAAACATCTCCCTTTTTGGGTTTATGTGGAAGGTAATTCTACAGTGTCTGGCCCCTGCCTTCTGGCTATTCCTTCTACTCTGTGGAGTTAGTTGCATGAGTGAATTCTGGGCCCACTTGCAGCCAATCAACCTCAACTCATGGGAATCTGGAAGCCAGAGATTTCATTTGTATCTGAAGACATAAGCAGATTTATTTTAACTCATGTTTTCTCAATCTACATTCAAGTAAGTTGTCATTAAGTATTTTACTTCCAGATACTTCTAAATTGTGAATTTGATTCTCATCTGGCCATTGTTCCTTTTGGATAAAATTCCTTGTTAGGAAATCTATAGCGGAAAAGAAGTAAGGGTTAAGATTACCAACACTTCAGCCAGAACTTATGACATAAAATGATAAATATATTTAAGTAAATTTTGGATAAATAACTGAATACAAAATAGGTAATTGCCACAGCCCTTTGGGTATTAGCCGATGACTGTGACACTGAAGCTGGCTTACAGAGAATTTTCTATGTATCATCTAATGAAATAGCTACATGCGGAAATTTTCTTAGAAAAAAAATATAGATGTAAGGGAAAGAGGATAAGAAAATTATGAAGACATAGAGGTTTCTGCCTCAAATGAGTGCACATTCTTTTTGGAGAATGGAATCAGCAGAAAAGGAGCTGCCAGAGATGATAAAAATAAAGCCCTCACCCAGACCCTCCCACTGGAATCAAATGGCTGGACCAAGGACAATATACCACCCGTTGCCATGTTTCATTTGGCTGTCATAATGCTTAAGACAACATTCAACTTTAAACCTTTTGTGCAGAGAAAGACTTTTTCATTAGACACAGTCCCTATCACTCCCTGTGTCTTGCACCTGGCCAGTTTCTCTCATTTATACTACCTGTCTGGCTCCTAAGGGCATCTAAGACTGAAACTGCCTTTGCAAAATTATAACTGAGGAAATTATGTCAGACCTAATCGACTTCATCTTCCTTCTAACTTCTAAACTTTGTTCATTCCTGACTGTAGGCTGAACTAGCCTTGGGAAGGTATTTAGTTTATAGTTTGAACTCTGAAACAAAATGGATAACAGCTCTTTCTCGAAAAACCCCTTCCTTGCCTGGGGACCAATCTGCCTTTGCAAGACAAACAAGTTAGCTACAAGATTGGATATCATGGTTTGCGGGGCCATGCAACCTCTGGCTGAAGAGTCTGAACCTCCCCAGATTGCTCCTGGGAGTAATGTCACTATTGTAAAACCTAAGATCAGTGCTTGAGATATTTTGCAGACCCTTCATTCCGATGCAGCAGATGATACCACCTGGAACTGCCTCAATCGGTTCTGCAATCCCACCCAGGAACAGAAGTCAGCAAAAAGAACTCACTTCCATCCCCTGTGATTTCATCTTCAACCCAACCAATCAGCACTCCCCACTTTCCGAGCCCACACCCACCACACTTTCCTTAAAATATCTGATCCCCAAATGCTCGAGGAGACTGATTTGAGTAATAATAAGAGTCTGGTCTCCAGCACAGCCGGCTCTGCATGAATTACTCTTTCTCCATTACAATTTCTGTCTTGATAAATAGGCTCTGTCTAGGCAGTGGGCAAGAAGAACCCACTGGGTAGTTACAAGAACCGTGCCCTGAATGTGTGCTGTAGAGAGCCCAGGAAGACATCTGTATAGGCAAGCTGTCGTTAGCCAAGTGAGGGCCTTCTAGAGTGTCCACTTAATGAAGATAAAGAGAGATTAGTATGTGGTTTGCTCTTACGATGTCTAGGGAATCAAGAGAATGTCTAAAGAATCTATCTGATTTCCACAGGAAGGAGACAGGGCCAAAAAAAAAGAAAGGAATAATCTTCATCATCATGGGGCTCTCTGAGCAAAATACTTTACAGTATATAAAGTACTCTTGCTCATTTTGTGGCCTTTCAGTTTGGTTCGTTTGCTGTTATCTTAACAAATAGGGAGGAACATTGCCCATTTGTGGTTGAAAATGTGTGCCCCTCCCTGCCCCCATGATGTCTACATCCTAATCCCTGGAGCCTGTGATTATGTCTCCTTGCATGGTAAAAGGAATTTGCGTATGTGTTGAAATTAAGGATATTGGGATTATCCTTGATTCTCTGTGTGGGTCCAACATAATTACAAGCATCCTTAAAAGATGGAGGCAGGAGGTCAATAAAAAAGAGTTTAGACTGCTGGCTTTGAAAATAGAGAAAGGGACAACAAGCCAAGGAATGTAGCTATTCTCTAGAAGCTGGGAAAGGCAAGGAAACAGATTCTCCCATGGAGCCTCCAGGAGGAATGCAGTCCTACCTGTAACTCAAATTTTATACTTCTGAAATCTAGAACTGCAACATAAAAAAATCTGTGTTGTTTTAAGCCACTTATACTTGTGGTAATTTGTTACAGCAACAATAAAAAAAAAAAACTCATACATGAATCTAAAGCCCTTTGAAGCAAAGGAAGCCCTTTGAGGGGAGAAAAATGATCCAAGTCAGGGGACCATGTGGGCCATCTGGGTCACATACAGAACATCAAGACTTGTGCACCTGTTTCCCAGAACACTGGCCTAAAAGATCCAAGTACATATTTTAATTGCCCAGGGATATTTCCCACTCAATAATTAGCAATATGGAACTTCCACAAAATCCTATCCCTTGCTTCTTTCCATCCTTCTTCTTATCTGCAAAAAATATATGTGTGTGTGTGTGTGTGTGTGTATATATATATATATATATATAGAGAGAGAGAGAGAGAGAGAGAGAGAGAGAGCCTTCTATGTACTGCATAAGGCTAAGTTCCTGCCATCAAGAAGCTTAACATAGGGTGAGGGTGGAGAATTGAAGAACCAATAAATACACATGTGACTAAGAAGTAATTAAAAAAGAAAGAGTATTATGGGGAAGCAAAAAAAGTTGTTTTGTTTTGTTTTGTTTTTGTTTTTTTAAAGGCACCTAGTCCAGCCCACAGCATAACAGGGGTTTAGGCAAATGTGTGTGTGTGTGTGTGTGTGTGTGTGTGTGTGTGTGTGTGTGTGTGTAGATAGATAAATAGATGAATATTATATATAAATAAAAGGAGAAAGAGAAGAGAGGGAAGGAGAGAGAAAGAAAGGGAGGGAGAGAGGGGAAGAAAGTAAGAAGGGAGGGAGGGAGAGAGGGAATGCAAAAGAAGAAAAAAGAGAAGCCCCAATTTTGTGTGTGTGCTGTTTCTCATGGTGTAAATACTCCCTTGGTGGCTCATTTCAACCTCCCTGACCATCACTATTAGACTGAGTGTTCACAATCAGCTCTTGAGGACCTGCACAAGCCAGCTCCAGCACATACCTGGATCCCTCTGGCCTCTCACTGGGCAGTTGATTGAAAGGAGGTAGACCAGTGTGAGACTGATGGAATGAGTTGCTCTTTGTCAGAATTGACCATTACGTGTGATATCTTGAGAAGAATCCCAGCTAATTAATTGTCGAGCTGTGGCCAACCCTTTTGGTGCACTTGACCTACAGGACAAGGTAATTCTGAGCAGGCCAGGTCCTAAATGGTGTCTTTGGTGGGTAAGATCTCGATAACATCAGCAAGTACCAATTCTTTCCTTCTTCTGTCTCCAATTCCTCAAAGTTAATGGAGCAAGCAGTTAAGGCCTAAGATGAGAACAAAAGCTGAAATCTGGGCACAGCCATCACCCTCCCATTTTTTTTACATGTTCTCTTTAATTCCCTCTCCCTGGCTCTGGTAGGGCAGGTTAACACTTGGAGGTGGGGGAAGTGCATTGTAAAAAGGAGGAGAGCAAAAAAACAAGCACTTCTTTGTCCCAAGTGCCAGCAATCCAAAGGATCGGAAGCTCTGCAACTTTCTGTGGGCGGGCAAGTGCACATGAATCAAAGAACAGGCAGGAAATAGAGTTCAGCAGGACAGTAAATTGATCTGCAAAGACATCTCAATATCTTCGACATTGCAAGTTCAATGGCTTCTTATTGCCTGCCATGCATAGTTAGGAGTGCTTCCATGCATGCACGTGTTTAAGCATTCCCTCAGGATAGTTAGGTTTATGAAGTATTACATACTGGCATATTCTTACTTTCTCAGCATTCTTAGAAATATCTAAAATAAAAGACAATTATTCTTAACTTTCTTTTAGGTTACATTACTTGTTTTATTTAACAGAAAAATGCTATGTAAGAGCAATAGTAAACCTTAAGTGGGTTGTATGCCCATAGATATTAAGAATTTGTAGGGAACCTCACTGTGCCAAATGTTTTTGCCTCACCCAAAGCCACGGATCTTCATTCATTTAATAAAGACAAGGTTGCAGCTTTGGGAACACCCGTTACTGTTTCAATGCTTAGCCCCTCTAACTTTTCCAGAACACCAGTACATGCTCTGAATCTTGAAAGCAACCAGGAATTTCTTCTTAGTGCAGAGGTTGGAACATAAAGAGATGCTTAATAATTGCTCACTGAAAGAATTTTCCTTTCCTAAGGCACCAAAAATTTGACATATTGACACTTAATAAGATGATTTACATTTAATTTAAAAGCTCATAGAGAGAGGGATAATGACATGTAGAAAGCTGCTAGTAGTGAGATTTCATGATGACATGGAAGGAACTTCTTGGTATTTGTCAAAATATACCATGAAAGGAGTGGTGACTTGCTCCAAATGTAGGACTGGGACTGTGTCTGGGCTTACCAGTGGAACAAATGCATTTATGCTGAGGACTCTATTTATCATTTTATGCATTTGTTGGAATGGATAAAGAGAATTCAAATTTCCACCATTTACTCATTTCTAGATACATGTAGAGGTGCCTAGTGTGTACCAAAACTTGTGCTATGTTTTTTCATTGGATTTTTATAACCTCTTGTGAGGTACATAATGTCACCCCAAAATTACAGACAAAACCAAAATCCAAAGAATTTCAGTAACTTTCCCAAAATAATATGGCTAGTAAGTTCACGATCATGTTCTCATTCCATGTTGCATACAGGAGACCCCAGCTACGTCCCTTAGAAAACAATTTTTATATATGTAGCCATCTATTCGATTCTTCTCCTCCTCCTGCTCCTCCTCCATCTTCATCCGCAATTATCATTTATTAACTAAGGGTTTACTATATGCCCTTAGTTAAGACACTAAGTATATTGAGATTGAGAGTGCACTAAGTATATTGCATGAATAATTTTATTTTTCCTGTATGTTACATAATCTTGTGATATGTATGAAAACATGCAACTCTATTTCTACCAATAAATAAAATAATAAATATAGCAGTCAATATAATTTCATTAACTTCTCCATTTTGCAGATGAGGAAACTATGACTACTATACTGTACTGTATTATTATAACCTTATTATGACATATAAAAATTGATAGAGGTTCCTGGTCTATTTCCACATTTTCATAATGCAGCCAATCATACAGGTAGATGAATAGATAAATCCTAACGTTGTCTAGCAATAATAAAGAAACCTTATTACTCATTTTGTATGTTTTTTGCATACTTAAACAATTTGTTATCTGACAGATCTTCCTTACTTTTAACCAAATTCTCTCCTGCTAAAAATAAAAGACCACTTATTCTTATTTGGCCCCCAGAAAAAACAGAATTTGTCATCCCCACTTCTTTCTTGAAATGGTAAACTTCACGTGTTACTGTGTGACACTCCAGCTGCACAAGGCTTGGCAATCATTCCAGCCTCCCAGCAAACTCAGACTGTGAATAAATGTAACATGAGAAGAAGAAAATACCTTTGTTTCTTAAGTGGATTGTGAAGTTTTAGGTAAGAAACCAGACATTTTTTCTAGGGTAGTCCTCTAGGAAATTCTTGTTATTACTGCACCAGTCAAGAATCTCTGGTCATTTCTTTGCACTCAGAGTGAAATGGCAGATAAGTCTGTGGTTCTGCCCCAGTACATAATAGATTAGAACAGAAAGGCGGCATCTTGAGCCCTCCATTGGGAGGAGGGTCACTCAGCAGGGTCCACTGGTGAAGTGAAGAGCATCCAGGTTCCTTCCAAGATTGCAGCTGTCCATAAGACCCTTGCAACTCTCTTACAGGTTCTGGATACAGAAGCTTAGCAGCATTAGAGATGGATAACACTAAGATTAAAAGGCATGAGATGTACCCTACAATTGCTCAAGATCTAATAATTTAATTTAGTTCTATTCAATTCAACAAACATTTAATGGGTACATACGCTGGTGCCATTCACTATACTTGCTTCTGAGGGTAGGAAGTTAAATAAAACACAGCAGCTGCTCTGAAGGACCGAACAGGTATGTGTATGCATTAACAACAATGCAAGGAGGGAAATGACAAAAGCCAGAGAAATGTTAGATAATTTATGAATATCATTCAGCAACAGAGTGATTAACTCTGAGTTTATGAGGGAGGAGGAATCTGCAAGAGGCCTTGAAGTATGGGGCTGATTTTAACACTCTGACACAAGAAAAGTGTTCTTCGAGGTGAAAAAAAAAATAGCAAAAATTAAGCCATAGAAAAGAGATAGCCTGAGGCTCAGTGGGTTGTATGATTTGGGTGAAGCATCCAGTATAGAAGAAGCAGAATGGAAGAACAACTAGAGAGATAGATGGATTGATTCTCATTTTTGAATTGAATGTAGGGTTAGGAATTTGGATTTTATTCTACTAGCAATGTAGAAGTCGTTGTAGCCAGGATATAGAAAGCTGTGTAAGTGTGTATAACATATAAAGATATACTACCTTTCATTGCAATTGTGTGTATATATGTATGTCTTCATACATAGGGAGTCATTGTGGTTTTTTAAGGAGGGGAATGGTTAGCATAATAATGTTATTAGTTTAATAAGGGAGCAGAGCATCCACATTATTTCATACATCCTGCTAGTTGTTTGAAGTTCATGATTCATGATATTAATCTTACAATGGTATTCTTAGGGAAAAAACTTTTTTTTTTTTTTTTTTTTTTTTTTTTTTTTTTTTTTTGAGATAGAGTCTCGCTCTGTCACCAGGCTGGACTGCAGTGGTGCGATCTTGGCTCACTGCAACCTCCACCTTCCAGGTTCAAGCGATTCTCCTGCCTCAGCCTCCCGAGTAGCTGGGACTACAGTCATGCGCCACTACACCCAGCTAATTTTCGTATTTTTAGTAGAGATGAGGTTTCACTGTGTTGGCCAGGATGGTCTCGATCTCTTGACCTCATGATCCGCCCACCACCTTGGCCTCCTAAAGTATTGGGATTACAGGCGTGAACATACTGCTTTATTTTTTTATTTTTTTTTAACAGATAGAAGCACTGAAACCTAGAAGTCAAGGGACTTGTACCCAGTAAAGCAAATTTCCTGATTCATGTATGTCCAACTCAAACTATTTTCTCTTTCTTCAATATTCTGCTGTAGTTTGGGAAGCTAAATGGCAGGCGTGTGGAACACAGATTGGAAGGGGATATAGGGAGAGACCAGAGACAGGGAGCTCAGTTAGAAAATTAACACATACTGTGGGCAATGAAGACAAGAAAAGAGGAGACAGAGGAAACTGGAAAAGACAAAACAAACAAAAATGAGTCCCCAGTCCCGAGGGGTTAGTACCTGATTGGTTATGATGGGGTGAAAGGAAAAGGAGAAATCAACATTATCTTAAAGCCTGGGATATAGAGAAGTAATGAGAGTTTATAAAGCTCCCTGTAGCCCTAGTGTTTCAAAGCTATAGGTCCCTGGAATCTTGTGACCACTCATCCTTTGGCTTTAAGCTGCTGGGACTGGACATCTTTCCTAGGCATTGCCATAGACCGCAGGCCAGAATCATTCACCTTTCCACAAGGTTACAAAGGTCTAACAGGGCTTTACGATAGAGAATTCACTTTCTCTGCCAGTTCCTTCAAAGCTTAGGGCCTAAGGCATCTTGCTGCCACCAAAGCCAGCTGTGCACATGCAAATGTCAAGGGAATTATCTTGGCTAGGGGAGGTCTACTTCTCTCTACTGTAGAAAAAGGAAGTAAATATGCCAGTGACTGAAGGGCTTGTCTGTTCATCTATGTTATAATTTATGACCCCTTATCTGTTTGGAAGCTTGTAGGGCTGTACAAGGGAACTCTCCTGGGGATGTAGACCTAGGAAACTATTTAATGATTACAAACAGTGCCTCAGAGATGAATCCTCTCTAGCTAGCTCATCAGGGCTTTGGAGGTGAGATCATTTTGGGATGTAGACCTAAGAAACTATTTAATGATTACAAACAGTGCCTCAGAGACGAATCCTCTCTAGCTAGCTCATCAGGGCTTTGGAGGTGAGATCATTTACAAGCTTGTGTGCAGCATTTTTGG